>NC_000009.12:109470552-110095552 GCF_000001405.40 Homo sapiens | reverse complement strand
ATGAAATTCCAGGGTTAAAAGGAAACCCAGGCAGAAGCCTGAGTGGCTGAAGGGGAGCTGGCTCCTTTCTGTTTCTAAGGCATTACCACCAACCAAAACACAAGCAGCTCAAGTTGAAGGCGGGCCTCCCCTCCAATCCCCAGTGAAACTCACAAAGCTAGCAAGATTGTGCAAAGCAAGGCTGCGGTGTCCTCTTAATCTGAAATATTCAATAACTAAATAGGTTTCCATCCTGCATCATATATTCAGGATGACCCACTTAGACAATGTCCCTGTTTACATGGTTTTCAGAGACATCTCCATGGGGATTTTCTGAGGTTTTCTGGCAGTCCCTTGTTCCTAGGCAAAAGTCCCAGGGCACAAGGGAACTGCTGCTTTGCACTTAAACTTGGCATAAGAAAAAAAGCCCAGCCGTCAAAAAGGGGACTTAACATTCCTTATTCCTGCTCTCAGAATCGTTGCTTTCTGATTTTGTTTTCTTTCCCATCAAACGTTACCAATCCAGAGTACTACACATACGGTAGGGGGAAAATGTAATGGTCAGAAGTGAGGGCAGAAGTTTTTGCCAGAGGCAGCCAAATAGTGTGGCCAGGCCACCCAGTTCACCATTCAGAATGTAAAATTGGACAATAACTTAGGTAAAAATTGAAAGCAAAAGAACTATGCTAACAATACTTCTTTAATGTTTTCCATTATTTGCTACAGTAAACCCCAAAGCTCTTTTTGCAGAAGAGTGAGAAGACAAAGGCATGGCAAGATAAAGGAGTGATATGGTTTGGATCTGTGTCTCCACCCAAATCTCATGTCGAATTGTAATCCCCAATGTTGGAGGTGGGGCCTGGTGAGAAGTGATTGGATCATGGGGGCAGATTACCCGCCCCCCCGCCCCGTGGTGCTATTCCGATAATAGAGTTCTCACAAGATCTTGTTGTTTAAAAGTATGTAGCACCTCCCCACTCCCTTTCTTCCTGCCCTGGCTATATGAAGTGCTCACTCCCCCTTTGCCTTCCATCATGTTTGTAAGTTTCCTGAGACCTCCCCAGAAGCTGAGCGGATACCAGAACCATGCCTCCTATACAGCCTGTGGAATCATGAGCCAGTTAAACCTCTTGTCTTTATAAATTACCCAGTTTCAGGTATTTCTTCATAGCAATGTGAGAACTAACTAATACAGAGAGCCTCAAGTTTAAGGCTACCTAGCGCAAAGACGAGTACGGCCTCCAGTTGCCTTGTTCATTGGTCACTATCCTAAGAAAATGTATACAATCATCTTTAAACTATTCTCTCCTGAGGAACTACCCTACAGTGGTGCATTGTGGTATTAGACATACAAAGATGCAGATCACACACATGGGCCTCAGCCTAGTGGTGAAGATAAGACTAAAAACAGATGTATCCAACAATGTTGCCAGTGCAATGGTAAGCAGGGTTCTCAACAGCGGTGCTATTGACATTTGGGGCCAGGTGCCTCTTTGTTGGGGCTGTCCTGTGTGCTGTATGAAGGATATTAAGCAGCATCCCTGGCTTCCACCAACTAGTAGCGCTCACCTGTCATGACAATCAAAAATGTATCCCAACATTGCCAAATGTCCCCTTGGAGACAAAACAGCCCTCAGTTGAGACCACTGGGAAAGACGCACAAGGTATCACGAGAGTATAGAAGAGGAATTCTTAAGCCAGAGAGGCATAATCAAAGAATGCTTCTCAGAGAAACTGTCATCTGAACTGAGTCTTAAAAGATGAGTCTGGTCAACGGGAGAGGGATTCCAGGCAGAGGAGAGAGCATGAATAGTGAAGGAAACAGGGTAGTGTGATGCCTTCCAGACTACAAACAGCTCGTTGTAAGGTGCAAGGCAGCAGCAGGGGAGATGAGCCTGGAGAGGGAGATGGGCCCCAGATCACAAATGTCAGGTTTGGGAATCTGGGCTTTATTCTAGATGCAATCACTCTTCACATGATTAGAGTAGCTATGCCAGCCTTGAATCTTCATAAATTCTCATTAAATGTCCCTGATAGCATTTCTATCCAAGACAATATTTCTGCTATTTCAGCAATGGTAATCTTGCTAAATTTTTGGTCAATTGCCAATCTCTGGTATCTTCTTTTTCTTTTCTCCTGGCTTTTTGTCCTTGAAGCCCATTTTTCCTTACTCATTGATCCCTTGACAGACACAGGACCAGTTCTCCTCATGCCCCATCTACCCATCTTAGCCGAGTCCCGCAGTCACTCAATTTCCACTATTTTCCTCCCAAAATATTACATCTCACATCCAGTAAACAGTTGTCATCTCATAAGCCATAAAACAATCAATCAATCAACTATCAATTCTGAAACTTTTGCTTATTTGGAAGGTTAGCCTAGGGTAGGTGTTTATAAAAATTATTTAAAAACAAAGACAACAACTGGCTACATGGCCTGAACGTCCCTGCAGAGGACATGTGTTTTCTTGATCTGACATACATGTCCCTCAATTTCCCTTAAAGAACCACCTCTTCTGCCACTCTCTACCTTCATTCTGCACCGTGGTCTAGGGGGAGCTCTCACTCCTTCAGCTCTAGGAGTGAGCAGGTGACCTAAGTCTGACCAATCAGAGCACTGCCGCTCACCCCCACCCCATCCCTGGGGGTCATAAGGAGCAGGAGAAGCAATCAGAGCCCATGAGACCCCATTCTGAGACTTGTTGGAACTGTACGGAATTGAGAAAGTAGAATAAAAGCCGGAAGCTGCTGTCAGTCACCTTGATACAGCAAGCAAGAGTCTACTAGAGAATAGAACCAACACAGAGGGAAACACAGCTGAGTGGGGAAAGAGAGGCGGATAACATCGTTTGAATTTCTAGATCCCACAATGCCTCAAGTCTATCCCTGTACCTTTACCTTTCAGTGATATTAGCCAATAAATTCCACTTATTAAGCCAGTTTGAGTTATGCAGATTACAGTCCTTCTACAGCATTTCACTGCCCTTAAAACCACACAGAACTAAGCTCACTTAAAAAAAAATCTAAAGTGCAAAAAATTGACTTTTTTCACTTTCAGTATATTCTTTTTACTAACTAAAGTATTTATTACAAATTTCTTTGGGTTTAAAAAAGCATATAATACATTACACAGTTCTACATTCATTAATTAAAATACAAGGAAACAATATTCAGATTGTACAATTTTCCCATTTATAACTTTGAGAAAAGGATAAGTCAATCAGATCTTACTTCTTTTTTTTTGAGGCGGAGTCTCACTCTGTCACTCAGACTGGAATGCGGTGGCACAATCTCAGCTCACTACAGCCTCCACCTCCCGGGTTCATGTAATTCTCCTGCCTCAGCCTCCCAAGTAGCTGGGACTACAGGAATGCACCACCACACCTGGCTAATTTTTGTATTTTTAGTAGATACGGAGTTTCACTATGTTGGCCAGGCTGATCTTGAACTCCTGACCTCAGGTGGTCCTCCCGCCTCGGCTTCACAAAGTGCTGAGATTACAGGTATGAGCCACTGCAACTGGCCAGATCTTACTTCTGACATCTCAGGCAACCTTTCACATGAAAAGTGTCAGACACAGCTGTGCTATTTGTTACAAAAGGGCTTGGCTCCATCTTCAGAAGTGGTAGTAAACTTGATACTCAAACATGCCAATAGAAATTTGAAGCAAAATATATTTAGGGGATCATGGAACTGTTCTTTATCTTGATTGTGGTGATGTTTCCTCAACTGTAAGCATTTATCTAAACTCATAGAGATGTACAGCAAAAAGAATGAATTTCACTATGTGTAAGTAAAAAATAAATAAATCTTGGCTGGGCGCGGTGGCTCACACCTGTAATCCCGGCACTTTGGGAGGCCAAGGCGGGCAGATCATGAGGTCAGGAGATCAAGACCATCCTGGCTAACACGGTGAAACCCCATCTCTACTAAAAATACAAAAAATTAGCCGGGTGTGGAGGCAGGCGCCTATAGTCCCAGCTACTCGGGAGGCTGAGGCAGGAGAATGGCATGAACCCGGGAGGTAGAGATTGCAGTGAGCGGAGATCGTGCTACTGCACCCCAGCCTGGGCGACAGAGCAAGACTCTGTCTCAAAAAAAAAAAAAAAAAAAAAGAATAAATCTCAAAGATTAAAAAGCCCATCACACAGACACACACACACACACACACCCCAACCACCAAGGATCAGAAAAGCAACGAGGATCACACACATTATAAGTCAGCACATGTAAATTTCAGAGTTTTGAAAAGGAAGTTACCTCTCTTTAGTTAAGAGGGTTTTTTAAAAAAATCTTTATTGACCGTAGACAATACCTGATCTTTGTGGACTTGAAAAACCTCACACGTGCAGCTCCATTCTTCATTACACTACTGCATTATCACTACACTGATATAGACAGGATTGCAGTTACCTCACCAACTCTTTGACTTCTAAGAGAAGCACACAAACATAAAACCTGCCCCAAATCCCTGCAAAGTGCCAAGTGCCCGACTAGCAGCAGGTCTGAAACAGAGCTCATGTAGTTGTTTTCAAACCCTAAGGCCATTCTTTAGCTTTACCCATGCCGACCTATGTTGTCAGCATGTTCAAGGTCAATGCAAAAAAAAAAAAATTGAGCTAGATTTTAAAGCATAGCATGTATACCGTTCATACATTCCCAGCTTAACAGCTACGTGCCTAGTTTTTCCACAGTGCATCTAACATTATTACTAAGGGGCTGAGAAATCATCACAGCATTAAAACATCAGGTAAAAAAATCCCAGAGAACATTTCTACTGATGCTTTGCCTCCTTGAAAAATGCTATATAAGTTGAAGGTACTAAGGTATTACAGTAATTACTAGGGAAAAATAAATAATTCACAATAAATTTAGAACTTGAAGCAGATCAGCATTTTTATAGACCTAGAGTTATTCTGCTTTACCTCTCTTAAAGAAATGTTGGCCATGGGAACACAACATTAGCTTTTTAGAACTCCCAGAAACTGAAATGTTTGGGATATGCTTTTTCTCTCTGGGTGACTCAATGCCTTGAGTTCATAAATGCAATGTCCCTGAAGAATAAAAGAGAAATGTGCCTTAATGAGCTTGAGGCATGAAAGGTGTAAGTTCCCTCTGCAGCAAGCAAAAGTCCACAGTAAAAGTAACTGAGACCTACCGTGAAGAGAGAGAACAGCATCCAGGTGGCAATCATGACCTAACTTTCCCTCAGTTATATCTGATCTTCAGAACCCACTGTGCCTACAGCTTCGTCCCAGTTTCCCTTTCTTCAGTAGGACATCCGATGTAAGGACACAGGAACACAGCCCTCTGCCAGGTCACAGGATTTCAGGGGAAGCAGGACTGAGCTCGCATCCTGTACCTGCCCGCACACACCTGGTGGACGCTGCCCCAGGAAGCACACAGGCTGCAATGTGAACCGGCCCGACTTCTCCGGTTCAAAGGTACACTTTGGAACCATGTTACAGCCTTCAAGGGCAAATGAAACAGGAGTCGAGTGTATTTACGTTTACACAGCTACTAATGATCAGATTACATTTTATCAGATCAATTATGATTTGACAAATACTAGCTGTTACTTGAATTCAAATGTAATAGGATAACATGCCCTGGGTAAGCAGTAGGCAGTTGTGGTTTTTTGTTGTTGTTGTTTTAGTTTTCATCTTTTAAAGTCATGATGACTTATAATGTAAACATCAGAAAGTGACCTTCAAGACTTTTCTCCTCCTGTAAAAGGCTGCTGGCTCTCCACGATAAGGAAGAGTCACTGGACACTGTTTACAGTAAAGAGAAGTAACACTATTGGTTCAAACAAAGGCACCTTTACAGAGAGGAAGAAAACCTGTTTAGCAAAGAGGCAGGTGCAAAAAGGGATGAGCATCTTGTGAAACACGATACAAAATGAAGTCAAGGCACAGCCGTTCCTGGTAATGGCATGAGAATACAATTCTAGCCTCCTAAGACACAAAAGTCAAAATCCTATTTTTGTTAAGAATTGTGTTAAGAAGGGATTTTTTTAAACATTGTCCTGTCTTTAAGATTTTAGGTAAAGTATGCTCCTGGTGTCAGAGTTAGGATGTCTGGCTTCCTCCTTCTAAGGCCAAGGGGTAACTGTGACCTCATCCACTGGCCCCTGGAATCAACTAGTACTTATCTCCATCTCAGGACTTGCTGTAGCCATGCCATATTCCTTAATAAAGATCTTTTCATGGCTGGTTTTTACCTGCTTTATATTATCTCTAGAGATCATTTTAATTCCACTTTAAAACATTCTATCAGACATAACTAGTCTTGGCTTCAGCCCCATTTTCAACAAGTGAAATTAAAGGAGGCAGTTCTTTGAAATGCATACATGTGCTCTCCAACAAGTGATCTAGTTTCCCTTTCTTACTGCTTCTCCCATCCGCCTCCCCAGTGCCCTTTCTCCCTATTGCTCTGCACTGCCCATTATGGTGCTCCTAGCCATAGGCTGGTTACTGACTACTTGAAATGTGGCCAGTGTGACTGAGGATCTGATTTTTTAAATTGTATTTAGTTAACTTAAATGCAAACTGTAGGCCGGCGCGGTGGCTCATGCCTGAAATGCCAGCACTTTGGGAGGCCAACGCAGGTGGATCACCTGAGGTCAGGAGTTCCAGACCAGCCTGATCAATAAGGTGAAACCCTAGCTCTACTAAAAATACAAAAATTAGCTGGGCGTGGTGGCTTGAAGCTGTATTCCCAGCTACTTGGGAGGCTGAGACAGGAGAATTTCTTGAACCCGGGAGGCGGAGGTTGCAGTGAACTGAGATCGCATCACTGCACTCCAGCCTGGGCGACAGAGTGACACTCTGTCTCAGAAAAAAAAAAAAAAAAAAAAAAAAAAAAAAAACACGTAAATGCAAACTTTAATAGCTACTTGTGGCCAGTGGCTGGAGAGTGCAGCTATATAGCTCTTTATTTTGAGGCAGGAGAATAGGGTCTAGAGGCAGGGAACCTAAAGCCAATTCACGCTGACTACCTAGAACTGAATCAAAAGGAAAACCTCAACTTTCCACACCAAAGTAACAAAAGGACCAGAACTACTCCCTTTGCAAATCCCCCACCCTTTTCTTGTGTGGCAGATGAAAAATTGAAATTATGTCTGATTGCTCCCTTCCCACAACCAATCAGGTTGGCCTTGGGCCAAATCTTCATTTGCATAGAAGTATAACTTTGTAACTTCACTGCAGCCTCTGATTGGTTGCTTTCCACAATCAGATGTTTGCATAGGGTGTAGCTTTGTAACTTCAGCCTCTGATTGGTCCCCTCCTGCAACCAATCAGACTAATCATGAGCCACTACTTCATTACATAGGGCATACACCAAGTAACCAATGGGAAATCTCTAAAGGGTATTTAAACCCCAGACAATTCTGTAACCAGTCCCTTGAGCTGCTTGCTGCTTGTGAAGGCACACCTTGTGGTGTGTGCTTTCATTTTCAATAAATCTCTGCTTTTGTTGCTTCATTCTTTCCTTCCTTTGTTTGTGCATTTTGTCCAATTCTTTGTTCAAGATGCCAAGAACCTGGACACCCTCCACTGATAACAATTTGAACAGCTCTTTTTTGCAATTCAGAACCATACAATACAAATGCTGTTGTCTCAGAGACCTCCTCCCTTGATCAGCACATCTAAGCAGCCCCCTCATCCCACATTCCCTTTCTTCCCTTCTCAGCACTTATTACCACTCCAAATGGCTCTGTGTTTGCTTCCCTCCTCTACGATCTCAGGTCCCTGAGGACAGAAACCTCATCCATCTTCCTCACTACTGTCTCCTACATGCCTAGAACAGTAACTGGCCTATGGCAGACACTTAGTAAATATTTGTTGAGTCAATGAATGAAATGAACCAGCTCACCTAGCCGGGGTGCTTCCTTGATGAAATGGGAAAAGAGAAATCCATGCAGCTTGGTTAGTAAATGGCTTTTTTAAAGTCAGAACTCTGCCCCATGGAACCATGTTCTAGAACTCATTCACAGCATCCAGTTCTGCATTCAAATGACAAGGAACTGAAGGAGCCTCCAAACCACGATAAGGCTGGAACCTTAGAGGCCATGGTCTTGGGACTCTCCAAGAATAGACATGAGGCTTCTGTAATAGACTGGGGAAGAGCCACCTCTGAACAAATGATTGCAACTGTGAAGACCTGCAAGATTAGTCCCAGCCCTACTGGGAATGAGCTGGGTCAGGTACTGTGCAGTGATCAAGACAAACATGGTCCTCAAACCTTTGGGGCCTCTCCGACACATCAGACACATTAATAGTATTAAGATGATGCATTAGTTCTGTGATGCTCTTGATGGAGAGCACAAAAGGGGACACCTTTCTCCTCCTGGGGTGATCAACAAAGGCTTCTCATAGCAAGGGCTGATAAAGCTGAGTCTTAAAGTGGGGTAGAGTTAGCCATGTTAGAGAGAAGGACCAGCATGGTGGAGAGAATTGGGAGTTGGGTGTGACAGGGAGATGTGAGATAGTTAGTCCAGGCAGGAAGGATAGCAAGAGCAAAGTCACCTGAGGTATGGAATGGCGTAGTGTTTACAGAGAATTGCAATTACTTTGGTTTTACTTGAGTGTAAACAGTGAAGTCTGGAGTGGCAAGAAATAAAGCCAGAGCAATGGGTAGGGGGTCAAATCATTGACCACCTAGGCTTTGAATGCCAAGGATTTGGGGTCTTCTTCCTAGGGCAATGGGTGAGAGGCTTTAAGAAGAGAGATGAAATGACTATCTGTTTTGTAATGATCTTCATGACCCTAGAGATTTACTGGGGGCAAAGAAACTGGAAAAGTACATAACACTTGAGACAAATACACTCTGTAGGACAGGGATGGAAAATACTGCCTCTGTGTCCAGAAACCTGATGGTGCCAACTGGGCCAAAAGTGATATGGCTGCCAAAGACAGGTTGATAGTCAAGTCATTTAGACTGACTTTGCAACTTAATGCATGTGCATGTACACACACGCACCTATGGGGTCATGAGCCCAATGCCCACAGGTACAACAGTAATAATCAGTGGAGCCCCAGCAAGAAATGCCATCTTGGAAAGTCAGCAAATGGTACAAGTCATTCTCTGCAGCTTTTCAAGGAATTGCCTCTATGTAGGTCTGATCAAGCATGCTTTAGATTCAAATCCAGCAAACATTTATTTAGTGCCTACTATGTGCTGGGTGCTCTCATAGACATTAACTTCTTTAATAATCATAGTATTAAGCACATCTCTCAGACCTTTTATACTGCCCAGACATCTGCATATAGATGGCTTTTCTTTTTTATATTTTAATCCATTTTTACCTTCATTAGATTAAAATGCAAATAGCAAGCACATAGTTTTTAAAAATCAAACAGAGTTTAAGAGTTAAATTGTCAAACAAGTGCCCCACACCCTCCCACTTCTCAGTCTTATACCACTTGCAACTCTTTGTAGTTATTTCTTTTTTTTTTTTTTTTTGAGATGGAGTCTCACTCTTATTGCCCAGGTGGAGTGCAGTAGTGCAATCTCAGCTCACTGCAACCACTGCCTCCCGGGTTCAAGCGATTCTCCTGCCTCAACCTCCCGAGTAGCCAGGATTACAGGCACACACCACCATGCCCAGGTAATTTTTGTATTTTTAGTAGAGATGGGGTTTCAACATTTTGGCCAGTCTGGCCTCAAACTCCTGACCTCAGGTGATCCGCCCGCCTCGGCCTCCCAAAGTGCTAGGATTACAGGTGTGAGCCACTTCGCATGGGCTGTAGTTATTTCTTTTTGGTACTTGCCACACTTTTCTAAATATGATGTTTAGGCTATCTTGCTTTCTATTTATCAGTTTTAGGCATTATCCATTGGCATCCCCCTCAACTTGTCCTCCCAATATTTTTATTTACTTCACAAATTTATTATTCAGTGTTTATTATTAGGTTCATATAAATTTTGTGCACTGAAGACTTACAGAGTATACTATGTTTTCTTGTCTAATTTTCTGAGGTTTTTTCCTCTGAAGTTAACTATATTCCTCAATTACTTAGTTTTCTACTTACATATTGCTAACTCGGCCCAAAGTTCCAGATCGGTGAAACATCACAGTAGTATTTTCTACATCCATACATCAAGAAATCCACCTGTTCCATTGTGTCCCACAGCCATGGGTCTTCCTGCTCCAGTCTTGCTTAGTTGACTGCTAGACTTTATATTTTCTTGAGTTTCTATATCCCTGGTTTCCTGTATCCCACCTCTTATACTTTTTCAACTTACCCCTTCACCTTGCTGGACCATATCCTCCAGTACCTTTCCCTTTCCTTTGTACACATTCTCTTTAACTTTAATTACTATTTTTTATTAAAGACATACAGTTACATAGTTTAAAGCGCCTAATAGTACAGAAAACAACAATTCCTACGGGTCACCACTTCGGCCTGCTTCCCTCCGATTTTTCCTCCCAAGAGTAAGTACAATTGGCCCTCTGCGTCTGTGGTTACACACTGTAGACTCAACCAACCACGATGGAAAATATATTTTTTAAAGTATGGTTGCATCTAGGCCGGGCGCGGTGGCTCACGCCTGTAATCCCAGCACTTTGAGAGGCCGAGGCAGGCAGATCATAAGGTCAGGAGATCAAGACCATCCTGACTAACACAGTGAAATCCCATCTCTACTAAAAATACAAAAAAAAAAATCAGCTGGGCGTGGTGGCACATGCCTGTAGTCCCAGCTACTCGGGAGGTTGAGGCAGGAGAATCGCTTGAACCCGGGAGGTGGAGGTTGCAGTGAGCCGAGATCGTGCCACTGTACTCCAGCCTGGGCAACAGAGCGAGACTCCGTCTCAAAAAAAAAAAGAAAAACAAACAAACAAACAAAGTATGGTAGCACGTGTAGTGAACACCCACAGACTTTTTTTTATCATGATTCCCTAAATAATACAGTATAAAAACTATTTACACAGCATTTACATGGCATTAGCTATCATAAGTAATCTAGAGATCTTCAGAGGTTATACACAAATACTACACCATTCTATATTAAGGACCATCTGTAGATTTGGGTATCTGAGGAAGCTCCTGGAACCAACCCCCCCATAGTTACCAAGGATATCCTTGGTACTTTAACCTCTTTTAGGTAATTTTTGGTAACAATTTACATTGCTTCTTTGTGATTTTTCCATTGTTGGCATTATTTATTAACTTCTCAATATGGAGAATGATAATTTAATGGTTTTTCCTATCTATGCCCTCACCATATGAGGGTACTCTTCCCAATATAATTATATGGAAACTTTTGAAGATCAGTATTATAATAACATAACATTACTTTCAGCTAAGCCACATGGTGAATGATGGTCAGTTTTCCTTTCCTGAACATCTTACTGTTTTCAGCATTAGTAACAGTATTTCCCCACCTTTGCTTAGTGTTTTATATAGCTCTTGCTAATTCAAGCCTAAACTTTTCCATCATATCTCTAAATCTCTTCTCATGACACCAAGATGCCTCACATATTCTATCAACTCCACCTTACAAAGGAAGTCACTTCCTGAGCCTCTGGCATGCTTCAGGAGCACAGCGGTCAGCTGGGAGTTCCCGCCCTAGGCATCTAGAAATTTCCTCTGCCTCTCTCAGGTTGGATATCCCATTTGCTCTACCGCTGGTAGTTTTCTTTCCTGGTTTACTCCCTCATCTCAGTGGACCATCTTCTCCAGTTACTTTCTGAAAACTTGTTATGTGTGAAATGCATTATTCTACCCTCACAAGAGTGTGATGGAATATACAATTCTAGTTTTAAAATCATGCTCTTCCATGCTATCAAAGGCCTTGTTCCCATTGTCTTCTAGCTGCCAGTGTTGGTGTTAAGAAGTCAAGCCCATTTTTATTCTTGACTCTTTGTATGTGATCTATTTTATCCCCCTGGAAGCTTATAGGTAGGATCTTCTCTTTGCTACCAATGGAATTTTTCAACAAAACTTGGCAAGATAGAAAGCAGACAGATAAGTAGGAAAAAAAACAAACCAAACCAAAAAACAAAAAACTTTGCAGACTTAAAAACAAAAACAAAACAGTATCCTAGGCTGTCAATGGGGAAGGCTGAGAACCAACTGATTCATCTAAAGAAGTGCAAAGGCTCAGAAATGTTTCAACATTATTAAAACAGACTAGGCCTCCTTATTTTAGCCACACACACCCCTGTATCCTAATGCCAAAAACCACGCTGTTGTTGCCTCGTTTTCTGTTATGCTTGTGTTTATAGACTTATGCCTTTTTAAAAAAAACTCCCCTAAGTGAAATAAGTTAGTACAGAAGGACAAATACTATATGATTCCACTGATACAAGGTACCTAGAGTAGCCAAACCGTAGAGACAGAAAGTAGAAGGGTGGCTGCTAGGGGCTGGGGGAAGTGAGGAATATAAAGTCATTGTTTTTGTTTTTTGTTTTTTTGCTTTTTTTGAGACCAAGTTTCACTCTTGTTGCCCAGGCTGGAGTGCAATGGCGTGATCTTGACTCACCACAACCTCCGCCTCCCAGGTTCAAGTGATTCTCCTGCCTCAGCCTCCCAAGTAGCTGGGATTACAGGCACGCGCCACCACACCTGGCTAATTTTGTATTTTTAGTAGAGACGGGGTTTCTCCATGTTGGTCAGGGTGATCTCGAACTCCCGACCTCAGGTGATCCGCCCACCTCAGCCTCCCAACGTGCTGGGATTACAGGCGTGAGTCACCACGCCCAGCCCTACAGAGTCATTGTTTAATGGGTACAGAGTTTCAGTTTGGGAAAATGAAAAAGTTCTGGACAAAAATGTTGGCAACAGTTGCACAATATGTTCAGTACTTAACACTACTGAACTGTATACCTTAACATGGTTAAAATGGTAAAGTTTTATGTTGCATACATTTTACCACAAAACCAAAACCAAAAATTCTCTTTGTATCATTTAAATGATGTTTTGTTTGGTGGTGGGCGCAAGTAGATGCCTGTGTTCAATCCACTATCTTTATGCAGAAGTCTTTTGTAGATGAGATTTTTCCCCTTATTTCTACTCTTTAGGCCAGATCAGCAGTTCTAAACTTTATTGTACGTAAGAATTATTACAAAGGGTTCTGACACAAAACTACTGGTTGTTTTTATATACTTTATTTTATAGGTGATCTCAAGGGTGATTTTTATACCATATCAGATTTCACTTCCTACGGTGTTTTAGAGCCTGACCCTCTTATGTTAAGACGCCACTGCTTGGCTGGGTGCAGTGGCTCAAGCCTGTAAATCCCAGCACTTTGGGAGGCTGAGGTGGGTGGATCACCTGAGGTCAGGAGTTTGAGACCAGCCTGGCCAACATGGTGAAACCCTGTGTCTACTAAAAATACAAAATTAGTCGGGTGTGGTGGCACACTACTGTAATCTGCTTAAATCCAGGAGGCAGAGGTTGCAGTGAGCCAAGATCACACCACTGCACTCCAGCCTGGGCAACAAGAGCGAGACTCTGTCTCAAAAAAACAAAACAAAACAAAAAGCCACTGCTTGCACTACCTTGGGATATATTCAGAAAAGTATGAACCAAAGAACCAGATAGGTGATGTTCTAGACCAGAACACAGGTTTCTCTCTTGACTGCACACATTAAAAGGTTGAAATCAGTGGCAAAGGGCTTTAACTATCAAATAAGAACACATATGGGGGAACTGGGGCTATTTAGCATGGTGAGGAAGGTTTGGAGAGGTAGGGGCTTTGGAGTGAGCATGAGAACCCCACCCCAAATCTCTAACATCGTGAGGGCTCTCACAGGAAAGAGGAGTTGCACAGAATTCTGGGAAGCCCCAGCAGGGACCCAGCACAAGCAGAGAAGCCACTGGATGTGAGATTCCAGTTAAAAGAAGGGAGAGTTTCCTGTCGCTTGGGCTGGACTGCCACTGGAGCATGAGGCCTGGTGGCTGGCAGGAAGAGCCTTTGGGAAGCGGGTGCTGGGGCCTCGACTGGCTCACCTCTAAGAATTCTTTTAGCCCTGGGATTCTCTGTGAAAAGATTCATGTTCATAGAACATTGACCCAAGCAGTAAACAAAACACCACACCCTGCCAAACCAGAGAGTAATGTGGTATGTTCTATTTTAAGAACATAATCCACTAAGAAACACAGACATCTAAAAAAAGGAATCTATGTTTATAGGCAACATGCAAGCCACAATTCTAGTCCCACCCCTGCCTTTCCAAAATCTCTCTTTTTAACAATGTAAATTCCAAAACGTAAATAACAGTAATTCTCAATGAAATGCTCTGGTGCGAGTTGTGGATTTTTTCCTCCTAAGAAAAAATATCTTTTGATACATCCCTTTTCAGATAGGAAAACCTTCAAGTTGAACTAAGTTGATTGATTTTTCCAAAATACACACCTTCTCCTACTTACTCAATGTGCATATTCTTTCTGCAAGACCCTCAAAGCAATAACTGCATGTTACCAGGCTGAAGCAGTGCCTCTTCCTACTTACTGCATTCACTTTAAATATGTATCTTTCATTCAGTCTCCGGAAGGATTCAAAATATTGTAACACAAACCACAGATTATTGAACTTCAGTTCATTGGTTTCCTCTGAGAAGCTCAAAAATACTTTTAACATTTGGCTGGGCGCAGTGCCTCACGTCTGTAATCCCAGCACTTTGGGAGGCCCAAGGCGGGTGGATCACCTGAGGTTGGGAGTTTGAGACCAGCCTTGCCAACATGATGAAACCTCATCTCTACTAAAAATACAAAATATTAGCTGGTCATGGTGGCGGGTGCCTGTAATCCCAGCTACTTGGGAGGCTGAGGCAGGAGAATCGCTTGAACCCGGGAGGCGGAGGTTGTGGTGAGCCAAGATCGCACCACTGCACTCCAGCGTGGGCAACGGAGTGAGACTCCACCTCAAAAACAAACAAACAAACAAAAAACCTAAAAAAACTAAAAATTCAACTTATCACCTAAGTTAACAATGGGCACAGCTTTTATAGACAGAAGAATCAGAAAATCAGTTGGCTGACAGCAATTTCTACTTCTGCCACAGCACTCTAAGCACAGATTTCCTATGTGAGCCACGCAGACATTTTACATCGTGTTTCCCATCTCTTCCTACACCTGACATCACACCTCTATGGTTTTGATGGTCTAGAATTATCAACCTTATTGGCAACTCCTATTAAATATTTTCCTGATAACATAAGGCATAAAGATGAAAAGAGATAAAATGTATGGTTTCTTCTCCCAAAAGTTCTCTTTCTCTTAGGCAAATAGAAGATACTAAAGACCTTAAAGCAACCTTCCCTACCAATTTCCATCACTATCATTGGTCTCCTGGGATGCAGTCTTCAAATCACCAGTAGGTTAACAGCGGTGATAGATTACATGTTTATATCCCCAGGGCTGCCTGGCACTATGCCTAGCGTGTAGTAGCTGCTGAATGTACACTGACAAAACTGATGAAGAGAAAGAACAAAGTTGATTTTTCAGATAGGGATCCTTAATCTTCTATTTTTTTTTTTTTTTTTTTTTTTTTTGAGACAGAGTCTCGCTCTGTCACCCAAGCTGAAGTGCAATGGCGCAATCTCAGCTCACTGCAACCTCCACCTCCCCGGTTCAAGTGATTCTCCTGCCTCAGTCTCCCAAGTAGCTTGGATTACAGGATCCTGCCACCACGCCCAGCAAATTTTTGTATTTTCAGTAGAGACGAGGTTTCACCAGCTTGGCCAGGCTGGTCTCGAACTCCTGACCTCAGGTTTTCTGCACGCCTTGGCCTCCCAAAGTGGTGAGATTACAGGCGTGAGCCACCGTGCCCAGCAACCTTCTAATAAAAATCTGTATTTTCTCAGTAGGCAACAAGTACAGAAAGACAGATACATAGAATCATGCTCCATATATACCTTCTAGACAGATACATAGAATCATGCTCCATATATGCCTTCTAGACAGATACATAGAATCATGCTCCATTTATACCTCTGCCCTGGTCATTGGCTGAATCATGATGATTTTTTTTTCCCCAAGTCTTTTCCACACTATTCCTTGTGGGAAAACACAGGGAGACTGAAGATTAACCTAACATCTCAACTTGAAGATTTTTTTTTCTTTTTGGAGATGGAGTCTCACTCTGTCGCCCAGGCTGGAGTCCAGTGGCACGATCTCGGCTCACTGCAACATCCGCCTCCTGAGTTCAAGCGATTCTCCTGCCTCAGCCTCCCGAGTAGCTGGGATTACAGGCATGCACCGCCATGCTTGGCTAATTTTTTTATTTTTAGTAGAGTGGAGGTTTCGCCACGTTGGCCAGGCTGGTCTCAATCCCCTGACCTCAGGTGATCTACCCACCTCGGCCTCCCAAAGTGCTAGGATTACAGGCGAGCTTGAAGATTAAAATAAGCTGTGTGTCCTCATGCCTCACTGTATACCAGAAAGATACACTCGCTTCCTATCAGATGAAATGTTGACCATAACCAGGAGATTTTTGAGGTACTTCATCAAATCATACAAAAGGGAAATAATATTTCTTGGCAGGCTAATAGGGAATAATCACTGAGGGAAGCAAAGTACTGATTTTAAAAGAAAACATCCTTATTCAGCCAAGGTTGAACGGCCCAGGGCGATATTTCAAATTAACTACACACGTTTCCTAAAATTAGTTGTCATAAGCAGTTGCTATTGTTGGACACCTTTGCCGACAAAGATCAGCTAAATGTATTTCAGCCTGAAAGCCAGGAGGCCACCACTGCCATTTTCCACACCATGAGAAATGTTCTTGGAGCAAACACTCCATGTGTATCACCAGCTGATTCTTTTCTAGATTACAAAGGGAGGTTGTTTACTTTTAAAGAACAAATTATTCAGCCATTACTGTTAATTATTTGAGTCAACAGTAGTACAAGAGTGCAAGTGAAATAGCTTCCTAATTAAAACAAAAGCTGTCTAAATTCTCCAGAGTTTTTATTGGAAATTACCCTCAGTGCAAGAGAATGAAAATAAAATAACAAACTGATACACGACAAACACTAAGAATATCTGAAAATATGTTTAAACCTACATTTGGGGCTAAATGCTCTTTTCCCGATCTGCTTTTAATGTCCTTTCAGAACAATGTGAAACAAAAACAAAACTTAAAAATTCATAAGTGCTAAAATA
Source organism: Homo sapiens (assembly GCF_000001405.40). Classification (NCBI taxonomy): domain Eukaryota; kingdom Metazoa; phylum Chordata; class Mammalia; order Primates; family Hominidae; genus Homo; species Homo sapiens. The sequence goes on along the minus strand of NC_000009.12, from coordinate 110,078,457 downwards.
AAACAGTTATTTAAAAATAGATAAGAATACATAAATTCAGAAAAATTCACCATAGGAAAATATAGACAGAGAAGCTTTCCTGTATTCAGCAAACAGTGACCAAATACCTACTACATGCCAGACTCAAGGTTCTGGAGTGTTCTTCACTATGTCTAAGAACTCAAAAGAAGGTTGTCATGTAACTAATATAATGAAATGCATGTGCCCCCTGCCAGAATACACCCTGTCTAAATCAGGGGTTGATAAAGACAGCCCATGTGCCAAATCTGGTCGCCGCTGGTTCTAGTAAATAGTTTTATTATAACACAGCCACGCCTATTCATTTACATATTGTCTAAGGCTGTTTTCAAGTTTGAGCAGCAAAGTTGAGAAATGTAGTTATAACAGAGACCATATGGCCTGCAAGGCCTACAGTATTTTCTTTCTTTCTTTTTTTTTTTTTTTGAGACTGAGTCTCACTCTGTCACCCAGGCTGGAGTGCAGTAGCGCGATCTCGGCTCACTGAAACCTCTGCCTCCTGGGTTCAAGCGATTCTCCTGTCTCAGCCTCCTGAGTAGCTAGGATTACAGGCGTACACCACCACGCCCAGCTAATTTTTGTATTTTTAGTAGAGACAGCGTTTCACCATGTTGGTCAGGCTGGTCTCGAACTCCTGACCTCGTGATCCGACCACCTCGGCCTCCCAAAGTGCTGGGATTACAGGCGTGAGCCACTGCACTCGGCTAAGACCTACAATATTTTCTGTCTGGCCCTTTGCAGAAAACATTTGCTAATGCCTATTCTAAATCAAGATGTATCTGTAGGAGAACCACTGGGTTTATTCAAAATTTGCCCAAACAGCATTGGACTTCCAGGTAACGAGTTATGGAACAGTCACTGGATATCCTGAAGAGAGAGCCCTGACCCGCTGACCCATGAGTCAGAGACGTGAGATTAATGCCCAGCCTCACCGTTTACCTGACACATGGCTTTGTTAGTTCATATAACCCGCTTTCTGTCTAAGGTTTCTCATCTGTCAAATGGGAGAACTTGCCCACGTCACAAGATGTTAAAGTGTTTTGCTCACTGTCAATGTACAACCTCGAAATGAATGTACTATTATAGTAATTATGAAAGCTATCACTGAATGTGTACTTGCAATGTGCCAAGTAACATGCTAAAGGCTTCCTATTTGTTATTGTATTTCATCCACATCTAATAGGGTATCGCCCTATTAGAGGAGTACGACTACAGTCTTCCTTTTACAGATAAAGGAACCAAGGCTCAGAGAGGTTAAGGGATTTGCTTGTTGTCACACAGCAAGTAGTTAAGCTGAGAATCACACCCAGGATTGTCAGGCTCCAGAGCTTATGCTATGAGCTATGGAGAACATTGATTCCAAAACTCTGACTCACTGAGTGGTATCCACCAAATCTATCCACTTCACTGAATAAAAGGCCTACTGGAATTGTTTGAGACAAACGCCGGTCCTGGGCCTACCACAGGGGTGGTATACATTGCGTGACAGCCTCCTTCATGTGCTACAGGTTATGAATTGCCCACGAAATAAACATTAAAGCTCTATCCATACAGGCAAGTGAAAGGGAGCCCCAAGCAGTGATACTGTAATGTTACCTTGACAGATGCCAGGATCAATTTCAAATGAATAAGTAACCCATAAAAAGTGGCTCAACACACAAAACTCGGAGGTGGCCTTGTCTAGCTGGTCTTCCATATGCATCTAAACATCATGTGTGCATGATTTGGGACCCTATATTTTTACTTAATAAAGCACATCTGACCAAAATATTACAGATAACTGAAAAATAATAACATAGGATATATTCTGTAAGTTTTTATTTTATACTCCTGTGTTTCAAAAATGAAGTTTCATTTGGCAACTAGTGAGATTTTATTCTTGCCAGTTTCATCCTTTTGAAAAGCATCCTTTTGGAGGTATATATACCTATATATATATATATATATGTAGAATATATATGATATACCTATATATCCTCAGGAGCCTATATACCTATGCTAGTTTACCCAGTATTTTATTTCCAGGATTCTATCAGAGAGAAAATAACCAGGGATGTTTATAAAACATAAATACAAGGATGTTCACTGCAGCCTTATTTATGAAGATAAACACTAGAAACCATCAAATCACCAACATAAAGCATTTATCTAGGTAAAATTCGGTGGAATATTTTATAGCTATTAAGGACCACGTGTAGAAACCAGACTAATTCACATGGAAGGAAAAATATTCTTTACAAATGTCAATGTCATGAAAGACAAAGAAAAAGGACTGATGAGCTTTATCAGATTAGAGGGTGATAAAGAGACAATATCAAAATACAAAGTGTGATCCAGGATTGGATCCTGGTGTTGGGGTAAAAAAATGCTAGAGGTCACTTTGCAAAAACTGGCAAATTTTGAAAAACCAAGTTTATATTAGGTAATAGTATTGTATCAATGTCAAATTTCCTGAATTTTTTTAACACTTTTGAGACTATATAAAGTAATATAAAGGGGCATGATATCTGCAACTTATTTTTAGAAGGTTCAGAAAAAAATATTAAAAATTATGCATCTGTATATAATATAGACATATATAAATTATATAACATGTCAAATATGAGAAATGTTAACAATTAGTGAAGAGAAAACAAAAATTCTTTGTACTACTCTTGCAACTCTTTTCTAAGTTTAAAATTATTTTAAAATAAAAAGGTAAAATATCTGAAATTTTGCTACATGGGAAAATGCTTATGCTAAAGTGAGTAAAAACATTAGGATCCAAAAGTCCATTGTAGAATAATGTTACAAGCATAGGGGCAGCTTTTACAGGAGCGACTATAGAGGTTAAAAAAAAAGAAAGAAAGAAAAAAAGAGAATGAGGGCAGTTTAAAATATACATATTAGGAGGAAATAAGTCTAAATGTTACCAGTGGCACGTCATTTCTGAGTGGTAAGATTTGGATTGAGTTTTCTTTTCTTCTTTTTATAGTTTTTTATGTCTACATTTCTATAATAAGCATGCATTATTTTTATAATTAGGAAAAATGAAATATTAGAGGGAAATTATATGTTTTTATGAATTACATAAACATCTGATTCAGTTTTCAAACAATTTTATGTACTAGCTTGATAGTGGAATTTGAAGATAAGGCATCTAAACCCTAGATAAAATCCTGTTTACAGCAGCAATACCAAATTGGTAAATTTTACAACAAATTAGAAATTATTTTCCATTCAAGCCTTAGAAGAGTAGGGATGAACTACAGGTAAAAGAGTAGGGGTGAACTACAGGTCTGGTGCATGAAACAGCTGGCACACCGACATTCGGCCAGAATTTTTTCAAGATTGTCAATTGACAACAAAAATAAATTGTGCCCGCATTCAAGACACATTCTTCTAATTCATCTCTTACAGTGACTTTTTTTTTTCTTTTTCTTTTTCTTTTTTTTCTTGAGATGGAGTCTCACTCTGTCGCTCAGGCTGGAGTGCAGTGGCACAATCTTGGCTCACTGCAACATCTGCCTCCTGGGTTCAAGAGATTCTCCTGTCTCAGCCTCCCAAGTAGCTGGGATTACAGGCACACGCCACCACACCCAGCTAGTTTTTGTATTTCTAGTAGAGACGGGGTTTCACCATGTTGGCCAGGCTGGTCTCGAACTCTTGACCTCAGGTGATCCACCTGCCTCAGCCTCCCAATGTGCTGGGATTACGGGCGTGAACCACCACACCCAGCCTATGGTGACTTTTTAAAAGCTCATTTCTGGTTCTAAAAATTAGAATGCTACATGGTATGTGTATGTGCGTGTGTGTGTTTATAATTTTTTTGTGAACTATTGGAGTCTTTTTGCAGACATAATGCCTCGTTATTCCTAATACTTCAAGGTACATTTTTGAAAAACAAGGACTTTTTCCACCTAACCACAGTCCAGCCTCAAAATCTTGTAATTAACATTGATGGAATTCTACATGTAAACCATAGACCTCATGCAAATTTCAATCTTGGTCCCAATGATGTTCTTACTAATAAAATGATCCAATCTAGGCTCCCATGTCTCATGTCTCTAGTCTCCTTCAATTTGGGGTACTTTCTTAGTCTTTCCTTGTCTTTCATGACTTTTACTTACTTATTTATTTGAGATGGGCTCTCACCATATTGCCTAGACTGGCCTCAAACTCCTGGCCTCAAGGGATCCTCCCGCTTCAGCTTCCCAAGTAGCTAGGATTATAGGTGTGAGCTATCATGCCCAGCTAATTTGGGACTTCTAAAGATTATAGACAAGTTATTTTGTTGAACATCCCGCAATTTGAGGTTACCTGATATTTCCTCATGATTAGATCTAACTCATGCATTTGTGCAGGAATATCACAGAAGCGATGCTGTGTTTTCCTCTGTGCATCTCATCAAATGGTGCACACTGCCAATTTGTCCAATTACTAATGGTGTTAGATTTGATTATTTGATTAGGGTGGTATCTGCCAAGTTTCTCTACTGCCAAGTTACTATATTCCCTTTGCAATTCATGTGTATTTTGTGGGAAGACACATGAAGCTGTGTAAATATCCTGGTGGGACAATATAATCATTAAAAAAGGTATACTAAGTAGCAATCAATATTCAGCCTCCAGAAAAAAACTAACAGCATTTCATAATATGTTTGTTAGTTATATTTAAGAACTATAGTATCCCTGAAACAATTTTTCAGAACTTCCCCAGAGAAAAGACTCTGGGGAGGGAAATCCCATAATGTAGACACTGCAGTTTGCCAAAGGTAAATCTAATGTTTATCTGCAAAAGTCACAGAAGTGGTGACATTTAGATGTGCAACCTTTAATTCCTGGGGAAACTTTGAAAAATAAATATGACTTGCCCTCTAGATATATCCTCAGAGCTGGCTTTCTTGACCTATCTGAACTTTCTTGTTTGTTCTCTTAACAAAAGGCTTTTAACTGAGATAAAACAACAAGCTAGGCTAACCCTGGCTTGAGTCTGGATCACACACAATGTGATCCAAAGAGTGTCAAGTGTCCATGTAAAACACCCTATAAAAGCTGTTTCAGCCATGGCAATTCTCAGCTCAGGTCATGAGGCTCACTTCAAGTGTCCCAGTTGAGAGGGTGTCCAGGAACTCCCAGGAGAGAACAACCTGTAGTCTTTTTACTTAAGCTTCTTATTTCCTAAAAGCTTTGTGTTTGTCTGAAAACACAAGACCAGCAATGACGCATTCTTGCTCAGAACAAAAACTGTCATTAAAATGGACTTGCAGACAGAGGCTTCAGGGCTTCGCACTAAAGACTCATTCTGTGTTTTGGAATCTATGATGATTATTACAAAAGAAATTACAGAATCAATTGTAATTTTCTTTTCTTATACCTGGCAAGCACAATGGTAGAAACCTCTCCTAAGGCAATGCTTAACAGTTTGGGCTTGGTGTTGTGTGAAGTTTCTAAAAATAAATAGTGATGCATGTCTCCTCTCTCTCATTGCCTCAGATTTCCATTTCCTAATTGAATGATTCTCTTTAGAGAATCAAAATGGTCACGTGCAAAGTTAACCAAGGAAGAAGGGGAGAAAGCAGGCTAGGTAGGCCAGAGGAAAAGGGGCATTTGGGGTATCAACCAAGGTAGAGCTGGGGCAGAAGTCAGGAGACCAAGAATGCCAGCCCACAGAGTAGCCTGAGTATTGGCTACTCCCCAAGGTGGGTTATGTGGGCATGCGGCTGCATTTGAAGGGCAAGATCATGAGGACAGATTGTGGCTCCAGGTGGTTCAGACACCTCTATAGCATTTATGCCCTATGAACACTGCTCCCTCAAACAAGACACTACTCCAGCACCCAAGGATTACTACGCCTAACTCCAAATCTCACTCAAACCAATGGCTTCTTCATCTACCGCCATCCTTGCAACAAATCCTTAGCACAATTCTCAGAGATGCTAGAGGGCACAGATAAGTAATTCCTTTAAAGTCTGCCTTTAGTTTCTCTTCCTTTTCCATGCATGACACTATAGGCAAATTCTATCATCCACATGATTCTGGAAAGATCCAAGCTTAGTAGCAGGCAGTTTTTTGAGACCTCTGATAGATCAGGGACTGCTCCATTCTGATGGGCCCCTTGCCACCCTTAGCCACAGAGCTGGTCCAGAGAGAGCCCGCCATCCCAAGCAACAGTGGGCAGCTTGAGTTTGGGTTATGGCCGAGTCCTGTGGAAAGTGATGAAGACTTAGAATTTCTCATTTTCTCTTCCACTTCTTTCTCCCTCTCCTCCCCCTCATTTTTGCCCACATCAACAGTTTGCTTTATATTGGAATGTAGTTAAGATTCTATATTTTACCAATAGGCTTAAGATTCTATATTTTACCAATAGGTTTAGGGTTATACTGGTTCAGAGAAAAATTTTGGGAAGGAAAAATTGGAAATTCCAATAAAATGAGTTAATAATATGAACTACTACTAACTCACCTTTCACTGTTTCCCTAACACTCACTGTCTGAACTATCTATAAACACAAAATGGTGAGAAAATCACAGATAGCCAAGTGTTTGACTTAGAATGATCTTACTGACCTTGTACATATATGAACAAGTCCTACGAAGACTATATAAGGTTAGTTAATAACACAGTGATGGGCAGAACACAAGTATCTCCCAAATCACCCTCAGGCTCCTATCACTCAATAATACTACTTAAGTCTAAGGGAATTTTATAGACATAATTTTAGCCGAAATTTACCCACAAGAAACAATGGTAGTGCTAATTGGAAAATATGCCCATTTTCTATGTATCAGGGCATAGAGCAATCATTGCACAGGAAGATTCTTAAATGAAAAATAATTGATCTTCATTGAAAGAGAACTGAAAGAAGGAGGAGTTACAGAGGACATGTATCCATCCAAGTGACCAAGCATAGACAGGGAGAAAGTGAACTGAGTTATGAACTGTCAAAGACGTCAATAAGATAGACTACATCCTGGGAGCCATGAGTAGAGGTGGCCCTCAGTAAGTGGCAGGCTTTCCAAAGTCAGAGAAGATCTTTACCAATGTAAAAAAGTGAAAAGCTATATTCCTGTTAGTCATTTCCTTGGGAGAAGAAAATAACATTTGGGACCTCGCTAAAGCAACCATAAGAATTTTATTTGTATCCTCTATTACATCTCTAATAGTAACTATTTACTGAGTACCTATCAGACTCTCTAAATGTTGAGTTCAACTACATGAAATTTCTAATATTCGACCATTTGACCTATAAAAGTGGCAATTTCAGATGGGTTCTACCAATTCTTTTTTTTTTTTTTGAAACAGAGTCTCGCTCTGTTGCCCAGGCTGGAGTGCAGTGGCATGATCTGGGCTCCCTGCAGCCTCCGCCTCTCGAGTTCAAGCAATTCTCCTGCCTCAGCCTCCCACATAGCTGAGACTACAGGCACGTACCACCATGTCTGGCTAATTTTTGTATGTTTTTAGTAGAGGCGGGGTTTCACCACGTTGGCCAGGCTGGTCTTGAACTCCTGACTTCAAGTGATCCACCCACGTCAGCCTCCCAAAGTGCTGGGATTACAGGCATGAGCTACCACACCTGGCCTCTAATTTCTAATTCGAAACTTGCCGGATGGGTATTATTCCCAGTTACAGACGAAAAAAACAGAAATGCAAAGAGGAAGAGTAGCACGCCAAAGGTCATGAAGACATCAAAAGTGCCATGTTCTGACTGGGGTCGCATAGATCCCAAAGCCAAAGGTCAGGCTCCTCTCTCTATGGTACAGCATGGAGTCATCTGAGTTAGTTCAGGCAGCTAAACATGTATTAAGCAGAACACAGAGCTTCAATCATCCCAGTGAGCCTACTAAGTTTTAAAACAGATTTTCTGCCAATACCCAGCTTATCACAATTGACCAACTTATACTTTTCTCAGTCCTCTGGTCTGTAAAAATGAGAGGATCGACTGAAAGAATTGGTGAGGCTCTTTTTTCATTTTCTAAAATTTGAATAATCACAAATAAACAGAGATTTTAAAATTTAGTTTCTAAAACTTTTTAGTTTTTAAATTTACTTTTTAAAATTCTTTTTAAAATAGTCATTGTTCTTTGGAAACTACCCAAACAATATAAAATAGTTTAAAGTAGAAAGAGAAGATCTCCCCTCTCCCCTAATTTCAGTGGTCTGTCTGCATTTGGAATTTTGCCATATGCAAGCATGTGACCTTGAACCATTCCCGTAGCTTCTCTGAGACTGCATTTCTTTGAGTGCAGAATGGGACTGGACAATGTCAGCTCTGCTTCCTCTCAGGGGAAGATGAATGTATGAGAGTAGGTGAAAGTGTTTCCACTATGGGTTTTGTACTAGGTTGTCAGTACCGCTCTGCTAGGAGTCATGGTCACAAGCTTCCCTCTCTGGAGTTTTCCAGGATGCCCCTCCAGTGGGGATGGCCGCCAACCCTCTTCCTCTCCTGGGTCTCACGATTACTTAGCAAGCAGCCTCCCTCCATGAGTCAGGACAATAAGGGTTGGGCATCTTGAGCTAATCAAGTGACATTAGAAAAACGGAAATAGCCGCCTGATTATGATTTAACCGAAGTAAAAATTCTTATAAAACTATCTCTGAATCATGTTTGCATCACTGCTGATAAATCATACCAGGCGGAAGCCGGTGCATGTGACTGACCACGGGGACTCACTCTGTTGCAGCTCCACCTCCAGCTCACTTGTACCCCAAAGACACAGGTTCTGCAAAGCAGATGGGCCATGTGGAAGCTGTTGTTCCCTCAGCGCCTCCTGGTTCTCCTTCCTAGTCCTCATCCCAGGGTTTTAGAGTTAAGAATCCGATAAGCAAATGCACACGTCATTTAATCTCAGAGCTGACAGAGGCCCACAAGATCGTCTAGAAATTTACACCCCTGAACATGAACATGAAAACAGCTGAAGGTTCTGCCCCATCAAGAATATGGAAGGGTTTCAATTAACCACATTAACAAGCCACAAGAATGACATGGAGTGGCCTTAACATACTAAAAATGAACCTGTCTCATGATCAAAGGATATTTCTCTTCTGTTCCTGGGACAAACAAATGTTTTGAAGTCAACTAACAGGCATACACAAATGAAAATTAGTATCTGTAGTTTTCAAAACACTTTTTGCAGATCAACTCATTTGATGTTGAATGGTTGGGAGCAGAATTTATATTTATTGAAAACAGCATGCGCCAGCCATGTCGGACTTGTTACTGAACTTAATTCGTAACAGCAGCAGCTAATCATAGGTATTACTGGTCCTATTTTGCAGTTTACAAAACCAAGGTTTTGACAGGTGGAATAACTCAATGGGTTCATTGTGGCCTCCCTACCTCTACTGGGCTCTTTCCCCACAACCTCTTCTTCTTAGAGACCTTTGATCTTGGTGCATCTGTGAATTACACTGTGGCTTCAGAAAATAAAACATTTTGCAAATTAAGTCAAGGTAACACTGAAAAATGTCAGCTCCCTTCCTACACTAGGGTTTCATTTCTATACTGTAAGATCCTTCCATAGTGAACAGTCCCACATTCTCCCAATCAAGGGCTAATTATCTCTGGCACCTTGTTAACCCAGAGGTGTGGCAAACCAAGAAAGAAGTTCTCTTTTAAGAAAGTTCCAGGCTGGGTGTGGCAGCTCATGCCTATAATCCCAACACTTTGGGAGGCCAAGGCAGGAGGATCACTTGAGGCCAGGAGTTCGAGACCAGTCTGGGCAACAAGGCAAGACTCTCTCTCTACAAAATAATTTAAAAATTAGCCAGGCATGGTGGCGCACACCTGTGGTCTCAGCTACTCGGGAGGCTGAGGTGGGAGGATCGCTTGAGCCTGGGGGAGATGGAGGCTGCAGTGAGCTGTGATGGCACCACTACACTCCAGCCTGGGCAACAGAAGGAGACCCTGTCTCAAAAAAAAATTAAATTTTTTTTTTTTTTTAAAAAAGCTCCAATTTTGCCCTCAGTAGAGAAAACCTCAGACCCACCACTAGAGCAAACCTCAGACCCACCACTAGAGCAGAGATTCCTATATCATCTCATTATTTGCATGATATTAGCATGCTGTGTTACCAAATCCATTGTCATTCCCCTCAGCAACTACCACCACCCATACCCCTTATTTTCATGCTATTCAGTTGCCTCCTTAAAGGGAGAAGTACAGAAGCCTCATCAGGAAAACAGAAAAAGAACAGAAAAACAAAATCAGCCAAGTGAAATCTGCTGGAGACTTTGTCCTCCTTAATCCATCATGAAAGTTTACTTAACTAAGATACAAATCCCAAAAGGATTACACATTCCATGTTCTGTCATTCTATCTGCCCCAAGTTCTACTGATATTCAAAATTATCTTACCAAAAAAAAAAAAAAAAAGAGTTTGGAACATAAGCAAATACAACTCTAAACCCAATCTGGGAAATTCTTACTTGCTAAATGCTCACTTGCCTAAAAGCCACACAAATTGTATTTCAATCACTGCAGCCTCGTCATTATTCTTAAAAGATTTTGTCAAAATGAAAGCATCAAAATTTAAACAGACAAAATTAACCTCCAAGTTTCATGTTTGTTTTTAATGACAAATATAAAAATAAATTTTAAGGCAGCACAACTACCTTACCTACTTCAGCAGATTAAGCAATTGCCAACATAAAGGAAATTGTTGATCAGAAATTCCATTAGAAAGACAACACCAAAATTCAGTTTTAGCCAGCATTTTCAGGAAAATTTTCATTCATACTAGTAAACAGAAATACAAAGCAATATCCGAAAGAAAGTTGAGACCTTGATACTTTTTGTCTCTCACAATGTTTACAGCTTACAGCTCAGCAACAGCCAGGGTGGAGGAGGAAATTCCTCTGTTCACACCCACCTGCCATTGATGCCTTTTTTAAGAGGACTGTGCACAATGTATTTTAAAAAATCTATTGTTGGGTGAAGGAGACTCACATGTTTTCTTCTTCTGGCTAATAATGCATTCAATTGCCTTGAAGTCAATGAACTCCTGCGTGGGAAATACCAAGCAGCAGCCAAACAGGAATAGATTAAGTAATGCACCAACCAGACGATGTGTTTGAAACTTACATTCTAGAAGACCTTTCAATAGTAAAATACTTCATTCAGCAAACCTTTTCAATTTCACTTTATTTGTAACTTTACAAAGTTTTCTTAATTATCATTGTTAGAAAAATGAGAGTATTTCAATATTTGAGATTTAAATAATCTAAATATGAAGTCCTTAATTGAGAGATCAGCCATGATAGCACTGTTCTCCCAAGAGAATGTAACCTGGCATCCTACTCTCGGTAATCTGCCCAGAGTTGGAGAAAGCTAACTCCCTCCTCAGTTCGATAAAACAGACTAACGTTAGAATGACTAATAGTCATTCTCCTTCCTCATTCTCTATCTTCCCAGTGCAAAGAAAGCCAGGCCATATTTATTATTATCTATTATCTGATAAAACCAAATGAAGAGCTCTCTCTTTCCTTGATAATGAGTCTCTAGAACTGAATACTTCTTTGCTAAAACTATCATAATCTGAAAAGGAGGTAAAATAGGAAAGGCATAACAGGCATCATGAATACCTGCAAAAACTGCAGCAAACAGATACTAAAGAGTATCTGTGGTCATTAAAAAGACAAGAACAATATATTAAAAATAGCCAAAATGTTAGTGGGCAATATGTTATCTCCTTTATATTTTAGTACTGAGTTCTAACCGTGTGCCAGCCTGTTTCAATCTTTACCTACTTTTTTTTTTTTTTAAGAGACAATGTCTTGGTCTGTTCCCCAGGCTAGAGTGCAGTGTTGTGATCATAGCTCACTGCCACCTTAGAACTCCTGGGCTCAAGGGATCTTCCCACTTCAGCCTCCCAAGCAGCCAGGACTACAGGTGTGCACCACCATGACCAGCTAAGTTTTTAAATTGTTTTTAGAGACAAGGTCTCACTATGCTGCCCAGGCTGGTCTAGAACTTCTGGGTTCAAGTAATCCTCCTGCCTTAGCCTCCCAAAGTGCTGGGATTACAGGCATGAATCACCACGCCCATCTTTTACTTACATTTACTCACTTAATCCTCTCAACAACTCTATGAGGTAAGTACTATTATCTGCGTTTTACAGATGAGGAAACTAAAGCTTACAAAGGTTCAATAATTCACCCAAAGTGACAAGGACAGGAAGTCACAAAGCCAGGATTTCAGCTTGGGCTCCTTAACTCTGCTTTAAGTCCATACTCTCTCTAAGCCATCCTCTTCCAGAAACTCCACACCAGCCATTTTGCAAATCTACACCTACGCTCATAGGATACATCTTAAAGTGTTGTCTCATACAACTTTTGCACCATGATTTACTTTTTCATGTATCTGTTCTTTGCATCTTTGCTAGGGATAGTGAACTTCTCCAAAGTAGGGAACTGGGGAACTCTTTTGATGCCTGGAGGACCTCATAGATGGATTAACCTCTCAAAAACAAGGGCAAGACAAAAGGTGGAAGCAACCCAAGTATCGAATGAATGAATGGATATACAAAATGTGGCATATAAACACAATGGGACATTATTCAATTTTTTTAAAGGAAGGAAATTGTGACACATGCTATAACATGGATAAACATTGAGGACATTATGCTAAGTGAAATAAGCCAGTCACAGAAAGACAAATACGTGATTTCACTTATATGAGGTTACTAGAGTAGACAACTTCATAGAGACAGAAAGTAGAATGGTGGTTGCCAAGAGCTGGGGAAGAGGAAAGAAGGAAGGGATAGTTATTGCTTAATGCATACAGTTTCAGTTTTGCAAGTTGAAAGAGTTCTGTGAATGGATGGTGGGGACGGTTGCACAATAATGTGAATGTACTTAATACCACAAAACTGGACACTAAAAAATGGTTTAGAGGGTACATTTTACATTTTATGTCACACAATTAAAATGAAAAACAGGGCAGGCACGATGGCTCACACCTAAGACCCCACACTCTGGGACACCAAGGTGGGAGGATCGCTGGAGCTCAGGAGTTTGAGACCAGCCTGGACAACATGGTGTGACCCTGTCTACAGAAAATTTAAAAATTAGCCAGGCATTGTGGTGCACACCTGTGGTCCCAGCCTCTCAGGAGGCTGAGGTGGGAGTATCGCTTGGGCCCAGGAGATCAAGGTTGTAATAAGCCATGATTGCACCACTGCACTCTAGCCTGGTGACAGAGTGAGACCTTGTCTCTAAATAAATAATGATAAATAAATAAATAATAAATAACAGACAAAAAAGGACAACAACTAGAACAAATGTCTACAGAAATGTCTTAATGTCTACAGCCATGCCTCCATGGGGCTGTCAGGCTGCTGTCACGGAAGTGCAGGAAGCTGGCCCTCCACCAGAAAGTCATCCGGCTGGTGTGACACCAAAGCTTACTGATGGGGACAAGCCATTCAACGCTGTCACTGCTATGTTTCCACAGCCTTGCAACCTGCAGGTCACCCTCAGAACAAGCCCTTTCTGACAGCTGTGGAAGCAAGAGGAAACATCAAACTCCCAAGAAAGTATGTCTTTAAGACCTCAGCCTCTTCCTGTCTCATAGGCTGGTCCTGTGGAGGGCCCTGATATCTGGTGCGCAATGCCAGAAGACAAGTCCAGGCATCCATCATTTCCCTTATCACGGGGCCACCGAGGTCCCAAAAATAATGAATGAGGGGTCGTTTCCACCTTGGAAATGTGCCAAGTCCACATCAAATTGCAAAGGAAACAATACTGAGAAGTGTGACAGCTTGGGATTCCTGCGATGACAGAGGTGGGACAATGAAGGAACTGCCCCAGTTCCGGGGCCAGAGAGCTGCCGTGGCAGTAAGAAGCAGTTCAACCCCATATCCTTCTCTTCAAATCACAGTCCTGTGGCTTCTGCTGAGGACATACCACTAACTACACAGGCTTGAACTCCTGGCTTCAAGCAATCTTCGCATCTCAGCCTTCCAATGTTCTGGGATTACAGGCGTGAGCCATCGTTCCTGGACTCACTTGAGCCCTCAAACACTTTCTGAGCCAATTCACTGCTGGGTGCCTAGGACCCAATGTGTTCCAGACCGAGGCTGGGCTAGGAGGTCGGACAGGAGAGGCACTTCCGTCTTGGGAAGATGAGCATACACACTACTAGGGGATTCAAGCTGAATTTTCTCTTTGGCTTCCAAAAATCGCCTTCTATTAACATTTTTTCTATCATAATCAATGTCTTCGTTTACTTCCACTCCTTCCTCCTCCTCCTTAGGTAGGCAGCCAGGCTTTTAACTCCTTGCTTCCAGGATCTCATATCAAGGAGATAAGATTTTTCTAGAGTTTTGTAAACATCTAAGCCATCAACAAGATTTGCAAGGTGTTCTAGAAAAGCTCCTTACCCCCTCCACCCCTGGGTGTTTCACTTTGGTCCGTGGAAGCTCCTAAGGGAACTGGCAAGGCTTCAGAGAAGAGGGGCTCCAGGTTCCCAGACTTACCAAGGATTTCCCTGACCTGTCCCATGCCTGCATGAACTGGTAAAGAGCCTCAAATGGGATGAACTGTGTGCACCCCTACCCCAACCCTTGCTCCACTTCCTATGTTGAAGCCCTAACCCCCAATACTTCTGAGTGTGATGGTATTTGGATACAGGGTCTTTAAAGAGGTAATTAAATTAAAATGAAGTCTTTAGAGTGGATGAGTCTAATATGACTGGTGTTCTTACAGAAGAGGAAATTTGAGCCAAGCGTGGTGGCTCACGCCTGTAATCCCAGCAGTTTGGGAGGCTAACGTGGGTGGATCACTTGAGGTCAGGAGTTTAAGACCAGCCTGGCCAACGTGGTGAAATTTTGTCTCTACTAAAAATACAAAAAAAAATTAGCTGGGCGTGGTGGTGGGCACCTGTAATCCCAGCTACTTGGGAGGCTGAGGCAGGAGAATCACTTGAACCTGGGAGGCAGAGTTTGCAGTGAGCTGAGATCGTGCCATTGCACTCCAGCCTGGGTGACAAGAGTGAAACTCTGTCTCAAAAAAAAAAAAAAAAATAGAAATTTGGACACAGATACATACACAGAGGAGAGACCATGTGAAGACACTGGGAGAAGACACCCATCTACAAGCCAAGACCTAGAACAGAACCTCTCCTCACAGCCCTCAGAAGCAACCAACCCTGCAAACACCTGGATCTTGGTCTTCTAGCCTCTGTCAATGGAAGAAAATGACAAGACAAATCTCAATCATTTTAGATTTATTTGCCAAAGTTAAGAACATGCCTGGGAGACAGATGTATGCCTTTCTCCAGAGATGATTTTGAGGATTCCAAATTTAAAGGAGAAAAGGTGGGATATTGAGAAGCACACAGTTTTCACATAAACAAAAGGGGCAGAGGAAAAAATGTGGAGAATCTGCATTTTACATAAGATAGCACAGACAAAATGGGGTAGGGGAACAATCAGATATGCTTTTGAGTCTGGCAGGGCCTGGGTGACTGCGCCTGTATAAGATAAACTATCAATTTGCATTGCCATGGTGAAGTTTTAACAGCTCACCAGGAATTTCCCTGTGGGCAAAATATAGGGAAGGCAGGTATTTTTTCATCTTGTAGCCATCTTATTTAGGAACCAAAGAGGGGAGGCAGGTTTGCGTGACCCAGTTCTCAGCTTGACTTTTCCCTTTGGCTAAATGAGTTTGGGGTCCCAAAATTTAACTTCCTTTTACAACTATATGAGAAAATAGATTTCTGTTGTTTAAACTACCCAGGCTGTGGTACTTTGCTATGGCAGCCTTAGCAAACTAATATAACACATGTGCTAGAAATCACTGTTGAAACCATTGTAGATAGGTGTTGGATGGACCACTTCCCACAACCTAGCACATTCTAAAACCTTAGGTCCTGCAGGTAATCCTAGGGTGGGTGTGTCTAAAAATAATGGGGTACATTTTCTTATAGTTGGACAGATTGAAGGCTTGGAGATAAAATTAATTTACATAAGTTTTAAAATGCTATTTTTTATGTGGTACATATACACCATGGAATACTATGCAGCCATAAAAAGGAATGAGATCATGTACTTTGCAGAGACATGAATGGAGCTCAAAGCCATTATCCTCAGCAAACTAATGCAGCAACAGAAAACCAAACACCACATGTTCTCACTTACAAGTGAGAGCTGAACAATGAGTATACATGGACACAGGGAAGGGAACAACACACACTGGGGCCTCTTGGAGGGGGTGGGGAGGGAGAGCATCAGGATAACTAGCTAATGCATGTAGGGCTTAATATGTAGGTGATGGGTTGATAGGTGCAGCAAAGCACCATGGCACACGTTTACCTATGTAACAAACCTGTAGGTCCTGCACATGTATCCTGGAACTTAAAATAAAATTTTTTTAATGCTATTTTTTTGTAAGCCTTTGTTTATGGACTGAGATTTATACCCCCAACCATAGTAAAAGGAGACAACAAGCTTAGTTTGTATTAAGCACTAAGAAGGCAGCATAGTAAAAACAGGAATGATTAAGAGACTGTCTCTAACCACTAGCCTATAGGGATTCCAAGCTTGGCTTTGCCACTAGCTGTGTACCCTTGCCCTAAACCCTTGTGTCTGTTTCTTCATCTGTAACAAAAAATTATAATAATATTTGTCTGGCATGTTGGCTTATGCCTATAATCCCAGCACTTTGGGAGGCCGAGGCAGGCAGATTACTGGAGCTCAAGAGTTCGAGACCAGCCTGGCCAACATGGTGAAACCCCATCTATACTAAAAATACAAAAATTAGCCAGGCGTGGTGGTGTGTACCTGTTGTACACATATATATATGTACACACACACATATATATATAAATAAATATATATATTTTATATATATATATAAAATAATGGTATCTCTATCAAAGGTTGTTACGGGGGTTAAATATGACAATCCACATATGACACTGGAAATAGGGCCTGACTTTCAGTCAACATTCATTATCAAGAAGCAGCTTAAACTCACTTTTATAACAGAGTATCTGTGCTTATGGAAGGTTAAACTCACTGAAAACACATAAAAATGTATAGTTTTTTTCAAAGTTAAGTTACACCCTTCTGAACAAAACTTGATCACAATGCATGCATGAAAATGGGCCCATGTTAAAGGTTCAAGGTTTTATTAAATTGTACCCATACATTGTATTATGTCTTCCTCCACTCTGTCCTTGGTTTGGATGCATTCTTCATAAAGCTGCAGTAATTGTTAATTTGTATTTGTTCAAGTATTTGCAAGTCAGTTGTACAATGATTCTTGTTAGCATATTTTCAGGCGGACTTTGAAAAGCATAACTTGTGGCAAAGAGGGTTTAGTGGATCTTGCAAGAGGTGACACACATTATCATGCCCAAGAGGACCCTTGTGGAGTTCATGAGACGTGACAAGGTACTTTAGAAGGTGTGGGCTGGGAGAGGAGGTTACCTTAACGGGACAAAGGTCTCTAAGGAAGAAGACATACAGGCAGAGATTGCCTTCAAAATTAAGGAACTGCAAAGTCAGGGAAATAGACCTTCAGACAGCTTACAAGTAGCTTAACTTGTAAGCTTAACTTAATATTTAGAGTAAAAACTCCTGCTGTAATCCCAGCACTTTGGGAGGCTGAGGCGGGTGGATCACAAGGTCAGTAGATGGAGACCATCCTGGCCAACATGGCGAAATCCCGTCTCTACCAAAAATACAAAAATTAGCTAGCCCTGGTGGCATGTACCTGTAGTCTCAGCTACTCGGGAGGCTGAGGCAGGAGAATGGCTTGAACCCAGGAGGCGGAGGTTGCAGTGAGCCGAGATCGCGCCACTGCACTCCAGCCTGGGCAACAGAGTGAGATTCCATCTAAAACAAACAAACAAACAAAAACTCCTGGACCTGTTGACCCTCTTTCCTCATGAGAGTGATGGAGACAGCAGCTGTCTCAGCACCAGTTGTCACCCAGCACAGTAACAATGCAAGGGGAAAAAAATAGGGCCTGTGGGCCTGACCTTGACCAATTCATCTCACTTTTCCATCTTCAAAATGGAATTAAAAACTATCCAAGGACCCCAAAGAGTAGTTGTCAGGCTAAAATAAAATTACCTGGCCCATCCCAGCACTTTGGGAGGCCAAGGTGGGCAGATCACTTGAGGTCAGGAGTTCGAGACCAGCCTGGCCAACATGGTGAATATTAGAAATACAAAAATTTGCCGGATGTTGTGGTGCGCACCTGTTGTCTCAGCTACTTGGGAGGCCAAGCCAACAGAATCGCTTAAACACAGGAGGCGGAGGTTGCAGTGAGCCGAAATCGCACCATTGCATTCCAGCCTGGGCAACACAGCAAGACTCATCTAAAACAAAAACAAAAACAAAAACAAAAACAAAAACAAAATACCTGGCCCCACAGAGGGCATTCAATCACAAATTACAATAATAAAAAGCCTAGTAGACCATCTTGCAGACACCCTGATCTCTGATTTTCTTCCTCTCATTTATGTACCTTTAAGACTGATATATTTTAAAAATTGTTTCTAATATTGATTCTCAAATACTTTTCTCAAGACAATTACTGTACTAAAAATCGATGACCAGGTGCCAAATCTTCCCTTTCTGAGCATAACTGATAATCCTCCATAGACACTGCTCTCATGATCTCCACCCCCTAGTCATTCCCCATAGCTCCCTATTTTTCTAATGCAGAGCCCTCTGGAGCAGATCAGATGGTAAGGTGGAAAAACACAGGCTTCCCACTCCTGGGAAGACACATTCCACTCTGGCCAGAAGCCTAGCACTCTGGCTTCTTCTGCCCTAGTCTCTGAGTCCAAAGGCCAGGCTTGAATGTTCTGCAGCTGGCCGGTCACTGCCCCCACCTCCTTTCACATCCACAGCCCCACATTTCCTTTGCAAAGGAGAATGAAAGTTATAAAAAGATGATGCATAGAAATTGCAAAAAGATTTTATTTTTCTTGGAATGCCTTGGTCTTAAATCCAGTTTGGGTTCCAAAACTTGTCTAGAATAACCTATTTCAAGGATAATGTCCATGAAAAAGTAGTAGAAAATGACTATTCTAGTACCAACAACTAAAGAAAGCAGGAGGACATAATAGAACAACAACAAAAACACCAACTCTGTTTTAGAATTCTGTACTTCGAGAAAGAGCAAGTTAATTTAAGAGTAAAAACAAGACAGCAGACATTTCTGGCAACTCTCAAAGGGACTCTCACAACTGGATGAATGACAGGAGCTCTTTATTGGATATAATTTCACTTCAAAACATTTTCCATCGGCTGGGCGCGGTGGCTCACACCTGTAATCCCAGCACTTTGGGAGGCCGAGGCAGACGGATCACTTGAGGTCAGGAGTTTGAGACCAGCCTGGCAAACATGGTGAAACCCTGTCTCTACCCAAAATACAAAAATTACGTGGGCGTGGTGGCACATGCCTGTAATCCCTGCTACTAGGGAGGCTGAGGCAGCAGAATCGCTTGAACCCAGGGGGCGGAGGTTGCAGTGAGCCGAGATTGCACCACTGCACTCCAGCAGGGCAACAGAGTAAGACTCCATCTCAAAAAAAAAAAAAAAAAAAACCAAAAAACTTTCCATCAGTATACAATAAGCATACTCATTTTACTTCCCAGTATTGATACAGGTTGCTGTTCAGCTCAGAAAAGGAAGAAAGAGAAGAAAAAAAGGGAGAGAGACAGGGGAGGGAGGACAGATCTTTTCAGATGTTCTGGGCCAGGATCTAAAGAGAATGGGAAGGAAGGAGGGAGAGAGGATATGTGTCCACCAGTGGAAGTGGCTACAGTGTCGTGGCATTGAAGGAGTTGAGTAAGAAACAGTGAGGTGTGGATCCACGCAGGCAGGGAGGAAAAGATGGTAGAAACAGCGCTTTGGTTCCCTTTACCAATTATTCATTATTTGCGTTCCTCCCCCAGCCTCCAGGTGGCACAACTGACCCAGCATATCCTGCTTGAGAACGGAAAGGTAGGACAAAGGCCAGGGCAAGTCTTAGGAATAAAATGAAGAAACAGAAGGCACTGTTGCCAGGCAGGATTGGGAATGGGAGGGAATGTTGCCTTGTAGCACCCTCAATGGTGGGTACTCAGTACATGCTTAGAAACTTTTCCACTGCATCCCTGATATTATTGTTTGAGAGTCTGACACTCTCAAAACTCTAATGGAAATCTTTCATGCTTCAGTTTAAGCTCTTTTTCTCTTTTCAAGTCCCAATAAAAATATTCCCATTTGCATAGCACACTGCAATTTGTATCAACTCCTTTAAGATCTACTTCCTAGAGATTTGCATACATCTGAGGCTACGAAACATATCTACAGGATGTGAATTCTACATCTAGACAATTAGACCAGGGTTTTTCAACATTGGCACCATTGATATTTTGTGCAGGATAATTCTTTGTTGGTGGAAGGGGGTGTCCTGTGTGTTATAGAGCGTTTAGCTGCATCCCTGGTCTCTACCCATCAGATTCTAGTAGCACCCTTCCTCCCTCACTGAGATAGACCAATGTTTCGGGTCCAGTCCATGGATTCAAGTCCTGAGTCTTGGCCAGGATGCATAGTTGTAATTGTCAGACTTTCCTCCTCTAAGCAGAGCTTCCTCACACAGTAACATGCTCAGGACTCATTAGGGATTTTGCTAAAATGCAGATTCTGATTAAGTAGGTCTGGGATGGGGCTCAGGATACTCTAGTTTTAACACGCTCCTGGATGACAGGAATGCTGCAGGTCCCCAGACCACACTTGGAGTAGCAAGCCCCTACAGCACTGGTTTAGTAAGAAAAGGAGAGGGCTGGGCGTGGTGGCTCACACCTGTAATCCCAGCACTTTGGGAGGCCGAGGCAGGCGGATCATGAGGTCAGGAGATGGAGACCACCCTGGCTAACACAGTGAAACCCCGTCTCTACTAAAAATACAAGAAATTAGCCGGGCGTGGTGGCACGCGCCTGTAGACACAGCTACTCAGGAAGTTGAGGCAGGAAAATCGCTTGAACCGGGGAGGCAGAGGTTGCAGTGAGCTGAGATGGCGCCACTGCACTCCAGCATGGCAGAGCGAGTCTCTGTTGCAAAAAAAAAAACAAAAAAACAAAAAAAAAAAAAACAGAGAAGGAGCTGGGTAGGAAAACTGACCTGACATTATGTAGCTGTGGGACCCCTGGATGGTTATGTGACTTCCAAATGTCTCAGTATCTCCATTTGAAAAATGCTGGTGACTATAAAGATTAAGTAAAATAGTGTAGGTAGGAGTTCAAGGTTGCAGTAAGCTATGATCACACCACTGCACTCCATCTGGGTGACACGGAGAGACCCTGTCTCTAAAAAAGTGGAGGTAAAGCAACCAACTTACCAGCCGACACTCAAGAAATATTAATTCCCTCCCACTTAGCTCCTCCTACCATCCTGCCTGGGAACCGCAAGGACAAGGCGTCCCTGGGAATTACAGGGAATTCCCTAGAAGGTAAAACTTAGTTCCTCTATGAATGGTGAGTGGAAAGGGAACGATCTCTTCTCTTTTCATTCCTCTATCTCAACACCCTCTACGCCACTCACACTATAACACCTGTCATCCTTTGGAGGCTATAGATGGTTTTGATAATGAAACATACCATAAAAATAATACTTAAAATGATATACACATTGTGATTCCATTCAAAAGCAATGCCTCCCACTCTTGAGTCCATCTCTGCCCTGCATTTAACACTGATCTGAACTATTCTTTGAAGGAAAAATGATTCCAAACAGGAATCATCAAGTGCTTTGGATATGATCTAAGTTTCCAAATACAGTCTGTTCATTTTTTCCCCCAAAATGAATAAATTCTGCTCATCTGTAATGTGTCTGAGGAAAATTCTTGCTAACCTTTGCAAGTATAAAATGTTCTGATGCAAAATACTAATAGGCCAAGCTAAAATATGGCTTTAGAATCACACAGCACATGGCACATGGACTCCACCTTGATTTTAATTCACGCACACAGAGTGCCTTTCAATTAGGGTTGAAAAGTACTTGAATTTTCTGGAATATTAACTAAGATTTATTCCTTTGGGAAAGTCATTCCTCCAACCCACCCAAATAAAAATGGCTAAACAATGATGTCTTTCTCCATTTGTAGGCGGTATCAAAAAACTTATGGGAGGCACCACTCCAGACAAAGTAAGATGCTATATTATCCCACCATGGGAATGACATCACGGTAATGTAAGCTGACGCAGTCAGCTGCACTGGGAGGCGGGCTGAAAACGGTCAGTTAACCACTGCCAGGAAAATGTGGTTTGGCCTTCCTCACACCTTCTACACACACCTCACCAGGTGGGAGCTCAGGAGGACTCTGGATGAGCTATGCATTAAGGCTGAAGTCAGGCAACTGTTGGGCGGGAAGAGGGGCAAATGAGGGTCCCTCCCTGCCCCCTACTGGGTGACGGCATGGCACCTTTCATGGGTCTGCAGGACCAGTCTCAGCTACTGAAAAAGTCTAGCTCAGTCCTAGCCCCACAGGTTTCCCACAAACGCCCTGGAAAGAGCCATGGAGTTTGGATAGGATGGCCACCTGAGGAATCCTCTCTCTTGCTGGAACTTGCTGTGGTATGGTGGCAGTTACATATGCACACTCTTCTAACTCATAAAAGACTAAAAACTAAAGAGTCCTGACAAAATTATCTTCGAAACCCTACACTCAACCAACCCAGGGCACTCCAGGCACAGTGGGGAAACTTCTAGTTCAGCCCTTTCTGACAACCCTGGAAAAACTGCCCTAGCATCACTGTTTATCCATACTCTGCACAATGAGAATCCTTTCCAGGGTCCCTGCTAGGGTCTGAATGTTTGTGTCTCCCTAAAATTCATATTTTGAAGACTAATTCCCAATACAATGGAATGAGGAGGTGGGTCCTCTGGGAGGTGATTAGGTCGTAAGCGTAGAACACTAATGAATAGGAGTAGTGCCCTTGCCTTTTCACCAAAAGAGGCCCCTTCCCCAGGCGTGGTGGCTCATGCCTGTAATCCCAACATTTTGGGATTGCCCAAGGTGGGCAGATCACCTGAGGTCAGGAATTTGAGACCAGCCTGGACAACATGTGAAACCTCACCTCTACTAAAAATACAAAAATTAGCCGGGCACAGTGGCACACGCCTGTAATCCCAGCTACTCAGGAGGCTGAGGCAGGAGAATGGCTTAAACCCAGGAGGTGGAGGTTGCTGTGAGCTGAGATTGCGCCACTGCACTCCAGCCTGGGCAACAAGAGCAAAACTCTGTCTCAAAAAATAAATAAATAAATAAATAAAAATTTAAAAAAAAAAACTAAAAAACTAGGATTATGGTTCTGAAAATTGCGGTCCATTGTCCCAATGAAGACCAATTCCTGAATTACTCAAAGCTTAAAGAAGGATCAACTAATGAAAAATAGAAGAATTCTCAATAGTGCAAGTGCTTCAGGGGTGAGAATGGCAGCTGGCGGGTAGGGGCGGGGGGCAGTCAGGCTTAGAGAATTTCCATGTTCAAAGCTACTTAATCAGTGTGAAGGATGAACAATTGATCTGCTGCACAATTGCTAGCATTTTAAGTGTTAACTTTAGGCCAGCACATGGCGGCTCATGCCTGTTATCCCAGCACTTTGGGAATGTAATTGTGGAACTGCTTGGGAGGCCGAGGTGGGAGGACTGCTTGAGCCCCGAAGTTCAAGACCAGCTTGGTCGATGTAGTGAGACCCTGTCTCTACAAACAATAGAAAAACAGCCAGGCATGGTGGCATGCACCTGTAGTCCCAGCTACTCAAGAGGCTGAGACAAGAGGATCACTTGAGCCCAGAAGTTCGAGACTGCAGTGAGCTATGATCACACAACTGCACTCCAGCCTGGGTGACAGAGTGAGACCCTGTTTCAAAAAATAATAATAAAAATAATTAATTTAAAAACTATTTACTTATCATTTGCATCTGTAATGAAGATGAAAGAAGGCTTTGGTTAATTTAAGAACAACCAACTTTAGGAGGAATACATGTACAAGGTGCTTCCATAACCATCTGATTTTACACAAGTTTTGAACAGGTAGGTTTTGGTATTTTTTTTTTTTGAAACAGAGTTTCACTCTTGTTGCCCAGGCTGGAGTGCAATGGCACCATGTCGGCCCACCGCAACCTCTGCCTCCTGGGTTCAAGCGATCCTCCTGCCTCAGCCTCCTGAGTAGCTGAGATTACAGGCATGCGCCACCACACCCGGCTAATTTTATATTTTTAGTAGAGACCGGGTTTCTCCATGTTGGTCAGGTTGGTCTCGAACTCCCGACCTCAGGTGATTCACCCACCTCGGCCTCCCAAAGTGCTGGGATTATAGGCGTGAGCCACCATGCCCAGCCTGGTATCTCCATTTTTATAGATGAATGAACTAAGATTTTGTTTATGTGACAGACCAAGATCTCACAGAGAACTTGGCTGAGGCACTAGGGTGCTTTGGCCATGCCCTGGTTCTGGATAAAGGGCGCACCACAATATCTGCGTATTTGGCCTTGCCACCCCATCTGCTCCAATCAGGCATCAAAAACAACCACAAAGCCCCTGCCCATATCTAAGAAAAAAGAAGGGTTCAAAGCATAGTGGCCTTCCCCAGTAAGTTCCACAGGTCTCTCTCCTTCCCTGGCATTCATGTCACACCCCCTTCAACGAGTTCATGCATCCTTCCAAGGCTTAGAAGAAAAAACAAACAAAAAACCCAACCCCTCAAACCTACTCAAAAGAAGCTACATCATCTCATCTTCATATCCAACCTCTGCCTGGTTAAGGACCCCAGCAGCAGCATTCTGCCTCCACAGGGCACCTTCTCCAGTTGCACGGCCTATGCGGGGCACTCTGAAACTGTCACCAAGATGGGAACAAATTCCCGTTACATGTCTCTTTTTTTCTTTTTCTTTCTTTCTTTCTTTTTTTCTTTTTTTTTTTTTTTTTTTTTGAGACAGAGTTCTTGCTCTGTCACCAGGCTGGAGTGCAGTGGCTCCATCTCGGCTCACTGCAACCTCTGCCTCCCAGGCTCAATCAATTCTCCTACCTCAGCCTCTCGAGTAGCTGGGATTACAGGCACCTGCCACCACACCTGGCTAATTTTTGTATTCTTTTAGTAGAGGCAGGGTTTCACCATGTTGGCCAGGCTGGTCTCCAAATCCTGACCTCAAGTGATTCACCTGCCTCAGCCTCCCAAAGTGCCAGGATTACAGGTGTAAGCCACCGCGCCTGGCGCAGTTACATGTCTCTTGATCCTACTCAAACTTGTCCCCACAAGGACTGGTAGCCCTGGTCCTCCTAGATGGGAGACAGGAGCACGAAAGGGAAAAGGAGGCGAGGGCAGCCTGAGTATGTTCTCAGTCTCTTTCCCTCATGCTCTGTCTTCTCCAGCCCCTCCTCAATCTCAGAATCCACCTCAACAGGAAAAAGGAACCCACCACCAAACCCTGGAGAAAGTATATTCTGTTTTATTGTAGAAAGAAAAGAGAGACTCGATCCTTTTCTTTTCTGGCACTTAACTTTCAAGAAAATGGGGCAAATGACAGAAATTAAGTTTATACTGGAGGTTTCAGTTTTCTAAAAAGCTAGCCTCCAGAGTCTGCCCTGCAGGAGTTCCACAATTACAGTTCCATAATCCTATAAAATTACAACTCACATCTATGCTAATATGCTGAGACCACCACAAAATCCCGAACTGTCAATGGAATGACAACAGCACATTCACCACCAGTCAACCCATCAAGGCAAGAAGACGGAATAGCTAACCAGGGGTTACATCTTAGAAACACTTTCATTAACAATGGGTGAAATACATTTTTAAAACTTAGATTTAAATATCAGGTGTTATGTTACTTGAAGTACCCCATTTCTTTAATACTCTAATCAAATACTACTTAAAATCACATAGACAAACTCAGTAACTTTCTCTCTGAGCCAAATGGTAGATTTTCCTTTTAGAATAGAGATGGTTTTAACTTTCCTATAATATATTCATGAAAAATGTGTTTGAAAGGAAAATGTCCAAATTGTGAACAGTAGTCTTACATGTTCATAGAGGGGATTATTTTACAAAGTAAGATATACATGTATATGGATTACCTTAACTCCCATCATGGTCCATGGTAACATTCTTCCCTGAGGCCCAAGCTACCCGAAGTGCTGCTGGGTGAGGCTCATGCCAATGAGAGAAACTGAAGTTGAAGTTGTTCCTTTATTTTTAGCTTTACAGAAATTCTGCCTCTGGGTGTTGAGTTTGCACAGTATAAAGAAAATGGTGGGCCGGGCATGATGGCTCATGCCTGTAATCCCAGCATTTTGGGAGGCCGAGGCGGGCAGATCACGAGGTCAGGAGATCGAGATCATCCTAGCTAACATGGTGAAACCCTGTCTCTACTAAAAATACAAAAAATTAGCTGGGCGTGGTGGTGGGCACCTGTAGTCTCAGCTATTTGGGAGGCTGAGGCAGGAGAATGATGTGAACCGGGGAAGCGGAGCTTGCAGTGAGCCGAGATCGCGCCACTGCATTCCAGCCCAAGCAACAGAGAAAGACTCCATTTCAAAAAAAAAAAAAAGGGTGCAATTTGCTACCCAAACTTACTGAAATTGTTGAAGCTCATCAAGATACTAATCAATTACTTCAAACTTCCAATAGCTGACACAGAATCCCTGATCAACAATCTAAGCAGTGAGTACTATGTTTCTTAAGATCAAAAAACAATCATTCCAAAAGCTGATTCAAGATACAGCATCAATTCTACTGGCGTTGAGTCATGTATAAAGCTAAAGACTGGAACTAAACAGTCTATCCTTGGTCTTCAGAAGTAACTTTTTAGCATGCTCCTGTTTCAACTGTTAAAATCCCTCAACACAACCTCCATCCAAATTCAATTTCATCTTCATTTGAAACATTTCTCATTACCTTAATAAGCAGAGACTGGTAATAACCGTGACAGAAATCTGGGACATGGGTATTTTAAGAGCTCACCAAATCCGTAATGGTTATTGTTTGGATTATTGTAATTATCTAGACAATAATTACAATGACTAGAAAGACCAAAGTGTTTGCATTTTTGGAAGTAATATTTAATGTTAGTTCTATAAGAAAATATTCAAACTTTCAGAAATAAAGCCAGTGGATTCATTCTCCCTTCATTTGACAACGAAGTTAAGACAACCTACTTCACTTTATTAGCCAGAGGTCCTGAGGCTACTGAGTCAGAATAAGCCACTTATGAAAGTGAAATAACTTCAGACTCTGCAGGCAGGAAGTGGTGCCAACTGTCATGCCAGAACTATGAGATAATGAGTATTTCAAAATGTTTGTCCCATCTCAAAGCCCAGCTATTCCTCTCATCCTAGCATCTCAGCATCCCAGAAAGAAAGTGAAATGAACTCTCCAGCAGAGTTGGTTAAGTAAAGACTGGGAGACAGGCAGCCTTACTTTTGTTGTCCCTGGCTCAGGACTAATTTTGTTGGTGCTGTCCAAGATAATTGCAGGAAACTTGGTGTGCCTCCACTCAAAGGAGAAGATGCCCTTTAAGGAAAGGGCCAGGCCGGGTGTGGTGGCTCATGCCTGTAATCCCAGCACTTTGGGAGGCCGAGGCAGGTGAATCACCTAAGGTCAGGAGTTCAAGACCAGCCTGGCCAACATGGCAAAACCCCATCTCTACTAAAAATATAAAAATTAGCCGGGTGTGGTGGTGGGTGCCTGTAATCCCAGGTATTCGGGAGGCTGATGCAGGAGAATTGCTTGAACCCATGAGGTAGAGGTTGTAGTGAGCCAAGATCATGCCATTGCACTCCAGCCTGGGCAACAAGAGCAAAACTTCGAAAGAAAAGAAAAGAAAAAAAAAGAAAAGAAAAGAAAAACAGAGAAAGGGCCAAGGGTCAAAACTGGGGAGGAGACAACCGGCAGCGGAGCATTGCTTAAAACACTCTTTAGGCCAAGTCTTTATGTTTAAAGAAACAGAGTAAAACTCCTTGCTGGATACTCCTCATTTCTAGACATATTATTATGAAATTGTATTCATGAATGTTGGGGAAGCTGCCAGACTGGAAGAAAGGGAAGCTTAGTTAAATTTAAATTAAGAACATTTCCAGAAAGAAAAGTGTGATGCTTAAATGAACTCTAATCAGAACAAAAGACAAGGAAGCAAATTCCCTGGGATCCCAATGGTGAGAGGAGTTTGTATTCATGCAGTCTCCAGGAGCCTGTGAAACGGGAGTTGGGATAGAAGAGCGCTTCCCGGGAGACATGGGCTTGTTCACAGATTCCAAGATGCAATACAGAGAGAGGTGTATAGACGTATGAGTAGGTGAAGTTTCTTTTCAAAAAGAAATATTATACATTTAGGAAGTCTTCCCAAATCACCTGTGCTGCATTTAAAACTGCTACGGGGAAGGGTAGTGATATGTCAAAGTCTGATCTGACCACGCAGCCTATCAGAGCCAAACCCATGCTACCCCACACGGGAAACGGGCTTTCCTGGGTCTGGAAAGGGAATCCACCATCTCTCTAAACGAGTCACCTCCCAGACGCCCTCTTTGTGGGTCAGGAGGGATCCCTCAGGCTGGCGAGCGCCTGGCATCCGCGTTGGAGAGCTCGGCAGCCCGGCTGCACGCCGCCTCGCCCTTTGCCTTCAGTCCTCACCCGGCCACCAGCGCCACAGCTCCCTGCTGCGGGCTTCCGGCTCTCCCGGGCTCCGTTTTACTCCCCTCCTATCCACTCCGTTTCTCTGGGATTTCTTGGGGCCACCAGTGTCTCCTTGCTCTGGTTCTTGCAGGCGCGTCGCCTCCACGGACATTACAGGTACGGCTTGCCCAGTGCTCTCCCCCACGGTCTGCTCTTCCCATACCCCAGAGTGTCCCCAAGAAGGGCCCACAGAGACGCAAACTCCGGCTTTATCTCGGATAAGATACCACATTCTAACTGCTGAGGTCCCAGCCTCAGGCCAAACTTCTGGCTCAGCTCGGACCCGGACCGCGTTCTCCCTCCCAGGGCAGAAGAGGCTGCTGGCTCCTCCTGCATCATCTCCTGAGTTCAGCTCCCTGGACCCTATCCCGAAAGACTCTGGCTGGGGCCGGGACCGGGGCCGGGGCCCGGCCCTCCCTGACTTCAGTCTCTCTGAAAAGTTCAGGACTTGCGAAAATGCCCCCGGCTCTGCCACCCAAAAGGCAGGACCCGCGCCTTCCTCGCGAGCTAGAAGGAACGGCTGCACCTCCCGGTGCTCCCGGGGCAGGAGATGCGGCCACGACCACATTTGATTTCACTGCTTTTCCTGAAAAGGACACACAGCCCAGCTCTGTGTGTATACAGGGAGAAGCGGAGTCCTGCGTTTAGTTTTTAAAGCATATATAAATGATAAGCATTGAACAAAGCAGCCAAAGGCTTGGCCCTCCCACAAACCTAGGAATTCAAATCCACATGGCCACAGCCCCTCCACCCGGGCCCTCTCCCAGCACACGCTCCGCTCGACAAGGACCACAAAAAGCCCTTTAAAAGCCCGCGGTGCTTCCGAGGACTCCCAGATTTCCAGCCCTTCCTCGGCAACCCCTTCCTCGGCCACCCCTTCCTCACACTCGAGGACACTCCAGCCCCTCCCCTCCCCAGCTTGGACACCCACCTCTGGGCGCCCGCTCCCGGGGGCGCAGTCCTGGGGTTCTGCTCCAGTCCAGCGCCGCGCGGCCGCTGCCTCCCGCTCCGGGGGTCCAGGAGACTCCGGGGGTCCAGGAGACTCCGGGGGAAGGCGAGCGGCAGCCCCGGGCTGGGGCCAGCGCATCTGCAGGGAGTGGTAGCCTCCGGGCGCGCTGGAGGGCGGGGAGCCCCGCCCGCCTGCTCCTGGGGCCCGCCCCTTCCCCGCCTCCTCGCTTCCCCTCCAGTAGCCCAGCGCCCACGGACCGCCCCTCCCTCCCCTCCCCTCCCCATCTACCCACACCTTCTCCTCTCAGTGGCTTCGGCGGAATCGATGCACAAACGAAGAAATGAATGAATGCAGAGACTGGAGAGAGGGAAAGACGGAGGGATGGATGGGGCGGGCAAAGCTGAGTGTTTCCTAACTCAGGGGAGCGCTGTGTCTGGGTATATGGATACTTGTTAGCGCACGGGGCTTTGGAGCGGGGTGGCGTGTCGCTGTGTGTGCATGTGGACGTGTGTGTTGGTGTACACATATGTGCGCATGAGCGTATGTGGAAGTGTGTGAGTGCCTGTGTGCGCTCAAATGCCAGGAGCCGCTGAGTTCCCACTCAGGCGGGGAAACAGCCCCTCGTCCCTTACCTAGCACCACGACTGTCCTCAGGGTCAGAGCGACTCCCGGAACTGGTTGCGAAGTGCGTCTTTGTGGCAGTAATGGTGTCTCCGCGTGTTTGAGGACTCCCCCGATGGGGTTCAGAGGCTGAGGTGTGGACAGAGATGCTTCCAGCTCACTGGCTCGCCAGAGCCTTCCTGCTGCCCTCCGTGTAGTGGCAGCCGGTGGCCCGGTGTCAGAGCGCGTGTGCTAACAAAGCCAGCGGAGGGGAAGGAGGCAGCTGATCCGCAGACTGGGGCTGTATTAGGCGGGTGGCCAGCCATCCCTCACTCTTGAGATGTCTGAAATTTCAGTCTCTCATCCCCTCCTCCACCATGAATATTTAAATAATGTTAATGACCCTTTGAAAATGAACCGTCTAGAAATCCTGAGAGAGGACAGGCACACACAAACAAACACCCCACCTAGAGAGCAACACTTTCAAAAGCAAGCTGTGGTCTTACTCTGCTGTAGGTGGCCGCATTCATTCTCAGCAGAGGAAGATCACAAAAGTCAGATTTCTTGAATTCAGCTTTGCCCTAGGCACGATTTTCCCAGTAATTCTCTCTCCCCAGCTTTGCAAGTCGCCCTTGCACTCTCAGTTAGGTTTCCACCCTAGGGCAGTCTGCTATTTTCCCCACTCCTTGACAAGGCCCTGGGATGCTCTTCTGGGAGTCAATTTTACATGTGAAACACAGCAGGGAAAGACAATAGCCATGGCCTGATTCTACTTTCCTAACCCACAAAGGTCCCTGATTTCCAATACAAAGAAATGATACCCTTGGGAACTACCCAGAAAGCCCATCCAGGCCAAGGGCACCATAAATAGCACCTTCAGAGAAAAGACTTCTTCCCTGCCTTGAGCGCTATTCACACTTTCACCCAAGGAAGAGGATGAAGTCTACAATGGGACATCAGCTGTTCTCAGGGTTCCTGAATGTCAATAGCCTCCTTTATCTTGGTATTTGGAAATGGTTTCACGATCCTTTTTGCCTGTTTGTCTCTTATACTATTGAATTTCAATAGAATTTACTGACCAGTGGTTAGAGATGCCAGAGCTTCAGCCTTGACTCAACTTTTTCTTCCTTCCTTCCTTTTCCTTCTTTTCTTTCTTCCTTTTCATTTTTTTCTCCTCATGTCTCCGATTTAAGGAATTAAATGCTTGGATGCCCTACATACTGATCTATTTTTAACATTTTAATATCATGTGAAAAACTCACATTAAAATGAGTGTGCTTGGATATCACTTATTTATTTATATGGACCATAGACTCTCTAAGGAAGAATTTTAGAATTACATCAGATGTGAGATGTTATAAACAATATCATGGCAGGTACTTCATCACTCCCTTCTCATATTTTCCTAAATTAGAATAAGTGTAAAATTTACAAACAAAATTAGTTTCATTATTAGAAACAGTAAAGCAAGGCCGGGTGAAGTGGCTCACGCCTGTAATCCCAGCACTTTGGGAGGCCGAGGTGGGCGGATCATCTGAGGTCGGGAGTTTGAGACCAGCCTGACCAACATAGAGAAACCTCGTCTCTACTAAAAATACAAAATTAGCCAAGCGTGGTGGCGCATGCCTTCAATCCCAGCTACTCAGGAGGGTGAGACAGGAGAATTGTTTGAACGTGGGAGGCAGAGGTTGCAGTGAGCCGAGATCGTGCCATTGCACTCCAGCCTGGGCAACAAGAGCGAAACTCCGTCTCAAAAAAAAAAAAAAAAAAAAAGTAAAGCAATCATACCAACTTTATTCTGAATTGCTTCTTTACTAAAACAACGTCAATGCTTTGTTAATATTAATTTTAAAGTTCTAGAATATTCTTCAGAAAACTATTAGGAATATTAATTTAGGAAAAATATATGCTTAATAGATATTAATTTATAAGAACATTTTCTTCCACCTTCCAAATTATTAAAGAGGTAGCCATGATTAAACATTTTTAATATAAAAGGCTTGGTACATACCAGATGCTCAGAAATAGTTGTTTAATTTGTTCAATGAAATCCATGCAAGAGTATGAATGGCTGCATGCAAAAGTAAACACTGTTTTTAATTAACATTTTCTCATTTATTTTCTCCTAGGCCAGTGGTTCCCAATTGAGGGTGATTGAACTCCCCAGGGGACATTTTGGCAATGTCTAGAGACATTTCTTATTGTCACGATTAGGGGGGTTGCTACTGGCATCTACAGGACAGCGCCCCACCAACAAAGAATTATTGAGCCCTAAATGTCAGTAATGCTGAGGTTGAGATATCTTGCCCCAGAATTTTTCGAAGCCAGTACTAAAGACCACAGATAGTGCTTGTTAAAAAGGCAGATTCCGGCAGGGTGTGGTAGCTCATGCCTGTAATCCCAGCACTTTGGGAGTCCGAGGTGGGTGGATCACGAGGTCAGGAGTTCAAGACCAGCCTGGCCAAGATGGTGAAACCCCATCTCAACTAAAAACCTACAAAAATTAGCCAGACGTGGTGGCAGAAGCCTGTAATCCCAGCTACTCAGGAGGCTGAGGCAGGAGAATCGCTTGAACACGGGCGGCAGAGATTGCAGTGAGCCGAGATTGCACCACTGCACTCCAGCCTGGGCGACAGAGAGAGACTGCATCAAAAAAAAAGAGAAAGAAAAAAGAAAGGCAGATTCCTGGGCTCCACCTTTATTGAATCAGAATGTGTGGGGCAGGGCCAAGGAAACTGCGTTAACAGCTCCCAGATGATTCTTAAAAACATGAAAGTTTGGGAAACACTGGCAATGGGCAAGGTTAGCTTTATCACCCACTGCCTGCTTGTGGTTCATCACATCATACGTGTGTTAACATAATAATGATTATTAGAGCTGAGAATATTTTATAATAAAAGAAGCATATTTACTCTCCTAGATGTATTTTAGGAGCATATTTGAATAAAATAAATGGCTATTAATTATGTGAGAGAAATATAACTCGAACGTGTAAATGTTACATGTTCCCACAGGCCCTATACCATCAAGGGCACAAAATCTTCCATGGAAATTTTTTTAGGGGGAGAGGAGATGAAGATTTCTTTCACTGTGGCCTAAGTGTACATTTTTACTCACTTTGCCTCTCCCATGCTGCTGGCCCACTTTAAACTACACCCCTGAGCCAGGGGACCCAAGAAGTAGAATGTTCTTTCTAGAAAAACACACAAAGTAAAGAACAGCTTTCTGGGGAGGAAGTTAGCCTAGATACAGGTTGAGAGAAGCTCTTCTCCCTCTCTCCCCAAACTGAGCAAAATGAACTAAATCCAGCAAATAATAATGGTCTAGCAGTAGACACATGCCCCCAAACTTAGAGAACAGTAGAAGCTGAAAAATAGACTTAGAAGTGTCTCAGAGAACTGATCTGAAAACCAGAAGGTGGGGGCAAGACAGTGCATCATAAAAGGGAATTTACTATTTCCTCCTCCTAGCAAGGCGAAAGACCAAAAAGTATCAGCTGGGAGTAATTCACAAGTGCTAAATATGTCCTACAGAAAATAAAAGTTGGCTGAAAATTTAAAAAAAAAAAAAAGTAAGAAAAAGAGGGAAGGCCGGGTGTGGTGGCACGCCTGTAATCCCAACACTTTGGGAGGCCGAAGCGGGTGGATCACCTGAGGTCAGTAGTTTGAGACCAGCCTGGCCAACATGGTGCAACCCCGTCTCTACTAAAAATACAAAAATTAGCTGGGTGTGGTGACAGGTGCCTGTAATCCCAGCTACTTGGGAGGCTGAGGCAGGAGAATCACTTGAACCCTGGAGGCAGAAGTTGTAGTGAGCTGAGATCAGGCCACTACACTTCAGCCTGGGCGACAGAGGGAGACTTCATCTCAAAAAAAAAAAAAAAAAAAAAAAAAGAAAGAAAGAAAAAGAAAAAGCAGGAAAAGCAAACAACAACAGAAACAAAAAGACTCGCTCACACTAAACAAATAGCTCTATGTCCCTGGGGCTTTCCCACCAAACAGTGGGTGACCTCACTGAAAAGCTAGCAGTAATCCCAAGCCCAGGGGGATCCTCATGGGATCAGATGCACCACTGAAAATTTCAGAGAAGAAACAAACTGGGGGAAATATTTGCAACATATATGACAATGAGTTACTACTCCTCATATGTGAAGAGTTTTTGCAAATCAATAAGAAAATTGAAGAAAACTACCAACTCCTTAATAGAAAAAACAAACCTGGGCTGGATGTGGTGGCTCACACCTGTAATCCCAACACTTTGGGAAGCCAAGGTGGGAGGATGACTTGAGCCCAGAAATTTGAGACCAGCCTGGGCAACATGGTGAGACCCCATCTCTACAAAAAATTAAAAAATGAGCGGGGTGTGGTGACATGCTTGTGATCCCAGCTGCTTGGGAGGCTGAGATGGGAGGATTGCTTGGACCCAGGAGGTCAAGGCTACAGTTAGCCATGATCGTGCCACTGCACTCCAGCAGGGTGACAGAGTGAGAGACTGTCTCCAAAAAAAAAAAAAAAAAAAAAACACCAAAAAAAACGTAGTTTACAGATAAATAAGTAAAAATGACCCTTGAACTTGTGAAGAGATACTCAAACTCTTCATAATTAAAAAAGTGCAAGTAAAATATTGGACTAATTTTTTTTTGCCTACAATATGAGTAAATATATAAAATACAAATATGTATTTTTGGCAAGGGAATGATGAAAATCAAGTGATTATACTTTATTGATGGGCATACAGATTGATAATAAATTGGTAAATCTGAAAGATAATTTGGTGATAACTCTAGAGATAGAAAATGTTTATACACTTGCACCTGCAATTCATTTTTGGAATTCAGAAGTTTACAAAATCTCTCAAATTGGATGAAAGACCAGAGTGGTGGGGAGGAGTCAGTAAACAAGAAATTCCAGATCACAGAGAGGGCCAAAAGAAAATATTTAATATACACTTTTAAAGTTGTTTGAGTGTTATGTTGTGATGTAAACACTTCTTGTAACCCCCTATACTTCTGATAACAGCATTTGAAAACTGGGACACCAAAGGGAAGGAAGGGGTTTATGTGTGAGTTGGTGTGGGGTGAAGACCAGGCATAGGAGGCAAAATGGATGTAACAAGTAAGAATTCAGAGGATGAACTCACGAAGATAGAGGGTAGAAGGGTGGTTATCAGAGGCTGGGAAAGGTAGCAGGGAGGCAGAGGAGTAGGGATGATTAATGGATACCAAAAAATAGAAAGAATGAATAAGACCTAGTATTTGCTAGGACAACAGGGTGACCACAGTCAAAAATAATTTAATTGTACATTTAAAAATAACTAAATCTATAATTGGGTTGTTTGTAACACAAAAGAAAAATACTGGGGAGGTGATGGATGCCCAATTTACTCTGATGTAATTATTTATACATTACATGCCACCTACTATGTACCCACAAAAATTAAAAAAGAATTTTAAAAAAATAATTCAGAAGAAATAGGAAATCAGAACAACAAGAGTCTAGGAGAACTAACCCCAACCCATTGTGCCTCAAGATAAAAATCCATAAAAATAGTGGGGTGAGCATCAGACAACCTCCAATACTATGTTGGTAGGAGTGTAAGCAGGAGGACATGGGATATTTAGTCAATTAATTCCTAGAATCCACAAAGATCATTTGCTTACTCTAGCTCAACTAGTGGTTTTACACCATCCATATGGATGATTTGTATGTTTACGGATTTCCAAAGTAAGACATTTCTCACTGATCTCTGGTTCTTACTTAATGGCAAAAAGGTCATCTCTGGATTAAGCATCATTGGCTTTTCTGTAGCAGGCATGATCCATCCATAGACTTACTGCCAGGCTGGAGTGCAATGGCACAATCTCGGCTCACCAAAACCTCCACCTCCTGGATTCAAGCAATTCTCCTCCCTCAGCCTCCCAAGTAGCTGGGATTATAGGCACACACCACCATGCCCAGCTAATTTTGCATTCTTAGTAGAGACCGGGTTTCTCCATGTTGATCAGGCTGGTCTCAAACTCCCAACCTCAGGTGATCTGCAAGCTTCGGCCTCCCAAAGTGCTGAGATTACAGGCCTGAGCCACCGCATCCGGCCCCCATAGACTATTTTAACCATCAACTTTCGGAATGCACATCCAAGACTGGCATATGTTAGTCTATGGTCTTGTTTGCATTGACTTATAGTTGTGTTTTATACAATTAAAAACACCCTTCTAAACCATCTCTTCTCCAAGGGGTTGACCTCTCCCTAAGATAAGGTGGTCAGCTTTTAAGATGTTATAAATTAGTTGTTTCCAAGTTGGCTTACATTGGGAGTAGCTGGAAAACAAGAAAAGAAAATTTCCAGGTTCCTTTCTCTAGGTGATCCAGAGCACAGGAATCTGTGTTTGCTTAAGCTTTCCATCTGATTCTGTGACAGCCTGATTTGGGAACCACCGGAGGTGGACACAGTCGCCCTTACTTGAAGAAAGGACAGAGAACCAAACACAGAAACAGGGATGGTGTCATAAGAGAACACTTGGCTCTCAGACTGTGTTTACTGTGGTTCTTAGCCTAGTTTGTGGTTCCTGCTTTTCCTTTATTTCCTCTCCAGGGTCTCTGGCTTCCTGTGCCCAAGTAAGTTTCTTTCCTGCCTGTTCCACATTTATTTCCTTTCCCTGCATCCTCGCACTTGGCCTCTCCTCCGCCAAACCCTTAAACATAAGGAAATGGTGACCTGATTATATTCACCGCAGCTGCTTGAGCCTCTTTAAAAGACATTTTAAAACACCCATAAGAAACATTCCAAAACCCAAGCAACATTTCCCCATGGAATTGTTTACACTGTGTTCCAGACTGTAGCTGGGCTGTGCCTTCTCGACATTGACATAACATTGTACCACCCAAATTGCCCATTGTAATATACATGTAAATGGCACCAGTATACTAATAAAAAAAAAAAACACTATTCAAAACTAAAATCTTCAACAACAAAAAAGCAGCATGGGAAGACCTGTGTTGGAAAGAGTGAAAAGTGGGTATCTATGTAGGAGAAACACAGAGTTGGGAAATGAGAAAGAGCCCAGAGGACAGAGTCCCCTGGTGAAGAAAGCAAGATGGCACCTTGATTCCAGAGGCCTCAAATCTTGTGGAATAATGACATGAATGTAGCCATGTATCACTTTGATAATAAACAGGAGCAAAGTCCTATGAGGTCCAAGTTCTTTGGTTCTTGGCTGAGACTTTTATCTCATTTAGCAACTGAAGCATTTAAAAAATCTAGTAAACACTCCAGAGTTCATGCTGTAATAGAGAGACAGCATACAACAAGGTACTCTTTAAGCATGGCACTGAAAACATAAAATATGCCTAATATACTTGGAATGTACACAGCTTGTTCACAGATAGAATGCTGGAAAACAGTGCCAATAGTGTGGAGTCCCAGAAGACAGCTCTTACTGAGTCAACCAAGCGAATTTCTTCTCATTAGGGACCTGTGTTTTAGATGCAAATGTATTTTTCTTTTCCAGTGGTGCTTAACTTCTTTTCAATTTTGGATAAAACAGGAAATTATTTCTTAGTTTTTGTTAAAAAAAATACGACTGTAACATTTTCCTAGTAATTTGCAAGTGTTTCCCTCAGAACTTTTAAGCACAGGCTGTTAATTTAAGGGAAGAACCATAAGATTTTCCAGTCATATTAGGGGGAAAAAGACCAAATCTTGAGATTTTAAGTTTTAAGAATTCTGATTCTCTCAGAGATAGTCTTTGCGGTAGTCTTGATTTGCTTGTCAAATGTTTTAGTATTGAGAACTATCCACTGAGAAATGGGCTTTTTCCTTCTAGTATACTGAACATATTAAATGGCTTTCCTAGCATTAACGTAAACTTCACTGAAGATGATGGGACAATATTATGAAGGCATATTATGTTTATATACACAGAATAAATTAATTACTTCTCTAAGTAACTATTACGATTATAAGGTGTTAAGATCATTTAAATACGGAGAATAATAATAGCTTCTATAGCATATTAAAAGCCTCTGTTGGATTGGGACCATGGCCAACATAAAATCACTTTAGAAACCACAATAGCTTATAATACAATCAACTAAAGTACCTATACCCATATTGTTTTTGAAGATTTTCCAACTCATTAAGTAAATACCTTCTTTATAGCTCCCTCTCCCTCTCCTCTCTTCTCCTCTCCTTCCTTCCTTCATTTGTACTTCCTTTCTTTGTATTCTCCTGTCTTCCTTCCTTCTCTCCTTCCTTCATTCCTTCCTTCCCTCCCTCCCTTCCTTCCTTTTCTTGTTAGACCACTGCCTAGTTAATTTTAGGAGCAAGCATTGCAAACTCAAATACCTTAGGAAGCCAGACAGATAACATAAATGAGTAAAGCTGCCAGGTATCAGAAACAGTTTGTGATTCCCACAGAGGGCTCAGGCGTTGATGAGTCCAAGTGCTGACTGCTAAGCAATTCATAGAGTGGTTGAGATGAGATAGGTGAGCACCTAGACGAGAACTGTGGGTTCAGATAGGTGCTGCTGCTGCTGCTGCTGCTACTATGTTTGACTTCGGAATTTTCTTTACATGCTTGGGATGGGTGAAGGCATATCAAAATGTTAGAGACATGAAAGTTAGAACTAGGAGGAAAGTTACATGTTGCCCAAGCCATTTTTCTCATTTTACGGTATAGCAAAATGTCAGTAAAAAACAGAGAGCCAGAAGACCTGGATTGGAATCCTGACCTGTCACTTACTGGCTATGTGACCTTAGGAAAATCGCTCAGCCTCGCCATCCCTCCCTTCTTATCTCCTCTAGGACATTGTTCCAGCAATTTTATCCTTCCCAAAACATGAATTTTCTTTCACTTTATCAAATATGCTGTGATTTCTTCTATCAAAAAAAATTTTTCTTGTGCTCACAGTTAATAATACTGTACTAAATGAACACTTTAAGAGGATAGATTGTATATTATGAATTTTCTTTTTAAAATTATTTATTTATTGAGAGAGGGTCTCACTCTGTCACTATGGCTGGAGTGCAGTAGCATGATCATGGCTCACTGCAGCCTCAACTTCCTGGGCTCGAGTGATCCTCCCACCTCAGCCTCCTGCGTAGCTGGGTCTATAGGCATGTGCCAGCATGCCTGGCTAATTTTTGTATCTTTTGTAGAGACAAGCTTTCCCCATGTTGCACAGGCTGGTCTTGAACTCCTGGGCTCAAGCAATTCCCCGCCTTGGCTTCTCAAATTGCTGGTTTACCACACCAGGCCAACGTTATTAGTGTTTTCTAGGACAATAATTTT
The DNA here is from genome assembly GCF_000001405.40 of Homo sapiens. Taxonomy (NCBI): domain Eukaryota; kingdom Metazoa; phylum Chordata; class Mammalia; order Primates; family Hominidae; genus Homo; species Homo sapiens. Next base: position 110,038,948 of record NC_000009.12, on the reverse strand, counting down.
TTTTTTTTTTTTTGAGACCGAGTTTTGCTCTTGTTGCCAGGCTGGAGTGGCACAATCGCGGCTCACTGCAACCTCTGCCTCCCACGTTCAAGCAATTCTCCTGCCTCAGCCTCCCAAGTAGCTGGGATTACAAGCGCCCTCCACCAGGCCCAGGTAATTTTTTTGTATTTTTAGTAGAGACGGGGTTTCACCATGTTGGACAGGCCAGTCTCGAACTCCTGACCTCAGGTGATCTGCCCACCTCAGCCTCCCAAAGTCCTAGGATTACAGGTATGAGCCGCCATGCCCAGCCTACAATAATTTTTTTAAGAGAAATTCTCTTGATCCTACCACCTCAATTCCCTGTTTCCCCTCAAAGCAAAAGTTCTTAAAAGAGATGTTTTTTTCACCAAGACAGCACTTGTCAAAGTCATCAGTGACCTTGAGGTTGCCAAACCCAGTGGTCATTTCTCCAAACTCACCCGACCTGATCTTTCACCAGGATTTAACACAGGCCATCAGTCAGTCAGTCACATTTAAACTGCTTTCTTCATTTGGCTTTCACAACTGTTTCTTGATTCTCCTCAGTGCTCTCTGACCTTTTTGTTTTTTGTTTGTTTGTTTGTTTGTTTGTTTGTTTTTGAGACAGGGTCACTCTGTCACCCAGGCTGGAGTGCAATGGTATAATGACAGCTTACTGCAGCCTTGACCTGCCGGGCTCAAGCAATCCTCCCACCTCAGCCTTGGATGACAGGTGTGTGCTGCCTCACCTGGCTAATTTTTTTGTTCTTTGTAGAGAGGGAGGTCTTGCTATGCTGCCCAGGCCAGTCTCAAACACCTGGGCTCAAGCGATCCTGCCACCTTGAGGGCCTTCCAAAGTGCTAGGATTATAGGCATGAGCGACTGTGCCCAGTCTCACTGACCATTCTTTCTTAGTCCTCTTTTAAGGTTCGTTCTCATTTTACAAATCTTTAATTTGGGATGAGCAATGACTTGGGCTTGATCCCTTCTATCCCTCAGGCCATTCTCTCTGTGATCTCATCCAGTCAATGGCTGTGCACAGGTGAATCCCAAATTTATATGTCAGCTTATTTTCTCCATGGAACTCCAGACTCATACTTAACCTCTCCACGGGATGCCTAGAAGGCATTTTTAAATTAACAAGTATATTGCAAATTCTTAATTTCCTCTCAAAACCTGCTCCTCCTATAGTCTTGCCTACCTTGTTAAAGACAGGTCATCCTTTTAGCCCTAACCAAATCATCCCATATTCTACAGCATTCTGATTTTTCTCCAGAGCATTAATCACCATCTTTCATATGATAGTATTTACTTGCTTGTTTCTTGTCTATCTCACCCTACTGAAGTGTAATCTACATAAGTACAAGACCTGGTCTCTTTTGTTAATTTCTAGATGCCTAGAGCTTGGCATAGAGTAGGTGCTCATTAAATATTTGTTGTTGAAGCCGGGTGCGGTGGCTCACGCCTGTAATCCCAGCACTTTGGTAGGCCAAGGTGGGTGGATTACCTGAGGTCGGGAGTTCGAGACCAGCCTAACCAACGTGGAGTAACCCCGTCCCTACTAAAAATACAAAATTAGCTGGGCGTGGTGGCGCATGTCTGTAATCCCAGCTACTCGGGAGGCTGAGGCAGGAGAATTGCTTGAACCCAGGAGGCAGAGGTTGTGGTTGCGGTGAGCTGAGATCGTGCCATTGCACTCCAGCCTGGGCAACAAGAGTGAAACTCTGTTTCAAAAAAACAAACAACAAAAAATATTTGTTGGAAAAAAAAAAAGGAAAGTCCCCATGTTCATGTAGCTTACAACCTAATATGGCATGGACAATGAGGTAAGAAAAACAATAAGCAAGAGAAGAATGTCATAGATAACAGGAAAGAAAATAAAAGGCCAATTGAATTCACTCATGCAGATACATGAAATGTATTTTGTGTCAGGAGGCGGTAATTGTTATAAAGAAAAATAAAACAGGGTAAAGGGATAGATATTGATGGCAGTAGGAGGTGAGTACTATTTTATGTAATGGTCAAGAACAGACTCTTTACTGAGGTGATATTTGAGCAGAGACCTGGAGAATGGAAGGAAGTGAGCCAGGGAGACATCAAGGGGAAAAGCATTCGAGCATAGGGAACAGCAGGTGTGGGGACACTGAGCAATCATGTTTGGAGCAGCCAGGAGGACTTCAGAGCTGAGAAAGGAGGGGTGAGAGAAGACTGGCAGTGAGCCAGATCCTAAGGTCCTTGCAAACCTTGATAAGCACTTTGGATTACCTATTTTCCTGAATAAGATGAGAAGCCACTGCATTATTTCAAGCAGAAAAATGACTTGATTTGGTTTAGATTTTTATAACATCACTGTGGCTGTTTCTGGGTGGAGTCTGTGTTACAGAAAGGGAAAGGAGTGGCCGGGAGAGCACTTAGAAGCTATTGTAATAATCTGGGCAAGAGATGATAATGGCTGAAAGCAGAATGGTAATGGTGGAGTGGTGACATCAATGGTGAAATCAGATTCCAGACATAATTGGAAGTGGAAGCTGCACCAGGCACATGACACATGGCACAAAGCATTGCCCTCAGAAGGCATTCAACACATAATTATCAGATGCATGCCCAAATACTTCTTATTTTCATTACAATAAAGTGTTCTTATTAACGGGTTCAAAAAAACTCCCACTTGATCAGGGTTTCTAGGAAGTTTCTTTTAAAAAAACAAAGCACAGGGCCTGGTGCAGTGGCTCACGCCTGTAATCCCAGCACTTTGGGAGGCCAAGGCGGGTGGATCACGAGGTCAGGAGATTGAGACCATCCTAGCTAACACGGTGAAACCCAGTATCTACTAAAAATACCAAAAAAACTAGCCGGGCGTGGTGGTGGGTGCCTGTACTCTCGGGAGGCTCAGGCAGGAGAATGGCATGAACCCGGGAGGTGGAGCTTGCAGTGAGCTGAGATCACGCCACTGCACTTGAGCCTGGGCGACAGAGCAAGACTCCATCTCAACAATAACAAAAAAAAGTACCAACTCACCAAAACAATATATATATCATATATATGTTATATATAACACACAACATATCATATATGTTATATATAACACACAACATATCATATATATTATATATAACACACAACATATCATATATATGTTACATATAACACACAACATATCCTATATATGTTACATATAACATACAACATATCCTATATATGTTATATATAACACACAACATATCCTATATATGTTATATATAACACACAACATATCCTATATATGTTATATATAACACACAACATATCCTATATATGTTATATATAACACACAACATATCCTATATATGTTATATATAACACACAACATATCCTATATATGTTATATATAACACAACATATCCTATATATGTTATATATAACACACAACATATCCTATATATGTTATATATAACACACAACATATCATATATATGTTATATATAACACACAACATATCATATATATACATATATCTGTATTATACGCATAATATACGTATATAATATGTATTATACATATTATATACGTATATGTATTATACATATAATATATGTATATAATATGTATTATACATATAATATATATAATATGTATTATACATATAATACATATGTATGTAATATGTATTATACATATGTACAATATGTATATTATATATTATATATGTGTGTATATAATATAATTATATATTATATTATATATATTTTTTATATATATACACACACACACACATGCACACATATATATTTAGTACATTGGGTAAAGTATTTCTTAAATTTTAGGCAGAAAAAAAAGCACTTGTAAAACACTAAACATACTAGATTTTCCCGTAAGTTGATTCCAAGAACTTAGTATTTCATATGAAAGGATCACATTGACCCTTAAATTTCTAACATTTACCATGGGCGAATTCAATTGACCTTTCATTTTTCTCTCCCATTAGCTATGGCATTCTTTTCCCTTTAACTCCGTAATCATAAACACAGCTATTTTCAGACCTGTCACTTATACAAAGAATATATGGCAGCCGGGCGTGGTGGCTCACACCTGTAATCCCAGCACTTTGGGAGGCGGAGGAGGGCAGTTCACGAGGTCAGGAGTTTGAGACCAGACTGGCCAACATGGTGAAACCCCGTCTCTACTAAAAATACAAAAATTAGCCAGGCATGGTGGTGGGCACCTGTAATCCCAGCTATTCAGGAGGCTGAGGCAGGAGAATCGCTTGAGCCTGGGAAGCAGAGGTTGCAGTGAGCTGAGATTGCACCACTGCACTCCAGCCTGGGCAACGAAACTGTGTCTCAAAAAAAAAAAAAAAAAAAAAAAGGGGAATATATGGCTTGATAGTTATTGGATTCTCTCCATAGGGAAAGCATACGCTATGGTCTTTTCTATGCTGTGGATGTGAATTCCAAGTGAATGGCTAGTTGTAAAGTTAACTGGCTCTGCATTCCCCAAGAAACATGCAAAAGAGGCTGGGTGTGGTGGTTCACGCCTGTAATCCCAGAACTTTGGGAGGCCGAGGCGAGCAGGTCACCTGAGGTCGGGAGTTTGAGGCCAGCCTGAACAACATGGAGAAACCCTGTCTCTACTAAAAATACAAAATTAGCCGGGCGTGGTGGCACATGCCTGTAAATCCCAGCTACTTAGGAGACTGAGGCAGGAGAATTGCTTGAGCCCAGGAGGCAGAGGTTGTGGTGAGCCAAGATCACGCCGTTGCACTCCAGCCTGGGCAACAGGAGTGAAACTCCATCTCAAAAAAACAATAGAAAAAAAGGAAAGAAAGAAACCTGCAGAAGAGCACTTAGGGATCACAGGCAAGAGGTGCCCTGGCACTGTGGTTAGGGGACTATGCTAACCACATGAAGAATGCTAGGAATGAAGGCAGAATCCTCATTCTTCCACTGATTCTGAGCAGGACCTTCCATAGGTTACTTTATCTCCCTGTGCCTCAGATTCCTAGTCTTTAAAATAAGAACAAGTGTATAGTATCTATATCATGAGTTCATGGAACTCATTGGATAAGTTCATGCTTATAAAGGCCACAGAATACACCTTTTAGATTCTCAATTAGTATTAGCTATGTGTTATTTGTATTCATCTGTGCCAGTCCACTGGCTCATAGCCTGTCCAAAAAACTACAGTGGTCTTAGATCAGGTCCATTCTTGACTAATTCTTGCTCCCAGGATCAAAACTATTTTCCTGTCATTACATTTTAATTAAAATATTTTTTGATTCTAAAAGAAATATTTACTCATTACACAGAAAGCAATAAACTGTGGGCTCTGAAATATGACAAACCTGGAATTGAATTCTGACTCTGCTCTTCCAGAATTTGTGACCTTATAAAGTCTTTACCTTCTCAAAGTGTTGATTTCTTCATCTGCACAATGGGACAAAAAATGGTACCTATCTCATGGTGTCATTTTGAGTGTTAAAGAGAGAAATGCAGGTAAAGTGTTTAACACAGTGCCTAGCCCACAGTAAACACTGGGAAAAAGAAAGGGAGTGAAGGGAGAGAAGGAAAGAGAGGAAAAGAAAGTAGGAAGAAGTCAATGACTGTTATAGGATTGAAGGTTTAGTAAAAGCCACACAAAGGAGAAAGGTTTGGAAAATGCTTAGACACAGAATGCATATTTTTATTTAAAAGAGAAAAAGATTTGCTGTGTCTTTTGCAATACCATTTCTCTTAAAAGGGATTTTCCTGTGTCACTCATGGGATACACTTAATATAAACTTAGAAACTTTTTCATATTTGGGATTTGTTTATATTTTCTTTGCAAGAACCAACTCAAACACACTAAAAATAATAAAAAGAATAATTCTTAGTGGATGAATGTTTGTCTATTTCTCAACTTAAATAAGGTTTTGTCTCCAAAATTTCAAAGTGACTTATTCACATTAATTTGAAAAGTCAGACCAAAAATTTGACCCTGCTTAAATATGGTATGCTACATATAATACGACATTCAATAAATTTATTTATTTATAATAGAAATAGGGTCTCCTTCTGTCACCCAGGCTACAGTGCAGTGGTAGGATTGTGGCTTACTGCAGCCTCATCCTCCCAGGCTCAAGTGATTCTCCCACCTGTCTCCTGAGTAGCTGAGACGACATGCGCACACCACACCTGGCTAGTTTGTTTGTTTTTTTATTTTTTTATTTTTTTTGTTTTTTTATTTTTTATTTTATTTATTTATTTATTTATTTATTTATTTATTTATTTATTTATTTATTTTGAGACAGAATCTCACTCTGTCACCCAGGCTGGAGTGCAGTGGCACAATCTCAGCTCACTGCAGCCGCCTCCTCCTGGGGTCAAGCGATTCTTCTGCCTCAGCCTCCCGAGTGGCTGGGACTACAGGCACGCGCCACCATGCCCAGCTAATTTTTGTATTTTTAGTAGAGATGGGGTTTCACCATATTGGCCAGGATAGTCTCAAACTCCTGACCTCGTGATCTGCCCGCCTCAGCCTCCCAAAGTGCTGGGATTACAGGCGTAAGCCACCGCACCCGGCGGTTTTTTTTCTTTAAGTAGAGATGATGTCTGGCCAAGTTGCCCAGGCTGGTCTCAAACTCCTGAGTTCAAGCAATCCTCCTGCCTCAGCCTCCCAAAGTGCTACAATCATAGGTGTAAGCCACCATGCTTGGCCAATAAGTTGATTTTTTTTAGTCCAAAAGTTAACCAAGGCTGTGTTATTTGTGGCATAACACAGACATGGAGACATTTTAGAAAAAACTAAAAGAAGAAACTGTCTTAAGCTACAGTATGATGGGTGCAGTAGTCTCTTAACTAATATTGCAGGACACCTGTGTGCTTAATTTCTCCAGATTCAAGGAAAGCTCTACTTTTTTTTTTTTTTTTTTTTCCCCGTAAGCTAAGCTTTGCTTATTTACTGAGAAGGCTGTTCGGTTTTATCATACTCATGAATCACTGCAGGAGAATGATAATGAGAAATGTAATCAGAATGCTGACAGGATGAAGACTCATGGGCCAGCCTGAAGAACAACTCATTCTCAAGGATGAAAATCAAATCTTATCCCACTAGGTAAACTCCAGCTTTGCATTGGAAGAATGAACGCAAACAGAACTACATAAAAGCCTCCATATTGATCAGGACTGTGAGGCAAGGAAGACCTCCTTAGCATGTCTACATACCAGCATCATCTCATTATTCTCCAAGGTGAAGCACTGTGACAAAGTCATGAAGATCTAGTGCTGTCTGGCTTAGACCTAGGCTCCAGCACTCCTTGTCTGTGTGACCTTAGACAAGTTACTTAATCTCTCTGCACCTTGTTTTCTCTGTAAACTGGAGATATCCTAGTACCCACCTCATAGGGTTGTGGTAAGAATTAAATAATAGAATACCCTAAACACCCAGAGCACTACCTGACACATGGGAAGTTCTCAATATATGTTAGCTATTATCTCATTATTCATTTTATTAAACCGAATTTCACTAGAAAATGCATACTGTTGGAGATCAAAACTCACACTCTGGTGGGGTGCAGTGGCTCACACCTGTAATCCCAGCACATTGGGAAGCTGAGGTGGGCGGATCAGTTGAGGTCAGGAGTTCGAGACCAGCCTGGCCAACATGGTGAAACCCTGTCTCTACTAAAAATACAAAAATTAGCCAGGCCTGGTGGCGCACACCTGTAATCCCAGCTACCAGGGAGGCTAGAGGCTAAGGCACAAGAAATACTTGAACCTGGGAGGTGGAGGTTGCAGTGAGCCAAGATGGCGCCACTGCACTCCAGCCTGGGCAACAAGGTGAGACCCTGTCTCAAAAAACAATAACAGAAACAATAATAAACCTCACAATCTGTGAGCAGATGGAAAATATGATGACAAATCCAATACCCTACCCTCTAGCCCAGATCCCTTTGGGAGACGGAGTGGGAACTGCAGCTGCTGGTACCTTTTTCTTTTCAGAAACAGACATAAAAATTCTGAGATAAAATAAATGTCACATCTCCACTGACTAATTTCTGAGGAAGAAGTAGTTGTTGCAATGATAGTAAGCATAAGTGACCTCGAAACAGACCAGCTCGTGGTATGCAGACCTACCAGTGGCCTGCTCTGCTAGGCAATGAATCAAGCATCTTGTATGAGCATGTCATCTTTTTACATACAATTTACATGATGTCATGATTTTTACCAAGTGTATTTTTTACTACTAAGTTTTCACTACAATAAAAAGGGCAAGGGGGCAGGCCACTAGAGAATGGGTAGGAGAAAGAGATGGGAAAGGCATTGGATAATTTATCGAGATAGGAGCACTAGATGCTCACTTCAACAATCTTCAGTATTCATATGATACAGAAAGATCATTCTTCCCATTGTTAGGGCTCAGAAACCTATATCCCCAAATATGATGCTTTGATATTCTGAACCTGAAGAAGGCTCAAGGTCTCTCTGACCTCCCCTCACTCCTGTCTCTCAATCTTCTGTCTCTCCCCTACGCACAGGATGAAATGGTTCTGTGAAGTTCCCTTATCTACCTAAAATCTTACCCTCCAGAGAAGAAAACAATTACTTCTGGTCTCTTCCTTGAGTTGCCATTAGCAACTCATATAGCAGGAAGAAAGACTGAATGAAGTCTGTCAACACATCTGAACAGACTTCTGTCACAAATTGTTGTCTGTTCTGTGGGCCCAACAGACTTTGTCCCAGGTCACTGTTGGTTCTTCAAGTAAAAATCATTTACTGCCCTTCCCCCCACTTCCTATCTCCACACTTCCTATCTCCGTTTCCTCTAAGAAGAAGGGTATATAACCATCTGTACCCCATTGTGTGTAATTTTCTCTCTTTGCACATTAGTAAACTTCTATGCCATTTCTCCCGTTAATCTGTCTAGTGTCAATTGATTTTTCAACGAAATTTCAGAGGGCAAAGGGAAAGTTTTCCCTTGGCCCCTACTCTATGAATCCAACAACTTTTCCTGATAACTACAATCTTGATTTATGAGACCTCTCTGATACCTGACCAGTTGCAGAAGGACAAGGCTTATCGTAAGTGGCCACATGAGTTCTACCCAGGATTTCAGAAATAATTTGCAATCATTCCAAACCCTCAGGGACATGAATGGTAATTTATTCAGACATTAACTGGAGAGACAAACTGGTTCCCTGCCTAAATGGGAACCAGGTTGGCTACCTTCCAGTCGCACTAAAGACCAATAGTTTCTGTCACTGGGTTCTGTGTTTGGTTTGCGTGGCTTGGTTCTTTCACAAGTCATAGACTTTGGTACTTGCAAATGAGCCTTGTTGCAAAACTAGCTTGATTGGGACAGATTATTCTTAAGAAATGAGGCTTATCTGCAGACAGGCTCTGACATACTGAACAGCAACACGTGACAGTTTCTAGAGCTTTAGCATCATTAGTCATTCTCACTGCTGGAATGTTCAAAATGTGCATAGAAGGAAACAGACAGATGTCCTCAGGAAGCATTTGTGAATGTGTCAGAACTTTTGCTGGGAATATCCATGCCCATGTCATGTATTTTAGGGTGACCACTCAGAGATAGGGGATTTTACCAAGTAGGAGTTGATAAAAGCACAAGAGTATTTCATCAACATTTTAAAAATTGGGATGATGAAGCTATCTGCAGAAAATGAAATTAGGCTAACACTGATATCCCAACTAAAAAGAAGATCCTAGAATAAGGCTTCCAAAAAGTCATGATATACCCAGATTGAGGTAAAGGGTTTTTGTTGTTGCTGTTGTTCAAAAGAAAAAACAATCAAACAAACAAATAGAGGGTAGTGTTTCTCATAGTTTCACTTCATAGAGAAACCAATGAGGTACAAATCTTGGCATGGATCAGATTTGGATTCCTAGCAAAGAAGCATATCAAGGGATGTCCCTTGATAGGTTATCAGCATATTACAAGTCCTTAAAATATACATCTGTCTGGTTTAAAGCTTAATAAAATACATTGTCATGTTTAAAATGAAAAAAGTCTTTTTTTTTTTTTTTCAAAAAGAACCCAAAACCACAAATAATCCCAAAGGACAATAATCAAAACACATTACGCGGTTCCCTTCATTTCCTTTGCAACACTCCTCTTGCCTAGGGCCACTGGACTTGGCAAATAAAAATACAGAACACCCAGTAAAATCTGAATTTTAGGTAAACAACAAATAATTTTTTAATATAAGTATGTCCCATGCAATTTAATTCAAATCGAACTGGACATCTAATATTTTATCTGGCTAAGCTACCCTTGCCCTGTCATTGGAGCTCCCCTGCTTTAGCTAATTAAAAAAAAATAAACCTGCACTTATTAAAACCCAAACAGAGAGGCTACAAAGTGTCCTTCCATCTGGGTTCAAAGCTTGGCTCCACCACACACTCACTTTGAGATCTTGGGTAAGTTACTTTACTGTGCCACAGCCACCACATCTGTAGAATGGGATTAATAACAGTTTCTCCTTAGCAGAGTCATCTGGAGGATTACACGAGATGGTGTATGTGTAGCACAGTACTCAGCTCAAAGCAAACGTTCAACCCATGTTAGCTATTATTGTTGGCAAGAGAACACAGCGAAGAAATAAAACGGCAAAGAAGAAGGTACCTGAGATTATTCACTTGCCACGAATATTCCTTATCTACACATAGATTATTGAAAGCTGTCAATGGTTGTGACTTCATTTCTTTCACATTTATTTTATTTGACAAATAGGGAGTAGCACACAGGAACAATAAATAACCATTAATAATATAGTTTATTACAGTTTACAACAGAGCTCTTCATATTCATTTTAAAGAAAATTCAAGACAATGATTCTCAAAGACATGTATTATAAAAACTGACCCATATAGTACCGATATGCCTCCTACTCACCAATGCCAAACCCCCTCTGAGATCCACTACCCTGAATAGTTTCAAGGATTTTTAAAAAATCTTCGAAAATATTTCCTTTGGCAAGGAACCAAATTTAGAGCGATCTTTATGTATATACACAATGTAGAAAGGTTTTCTGTCCCAAATGTCTCTTTTTTGTCCAGAGTCCCTGCACAAAACAATCCTTTCAATGTCGTCATCATCAAATACAAAGGGCAACCGGCTGGACACCACTGGCAACAAAAGGCCTTCAGCAGAATGTTTTTTTAAAAGCAAAGGCCAAAGAAAGCTGTAACCTGTGGCCTCTATTCACCACCGGAAGAGTCTAAATGCTTTTCCTCTTTTGTAATAGAGAACATCTGCTCTTCTAGGAGGATAATCTGTCTTCCAACAAGTTTTACGTGTAGAGAAGCAACATCCTTTTTTAAATGTGGCTTTCCCATGTCCTTGAATAGAAATGTACCCTTTTCAAACGGTTTTACAGCCAGAATCTCTAGTTTGCCTAAGGGCTACCAACCTTGTTTCTTGTTCAAGCATAAATGAGAAATATTGAACATGTAAATAAGAATACCAGACTTCATTCTGAGGAAAATTCTGCTGTGCTAAAATTTTTTGTATTCTTTTTTGCAAACACTTAGTTTTTAGTCTTAGTATATATGGACAAGAGGGCAAGATAAAGAGAGCATCTACGATTTAGTTGGTGTATTTGATGGAAATGACAGCCAAATCACAAAATTTTTATCCTAGAGATACTTCTTTAACATGGATTACTTGATGTCATTTTATCCAGTCGTTGGATAAACAAAATTCAAGAAAATGATGCACAGCCAAGCAGGTGTGATTTGGGACTTGCAGCAAGGCACCAGCTGGATAAGGCCAAGACATTTCCAGTATGAGGGTCCTGGACAGTTCACGCCACAGAAGAAAGGAACTTTTGTAACCAGCAATATCTTTAAAAATCTAGCTTGTAGCAGCTTCCTACTTTATTTCTGAGGGGTAGCCATCTTACTGGCTTTTCTGTTTTTGTTTTTGTTTTTGAGACTGCATCTCGCTCTATTACCCAGGCTGGAGTGCAGTGGCGCGATCTCGGCTCACTGCAACCTCTACCTCCTGGGTTCAAGCGATTCTCGTGCCTCAGCCTCCAGAGTGGCTGAGATTACAGGTGTGTGCCACCACACCCAGCTAATTTTTGTATTTTTAGTAGAGACGGGGTTTCACCATTTGGCAAGGCTGGTCTTGAATTCCTGACCTCAAGTGATCCACCTGCCTTGGCCTCCCAAAGTGCTGGGATTACAGTAGTGAGCCACCACGCCTGGCCTTACTGGCTTTTTACTATTAACATAATGTATTAAAAATCCCTTTGAGAAGGCAATTAAATAGTAATACATTTTAGGTGTAAAATGCAACATTTAGGTGGTTGACAGGAGCTGGAGTAGGAGAGAATGGGGGGCTGGTATTTAATGGGTAGAGAGTTTTGGTTGAAGAAGATGTTGAAAAAGTTCTGGAGAAGGATGGATGACGATGATGGTTACAGAACACTTTGAATGTACCTAACGCCACAGACGGGTACCCTTTAAAAGTGCTTAAAATGGTAAATGTTATATCTGTTTTACCACAATAAAAAATAGCATTGATTAGGCTAATAAAAAAATTAAAGAAAAAAGGCTAAGATGTGAAGGGAAAATAGAAAAGAGAGATAATCGCTGGGTGTGATGGCTTACACCTGTAATCTCACACTTTGGGAGGCTGAGGAACGAGGATCACTTGAGCACAGGAGTTTAAGATTGGCCTGGGCAACATAGGGAGTCCTCCTTCTCTACAAAAAATAAAAATTTAGCCAAGTGTGGTGCTGCACGCCTATAGTCCCAGCTACACAGGAGGCTAAGGTAGGAGGATTGCTTGGGCCTGGGAGGTTGAGGCTGCAGTAAGCCATGATCACACTGTGCTCCAGCCTGGGTGACATAGCGAGACCCTGTCTAAAAGAAAGAAAGAAATAAATAAAAGAGTGAGAGAAAGAAAAGAAATAGAAAGAAGAGAGATTGATGCAACCCCTGCAGAGGGACGTAGTGGTGGAGAGGGCAGTGATCTTAAAGGGGAAGTGTGAGTTGAGTGCACCCTCCTGCCACAGTCAAGAAGAGGGTCCCTCACTCAGAAAACACTGACTGGGCAGCTGCAATGAGAGAGTGCTTCAATTTAATAATTGAACAAACTATGGCAAAAAAGGAAATCAAGCCATTAAAAATTAACTGCATACAAATAGCCAATAAGCACATGAAAATAACTCAGTGTCGTTAGCCACCAGGAGAATGCAAACCAAAACCACAATGACATACGACTCCACACCCACTAGGATGGTTATAATCAAAAGATGGACAGTAGTAAGTGTTGGCTAGGATGTAGAAAACTTGGAAGCCTCATTCATTGTTGGTGAGGTGTAAAGTGGTGTAGATGCTTTGGAAAAGAGTCTGACAGCTTTTTAAAAAGTTAAACCCAGATTTACCATATGACCCAGCAATTCTACTCCTAGGTACAATCCCAAGACAAAGGAAGACCTACGTCCACACAAAGGCTTACATGTGACTATCCAAAGCAGCAACTATTCATAGCAAGAATACTTACTGCCAGAAGGTAGAAACAACCTCAAAATCCATCAACTTGTGAAGGAACAAAAAAAAAAAAAGCCTTTCGGGCGGAACCTCCATCTTCCAGTAATTCGCCAAAATGACGAACACAAAGGGAAAGAGGAGAGGCTCCCGACATATGTTCTCTAGGCCTTTTAGAAAACATGGAGTTGTTCCTTTGGCCACGTATATGCGAATCTATAAGAAAGGTGATATTGTAGACATCAAGGGAATGGGTACTGTTCAAAAAGGAATGCCCCACAAGTGTTACCATGGCAAAACTGGAAGAGTCTACAATGTTACCCAGCATGCTGTTGGTATTGTAAACAAACAAGTTAAGGGCAAGATTCTTGCCAAGAGAATTAATGTGCATATTGAGCACATTAAGCACTCTGAGCCGAGATAGCTTCCTGAAATGTGTGAAGGAAAATGATCAGAAAAAGAAAGAAGCCAAAGAGAAAGGTACCTGGGTTCAACTGAAGTGCCAGCCTGCTCCACCCAGAGAAGCACACTTTGTGAGAACCAATGGGAAGGAGCCTGAACTGCTGGAACCTATTCCCTATGAATTCATGGCATAATAGGTGTTTAAAAAATAAATAAATAAAAGACCTCTGGGCTGTTAAAAAAAAAAAACAAAAAACCCAAGACACTGGCATATCTTTTTTTTTTTTTAAGACAGGGTCATACTCTGTCATCACCCAGGATAGAGTGCAGTGACACAATCACAGCTCACTGCACTCTCTACCTCCTAGACTCAGGTGAGCCTCCCACCTCAGCCTCCCATGTAGCTGGGACTACAGATGCATGCCACCACATCCAGCTAATTTTTGTATTTTTTGTAGATACACAGTTTCACCATGTTGTCCAGGCTGGTCTCCAACTCCTGGGCTCTAGTGATCTACCCACTTTGGCCTTCCAAAGTGCTGGGATCACAGGCGTAAGCCACCATGCCCAGCCTGGCATATCAATTAAATGAAATATTATTCAGCATTAAAAAGAGTGAAAGGGATAGTGATTGAGGCTACAATGTGGATAAACCTCAAAAAAAAAAAATCATCATCATCCTAAGCCAGATACAAAACACTGCATGTTGTATGACTCCATTTATATGAAATGTCCAGAACAGGCAAATTTATAGAAACAGAAAGGAATGAGTGGTTGTTTGGGGATGGGGTAGAATGGAGATTAACTATAGGAGGGCATGAGGGATCTTATTGGAATGATGGAAATTATTTAAAACTGTGTGTGTTCTAAAACTGGATTGTGTGATGGTTAGTAAATTTATGAAACATTATTGAATCATATACCTACCTGGGGGAACCATATGGCATGCAAATTTTATCCTTAATAAAGTTGTGTTATTTAAAAAAAGAACTACAATTTAGAGCCTCTAACAAGTAAAAAATGAAACAGAAAAATGACCCTTACGGAAATGATATTGTAGCAAGGGCAACTGGATATTATGCAATGAAAATTATGGTTATTTTTATTTTTATTTTATTTTTTGTTTTATCACAGCTCACTGCAGCCTCAATCTCCCTGGGCTCAAGCGATCTTCCCATCTCTTGCCTCCCAAGTAGCCAGAACTACAGGCACATGCTACCACACTCAGCTAATTTTTTTGTATTTCGTAGAGACTGGGTTTTGTCATGTTGCTCAGGCTGGTCTCGAACTCCTGGTCTCAAGCGATCCACCCACCTTGGCCTCCCAAAGTGCTGGGATTACAGGTGTGAGCCACCACACCTGCCCGACATCTATGGTTATTGATGTGAGTGGCTATGAAGGAGAGCTGTTAGGTCCTATGAGAATGTGAAACAAGCAATGCTTGTTAGAAAGTGCCACTGGAGCTGGGTGCTGTGGCTCACGCCTGTAATCCCAGCACTTTGTGAGGCCGAGGCGGGTGGATCATTTGAGGTGGTGAGTTCAAGACAAGCCTGACCAACATGGAGAAACCCCGTCTCTACTAAAAATACAAAATTATCCGGGCGTGGTGGCACAGGCCTGTTAATCCCATCTACTCAGGAGGCTTAGCAGGAGAATTGCTTGAACCCAGGAGGTAGAGGTTGTGGTGAGCTGAGATGGCGTCATTGCACTCCAGCCTGGGTGACAAGAGCGAAACTCCATCTCAAAAAAAAAAAAAAAAAAAAAAAAAAGAAACCACAATGAGATACCATCTCACACCAGTTAGAATGGGGATCATTAAAAAGTCAGGAAAAAACAGGTGCTGGAGAGGATGTGGAGAAATAGGAACACTTTTACACTGTTGGTGGGACTGTAAACTAGTTCAACCATTGTGGAAGTCAGTGTGGCGATTCCTCAGGGATCTAGAACTAGAAATACCATTTGACCCAGCCATCCCATTACTGGGTATATACCCAAAGGATTATAAATCATGCTGCTATAAAGACACATGCACACGTATGTTTATTGTGGCACTATTCACAATAGCAAAGACTTGGAACCAACCCAAATGTCCAACAACGATAGGCTGGATTAAGAAAATGTGGCACATATACACCATGGAATACTATGCAGCCATAAAAAATGAAGAGTTCATGTCCTTTGTAGGGACATGGATGAAACTGGAAACCATCATTCTCAGCAAACTATTGCAAGGACAAAAAACCAAACACCACATGTTCTCACTCATAGGTGGGAACTGAACAATGAGAACACATGGACACAGGAAGGGGAACATCACACTCCGGGGACTGTTGTGGGGTGGGGGGAGAGGGGAGGGATAGCATTAGGAGATACACCTAATGCTAAATGACAAGTTAATGTGTGCAGCACACAAACATGGCACATGTATACATAAGTAACAAACCTGCACATTGTGCACATGTACCCTAAAACTTAAAGTATAATAATAATAAAATAAAATAAAATAAAAATAAAGAAAAAAAAAGAAAAGAATGTGCCACTGGAGGAGGGAATATTTGAGCCAAAGATGTGAATATAAAGAGAGAGGGAGAGCAGGAAGATCAAGGGAGAAGTGAATGAAAGCCAGGGGCTTTTAAAAAACACAGTGCCTGCAAGAGTTGGTCTTTGTTCCAGGAGCCATGGGAAGGCCAGCAGGGCCTTAGCAGAGGGATATTATCAGCTTGATCTTTTCATTTATTTTTTTAGAGATGGAGTCTCAGTATGTTGCCCAGGCTAGGGTTGAAATCCTGGGCTCAAGCAATCTTCCCACCACCGTGCAAAGCTCAACTCAGCTTTTTAAAAAGAAAGCTACAGTATCCAGGCTACAAGTAGACCGGATAAAGAGGGCAAGAATGGGTACAGAGAGAGACACAGTGAAAGACAATGCTAAAAATGAAACTGAAGTTAAGAGTAAGAAAGTCTAGAAGGCAGGGGAAGCCTGAGGCTTATTCAGTGTTGAAATGGGAAGTAATCAAAGGGCACTGAATAGGGAAGTATCCAAATCCTGCC
This sequence comes from Homo sapiens, assembly GCF_000001405.40. NCBI lineage: Eukaryota > Metazoa > Chordata > Mammalia > Primates > Hominidae > Homo > Homo sapiens. The sequence continues at coordinate 110,022,026 of NC_000009.12, read as the reverse complement.
TCAGATTGGTTGGACAACTGGAGAGCCAAGAGCAATAGTAGGGCTCACATTGCCACCCCCAGACTGCATTAGTGGTGTGCTAAGACAAGATTTTCTGAAACTAATCATGAAAGTTACTTGGAGCACTTATTAAAAATGCTAATTCTCAAGCCCAGGTCTTCTGAATCTGAATTCTGAAAGATGTCTGGCAAGCTGTGTTATTGTTGTTTTCTACATTGCTGCAGGTGATTCTCAGGGTCAGGCATTTCAAGAAATACTGATCCATACCTGTTTTTTTTTTTTTTTAAATTCAATGTCTGGACAAGCAACAAAACAGAATAGGATATAAAATAGAAGCTATTCTGAGATACAGCTACCCTTTTCTTCCAGTGAAGGATGATAAATATAGGCTGAAAAAAGTTAGTGGTTCTCCCAAAACAAGAACAGGTAAAAAACAATTTATAAGGGTAAGTAGAGTAAAATAAGAAAATTATGTGGATCTTCGTAATATTGGTTTATCAGCCTCTATGGCATTTGCACTCAAGAAGCATAGGTGTGATTCTTGGCAGAATCTGAGTGCATTCATTTCCCAGGGTTGCCATAACAAACTACCACACACTTGGTGGCTTAAAACAACGGAAATTTATTTTCTCACAATTCTGGAGGCCAAAAGTTCCAATTCAAGGTGTCAGGAGGGCTGCACTCCTCTCCCTCCAAAGGCTCTAGAGAAGACTCCTTCCTTGCCTCTTCTAGCTACTGGTGGATCCACGTGTTTCTTGACTTGGGCTGCATAACTTCAACCTCTGCCTCAGTCCCCTTACATGGCCTTCTGTGTATATGAGTATCCTCTTTTGTCTCTTATAAGGACATGTGTCATTGGATTTAGGGCCCATCTGGTAAATCCAGGATGCTCTCATCTCAAGATTATTAGTATTATTTTCTGAGACAGAGTCTCACTCTGTCACCCAGGCTGGAGTGCAGTGGTGTGATCTCAGCTCACTGCAACATCTGCCTCCTGAATTCAAATGATTCTCGTGCTTCAGCCTCCGGAGTAGCTGGGATTACAGGCGTGTGCCACCATGCCTAATTTTTTTGTATTTTTAGTAGAGACAGGGTTTCACCATGTTGGCCAGGTTGGTCTTGAACTCCAGGCCTCAAGTGATCTACCCACCTCAGCCTCCCAGTGCTTGGATTACAGGCATGAGCCAACGTGCCCAGCCAAGATTGTTAATTGTATCTGCAAAGACTTTTTTTCCAAATAAGTCACATTCACAGGTTTATTAGTCCATTTTCACACTGCTGTAAAGAGTTACCTGAGACTGGGTAATTTATGAAGAAGAGAGGGTTTTTTTGTTTTTTGTTTTGAGATGGAGTCTCACTCTGGTCATGCAGGCTGGAGTGCAGTGGCGTGATCTCAGCTTACTGCAACCTCCACCTCCTGGGTTTAAGCAATTCTCTTTCCTCAGCCTCCCAAGTAACTGGGATTACAGGCATGCATCACCACGCCCGGGTAATTTTTATATTTTTAGTAGAGATGGGGTTTCATCATGTTGGCCAGGCTGGTCTTGAACTCCTGACCTCAGGTGATCCACCCACCTCGGCCTCCCACAGTGCTAGGATTACAGGCATTAGCCACCATGCTCAGCCAGAAGAGAGGTTTAATTGACTCACAGTTCCACAAGCTTAACAGGAAGCATGACTGGGAGGCCTCGGGAAACTTACAATCATGGCAAGGGAAATGGAAGGCAAAGAGAAAGCAAGCACCTTCAAAACATTGTATTCCTTTTTCAGAAAGAAAATTTATAAATACTAAAATAGACACCTTTATCACAAGAAGAGCAATATGGAAGAAACCCAACTATCTTTGTAATTTCTGCTGATATTTCCCTTGAAAAGTGTCAGTGTATCAGGTTTTATTAACAGAATATTTTGTTTTCTCAGGCAAAAGGCAGGAATAGCTGATATTGCAAGGATATATAAAGTAGCTATTAGAAGTAGGAATAGCTATAGCTAAATGTAAGAGGGGGAGTCTGTGCTTAATGAGCTCCAGGCAGTTATATACAGAGAGAAAAAAAATAATTCTTTTTATTTAATTTTAATTTTTTTATTATAGATTCAGGGGGTTCATGAACAGGCTTGATACAAGGTATATTACGTAATGCTGGGATTTGGACTTCTACTGAACCCATCACCCAAACAGTGAACATAGTATCCAATAGGTAGTTTTACAACCCTTTCTCCTTTCTCTATTGCCCCTTCTTTTAGAGTCCCCAGTCTCTACTGTTTCCATCTTTATGCCCATGTGTAGTAGTTCCCACCTATAAGGGAGAACATGCAGTATTTGATTTTCTGTTTCTGCATTAATTCTTGCAGGATAATGGCCTCCTTCTGCATCCATGTTGCTACAAAGGACATGATTTCATTATTTATATGACTATGTAGTATTCCATGGTGTATATATGCCACATTTTCTTTATCCAGTCTACCGCTGATGAACACTTAGGTTAATTTCATGATTTTCCTACTGTGAATAGTGCTACAGAAAACATGAGTGTGAGTGTCTTTTTGATAAGACGATTTATTTTCCTTTGGGTAGATATCCATTGCTGGGTCAAACAGTAGTTTTGTTCTTTGAGAAATCTCCTTACTGTTTTCCATAGGGGTTGAACTAATTTACATTGCTACCAACAGTGTATAACTGTTCCCTTTTCTCTGCATCCTCACCAACATCTGTTATTTTGCCTTTTTAATAATGGCCATTCTGACTGGTGTGAGATGGTATCTCTCTTTTTTTTTTTTTTTTTTTTTTGAGACAGAGTCTTGCTGTTTTGCCAGGCTGGAGTGCAGTGGCGCAGACTCGGCTCACGGCAATCTCTGCCTCCCTGGTTCAAGTGATTCTCCTGCCTCAGCCTCCCTAGTAGCTTTGGATTACAGGCACGCGCCATCACACCCGGCTAATTTTTGTATTTTTAGTAGAGTCGGCATTTCACATGTTGGCCAGGATGGTCTCGATCTCCTGACCTTGTGATCCACCCACCTTGGCCTCCCAAAGTGCTAGGATTACAGGTGTGAGCCACCATGCCCAGTCGTGAGATGGTATCTCATCGCGGTTTTAATTTGCATTTCTCTGATTAACGAAGTGGAGCAGAAAAAATAATACTTTCATTTAGATACAAAGACATCATGGTTATGTAAGGCAATGTGGGGTGGGAAACAACTTATACCCAAAGGAAAAAAGTCAATGACTGCTCCGTAATTGGGAATCCTAAAGGAGAAGATAGAAACAAGCATTTTCTGTAGTTATATCCACCTAGAAAATTCACAAATTCCTTAGTGAGAAGGAACTGGCATTAAGAGAAGAACTCTAGAATATTTGTAGGGGTTTATTGATGTGTTTAAATATATTTCTATTTTGCTGGCTGGGTGGAGAGGCTTACACCTGTAATCCCAGCACTTTGGGAGGCTGAGGCGGGCAGATCACCTGAGGCCAGGAGTTTCAGACCAGACTGGCCAACATGGTGAAACCCCATCTTTACTAAAAATACGAAAATTAGCCAGGCATGGTGGCACATGCCTATAATTCCAGCTACTTGGGAGGCTGAGGTGGGAGAATCCCTTCAACCTGGGAGGTGGAGGTTGCAGTGAGCCACGATCATGCCACACTGCACTCCAGCCTGGGTGACAGAGCAAGACTCTGCCTCAAAATGAATAAAGAAATAAATTTCTATTTTGCTCAACTATTTAAAGTGTATGGTATTTATTCCTCAGAATGAGTTCAGTTCTTATGGATGAAAAATCTTCCTGGGGTAGGGCAGGGGTAAAAGAAATCTTTTCTTGTGAGAAATTTTCAGGTATTCATTAAAAGAAAAAGAAACGGAGATCGAGAATGATGTCTAAACTAGAGGGACCCAAATACAACTTCAGTCAAGATCCTGGTACCATGGATGAGTAGCCTGGTTAAGTAGCAATCTTATCAAATGGGATTTGGACAAGACTTGCTTCTATTAGAATATGCCATTTGTGGCCTGGAGCGGTGACTCACGCCTGTAATCCCAGCACTTTGGGAGGCTGAGGCAGGCGGACCATGAGGTCAAGAGATGGAGACCAACCTGGCCAACATGGTGAAACCCCGTCTCTACTGAAAATACAAAAACTAGCCGGGCATTGTGTCCAGCACCTGTAGTCCCAGCTACTCGGGAGGCTGAGGCAGGATAATTGCTTGAACCCAGGAGGCGGATGTTGCAGTGAGCCAAGTCTGCGCTACTGCACTCCAGCCTGGCGACACAGCAAGACTCCGTCTTAAAAAAAAAAAAAAAAAGGAATATGCCGTTTGCTTTATAAAAGCAAACTCCAGTCTTTCTGACTACTTGAATGTCTGTCTGTACCACATCTGCAGCTACACTGGCAACATGCTGTCTTCTCTCCCACTAGCAACTCTTCTCAAAAACTAATTCTCCAGATGATAACAGATTTTGAGATAACAAATCTAAATCCAACAGGTTTTACTATTGGCACCCATTCCCCTTCGTCCAATGTGGTCATAGACTGAAACTTGTCAATCATTGCAATAATAGCCAATAAAACACCAACATGTCATTGCAATTTATATTATTGTCTTACAAATTCTGCTAAACGTAGTGATAGTTCTTTCAGCACTGGATAGTTACCACTTAGATTAGTTGACTTTTTGACTAATCAGGCTACTATCCTATCTTTCATTTAGCTTTACTATGGTAACATTTGCTTGCTTTCTCTACCATTTGTAACATAGACAACACAAGTTTAGCCTTCACATTACAAAAGAAAACTTGAATAAATCCATGCTGTATATTCTTTTGTACAACTTCTACTAATAGATCCAGGAGAGAAATATCTCCAGTTTGGCTCATGCCTGTAATCCCAGCACTTTGGGAGGCCAAGGCAGGCGGATCTCGAGGTCAGGAGATCGAGACCATCCTGGCTAACACGGTGAAACCCCGTCTCTACTAAAAATACAAAAAATTAGCCAGGCACGGTGGCTGGCGCCTGTAGTCCCAGCTACTCAGGAGGCTGAGGCAGGAGAATGGCATGAACCCGGGAGGCGGAGCTTGCAGTGAGCCGAGATCGCACCACTGCACTCCGGCCTGGGCAAAAGAGAGAGACTCCGTCTCAAAAAAAAAGAAATATCTCCAGTTACAGCTCTATATAAAATAAGACATTACTTCTTATTTTTCAAAGAAAAATTCATAAGTAGCATATATTCAAATTATAATCATTCAAGCAAGAATGTTAGAAAGCCCTCCCACCCCCATCCTTTGTTAACTAATATGTTAGCAGAGTTCTAAGAGAGGAAGATCATTCCTTTGTGTTTAATCCCGTAACAGAGGGGAAATGGTGGCACCTCTGATAACTTTTGCTACAGATTCTTTATTCTGGCCAGTGCTTACAAATTGATGCATTTAATTTGAACAGTGATAGTTAAGTGGATTTCTAGATGACTCATTTTGTAAACCTTTGGCCATTAGTGTTTCAGCTGGAGTGGGCCATGTGCTGCCTTCCTGCTGACATCAGTGGAAATCTTGAGCCAAGATCAAAGCTACTTTATGCCTCTCTGACCTTTCCTCACAATGCACAGTGGGGCCTGAATTCTCAGATCAGAATTTTCAGATTTGCTCCACTGTGCCCACTGGGGTTACCATTTACAAATAGCTTACGTGTAGATATTCACTGAAGACCCTACGACAGGCCCATTGGAAATCACATCTTAGATTCTGGTTTTCAAGCAGTTTCCTAATCCAGATCCCAAGTTTCAGACGAGGTCGGGCATATTCAGGGTGGTACGGCTGTAGACCAGATCCCAAATTTCAGAAAATCTTATGTACGGTTGCCTCCCTAAGACCTCAGTGAGTAGAGAGAGAACTCTAGCAAGGTGGATTGGTAGTGTTCATTTTGCCCCCAGAAAAACCTGCCATCGGCTGCCTTTACTCTAGAGATACACTTTGAGAATCAACCTGAAGAGAATCCCTTACCTTGATAGTCATGTCTGGGCCGGATGTTTCTGTGGCGTTCGAGGCTGACTCACCTTCCTTTAGCAGCACATTCTCCCACCCGACTCCTGAAAGAAAAAAAAGAAGTGCCATTTGAGCCAAGTCATTCAGCTGACATGGATACACAGTTGTTATTGCTCAGATTACAATCCCATGTGACTTGTAAAGGGAGCTGATGATGACCTATAGCTCTATACCTATCTTGCAGTTACTGGGCTAGGAAAACTTCCTTTCAGAAGTGTAGTCCTGGAGCACTTCTTTTGTTTTTACCTAATCTCCAATTTAGGATCCATTGTCTAAATCCTATATCTTATAGAGAGCTATTCCTAGCCCAGGGTGGAGAAGAGGCTGGGATGAACTCTTCGTCTTCTTCTTTTCATTTTTATTTATTTGTTTGTTTATTTATTTATTTATTGAGACCAAGTTGCACTCTTGTTGCCTAGGCTGGGGTGCAATGGCATGATCTCGGCTCACTGCAACCTCCGCCTCCTGCCTCAGCAATTCTCCTGCCTCAGCCTCCCAAGTAACTGGGATTATGGGATTACAGGCACCCGCCACCACACCTGACTAATTTTTGTATTTTTAGTAGAGATGGGGATTTCACCATGTTGCCCAGGCTGGTCTCGAACTCCTGACCTCCGGTGATCCACCCACCTTGGCCTCCCAGTGTTGGGATTACAGGTGTAAGCCACCCTTCTGTTCTTCTCCACGAACTCTTCTTCTTCTCCAGTTCAGGCCTCATATTGAGACTCATTTGGGGCTTTAAAGTGAATCCCAGAACACAGAAATACACACATCTAATTCAATACCCAATAGATATGACTCCAGATTTTTCTGTGTTCTCAATATATCTACTGGAAATAACTAAGAATGTGTCGTCACTTTTAAAATCTGCCCATGTTCTCTCTCCAAGTCTTTAGAAATGCTAATGTTTCTTTCTTCTAAAGCTACCCGATTGTCTCCAAGAGTGGACATCCGGCAAGACACAAGATTTTGTTTTTTCTAATATCAAAGAAAAGATCAGGGGCCAGTGTGGTGTTTTGAAATATCTTTAAACACAATATAGTAAAATTGTACTAATTCAGATGCAGTTATGTACGTGAATAGAGTTAAAATGATCTACATTGGTGAAAAGTTTGAAGAAATGGCAAGATATATGTGTGTGTGTGTATATATATATATATATATATATATATATATATATATATATATATACATTTTTTTTTTTTTTTTTTTTTTTTTGAGACAGAGGACAGAGTCTCGCTCTGTCGCCCAGGCTGGAATGCAGTGGTGCAATCTTGGCTCAGTGCAACCTCCACCTCCCAGGTTCAAGTGATTCTCTGGCCTCAGCCTCCCAAGTAGCTCAGATTACAGGTATGTGCCACCACACCCAGCTAATTTTTGTATTTTTAGTAGAGACAGGGTTTCACCATGTTGTCCAGGCTGGTCTCGAACTCCTGACCTCACGTGATGTGCCCACTTCAGCCTCCCAAAGTGCTGGGATTACAGGAGTGAGCCACTGTGCCCAACTGGCAAGTGTATATTTTTAAAAACCGTAGGTTTATTGCAAGAATAATCATCTCCTTAAAGGTTAATAAAGCAATATTTGATAGAGTTTTTCAGAGTCTCCTTTAACAAGCAAATACAAATTTTATGATTGGTATAATAACTGTTTAGAAATAAGTGCTCATAACCTAATGTATTAAAAAGATTATTTTCTTAAGGAGGTTAAAATTATCTGTGTAATATTTGTTTACATTATTGATTTTCCTAAAAAAATACTTTTCTCTAAGTATTTAGATAGTTATCTAAGGATAGCTCAAGAACAATATTCATCCCAGAACTGTGTGAATAACCCAAATTCCAAAATTTCAACTGTCTAGCATTATGTTAAATCAGGATTGGCCATCTTTCTTCTGCTCGTCACATAGTAAATATTTTAGGCTTTGAGTTCATAGCATTTCTGTTGCAACTTCTCAATCTGCCCTTGTAGAGTGAAAGCAGCTACAGACAACATAGAAACAAATGAGCATGAGTATGTTCCAATAAAACTTTATTTACAAAAACAGCTAGTTTGTCCCATGAGATGTACTCTACCAGCCTCTGTGCTAAATCAAGAACCCAGAGATGTGTAAGATTGCCATACTCCAGCATTTCTAGTAAGAATCAACTGAACAAAAGGTGATGAATGACTAATAATTACTTGAAATTACATGATGCTTTAAGTAAATTAATACGAAATTAATGAAATTTTAATGTATTAACACTGGTTACTTTTTAAAGTTTACATTCTGGGTCCTTGAGAGCTTCATTTCATAGGATATATGCACAATGAATTACTCAAGACCTGTTTGGCTATAATTCAATTCATGGTGCAAATAGTTGTCCTCTCTGACTAGGTTGCAGGAATTGGGTCAGAGGAGTGTTGTGCCTTGTTCTACACTTTCTTCTCAAGGAATTGCTGCAAGGAGATTGTCAGCTTTATCTTAAATGCAAGTTTATAGAAGAAAAATCTTTGCTCCTACATGAATAGATTATTTCCTTGACATGCTTTGCTTTTAACCGACTAATAACCCCTCCTGCTTTAAGCCACTTTTGATACCTGTTGGATTTGGCTGGCAGAGAGACACAGATGTTGGGCATGATGGACAATCAGATGATACTTCACTTATGTAAGAGTCTGAATTACTGTTCAGCAAATATTCATTCTCCTCCTCTCCTGCTGTGGGAGAAATGATCTTCCCTGTCTCACTGATGTTTGCTTTGGCCAAAGGGATGTTAGAGGGCATAATGCAAGCAAAGGTTTGAAATGGGCTTAAGAGGTGAGGCTTGCACTCTGCTACAGCATGAGAAGGACAAGCCCCAGTCAGCCTGCAAGTGGATGAGAGTCCTGGGGAGCAGATCTGGATCCAATCTGCACCTGGAAGCCAAGCCAGGTCTAGATCAGCCAAGCCCCAGCCAACTGCATATGCATGACAACGAAAGCCAATGAGTTTTGGGATGGTTTGTCAAGCAGCATTATTGTAACAATAGCTAATAGATACAATCTATAACCAAAATTATAAATGAAAATCATTATGGATCAAGTATTTTTACCTTTAACTATGCTAATATAATTCTGCATATAAAAGTTTCATTCACAAGTGTTGGTTTTCATCTCTATCATCTCTATTATTTCACTTTGGAAAGAATTTTTTCTCTGCTATTATACAATCATTCCTTTTGTAAGCAACACTACCTTTATTAAAGGCTATATGGCCATAAGAAGGAGATGTGAGACATAAATATATATGTTGTCTCAATATTTTAGTCTTCCATCAAGAAAACACTTCACATTAGGAAACATTTCATAACAAGAGTGAGAGAAAACAGACATAGCATTTTAGTTTAAAAATGCTATTTTAGTTTTAAGTGTTTTAGTAATAACATTTTAATTTAAAAATGTGATTAATCCTGATGATAAGTTTGTAAGAACAGAAATGTTATTTTAAAAGCTAGAGGTAAAATTCCTTCCAAGGAGAAAACTGTATTTTGGAGAACAAAGCAACTCTATGGACCATTTGGGTGTGAAAATGTGGGTCCCACATCACAGAAGGAAGATAAGAAGGAAGAGGTGCAGTCAGAAGAGGGAAAGAAATTGAAAGAAATTAGGGCAAAAATTGGCAGTAAGAAATTACCAGGGGGTAATAAAAAAATACTTTTCTTTTTCTTTTTCTTTTTCTTTTTTTTGAGACAGAGTCTCGCTCTGTCACTCAGGCTGGAGTGCAGTGGCACTATCTCGGCTCACTGAAACCTCCGCCTCTCAGGCACAAGCAATTCTCATGTCTCAGCCTCCCAAGTAGCTGGGATTACAGGCACCCGCCACCATGCCCGGATACTTTTTGTAATTTTAGTAGAAACAGGGTTTTGCCACGTTGGTCAGACCGGTCTAACTCCTGACCTCAAGTGATCCAACCACCTCAGTCTCCCAAAGTGTTGGGATTACAGGCATAAGCCACCGTGCCCAGCCTAAAAAGGGCTTTTCAGAACAGCAATGTTTACAAATTCATTTTAAAGTATTTATTATGCTGTGTCATGATGTAATTCTTCCCTCACTCTCGTACCTATGGTGGAGATCTGTTCTACACCAGTATCTTGTGCTAGAGTTGTCTGTTGGAAGCTGAATGACATCCCACTTGGACTTGGGGATGGAAACAAGAGAGCAGCTGTGTGCCCATGGGAGCTCCCGGAGAATGTGGAGTCGAAGGAGGACACAATGCTAAGAATCTTGGAGAAAGCACTTAACCCACACACTGCGCACAGTAGACTACAGGCCAATTTTATTTGGATACCAAGGGGCAGGAGACCCTGTCTTCTTGAGAACTTGGAGATAGAAAATGACAGACACTTCTTTATAGGAAGATGTTTATACATCTGAAAATGCCACTTCCCTTTTCCAAAATGATTTCCATTCTGCCAACATGTAATGCATTGGACCAGTGGGTAGGAGGATAGCTTAGAATGCTGATTTGTAATCCCCTCAGCTCTAGAATTTTAGCAATGACTTTTAACATCAGCTTTCATGTTTGAGTTCCGGAGAAGAGTTTCCCCTCGACTAACATCCATGGTTTATAACTATAGCACCAACATTTGCAAAGCTTAGATGTTCAATTGTAAAAGACACATATTCTAGGCTGATGTATTTCTATTATTAGTTATAAAAACACAGTTTCCTCTGGTTGTAGGGGAAGAACCTATATAAAGAATCTGACCTAAGAACTTGGGGAAAAAAGTATATATATATATAATAGAAATATACATAAATCCTATATATATTATCTCCATATATAAATTAATATATATATTCCATACATATAAAAAATTACACATATTCTCCACATATATACATTTATATATTCTAGACAGAGAATATATATGGAATATATAGAGAAATATATAATTTATATATTCTATAAATATACTTTTGTATACTTATATACAAAAGTATATATATATATATATATATATTTTTTTTTTTTTTTTTTTGAGACAGAGTTTCGCTCTTGTTGCCCAGGCTGGAGTGCAATGGCACCATCTTGGCTCATGGCAACCTCCGCCTCCCAGGTTCAAGCAATTCTCCTGCCTCAGCCTCCTGAGTAGCTGAGATTACAGGCATGTACCACCATGCCCGGCTAATTTTGTATTTTTAGTAGAGACAGGATTTCTCCATGTTGAGGCTGGTCTCGAACTCTTGACCTCAGGTGATCCACCTGCCTCGGCCTCCCAAAGTGCTGGGATTACAAGCGTGAGCCACCGTACCCAGCCCAAAAGTATATACATTCTATAAATATACTTTAGTATTTTAAAATATATTTAAGTATTCTATAAATTTAAGTATTCTATATATTTATAGAATATATAAATAGAATAGAATATATGGAATAGAATGTATAGAACATATAGAAATATAGAGAATTTATATATTCTATATATAGAATTTATATATGTAGAGAATTTATATAATTATATTATATATTGCTATATTAACTATTCTATACATATATAGTATGTATAATACATATTATATATATAGTATGTATATTAATTGTATATTCTATCTCTATATATAGAAATAGATATTATACTTCTATATACTGCACTTTCAAACAACCATTTTCCTCTTACATTCCTCTTCTCCCTTTGCTGAAATTCTTACTTATAATGTCTTTGAGAAGAGAAATTACATTTATATTATTCCTATAATCCCTAGCAACATTACTACAATCTTTATTCCATTTTTAAAATACAAGACCAAACCTTGAGGAAAGAAGAGAATAAGTTTGCATTTCCCTGCGATAGGAGAAATTGAGACCTGTCTACTTGTAGCTGAGGTTATGTTTATAAATATCCATCAGGGACAGTTTTATAAAGACCTCTCAGAAATAAATGAAATCAACCACCATAACATTTTTTGTATTGCTTTTTATACACCCTCTCACCTAGCTGCACAGTCAGAGGAATAAGTCCATTAGCCCAGGCTCCAATTCCTTAGCGCCAACATCTGTGTCTCCATTCACAGGGCGTGCTCTGTTGACTTACATGGCTGCCCTCTCTGCTACTAACTTCTGTTGGGAAGAGTGCATGTGAGGGCAGACAGAGGTGTGCCACCAGAACAAAGGAGCTGAGTTCAGGCCCCAGCTGGAGAAGCCAGGGACACACATGAGGATCTGCAGGGAGAGGGATTTGGGCTGGTAGCAGGAAGCCATGAGGGTTTGAGTAGAGTACCCTGTAGACAAAATAACTTTGCATCTTTTTTTTTTTTTTTTTTTGAGACAGAGTCTCACTTTGTTGCCCAGGCTGGAGTGCAGTGGCGTGATCTCAGCTCACTGCAAGCTCCACCTCCCGGGTTCACACCATTCTCCTGCCTCAGCCTCTGGGGTAGTTGGGACTACAGGCGCCCGCTACCACGCCCAGCTAATTTTTTGTATTTTTAGTTGAGACAGGGTTTCACCATGTTAACCAGGATGGTCTCGGTCTCCTGACCTCGTGATCCACCCGCCTCGGCCTCCCAAAGTGCTGGGATTACAGGTGTGAGCCACCGCGCCCGGCCAACTTTGCATCTTTGAACAAAGGGAGACAATGTAACAGTAAACAATGAAGGCGTCAGGCGGCTAAAGAGACCTGGTGAAGCAGCAATGGATGGCATTCCAGAAAAAATCACTGGGTGACTTCCTTAGCTCTGACCTTGGTTAGTACTAAAAATAAAATAAAAGTAAAAGTAAAATTAAAGGGTCAAAGCCTCAGAGGGAGAGAGTGGCACGCATGGAAGGACACTGACTGTACCCACACTCCCTGTAATCACCAGGCACCACCACGTGAAAACAGAGTAAGAGAGAAAGACAAGTCTGAATGGACCCGAATGTGCAAGAGAGTGGAAATTTGCTCTCGCTCATTGTCTACACAGATTTTAGATGGATCACTGGACAAAGAGGGTGACTGGTGGCCATTAATGCCGCTCATGCAAATATTCCCAGTTCTTTCTCCTTGCAGACATGTAACAGGATTTCACTTCCTGGCCTCCTTAGAGTTGCTGAGGTCATGTGACCAGTTCTGGCCATTGGATGTGGGCAGCAAGGTGTCCTACATCAGCAGTTAAATGCTCCAGCCCAGAAGTAATAGATGTCTCTGCTGCCCACACCCATTGGCCAGAACTGGTCACATGACCCTGCCCCTCTACCACAGCAACTGGCAATCCTAGATAGTGGCAATTCTGTTAGCCTAAGCCCCAGTGTAAGGGCAATGCAGCACAGAGACACAAGCAACCCACCTTGGCCATGTAATATGAGTGAGAACTAAACTGCTATTGTTTGAAGCCACAGGATTGGGGATTGTTTATTACACCAGCATAGCCTAGCCCAGCCTCATGGGAAGAAGGAGTCCTTCTAGACTCGCCTTCCCCATCAACCTCCAAGTCCCATGATAGAGACTCCTTTGGATAAATTTGCTGTGTTCTAGCCTCAAAATCAATCCTGCCATTTAAGTTTTTTCTCCTCAACCAGGTTATAATGGCCCATACTTTCTTTTTTATTAAATAAATTTAATTATTATTATAATAATTATTATTAATTTTGTAGAGATGAGGTTTCACCATGTTGCCCAGGCTGGTCTTGAATGGCTCATACTTTATACTTCTTTTGGGCCACTCTCTGTTTCCACTGTGCCCAGTTGCACGGTTTAGTTGTGTTGGGACTCAGAAAACATACCCTAAAATGAAAACCTCAGAAACAACAGTTTTTCTCTGACATTCTTCTGTCCTCCTGTCTCTCATTCTCATTCTTCCCCAGGGCTAGCCGTAGAAACTAGAACCCCTGTTCCCCAAAGGGTAGTCACAGAAACCAGAACACTTTATTCCCCCAGAGCCAGCCACAAAACCTACAGGTATAACTCAAACTTTCCCACCACCTTTCTGTGTAACAACTGGCCATGAAAAATTATCTGACCTACCTAATTTGACTATAGTCATAAGGCCCCCATTCCAGAAGGGGTCCTGCCTCACACTCAGAAGGAAGGAATGCATGCTTAGAGGATGCATGCTGAAGAAGAATCTAGACAGACAGGCCTTGCTGGGTTTCCTCACTGTCTATTAACATTAGATTATATCCTTTTTAGATCTACATGGCTGTCCAAACTTTGTTGAAACTAAGTACAAAAATGGGCAATTTCACCTCTATCTTTGGGTATTCCTTCTGAAGGCTCCCATGCACATGTTAAATAAATTTATACGTCTTTCCACCAATTATTAGCCTTTCGTGAGTTGATTTTTCAGTGAACCTTCACAGGGTGAAAGGGAAAGTTCCTTTCAGTTCCCTACAGTGGCATCTCAGAAAAGGATTAGGTTCTAAAGAGAAAAGGCAGAAGTTTGCATAGTCAAAACTCCCCTTGAAAATTCCTTAAATCTCCCAATAAGTACAATATAGTGTCATACCTCACTAAAACCCAAAAGTTCCAGCTTAGGAACAGACCTCCTTTTCTCATGTTAAATACCAGATGATGTTGCTGGCTTGTACTAAGAATCATGTTGTACAAAAATATGTATCTTGAAACTCTAGAATTTCTTGGGATTTGTTGATGCTCAGATTTTGAGAGATACAAGATGCTGAGACCAACTGTGGGAACAGTCATCCTCATACTGTATCATTTAGAATGCTTTTACCTGCAGGTGGTAGAAAGATTATTTAATGGGGCATTAAACAACAGAGGATTGATTGGCTCATATAACAAGTCCCAAGGTAGTATGGCACCAGAGGTGGCTAATTCAGTGGCTCAATGCCCTGATGGCCTCAGTTTGACCTCTCTGCAATTCTCCTGGCTTTTCTCTGATGTCCCAAGATGGACACAGAAGTTCCATGTGTCATTAAAATGTTCAGAGACAGGAAAAGGGAGGATTCTCCTCTCCTCCCTTTTTAAGAAAAAAGAAGCTTTCCCCAAAGCACCCCCTACCCCTCACCAAAGCTGAACCCCCAAAGTCTCACTGATCAAAAATACAGCATAAACCTACTCCTAAACCAATAAGGGAAAGGGAATAGAATCATCAAAACTGGCTTGGAGTTAATGAACCAAGAATAAACCCTGGGTTGAGGAAGGTCTCAGCCTTCCCTGAGGATGTGGCCACCTGGAGGATGAAAAAAGGAATGAAACAGGATCTTGACTAGCAACGACAGGAATAGGTAGGGGGCCATCAGCTAAGCACTTAGTAGAGTCAGTCTGTCACAAGAGGATGCACATGTAGATTGGAATGGCAGGCAGAATCACTTATGTTATATAAATTTATATTTTTTTCTCTCTCGTTCTCATTAATTTAGTTAGAAATACACACTCAGGGCCAGGAATGGTAGCTCATGCCTGTAATCCCAGCACTTTGGGAGGCTGAGGTGGGAGGATTACTTGAGCCCAGGAATTCAAGACCAGCCTGGGCAACATGGCGAGACCCCATCTCTAAAAACAAACAAACAAAATTAGCTGAGCATGGTGGCATAGGTCTAAGCCTGTATTCCCAGCTACTTGGGAGGCTGAGGCAGGTGGATCATCACTTGAGCCCAGGAGGTAGAAGCTGCAGTGAGCTGTGTTTGCAACACTGCATGACAGAGTAAGATCTTGTAAAGAAAGAGAGAAGAAAGAAAGAAAGAAAGAAAGAAAGAAAGAAAGAAAGAAAGAAAGAGAAGGAAGGAAGGAAAGGGAGGGAAAGGAAAGAAAGAAAGGAAGAGAGAGAGAGAAAATGGAAGGAAGGAAGGCAGGCAGGCGAGAGGAAAAGAGAGAAAGAGGAAAGAGAAGAGATATAGAGAGAAAGAATGAAAGAAAAAAAAAGAAAAGAGGTGGAGCCAAGATGGCCGAATAGGAACAGCTCCAGTCTATAGCTCCCAGCATGAGTGACGCAGAAGACAAACGATTTCTGCATTTCCAACTGAGGTACTGGGTTAATCTCACTGGGGATTGTTGGACAGTGGGTGCAGGACAGTGGATGCAGCACACCAAGCATGAGCCGAAGCAGGGTGAGGCATTGCCTCACCTGGGAAGTGCAAGGGGTCAGGGAATTCCCTTTCCTAGCCAAGGAAAGGGGTGACAGACGGTACCTGGAAAATCGGGTCACTCCCACCCTAATACTGCACTTTTCCAATGGTCTTAGCAAACGGCACACCAGGAGATTGTATCCCACGCCTGGCTCAGAGGGTCCCACACCCACAGAGCCTCGCTCATTGCTAGCACAGCAGTCTGAGATCAAACTGCAAGGCGGCAGCGAGGCTGGGGGAGGGGTGCCTGCCATTGCTGAAGCTTGAGTAGGTAAACAAAGCAGCCAGGAAGCTTGAACTGGGTGGAGCCCACCGCACCTCAAGGAGGCCTGCCTGCCTCTGTAAACTCCACCTCTGGGGGCAGGGCACAGCCAAACAAAAGGCAGCAGAAACCTCTGCAGACTTAAATGTCCCTGTCTGACAGCTTTGAAGAGAGTAGTGGTTCTCCCAGCACACAGCTGGAGATCTGAGAATGGACAGACTGCCTCCTCAAGTGGGTCCCTGACCCCCGAGTAGCCTAACTGGGAGGCACCCCCCAGGAGGGGCAGACTGACATCTCACATAGCCGGGTACTGCTCTGAGACAAAACTTCCAGAGGAATGATCAGGGAGCAATATTTGCTGTTCACCAATATCTGCTGTTCTGCAGCCTCCGCTGCAGATACCCAGGCAAACAGGATCTGGAGTGGACTTTCACCAAACTCCAACAGACCTGCAGCTGAGGGTCCTGACTGTTAGAAGGAAAACTAACAAACAGCAAGGACATCCACACCAAAACCCCATCTGTACATCACCATCATCAAAGACCAAAGGTAGATAAAACCACAAAGATGGGGAAAAAACAGAGCAGAAGAACTGGAAACTCTAAAAATCAGAGCACCTCTCCTCCCCCAAAGGAATGCAGCTCACCAGCAATGGAACAAAGCTGGACAGAGAATGACTTTGACGAGTTGAGAGAAGAAGGCTTCAGACGATCAAACTACTCCGAGCTAAAGGAGGAAATTCGAACCCATGGCAAAGAAGTTAAAAACCTTGAAAAAATATTAGATGAATGGCTAACTAGAATAACCAATGCAAAGAAGTCCTTAAAGGACCTGATGGAGCTGAAAACCACGGCACGAGAACTACGTGATGAATGCACAAGCCCCAGTAGCCAATTCGATCAACTGGAAGAAAGGGTATCAGTGATGGAAGAGCAAATGAATGAAATGAAGTGACAAGAGAAGTTTAGAGAAAAAAGAATAAAAAGTAACAAACAAAGCCTCCAAGAAAAATGGGACTTGTGAAAAGACCAAATCTACATCTGATTGGTGTACCTGAAAGTGACAGGGAGAATGGAACCAAGTTTGAAAACACTCTGCAGGATATTATCCTGGAGAACTTCCCCAATCTAGCAAGGCAGGCCAACATTCAGGTTCAGGAAATACAGAGAATGCCAAAAAGATACTCCTCGAGAAGAGCAACTCCAAGACACATAATTGTCAGATTCACCAAAGTTGAAATGAAGGAAAAAATGTTAAGGGCAGCCAGAGAGAAAGGTCAGGTTACCCACAAAGGGAAGCCCAGCAGACTAACAGTTGATCTCTCAGCAGAAACTCTACAAGCCAGGAGAGAGTGGGGGCCAATATTCAACATTCTTAAAGGAAAGAATTTTCAACCCAGAATTTCATATCCAGCCAAACTAAGCTTCATAAGTGAAGGAGAAATAAAATACTTCACAGACAAGCAAATGCTGAGAGATTTTGTCACCACCAGGCCTGCCCTAAAAGAGCTCCTGAAGGAAGCACTAAACGTGGAAAGGAAAAACTGGTACCAGCCACTGCGAAAACATGTCAAATTGTAAAGACCATCGATGCTAGAAAGAAATTGCATCAACTAACGGGCAAAATCACCAGCTAACATCATAATGACAGGATCAAATTCATACATAACAATATTAACCTTAAATGTAAATGGGCTAAATGCTCCAATTAAAAGACACAGACTGGCAAATTAGACAAAGAGTCAAGACCCATCAGTGTGCTATATTCAGGAAACCTACCTCATGTGCAGAGACACACATAGGCTCAAAATAAAGGGATGGGGGAAGATCTACCAAGGAAATGGAAAACAAAAAAAGGCAGGGGTTGCAATCCTAGTCTCTGATAAAACAGACTTTAAACCAACAAAGATCAAAAGAGACAAAGAAGGCCATTATATAATGGTAAAGGGATCAATTCAGCAAGAAGAGCTAACTATCCTAAATATATATGCATCCAATACAGGAGCACCCAGATTCATAAAGCAAGTCCTTAGAGACCTATAAAGAGACTTAGACTCCCACACAATAATAATGGGAGATTTAACACCCCACTGTCAACATTAGACAGATCAACGAGACAGAAAGTTAACAAGGATATCCAGGAATTGAACTCAGCTCTGCACCAAGTGGACCTAATAGACATCTACAGAACTCTCCACCCTAAATCAAGAGAATGTACATTCTTTTCAGCACCACACCACACCTATTCCAAAATTGACCACATAGTTGGAAGTGAAGCCCTCCTCAGCAAATGTAAAAGAATAGAAATTATAACAAACTCTCTCAGACCACAGTGCAATCAAACTAGAACTCAGGATGAAGAAACTCACTCAAAACCGCATAACAACATGGAAACTGAACAACCTGCTCCTGAATGACTACTGGGTACATAACAAAATGAAGGCAGAAATAAAGATGTTCTTTGAAACCAACGAGAACAAAGACACAACATACCAGAATCTCTGGGACACATTCAAAGCAGTGTGTAGAGGGAAATTTATAGCACTAAATGCCCACAAGAGAAAGCAGGAAAGATCTAAAATTGACACCCTAACATCACAATTAAAAGAACTAGAGAAGTAAGAGCAAACACGTTCAAAAGCTAGCCGAAGGCAAGAAATAACTAAGATCAGAGCAGAACTGAAGGATATAGAGACACAAAAAACCCTTCAAAAAATCAATGAATCCGGGAGGTGGTTTTTTGAAAAGATCAACAAAATTGATAGACCGCTAGCAAGACTAATAAAGAAGAAAAGAGAGAAGAATCAAATAGACGCAATAAAAAATTATAAAGGGGATATCACCACCAATCCTACAGAAATACAAACTACCATCAGAGAATACTATAAACACCTCTACACAAATAAACTAGAAAATCTAGAAGAAATGGATAAATTCCTCGACACATACACCCTCCCAAGACTAAACCAGGAAGAAGTTGAATCTCTGAATAGACCAATAACAGGCTCTGAAATTGAGGCAATAATTAATAGCTCACCAACCAAAAAAAGTCCAGGACCAGATAGATTCACAGCTGAATTCTACCAGAGGTACAAAGAGGAGCTAGTACCATTCCTTCTGAAACTATTCCAATCAATAGAAAAAAAGGGAATCATCCCTAACTCATTTTATGAGGCCAGCATCATCCTGATACCAAAGCCTGGCAGAGACACAACAAAAAAAGAGAATTTTAGACCAATATCCCTGATGAACATCGATGCAAAAATCCTCAATAGAATACTGGCACATCAGTATTTTATTTGATGTGAATCTAGCAGCATATCAAAAAGCTTATCCACCATGATCAAGTGGGCTTCATCCCTGGGATGCAAGGCTGGTTCAACATATGCAAGTCAATAAACATAATCCAGCATATAAACAGAACCAATGACAAAAACCACATGATTATCTCAATAGATGCAGAAAAGGCCTTTGACAAAATTCAACAACCTTCATGCTAAAAACTCTCAATAAATTGGGTATTGATGGGACGTATCTCAAAATAATAAGAGCTATCTATGACAAACCCACAGCCAATATCATACTGAATGGGCAAAAACTGGAAGCATTCTCTTTGAAAACTGGCACAAGACAGGGATGCCCTCTCTCATCACTCCCATTCAACATAGTGTTGGAAGTTCTGGCCAGGGCAATCAGGAAGGAGAAGGAAATAAAGGGTATTCAATTAGGAAAAGAGGAAGTCAAATTGTCCCTGTTTGCAGATGACATGATTGTATATCTAGAAAACCCCATCATCTCAGCCCAAAATCTCCTTAAGCTGATAAGCAATTTCAGCAAAGTCTCAGGATACAAAATCAATGTGCAAAATTCACAAGCATTCTTATACACCAATAACAGACAAACAGAGAGCCAAATCATGAGTGAACTCCTATTCACAATTGCTTCGAAGAGAATAAAATGCTTAGGAATCCAATTTACAAGGGACATGAAGGACCTCTTCAAGGAGAACTACAAACCACTGCTCAATGAAATCAAAGAGGATACAAACAAAAGCATGAACATTCCATGCTCATGGGTAGGAAGAATCAATATCATGAAAATGGCCATACTGTCCAAGGTAATTTATAGATTCAATGCCATCCCCCTCAAGCTACCAATGACTTTATTCACGGAATTGGAGAAAACTACTTTAAAGTTCATATGGAACCAAAAAAGAGCCTGCATTGCCAAGTCAATCCTAAGCCAAAAGAACAAAGCTGGAGGCGTCACGCTACCTGACTTCAAACTATACTACAAGGTTACAGTAACCAAAACAGCATGGTACTGGTACCAAAACAGAGATATAGACCAATGGAACAGAACAGAGCCCTCAGAAATAATGCCACATTTCTACAACTAACTGATCTTTGACAAACCTGACAAAAACAAGAAATGGGGAAACAATTCCCTATTTAATAAATGGTGCTGGGAAAACTGGCTAGCCATATGTAGAAAGCTGAAACTGGATCCCTTCCTTACACCTTATACAAAAATTTATTCAAGATGGATTAAAGACTTAAATGTTAGACCTAAAACCATAAAAACTCTAGAAGAAAACCTAGGCAATACCATTCAGGACATAGGCATGGGTAAGGATTTCATGTCTAAAACACAAAAAGCAATGGCAACAGAAGCCAAAATTGACAAATGGGATCTAATTAAACTAAAGAGCTTCTGCACAGCAAAAGAAACTACCATCAGAGTGAACAGGCAGCCTATAGAATGGGAGAAAATTTTTGCAATCTACTCATCTGATGAAGGGCTAATATCCAGAATCTACAATGAACTCAAACAAATTTTCAAGAAAGAAACAAACAACCCCATCAACAAGTGGGCGAAGGATATGAACAGACACTTCTCAAAAGGAGACATTTATGCAGCCAAAAGACACATGAAAAAATGCTCATCATCACTGGTTATCAGAGAAATGCAAATCAAAACTACAATGAGATACCATCTCACACCAGTTAGAATGGGGATCATTAAAAAGTCAGGAAACAACAGGTGCTGGAGAGGATGTAGAGAAATAGGAATACTTTTACACTGTTGGTGGGACTGTAAACTAGTTCAACCATTGTGGAAGTCAGTGTGGCGATTCCTCAGAGATCTAGAACTAGAAATACCATTTGACCCAGCCATCCCATTATTGGGTATGTACCCAAAGGATTAGAAATCATGCTGCTATAAAGACACATGCACACATATGTTTATTGCGGCAGTATTCACAATAGCAAAGACTTGGAACCAACCCAAATGTCGAACAATGATAGACTGGATTAAGAAAATGTGGCACACATACACCATGGAATACTATACAGCCATAAAAAATGATGAGTTGATGTCCTTTTTATGGACATGGATGAAGCTGGAAACCATCATTCTCAGCAAACTATGGCAAGGACAAAAAACCCAACACCACATGTTCTCACTTGTAGATGGGAATTGAACAATGAAAACACATGGACACAGGAAGGGGAACATCACACACCGGGGGCCTGTTGTGTGGTGGGGGGAGGGGGGAGGGATAGCATTAGGAGATATCCCTGATGTTAAATGACGAGTTAATGTGTGCAGCACACCAACATGGCACATGTATATATATGTAACAAACCTGCATGTTGTGCACATGTACCCTAAAACTTAAAGTATAATTAAAAAAAGAAAAAAAATAGAGAAAAATGGAATGGTCCATTCAATAAATACAAAAATTTCAGTCTTTAAAAAAAAAAAAAAGGAAAGAAAAGGAAGAATCTACACTCAAATTTGTGTAAGCTAAGTACACAGGGGATCCTGGGACTCAGCCTTCTGCTGCCAGCTCCTCCTTGGTGGTGTCTTAGCTCAGCCCCAGTGTGGCATCTCCACCTCCACCCTCTGCTGGGAACTCACAGTTCTGATCATGGCCCCATTTAGTGGGACACAAATTAGGGCCTAGGCAGGGAGAGCCCTGACATGTGTCTCATGGTGCTTCCTGGTCGATGCTGCTTCAGCGGGCCGTTCTCCACGCAAAGCACCTGTGGGCAGGAACTGGGCTTATACACAGTTAGTCTCATCCAAGTGTTTGTTAAATGAGAAGTGTTAGTTCTGGGCAGGAAGTTTTGGGCGACAGGAGCTTCAGAGAGTGCCGAAGGAGAAAAGAAGAATGCTACAAGAGAGAAGGCAGAGGGCACTGGGAACAGATGGTCCCAGGCCTCAGTCCATCCCCCTAAACTGGAGAGGCAGGAACCACATGGGTGGACTAGACTAGACCATGTCTGGGTGGTGAGACCCTGAGCACATTTTTTTTATTTTTATTTGTTTTTATTTTATTTATTTATTTATTTATTTTGAGGCAGTCTTGCTCTGTCACCCAGGCTGGAGTGGTGCAGTGGTGTGATCTTGGTGTGATCTTGGCTCACTGTAATCTCCACCTCCAAGGTTGAAGTGATCCTGCTGACCCAGCCTCCCATGTAGCTGGGATTACAAGTGCACGCCACCAAGCCCAGCCAATTTTTGTATTTTTAGTAGAGACGGGATTTCGCCTTGTTGGCCAGGCTGGTCTCAAACTCCTGATCTCAGGTGATGCACCCACCTCAGCCTCCCAAAATGCTGAGATTACAGGCGTGAGCCACCGTGCCCAGCCAGACCCTGAGCACTTTGAAGATAGGGACTGTCCTCCCTGCTGTCCCACCCCAGGCCTCAGTCAGCACAGTCTGGGCTGGCACACAGTGGGAGCTCATTAAATATTTCCCAAATTGAAGTGGAAGGGGCCTCGAGGCTGCCTAAGCTACTCTCCCATCAGGGCAGAAGCCTCCTCTACAAAGTCACCTGATGGATGACATGGCCTTTTCCTGGTCATGGTTCTTACTACCTCACAAGGTCATGCACATTGGGCAGCTAGAATGGACTATCCCCCCTTTTTTTTTTTTTTTTTTGCGACAGGGTCTCGCTGTCACCCAGGCTGGACGGCAGCGGTGCAATCATAGCTTACTGCAGCCTTGAATGCCTGAGCTCAAGCAATCCTCCCACCTTAGTCTCCTGAGTAGCTGAGACTACAGGCTCCCCACTCCCCCGCCCTGGTCAGAAAGTACCATATTAAGAAGAGCTGAGCCACAAACAATTCAGAAAAATAAGATCCCAGATGATGACCTATGTAGCCTGGCTTATGGAGAGGACATGGTGAGGCGCCCTCCACGGCTATTGAGTGTTCGCTTTTGTTTGCTGGGACTTTGGTATACCCTTCTCAGCCTTCCAGCCTTCCTATCCATCCTGATTATTCTCGTCCTCATCACACCCCTGCTTCTACCTTCATCAGCCCACTGTCATAGACACAGCAAAGGAACTTTGAGGAAGTCTGGAGCCCGGCCTTTTGGGTTTCAAGGAGAGATACAAGGCTCTGAGTTGGAAAATAAGTTGTCAAAGTCTCACAGTCAGTAGCCACTAAGCTGGGACTGAAGGAGACAAGAATGCCTCTGCTTTTCCTAAACCAGACTTCTTCCTGGACAAAATCATATCAACCCCATTTTATAGGCAAAAGATTGGCCCACTGGGGAATCATCTTGCTTGATCACAACAAAAAGAATGGGGTTAGCTCTCTTCCTCACTAGAGTCTCTGCACAGACAGCCATCACATTGAGACTTGGCCAGTTATTTCTCTTCCTCTTAATTGCCTTTGGCTCCAAGTAACCCTGTGGATTTTTAAAATCTCACTTTGTTCTTGGAGGATTTCTCAGCAGGGTGGGCATTAGAACTTAGCGGAACTTCAGAACAATGATCTGCCTTTAAACACTTGGCTTTAGGAAGCCCCACCCCAGGATAAGCTGATGGGGCCTGCTTCCTCTGGATGGGAAGCTCTGCCCCGGGTTTGAAGGAGGAGGGCAGGATGCAACCCCGTCCCACCCTCCCCACTCCAGGTGGTGGCTCTTCCTTGGTCCTGAGCTTTCTCTTCCTTAGGATAGCTATGAGGACCAGGCCCTGCGGCCTCCAAATAGAGGGCAATTCCCTCTCCCTCTTCTGCTCTCTCTTAGGAGAGCTCATTGAGAAACAGGAAGGTCCATCTTTTGGATAAGTTATTTTTCTCGAACTCACCATAGGTTATTGGAAACCTCTCCTGCAACCCCAACTATTTCTCCTTGAGTAGGGGAGTCCTCTCTGAGTGCCTCTGAGTGGATGTTAAAGGATCTCAAATATATATATGTGTATATAAAACCCTCAATGTCTTGCCAGTGTGGCCCCATGTCTTCTCAACCCCCTTGCTCTGTTTGCCAGCGGGGCTGCAATAGTAGCAGTAATGACAGCGAGACTATCCAGAGGATGTACTATATATAGCCTTTATGTGTATTACCTTACTTAATCCTCATACAACATGATGAGGTAGACACAATATTATCCCCGCTCTGCAGATGAGAAAACAGGCTTGCAAAAGTTAAAATGACTGAGCTAACAAGTGATGGAATCAATATTTATTTATTTACTTTTTATTACTTTATTATATATTTATTTATTTTTTCAAGAGAGGCTCTTGCTCTGTCACCCAGGCTGGCATGCAGTGGCGTGATCATGACTCACTTGCAGCCTCAACCTCCTGGGCTCAAGTGATCCTTTCACCTCAGCCTCCTGGGTAGCTGGGACTATAAGTACATGCCACCACGCCCAGTTAAATTTTGTATTTTTAGTAGAGATGGGGTCTCACCACGTTCGCCAGGCTGGTCTTGAACTCCTGGATTCAAGTGGTCCACCTGCTTCAGCCTCCCAAAGTGCTGGGATTACAGGCGTGAACTACCACACCTGGCCCATATGTTCTTATGTACACACATGCACACACACATGCACTCTTAGACATTTATGTGCAGGCTTGTGTGTACGCATGCCAACCCACACACATACATGTGCACAGCCCATGCACACACCCATGTGCATGTGCACACACAGATGCATATCTGGGCATGAAGCTGCAATAGCTTTCCAGCTACCACAGTACACTCAGAAGCTTGGACCTCTCTTGAAGGAGAAAAGAGCTTTTCTCTGTCATAGCATCTGAGAGTGGGTCAGAAAACTGGGTGTTTCAACACCCTACCCTCAAAGGTGCGTTTTAAACATCCTTCTGTATATGAAGAAGGAAGCAGACTCCAATTGCACAAAATGAGAGCAAAAAAGGATCATGGTACATTGTTTAAAATGAGTTTTACAGGACCCTTGAGGCCCAAACTAATTTTGGAAATGGTTTGTTTTGGCTAGCCTGTGCCAGTCCTCAGAAATTAAAGCCTTTTTAAGCAACCATGAGACTTGCAGCAAGTTCAAGGGACTGTTCCTTTTCCCTACTCAAAGGTTAGAGAACTAATAGCTTAAAACTTGGTTTCCTCTCCAATTATTTCACAAATATTACCATTCAGTGGGGCCCCTTTCCAGGTCCAATAAAAGATCCTGTTATATTCTCCACATACTCTAATGATTAAGTTTGCCACCCTTATTTTACTAGGCTGGAAACATATTTAACATTTGCTCCCTAAAAATGTGACATAAAATTAAACAAAACCCAGAGTCACTGTCTTGGATCTAGTTTCCATCCAGAGGAGATGTATTAAACAACTAGTTGTTAAAACAGCAGGTGGTGACAGGGACATATTTAGAGTCTTTGTGCTCTTGGAAGGGTCAGCTACCCATCTGGTGGTCTGTGACATTCCTTCTCTTGCTGTATAAATTGTGTCACTAGGCTGAAGGCAGAGTGGAGAGCAAAGCCCTTGGATTCATGGAGAAGCTGGGACCTGCAGTATCTTTCCTGCCTCATCCTTCCTCTCCATCCTCATGGCAAGTGCACCAGTTCAGGCCTCCAAGGTCCTCAGCTCAGATCTGTCTTCCATTCCATGACCATCATTATTTTTCAGAAATGTAGCTGTGCTCACATCACTCCCCACCTGATATGGTTTGGCAGTGTCCCCACCCAAATCTCAAATTGTAGCTCCCATAATGCCCACGCCATGGGAGGGACCTGGTGGGAGGTAACTGAGTCATGAAGACGGGTCTTCCTCATGCTGTTTGCATGACAGTGAATAAGTCTTGTGAGATCTGATGGTTTTATAAAGAGGAGTTCCCCTGCACATGCTCTCTTTGCCTGCCGCCATGTAAGATGTGACTTTGCTCCTCCTTCACCTTCTGTCATGATTGTGAGGCCTCCCTAGCCATGTGGAACTGTGAGCCAATTAAATCTCTTTTGTTTATAAATTACCCAGTCTTGGGTATGTCTTTTTTAGCAGCGTGAGGATAGACTAATGCACCACCTCAACTGCATTCCTTGCATTTCTGTTGTGTTGCAGGCATGGTGCTTGGGCTGGAAAGATTAAGATGGAAAGACCCACCCCCTGCCATCAGGCAGTCTGGGAGGTGGTTTTCTGTCTGTATAATCTGATTTCTAGCACTGCTCCTTCCTCTCCCTTTTCTTACTACATGAGGCCTCTCCTGGGTAGGTGGCCAGGATGTTCCATTTCCACCCTGAGTTCTGGGTGTCCTGCCAGAGCTTCCTCTCCAGTCCCTGGGTGGGAGAGGGCTGTGGCAGTGTCAGGTCACCTATGGGAGCTCACCCAGCCATTTAGGAAACTCACTTGAATCATGTAGAAGCCTATAAAAGAGAATATTTTTAAAAGAATTATCTGGAAAGTTCCAGAAGGGTTTTAGGGTAATCATCCACCCAGTGTTATACATGGCAGCCCTGGTGGCTTGTAGACATGCTGTGGTATTTTGTTATGGCAAATGAATTCTAGCAAATGAATGCACTTGGGTACCACCAGGTCAAGGCATAGAACAAGAGAGCCCCTGACTCGCAGCTGATGGGTGTGGGGCAAAGGTCAACTCCCAGAACCAGGTCCATGGCAGGGCTCAGGATCAGAGCCTCCCAGCAGAGTCAGAGAGCAAGGGGGCTTGAGGAAGGGAGAGTCTAAATATGAGTGTTGGGGGACAACTCACCAAGCCTGTGGGTGTGGGGTGGCGGAGGGGAGACAGAGCAATGGAGAACACAGAGATGACCAAAGCAAGACCAGTGATGCAGGACGGGGGAGTAGGAGGTGGTCAGGATGGAGTCCAGGGACTGGACGCTCAATGCTCTTGGCAGGCTGTTTGTGAGTGGGGTGAGGGGGTTGGTTTGTTTAGAGGGTTTGAGTCTAAACTGCTGTGGGGCTAAATGTGCTGAAAGCAGAAGGATCAAGATATTAGTTATGTAGTTTTCATATTGCTTTATGACCCAGTGTTGCTTTCAATTCAAGAGTGCTTGTATGATTGGAAACAAAAAAGCCTGAGGTTTCTCAAGTTTAAAAACCCATTCGGGAGTTTGGCTGGACCCACTACAGAAGTCTGGAAGCTAAAACACAGATACTGTTTGTCTAGTCTTTTGGGATGTATCCATAACTTAGCATCAAAGTGGATACATCCCAAAGTCTTCCTCTGCCGTCATGTGCAAATTCATCTATCTCTGTCCTGGACACACATGCAAATTTTTAAAGCACTCACAACTCAAAATGACACAGGATCACTCTGATGATTTGATATACGATGTGAATAAAAGTTACCAATGGGAGTTCCTCCCGTCCTCCCTCCCCTTAGCTGCTAAAGGAACCTGGCACTGGCAGGCTCCATTTCTTTCCCGTCCTTACCCTTAAGGGAGAGTTCAGTATTTGCCAGCCCAGTAGCTAGGTATTTATAATACTGAATTGGGAAAATAAGTAGGAAGAGATAAGCTGGAGAGGCAGGAGGAAAAAGAAAGGAGAAAAAAGAGAGAGGCTGAGCTGCCTAGACTTGAGGGAGAGGAGGAAGAGGGTGAGAGACAGGGAGAGATGAAGAGAGATGTGAGGGGAGAAAAAGAGGGGGAGAGAGTAAAAGAGAGAGGAGGAGAAGAAAGGGAGACAGAGAGAAAGAGAGTGAAAAAGAAGAGGGAGAGAGAGAGGAAAGGAGAGAGAGAAAAACAGAGGGAGAGAAGAAAGGGAGAGAGGAAGGGGAGGGAGAATGAGGAGAGGAAGGAAGAGAGAATAGTGGTGTGAGGGGAGGAATCAGAGTAGACAGTGATGGTTTTGGCCTTTGGCCCTCCCAACACGGACTCCCCCTTATTATGTTAATAGCACTCCAATTTCCCTTTGGGCTGCTACCCTCTTCTATTCCTAGTTTATGCAACTCACATAGAGGTGCCTCCATTCCTAAGTTTTCTTCCTCAGGAGGTGGTCAGTGTCCTACTGACAAGTTTAGGGATGGGCATGTGATAAATGCACGTGACAGAGTTGGCCCAATGAGAGCCAGCCCTGGGACTTCCCTTAGAATGCTGGAAGAAGGAAACTCTTCTCAATGAGTTTGCTAAATTGCTCAATTGCTAAATAACACCTGGGAACCCTGGTGGCCACCTCTTAGTGGAAACACTATGCAGAAGAGAAAGCCCACAGAGAGGAAGGCAAAGCTGGGAAATGGAGTCCAACCCAAAACAACAACTCCTGGACTTTTCAAATTTGCAAGAAGATATTATCTTTTTTTTTTTTTTTAAGGCACTTTGAATTAGGATTCTGTCATGTGTGACCAAAAGAGTACTGAACAGAGAGACTCCAAGAGGAGCAGCTGCAGGGGACAGAAAAAGGGATCTTCATTGATGTTCTTTAAGAATTAAAAGGAGGGAGTGTATATTTAGGGCAACTTGAATCTATGCTCCTGGGTTGCAGTCCCCAGGCTTGGCCCAAATAAACTCTCTCTGCTCTCTCTCTCTCTCTCTCTCTCTATATATATATATATACATATATATGAATTTAAAAGAAAAGATTGAAACTCCTTTCAATGGTTTTTGGAAGCTAGACTATGCTTCCGTGCATGTGACATTTCACCAAGACTGTGTGGTCTTCCCAAGTGTGGTCCCAGGATTTAGTAGAGTCATTTACTACAGGACTCATAGCATTAGGAAATGCTATGGTCAGAAGAGATGCTAGAAGTCATCTAGTTGCATTCTCTCTTTAGCGCTTACACCTCTTCAAGTATTTTGAAAAACTCTGATTACATTTGCACACTTCCAGGGATAAGGAACTCACTTTCATAAAGGCAGCCTGTTATGGATTGAATTGTGTTCCTCAAAAAGATACTTTGAATACAAAAATTAGCTGGTTGTGTTGGTGCATGCCTGCAGTCCCAACTACTCAGGAGGCTGAGATAGGAGAATCACTTGAGCCCAGGAAGGCTGCAGTGAGTCATGATCACACCACTGCACTCCAGCCTGGGCGACAGAAGTAGACCCTGTCTCAAAATAAATAAACAAAGTAAATAAAATTAAAAAGATATTTTGAAATCTTAACCCCTAGTACCTCAAAATATGACCTTATGTGGAAATAGGATCTTTGCAGATGTAGCCAAGTTAAGATGAGGTCATCAAGGTGGGCCTTAATCCAATATAACTGGGAGTCCTTAATAAGAAGAGAGACTGACAGCCAAGAAGATGGTTACATGAAGACAGAGGCAGAGATGACAGTTATGCTACCACAAGCCAAGCAATGCTTCGGGGAGCAGAAGCTGAGAGAGGCCCGGAAGCACCCCTAGACCTTCAGAGAGAGTATAGCCCTACCAACACCTTGATTTTGGACTTCTAGGCTCCAGAACTGTGAGAGAAGAAATTAATTTCAACCCAGAAAAAAAACAAGGTTGTTTCAAGCCACCCAATATGTGGTACTTTGCTATGGCAGTCCTAGGAAACCAATACACAGCCCATTCCATTTTTAGCAACTTTCAGGTCAGAATGTTCTTCTCGACACTGAGCTAGAATTTAATTTTATGTAACTACTGGTCCTAGCATGGTCTTCTGGAGTCAAACACACGTCTATTCTTCCTCTACAAAACAGCCTTCAAGCTTCCAGGATGCGATTATGTCCCAGCTGAGACATCCCTTTGTTTATGTTCCTAGGTCATTCACCATCCTGGTGTCATTTAAAGCCTGATGTCTGCAGCCATAGAGCTGTTTGCTCTTTCCTTAGCGGCCACCAGAGCTACGTTGCACAAGCTATCCTCAATATCTTCTTCTTTGAGATGTATACCAGCAAGGCTTAAGATGGACTGCAGCTCAGTATTAGGGGGAGGAGTTACTCCCTTTGAGAATCTTCGAAAGTGACACCTTTTTATTCATAATCTTAAAGACGTGGTGGCCAAGTGTGGTGGCTAAGTGTGGTGGCTCACGCCTGTAATCCTTACACCTTGGGAGGCCAAGATAGGAGGATTGCTTGAGTCCAGGAGTTCTAGACCAGCCTAGGCAACACAGGGAGGCCCCATCTCTGAAAAAAAAAAATTTAAATTAGCTGGGTGTGGTGGTGCTTGCCTGTAGTCCCAGCTACTCGGGAGGCTGAGGTGAGAGGATGCCTTGAGCCCAAGAAGTTGAGGCTGCAGTGAGCCGTGATCACGCCACCACACTCCAGCCTGAGTGACAGAGGGAGACTCTGTCTTAAAAAAAAAAGAAAAAAAAAAATGTGATGATGGTTAAGGCTATTATAAAAAGCTCTTAGAGGAAGAAGAAAAACTGAGACATAGAGAAAATGCTGTCAATAGGTAGCACTTAAAAAAATAACCTGGCTCCCTTCCCAACCAGGGAGGCAGAAATGTTGCTCTCTGCACCAGTCTCACCCTGGGTGAGCTGCTTCAAGAACCCCCAACAGTCAGAAACAGAGGTAAGGGGTAATTGCCCTAGGAAGCCCATATCCCTGAGCCCTAACTTAGAGGACTTCCCTACTAGCCCAAGATGGCCCTCTTACACTAGTTGAAAACAAATTACTCGGCACCAAAAGGAAATTTGGAAAATGCGGAAAAAGCCTCTCAACGTTGTCTTCTAATTTTTTTCTCCAAGAGTAAAAATATTACCACAGATTTACAGGATTCTGGGCTCATGTTTATCTCACAAGGAACAAAAGGCAAAGTATTCTGGCAAATGTGCCATTTTCTGGCAATGTCACTGATTCAGCTTTACATTCCCACACCCAAATGATCTGTGGCTTTGGTCTGATGCCTATTGCAGTAAAGCGAAGCTGCCTTTGTTCAACCTAGCCAGATGGCTTCACTTTTACTTTGACAGAGAGTTGAATTTTTGAGCCATTTTAAAGGTAGCTCTTGAAGCAAGGACTAAGAATCTGAGGAGCTGGCTCTGAACTCTGCCCTGAGACCCTGCTTTTTAGACTAGGATCAACTTGGGGTACGCTTACATAGGGTCACTAATGGAAAGAGCTTTGACGACACTATACAGAAATATGTGGGCTCACTGTGCCACACCTGTTCTGACACACTGAAGTGCAGCCTGTTGCATCTTCATGAAGACATCTAGCCAACCCCTAAGAAAACAATGCGTTCAGGCAAGGCACGGTGGCTCACGCCTGTAGTCCCAGCGCTTTGGGAGGCTGAGACAGGCGGATCACTGGAGATCAGAAGTTCGAGACCAGCCTTGCCAACATGGCTGGAACCCCGTCTCTACCAAAAATGGAAAAATTAGCTGGGCTCTATAACCCCAGTTACGTGGGAGGCTGAGGCACGAGAATCACTTGAACCCAGGAAGCAGAGGTTGCAGTGAGCCAAAATCATACCACTGCACTCCAGCCTGGGTGACAGAGTGAGACCCTGCCACAAAAGAAAAAAAAAAAAAAAAAGAAAGAAAGAAAAAAGAAAACAGTGACTTAAACAGTGGAACAGTGGTAAACATAAGGAGTTTGTTATTCCCGAAATTATTTCCATTCTGGATATAAGAATTTAGGAAGTAACTATGTTTTCCCCTTTTGGTGTGTGTTTAGAGAAACAATCCTTAACTGACGTGGAAGTTCAGCATTTAGATTAGGAGAGGGATCTTTAGGGACATATTGAGATGTGACCTACATGCCCACGTGGCGAATGGTGGAGGGGGCAGCCATCTATGACAACTTATATCTTAGATGGGACAAGAATGGACAGACTGTGATGGACCCACAGTAGGAGAAGCTGGCAGGGTTTTCCTGGGTGGAATCCACACAGCCAGCTGAGACTGGAGCATGGCAGGGCTTGCTCTATCCTTCACCATGTTACCCCTGACAGCAGCAAACACTCCTGAGAAGAATCTCTTACCACAATAACGTATTGAAGATAACCTATTTGGAGTAACAAATATTAGAGAAAAATGTTTTTTGCTGTTGCTGTTTTGTGGTTGAGGCCCATCACTCTGAAGAATGTGACTGTTCCAGGCAAATGGAATTTGAAGGCACAATTCCAAAGGGGCAACAGCATGAAACAGGACTTACCATCTTGATCACAGGAGAGCAGAACTTTTGAGTAGCAGAAAGCACAACCCGAAAGAAAAAGGGAGGAAATTACTGCACCATCCTCTGGAGTTGGAGCACATTTGTGACAAGCTACGAGTAGATAGTCCCAGCTGCTTGCCTTGCCATTCATTGTTGGGCAAGACAACAGGATGGCACACTTCGATGTTCAGATAAAGGTGGGAAGGGAGGGGCCCTTGGGAGAGGGGCATTTGGCAGTTTGTTAAATGGGGTGTCCTTTTCGCTCCAGATTCAATATGTCTTTCAATCCCAAAGTATCTAGAATTTTTGACCTCTCAACACATCTGTATTAGTCTGTTTTCATGCTGCTGATAAAGATATAACTGAGACTGGGTAATTTATAAAGGAAAAGAGGTTTAATGGACTCATAGTTCCACTTGGCTGGGGAGGCCCCACAATCATGGCAGAAGGCAAAGGCACATCTTACATGGAGGCAGACAAGAGAGAATGAGAGCCAAGCAAAAGGGGTTTCCCCTTATAAAACCACCAGATCTTGTGAGACTTATTCACTAACACGAGAACAGTGGGGGAAACCACCCCCATGGTTCAATTATCTCCCACCAGGTCCCTCCCGAAACAAGTGGGAATTATGGGAGCTACAATTCAAAGATACGATTTGGGTAGGGATACAACCAAACCACATTACTATCCCTTCACTTCTTTGTTTGCTTGCTTTTTCTTTTCCTTTCTTCCTTCCTTCCTCCCTTCCTCCTCCCGCCCTTCCTTTCCCTTCCCTTCCCTTCCTTCCCTTCTTTTCCTTCCTTCCTCCTTCCCTCCCTCCCTTCGATCCTTCCTTCGTTCCTTCCTTCCTTCCTTTCTTCCTTTTTTCCTTCCTTCCTCCTTCCTCCCTCCCTCCCTTTCTTCCTTCTTGCCTTCCTTCTTCCCTCCCTTCCTTCCTTTTCTTTCTTTTATTTTCCCCTACTTTTAAATGTTAACATCTTATAAGGAAGACTTTTGGAATGTTGGCTTATTTAGTAGATATGGTCTGTGACTCAAAAATGTTACAGAATAATGAGTGGTGGCAAATATTCTGGCACAATGACTATATAAAATTGGTTAGAATGGAGTTTTCAAATTCAGTGTAGGTAAAACACTAGAGGAAATGAAAACAAACTAACTCATTCTAAAAAGACTGCATATGACTTTGTTATCACTGAAGAAACATAAATTACAATAATATTTTCATTATACAAGGACCCTTCAAATTTATAACAATAAGCAAAAACATATAGAAACTTAGCTTTGTTAGGGAACAAACACACTTATTAGACTGCAGATTGGTACTATAAAGCAGTTTTGCCTCTTGAGATAATAATAACCTAGGCCACATGTCAAAGGACATGTAGCAGAAAGCACCCTTACTCTGTAGAACAGAACCCATACTAAATTCATGGTAGAAATCCTATGTCCCTTGCCAGGGACTGGTTTAGGAAAGGGACTGGCCAAAGAAATGTTGAATGAACAATGAAACAGAGACTGATGAGGAATCTCTAATATTTTCTTGCTCGTTAAAAGAGACACAGATGAAGAAACTTCCTTTTCTTCTTCCACTGAACATTGTCATATCTGTGAGGTACGGTGATGTTTATGCTGTGGCAGCCATTTTGTGACCATGAGGACATCCTTCACAACAGAGATGTTCCCCCAAAGATGGCAGAACAAAAACATGGAAGCAAACTGGGCCCTTGAGGATGTCACTGTGTTGTAAAATTAAACAACTCCATAGCAGCCCTACCACAGGAATTCTTGTTATGGGCAATTATATTGTTTTCTTGTTGTTCAAGCCAACTGAGATATAATTTTCTGTTACTTGTAGAAAAAGCATTCCAGGAAATGATAAAATAATTTATATTTTTGACTTAATAAGTCACTTTGGAGATGATATATCAAAGAAATGCCCAAAAGATAGCAAGTTTTTATCTGAAGCTGAAAAACACAGAGACGTGTACATGAAAATCACATTATGAAAAAGGAAAGCAGGCTGGTCATGGTGGCTCATGCCTGTAATCCCAGCACTTTGGGAGGCTGAGGTGGGCGAATCACAAGGTCAGGATTTCGAGACCAGCCTGGCCAATATGGTGAAACCCCCTCTCTACTAAAAATACAAAAATAAGCCAGGTGTGGTGGCGCACACCTGTAGTCCCAGCTACTCAGGAGGCTGAGGCAGAAGAGTCACTTGAATCCAGGAGGTGGAGGTTGTAGTGAGCTGAGACCATGCCAATGTACTCCAGCCTGGGCAACAGAGCAAGACTCTGTCTCAAAAAAAAGAAAAGAAAAGAATAGAGAAAGGAAGGCAGAACATAACGGGTAGGTGCATGATCCTGACAATGTAAATATTCACACAGCTTCCACCAAAGATCATAAGACAATTCAATGTCATGGCAATAGTTTATTATTGAATGTCCACTACATTATGTTTCTGTAAATGATTACTCAAGTTGAAACACTTACTGAAATTTCTGAGAAAAGAGATAGCATCAGGCCACAAATATGAACTGCTGCACAAAATAAATGGCAGAGAAATGTCTATTGAGGAGGGGCATGTGCTTTAGGAAATGCTTCTAGAACTAGTCATTCCAAGCCTATGATTTAGAGCTTTCTCCTCAATGCAGTTATCCATTATAATAACTAAAATATGTGACAGAAGTTTTCAAAACATATGAAACACACAGACTTCAAGGAAAAGAAAGGCAAGAATTGTGATGAAGTGGGTAAAGACTCAGAGAAAATAATACAAGAGAATGTCAATATTTCTTACACAATGAATTTCCAAAAATATGTCACAAGCACAGACTGAGTCTTGTTTTAATTGGCACAAACACAAGGGAAACAGAAAATTTAAGTCAGAGAAGCCGTAGCACTGAAAATTCTATTTGCATCTGCCTGAAAATCAGAGAAAATGTTGAGAAAGGAAGAACTGGACATAAAGGAAACCTATCAGATCCATATTAGATGAAACAGCTGCATGAATCTTTTCATAGGAGGTGCTTATAGCCCTTTATTTTTGGAATTTCTCTTTCAAGGATCACCAATGAAACTGAATTTTGTTACTCATAGTATTGACAGCTAAATTAAGACAGATCAGAAAATCAAGGCCAAGAAAATTACTGTAAAATTGGAAGGTTCATTGTGAACTGTAAGAAAATCATTCAGAAAAACACATTAATTACATTCAATCAAATACACTTTTACCCCCTAAACTTTCACGCAGCTCTATGTCATTCAGTTTCTCAAACGTTGACTCAAGGAACACACTATACCAAGGCTTTATTAGATATTAGCTTTCTTTGCACCTTGAACCACAGCCTAAGGTTAAATGTTTTCAGATCTGGATTTTGGTAGCGGGTCGCATTTCTTTTGAATTTGATGACGTATTAGCAGTTGGAGCCAGTTTAATGAGGTGAGAAAGATGTCAGATTAACTGGGAGGTATGCAGCCGGAATAAAAGAAAACTCAAAGGCCGGGTGCAGTGGCTCATGTTTGTAATCCCAGCACTTTGGGAGGCCAAGGTGGGGGGATCATTTGAGGGCAGGAGTTCAAGACCAGCCTGGCCAACATGGTGAAACCCCATCTTCACTAACAATACAAAAATTAGCCGGGCATGGTGGTGCATGCCTGTAATCCCAGCTACTTAGGTGGCTGAGGCAGGAGAATTGCTTAAACCTAGGAGGCGAAGGTTGCAGTGAGCAGAGATCACACCACTGCACTCCAGCCTGGGCAAGAAAGCAAGACTGTTAAAAAAAAAAAAAAAGAAAGAAAGAAAACTCAAGACAGTTTTTTTTTTTTTTGAGACGGAGTCTCGTTCTGTCGCCCAGGCTGGAGTGCAGTGGTGCCATCTCGGCTCATTGCAAGCTCCACCCCCCAGGTTCACGCCATTCTCCTGCCTCAGCCTCCCGAGTAGCTGGGACTACAGGTGCCCGCCACCACGCCTGGCTAATTTTTTTGTATTTTTAGTAGAGACGGGGTTTCACTGTGTTAGCCAGGATGGTCTCCATCTCCTGACCTCGCGATCGGCCCACCTCGGCCTCCCAAAGTGCTGGGATTACTCAAGACAGTTTTACAAGACAATTAAGCATATTTCACATTGGGGAAAAAGCCCAAGCACATTTTACCTCATTATGGATAGCAAATGTTTAGTGCAGGGATATCATACAGATATGTCAGGCTTTTAAAAAGGTAACGTGCAAAATATCTAGTTTTTTGTTTTTGTTTTTGTTTTGTTTTGTTTTTTTGAGACGGAGTCTTGCTCTGTCACCCAGGCTGGAGTGCAATGGCGTGATCTTGGCTCACTGCAACCTCTGCCTCCTTGATTCAAGTGATTCTCCTGCCTCAGCCTCCCGAGTAGCTGGGACTGCAGGCGTGCACCACCATGCCTGGCTAATTTTTGTATTTTTTAGTAGAGACGGGGTTTCACCATGTTGGCCAGGCTGGCCTTGACCTCCTGACCTCAGGTGATCCACCTGCTTTGGCCTCCCAAAGTTCTGGGATTACAGGCGTGAGCCACCACGCCCGGCCTTTTTAAAATTTTTTTCTAAGAGACAGGGTGTGGCTCTGTTGCCCTGGCTGGAGTGGCAGTGGCACGATCATAGTGCTTTGTAAACCTCGAACTCCTGGGGTCAAGTGATCCTCCCACCTCAGTCTCCTGAGTAGCTGGGATTAAAGGCACTCCACCACACCCAGCTGATTTTTCTTTAAAAAAAAAAAAAAAAAAGTTATAGAGCTAGATTCTTCCTATGCTGCCCAGGCTGGTCTCAAACTCCTAGCCTCAAGCAATCCTCCTGCCTTGGCCTCCCAAAGTGCTGGGATTACAGACATGAGCTACCATACCTGGCCCAAAGTTTCTAAAATTTTGTTTATTTATCTATTTTAATTTAACTTTTTTTTTTTAATTCTTTTGTAGGGCCTCATTTTGTTGCTCAATCTAGTCTCGCTTTGTTACTCAAATTGGTCTCGAACTCCCAGCCTCAAGTGATCCTCCCACCTCAGCTTCACACAATACTGGGATTATAGGCAAGAGTCACCATACCCAGTATCTAAAGTTTTAAAGCATAAATTCTTTAATACTAAAGAGAGACACCTTGTATCATCTTTAGAAGGTCAGTTTTCTATGGAAATAAAATATTTGATCTGCAATAATTACAAATACAAAGAAATCTTCAGGAATATATTCATTATTTAGAGATGTATTTAAGAGACTAGAGATATACTTCACTGTACTAATTTATTTTAGCTACCCCAATAGTATTATTAAAAATATATAGGGTTAAGGGTCTCAAAGTCAATGGAGAAGTTCGCACCAAAAAGTGGTCAAGACTGAAGAAAAAAGATGAAGTCGTATACACATTAGGTAAGTTTTTAGCATCTCATCAGAACTATTTGTTCCTAAATTATTTTGCTCCTCTTGATCCTGAAAAACACATTAATTATGATGATTTATTCAATAAATTCATTCCTGAATACTTGTTTTCTATATGAATTATCTCCTTGATGCCATTGAGCATCTGACTCACAATTTTTTTTTCTTTTCTTTTCTTTTTTTTTTTAAGTCAGGGTCTGGCTCTATTGCCCAGGCTGCAGTGCAGTGGCATGATCTCGGCTCACTGCAACCTCTGCCTCCCATGTTCCAGCGATTCTCATGCCTCAGCCTCCCAAGTAGCTCGGATTACAGGCATGTGCCATCATGCCTGGCTAATTTTGGTATTTTTAGTAGAGATGGGGTTTTGCCATGTTGGTCAGGCTGGTCTCGAACTCCTAGCCTCAAGTGATCCATCCACTTCAGCCTCCCAAAGTGCTGGGATTGAAGGCATGAGACCGCACCCAGCCAGATCTTACATGTTTTACTTACATTTTACTATATTAGTTTCCATTTCTGCAAGCCACCCTAAATGCTTTGTAGAATATGGGGTTAAGAAAACAAGAACAGATAGACAGAGAGGAAAAGAAGAGGGAGAGAGAGAGGAAAAAAAGGAGGAGTGGGGTGAGAAGGAAAAAGAAGGAGACGAAAAAGAAGAGAGAGAGCATGAATGGAACAAATGGTGAGAGAGGAGAGAGCATAGAAAAAGCAAAGGGATGGTAGAAGAGAAGGAAAGTGGAAAACAGATTCCATTTTATACTACATAATCAGCAAAAACCAACTCTTTAACCAGAATCAGGTATTCGCATCTATGGCACATTTTGTCAAGGAAAACAATTTAGGTTTTCAGGCTAGCCCCTAACACTTTAATGTGAGTCCGCTATCCTGAAAGCCGGAAATTTTATAGAGGAATCCCCACTCTCATAGAAAGAAAACCCTTTTCTCACCCATTCCTGAATGCCTAAGGGGTTTTAGGGGAAACTTTTGAAGTAGGTGAGGCTACGTGCAGTTCTGTGCCCTCTTCTATTTCTTGTTGCTCCCTCTCCAAGACTAATGGGATCTAATCTTCATGTAGCTCAAAGACATGGGCAGACAGCTGGCTGGCTCTTTCTTGTCAAAAACCAGACTAAAGACCAGGTGCAGTGGCTCACACCTATATTTTTAACACTTTGGGAGGCCAAAGCAAGAGGATCACTTGAGATCAGGAGTTCAAGACCAACCTACGCAACCATAGTGAGACCCCATCTCTACAAAAAGTTTAAAATAACTGGACGTGGTGGCACACACCAACAGCCCTAGCTACTTGGGAGGCTGAAGCTGGTGAATCTCTTGAGCCCTGGAGCTCTAGGCTGCAGTGGACTATGAACATGCACTGCACTCCTGCCTGGGTGACAGAATGAGACCCTGTCTCTCTCTCTCTTTAAAAAAATTTTACTGTTTTAATTTTTGTGGGTACACTGTAGGTATAATATATGAAGTACATTATATATTTTGATACTGGCATACGATGCGAAATAATCACATCAGGGTAGATGGGGTATCCATCACCTCAAGCATTTATCCATTTGTCCTTTCTTTGTGTTACAAACAATCCAATTATACTCTTAGTTATTTTAAAACGTACAATAAATTATTATTGACTGTAGTTACCCTTCGTGCTATCAAATATTAGATCTTATTCATTCTAGTTATATATCTAATCATATTTTTGTACTTATTAACCATACCCACTTCCCCCTCCCCACTACCCTTCCGAGCCTCTGGTAACCATCCTTCTACTCTCTATGTCCATGAGTTCAATTGTTTTAATTTTTAGTCCTCACCAACAAGTGAAAATAAACAAAGTTTGTCTTTCTATGACTAGCTTATTTCACTTAACACAATGACCTCCAGTTCCATCCATATTGTTGCAAATGACAGAATCTCATTCTTTTTTATGGCTGAATAGTACTCCATTGTGTACACGTACCACATTTTCTTTATCCATTCATCTGTTGATGGACATTTAGGTTGCTTCCAAATCTCGGCTATTGTGAATAATGCTGCAACAAACATGGGAGTGCAGGCATCTCTTCAATATCCTGATTTCCTTTCTTTTGGGTATATACCCATCAGTGGGATTGCTGGATCGTATGGTAGCTCTAATTTTAGTTTTTTGAGAAACTTCTAAACTGTTCTCCATAGTGGTTGTACTAATTTACACTCCCACCAAGAGTGTTCCCTTTTCTCTACATCCTTGCCGGCATTTGTTATTGCGTGTTTTTTAGGTAACAGCCATTTTAACTGGGGTGAGATGATTCTCACTGTAGTTTGATTTGCATTTTTTGGATCATCAATGATGTTGAGCACCTTGTCAAATACCTGTTTGCCATTTGAGTCCCTATCTCAAAAACAAAAACAAAACAACAACAACAAAACAAAACCTCCCTCTCAGCACTGTCCCTGTTTCAGTTCCATGCTAGGGAGAAGTTTGCTAAGCAACATTTATGTGTTAATTCCTTATTAGCCTGTTCAGAAGCATTGGCCTGATCAGAATATCTTGATTAAAGCTTTGTGGGCGATGGGGACCAGGTGAGCAGCTCAGCTAGACCTAGGCCTCTGCTCCCTAGACAAGCTCCTGCCATTCAAAGCTGCTTTCATTCCGCTACTTCTCTGTTCTCTCAACCCTTCAAGCCCATCTAAGCAGCTTAGGTGTGCTAATAACATCCATTCATATCTTCCTACAGCATCCTGCACACATCAGTAAAACCTAATAAATATTTGTTGGTTGACTGCATTTGAGGTATTTTTACTACTGCTTTAAATTCTAAGTGACTTTGAAAGGCAAACAAAGATTAAGTTCATGGAAGTGTAGAAGTAGAACCAGAAAACCTGGGTGTTGGCTGTGGTCAGTCCACTTTTTACTGTATCCTACACAAATCTATCCTCCATTTCCTCATTAGGAATAATAAATGAAGATTTATTAAGCACCTACTCCACAACAGGCACTATTCTATGTACTTTAGTGCACTGAAGTCTTCACTGCTAACAACTCTTATGAGGTAGGATGCAAAGCGCATTCCCATGGTACAGAGAAGGAAATGGAGGCACAAACCACGAAGCTGGGAGGCACCCCAGCTGCAACTGGGTACCAAGGAGCTTAGCTCCAGAAACTAGGTTCTTAACCACTATATGGTTCTGTCTGTCAATTAAACAAAATAATGTTTGGCAAAGTGCCTTAACATTTTAGAGATGGGTATAGATGCTAAGTCATTATGGAAATGGCAGAGATGAGAATAACTGAGTAGAACAATTGGCCTGTATGTGGCAGCTCCAGCCCATCACCATGGGACAGCTTGAGCTACTGCAGTAAGAAGCACCCAAGGAACCTGTTAACCTGTAGGTTTCCAGGCCCTGATCTCAGATGCTCTGATTCAGTATTCTGGAGTGAGACCTATGAGCCTGCATTAGGTCGTCATAGGATTCATTTGAGAAGGCTCCTTCTAGCGAGAAGTCAGGGCTTTTGGAGGCCAACATGCACAACTTGAGGCTGAATCCCAGCTGGTGTACGATGAGGCCTCCAGAAAGTTACTTAGCGCTCACTTGCCTCAGTTTCCAAAAGGAGCATGCAGAGCTCTTTTCAAAGCCCTTGTATAAATTCTCTTACTTGGCCCTCCCATTTGCTTTGAGGAAGAAAAACCCTCCTTGCAAAAGAATGTGAGCAGTTTAGGATGCATTTGGAGGTCATCTGAGCCTCGATGGCAGGCAAGGTTGAGATCAGCCCCATTCTTTCACTGAGGAAAGCAAGGCTCAGGGTGATTAGATGACTTTATCCAGGGACACTGAGAAGAGGAGGACCCATGGCCCAAAGACTTGTTCTTTCCTTTATACTAGGGAAGCATCTGTTGTTTGCAAAGCTCCTGGAACTTGAGAACCAAGAAGAGTGATGGTGGAGTGGCCTACTATGGGCACAGGGCACAGTGAGGGTTTAGGGAGCTCAGAGCAGGCCCAGCTATGACAGGGATGGGCATGTGTGGGGTGGCCTTTCTACCCTTTTGGGAATATCCTGAGGACACACTTCTTTCCTGTGTCCTTTGAAAAGCAGCCTATTCCCAGAGGATGCCGGTGTCATCCAGGCCTGTCTGCGTCTGGGGGAGAGTTTAATTCAGCAGAGGATGTATTCAGCACACAGATCTAAATCATATTCACTAATCAGCCATACAAATAAAAAGCTCATGTTGTCTCATTTTTCAATCTATTTTGAATTTAAAGGGAATTTAAGGGTGCTCTTAATTATCATTCACCAAATCCAACAATAACATCAGAAGCCCCCACAATATTGTCCCTACTCATCCCTTACTTTTAAGGGAATGGTTGAGATGGTTCCTTGATTAGTTCCATTAATGGGATCAGTCATTTGTTGAATACCTATTGTGCTCCAAGCACTATGCTAGGCATTGAGGAAATAAAGACAGTAAAGACAGCCACCAAATAGAAGCTCCCAGGCAGACAGGCAGAGAGAAAGGTATCCTCAATATGGAAAGTACAAAGATGAAGCAAGACACCTTTAAACTTGGTTTACTACATTGCTGCAGAGGTAGAGACAGGGGCTACTGACATTCCCAGTGGGGTAAGAGACAGGTGACTGATATCCCCACGTTGCCACACATAAGTTCCTCAGGCTATGCTGCCCCTCAGACTCTTAAGACAGGCGGGGCTTGAGAGCAAGGCTTGCGTTCTTCCTCCACCCTCATGGCTAGACTCTTAGAAAGAGGAGACCTGAGACCAGGCGCAATGGCTAACACTTGTAATCCCAGCACTTTGGGAGGCCGAGGTGGACGGATCACTTGAAGTCAGGAGTTTGAGACCAGCCTGGCCAACATGGTGAAATCCCATCTCTACTAAAAATACAAAAATTAGCTGGGCATGGTGGTGCGTGCCTGTAGTCCTAGCTACTCTGGAGGTTGAGGTGGGAAGATTGCTTGAAACAGGGAGGCGGAGGAGGTTGCAGTGAGCCAAGATTGCACCACTGCACTCCAGCCCAGGTGACAGAGCAACACTCTGCCTCAAAAGAAAAAAAAAAAAGAAGGCCTGGAGCAGAGAGGCTTGTGGAGAAGACAGAAAGGGAAACAGGGGCCCAGTGGTACCTGCCTCCTGTCCTCTCCCAGGGTCAACATCTGCCAGCTCAGTCAGAGAAATGGAGTCAAGCGTGTCTCTAGTGACACTATTGAATGGCTGAGGGGGCTTTGCAATGATTGTTCCATTTTTAATAAAAAGCTCTGGAAGCCACAGCTTAAGATGGCCAACGAATCTCAGGGAGAATCCCAAGGAAATCAAAGGCAATGACATAAAGAGATAGAAGACTGTCTCCACTTACAGACCCAGAGTGAGAAAATAGAAAGCCACAGTGAGGGGACTCTTCATTCTCAGTGAGATTACCCTGCAAAAGTGAGGTAGAGCCTTGGCCTGTGAAAGCCTGAGTGGATATAGAAAGAGAGTCCTTACAGGCAACATAAGGAGGATGGGGACAGTAGCCAGTGAAGACGCAGATGCTCCTTTTCAGGGAGCTTTAAATGCATCTTTGGGAGTGATTGATCCACTAGAGACAAGGTCTGATGCCACCTTAGGGCATTCCATTAATGCTCAGCTTCTTGAGTGCAGACATGTTGTTTAACACACAGTAGATGCTCAAAAGTTGGTTGGGGGTGGGGGTGAATAGATGAGCCCATCCAGAAGAACCCAGGTTTTCTCAAAATATTTGAGATGAAATATTTGCTATGCCTCCTGCTGTGATCCACAGAAATGTCTGCCAACCTCCACTGACATCTCTGGCATGACTTGGCCTTTCTAGACTGTGAGTTCCAGGAAGGCTGAGACTTTCCTTCTCCCCTCTCTCCATCTCCCCTCTGCCACCTCAGCACCTGGTCCTGAGGAGGCATGCATCCCTCCTTCCACTCACCCACTCACCTCTGGGGCTTTATTTTCCTACCAAATATCTCT
Organism: Homo sapiens; assembly: GCF_000001405.40. Lineage (NCBI taxonomy): Eukaryota > Metazoa > Chordata > Mammalia > Primates > Hominidae > Homo > Homo sapiens. Next base: position 109,978,075 of record NC_000009.12, on the reverse strand, counting down.
TCCTCTCTTTTCTAGAAATGCTCCTTCACTCACTCTGACATTATGGTTTGAGGGAAAGCTAACATCTTCTACAAGCCCTGTCCCACTCCATCTCAGATTGGGTATGGGTAGACATCCAAAATGGCCAAGGTCCTGGTCCAGGGATGGACAACTATCTAAGCTAGGCCACCAAGAGCCCTTTCCCAGAATCCAGAAACCAGGTCTGTTTATCCCTATTTCAAGGTGGGACTGAAAACAGAGCTTGGGAGTCAAAGGAAGCTGTTTGGAGCCTGCCTGAAAGGATGTTGCTGATACCCAGAGAGAGGCAGGGGGTGAAGGGCAGAGTCCCAGTAGCATTTAAAGCCCTGATGTGTCACGCTTGCAGACCAGCGGCACCCTTGCTCTTCCTGTGATCAGGATATGTATGTCAGTAAATGTCAGTTTTTCCAGATCAGTTCAAATTGTGTTTTGTCACTTGCAACCCAAAGACTCCTGACTAATACATGAAACCAATTACTTTTTGGTGTAATTTGGCCCCTGTGGAGCCTAGAGAACCATCAGGAAACACATGATCCTTCTCACATTGATAGCTGGAGTTTGTGTCAATTTAAGAGGCACATCAGGCTCAGAGCAGAAGTGGTGGGACATGGGCTGCCTAATTCTGCAAAAGCACTAGCATGTCGAGCAAGTCATTAAAGCCCACATGAACAGAAAGCAATATTAAGAGCCTAGGCAATCAGAAAATTGATGCAAGTGTCAGAGAAAAGGACAACTGGAATAAAAAGAAGGGAGGTTGAATGTTTCTCACTAAGTGGATCCTGATCTATATACTAAGAAGGAAGAAGCATGTTCTTTCAACTACCTCCTGTACTTGTATTCCCTGGTGCAGCTTAGGAGGACAGTACTATTGCTGTTGCTGAGAGTCAATGTGATACAGTGGTTCTCCGTGTCTGGTCCCAGGACCAGCAGCATTAGAAATAAAAATTCTTGGCCTCACCTCAGACCTCCTAAATGAGAATCTCTGATTCTAAGGTGGCCTAGAAATCTGCTTGCTTTTTTTTTTTTAAACAAGCCCTTCAGGTGAACTGGATGCACTGTGAAGTTTGAGCACCACTGGCATATTGCTTTTGCTAAGCCTGAAGCTCTGGCACCAAGTTTTTGGGTTTTGCACAGACTACAAGATGAGCAGTGCCCACTGCGGTTCACACTGTGGCATCCCCTGGTTTTGCATCCTGGCTCAGCCACTTACTATCTGTATAGCTTTGGCAAGTTACTTAACTCCTTTGAGCCTCAGACTCTTCATATGTCAGACAGAAATAAGAGTAGTGCCCATTTCTCAGGTTTATTTGAGGATTTAATGAGATAACACATATAAAGTACTTAGTTCAGTACCTAGCACATAGGGTAAGCACTCAATAAATGTTGGTTATTTGTATTATTTTGCTGCTGTTCTGATTTTAGGGCAACACATGGGCCTAGGGAAGCCAGAGAAAACCTCTCCAGATATATTTTCTCTTCTGAAACACTACAGCAACCTAGATTTATTATTTCTGCCTAGCAATCTTCTACTCACCCTTCAACACCCTGCTTAAAGTCACCTCCTCTGTGATGACCTCTCAGAGCTGAGTAATCCTTCCTTTCTCCAGGCATCCATCTCCATCAAAGCCCTCAAACTTCTTCATATGAACCCTGACTCTACCTCTTCCTACTTGTTTGATCTTGGGAAAGCTTCTTCACCTTTCTATGCCTCAGTTTCCTCCTTTGTAAAATGGCATGAATAACTGTTCTTACCTATGAAATTGTTGTGGGGATTAAGTGAGGTAATATGTGTAAACTGCTAATGATAGTACTTGGCATATATTAAGTGCTCAGTAACTGTTAGCTCTGTCTCCTAGTGCCTGGCACTCTGTAGTGCTGGATGAGAAGGAAATGATGAGTAAATGGATATGAGGCAGGGCCAGGACTAAGATGAGGTGGTAAGGACTTGGCTTGGGTGTAAAATTTAAACAGGCACACTACACTCCGTTCCAGTAAAACTTGGAATAGTTTCAGAAAAAATGCTTCCAATAAATCTTTATTTATAAACACAGGCAGATGGCCCATGGCCATAGTTTGCTAATTTGATTTTCTAAAATACTGCATTATTAAAATATGATTTATCCTGATTATTGAGGCATGGGGCATGGGACATACTTGCTTAATCTGCTCTTCCTCCTCCCCACCGGCTGACCCTGAATGCACAGGCCCCGTGGTTCCCCAGCAATGTGTAGCTCTTCATCATTTTACCATTTGTGTCAGAGTTAGCAAGGAATGTATGATGGTGGCTGTGAACCACAATTTTTGCAGGTTCTCTGCCCATAACCCTCGGGCTGAGTCAGTTTGCTTGTCTCTCCAAGAAGGGCTCCTTTCCAAGCTCCAAGACTATTTTTAAAGCAAGTCGACACTCAAAGCCCAGTAGTGTCCATGTGTAGTTTTCAAATACAATCAAGGGTAAGAAGATACATATACCTACTGTGATGGTTAATTTTATGTATCAATTTGACTGAGCCAAGGAATGGCTAGATAGATGGTAAAACATTATTTCTTGGTATGTCTGTGAAGGTGTTTCCAAAAGAGATTAGCATTGAATTGGTAGACTGAGTAAAAAGATGGCCTTCACCAGTGTGGGTGGGCAATCATCCAATTTGTTGAAGGCCAGAATAGAACACAAAAGTGGAGGAAGGGTGAACTTTCTCTCTCCGCTTAACCTGGGATGTCCGTCTTCTGGTGCCCCTGGTTCTTGGACCATTGGACCTGGATTGGGACTTGTGCCACTGACTCCCCTGGTTTCTGGCCTTCTGGGTTGGACTGGAATTACATCATTGGCTTTCCTGGGCCTCCAGCTTGTAGATAGTAGATCGTGGGGCTTCTCAACCGCCATAATTGAGTGAGCCAATCCCTCATAATATTTTTCCATATGTCTACATACATCTTATTGGTTCTGCTTTTCTTAAGAATCCTAATATACACAAACGTGTGTGTGTGTGTGTGTGTGTGCACGTGCAGATACATATATATTTGGCTTTGTGATATTTTCTGAAACTTTCAAGGTTGTGTGTGTCCATAACCAAGCTGAAAGTAGAGTCATCTGTTTCAAAGACATTTCCCTGGAGATGTGACATTTGGCCAGAGGCTCCCCTATGGGACATATGTGCTCACCTTTCAGATGCCTTTTGCATCCCAAGAGGAATAGTCTGCATCTGTGCTTGCTTCTTGCTGGAGCTTCACCTCATTAAGAAGTGACCTATTTCCCAGCACACATGCCATCTCTGTTTGAGGGGCAATCACTTACTATGTAATTAGTCCTGCTTGCAAAGACAGGCCTAGTGCTGGGCCCCATACTCTGGTGCTGCAGCAGCAGTGATGAGAAAATGGTATTTCTTACTATTGCGGTACACTTTGTAAACCATTGCAGGGGATTTTTTTCCTTCTTCTTTTTATTACAATGCCACTAAAATGGAAACCATTCAGGGAAGTGAGAGTGGCGTGCGTTGGCAGTCTAAGCAACATGTGTCACTCTGCCGATTCAAAATCAGATCAAATCTGGGTTTCTCTTTCTCTCTCAGGTTGTTGTTGACATCTCTGGGTCTTTGGGTTTTTTTTTTCAGCATGCATGGCTCTGAGTGTAGGTAAGGCAGAGGCAACACTCCCAGAAGAAGCCTGAAAAGGGCTTTGGGTCAGACTCACTAGTCGGAAGCACATGGTAGGTTCCTGCCACACAGCCACTGGTTTGTCCAGTCCCGTTAGCAACAGGCTGGGCATATGCCCATCGGCATTGAACTCTTGTGAGTGCCCTTTAGAATTCTGAATCAGAAACTGCCCTTGGCACTCACCCTGCCAGGCAGGGCCTTGACAACAGCCATGTGACCCAGTCCTCCAGCTCTTACATTCTGTGCAGTCATCAGAGACATGTCCATTTCTTATGCTCTGAGTCTGGTTGCATGCTCTCTCCATGGACTCTTGCTTTAGTCTGCATCTCCCTCATAGAAGCACATACCAGTCATACTTTACATGTGTCCTGTCTGCCTCTCTCTTCCTTTGGACTCTAAACTCCATGAGAGTAGGAAGAGTGTCTGTCTTGCACATCACTGTGTTTCCAATGCCCAGCACAGCGCCAGGCACATAGTAGATGCTTTATCAATGTTTACTGAATGACAACATCTATATGAAAATGAGTCCTCAAGAAGCCCAAGGCTGGCTATATACCATTGGTACTGGCTTCGATTCAGGCAGCTGTGCTTATTACTGGCTACATCTTGGGCAAGTTGGTTAGCCACACCAAACCTCAATTTTCCACTCTGTAAAATGAGGATAATAATACCTACCTCACAGAGTTATCAAGAGACTAAAACTAGATAGCATTCATGACAGCATGTGGCAGACAGTATTATTGCCCCCAAATCCTTTCTGCCTTCCCTGTGGGAGGATTATATATCCTCACTCATTGTCAAGAGATCTGCAGTGCTGCTCTATGGGAGGAGGATACTCCCCTACCCCATTGGTGCCAGGCTTGGCCATGTGACTTGCCTTGGCCAATGGAATATAAGCTACACGTGCCACATCCAAGCATGACTTTAAGAGCCACTATATGGTTCTCCTAGTACCCCTTTCTCTCTGTCATAAGAATGGCATGTTCCATATAGGGGCTGATCCTGCAGCCTGGGTCCAGGAATGAAGACACCTAGAACAGAGCTCCAGTAGCAAGAAAGAAACCATTACTGGGGTTGCCTGTTGCAACAGCATAATGTAGAGAGAAGGCCAACTGGTATACAGTGCCTGTCACAAAGCAAGGGTTTAGTAAACCTTTGTGGAATGAACAAACACATGCTGAAGTTTCTACCAGATCAACTGCTCCAGTGCTTTTGATTCTTTTGGGTATGACATTCAATCACTAAGATAAATTTAAGGTGGCACTTTGTGGCATAAAAAAGAAGTAGATTTTTTTTTAACTGAATGAAAGTTGATCCATTCTATTAGGGTATAGCAGTGCCTGTGTCCTAAAAACCCTATCCAGGGTTTCTTTCATGGATTATTGATTCCAACTTATAGCCTATATTAACTGAGTCTTTTTGCTTATGTGTATTAAGCCATTATTGGTAAAAGGTGTATTAAGCCATTATTGGTAAAAGGTGAAAGATTTATATGATCTGAAGAGAAACCAGAGCATTATTAAGCCATTATTGGAGAGCAGGGTGCTAAGTCCGTTATACATATTAGCATGTTTAATCCTTGCAATTGTGCAGGAGATATAGGGAGACAAAAGTCACGTGGTACCCAGGGGCAAGGTAATGTTTGTGAACTTTGTCTCCTCGTAACACTGCACCAGAATTTGCAAAGGCTAGCATCTTTGTGGCATTCCCTGCAGACTGGTGGTGGGGTCATATGCACACCCCTTGGCTTCCTCTTCATTATGCCCCTAGTGGCAGGGGTTAGGGGAGGTCCCAACATTGTCTATAGTATACTGATGGGGAAACAGGCATCAAAGCATGAAGAATACGCTAAAGGTCATCCAGCCAGTCAGCAGCAGAGCCTAGACAGGAAGCCAGATGCACCAGACCTCAGAGCACTAACCTCATGCCATGCTGTCTCCCACGTTCATCCACAAAACCATATTCCCTTCTGCTTCTGCTTCCAGACTGAGTCATACTCACCCTAAGCTGGCACAGTCCTTCAGATTGAAGCCACTGTTCCTCCTATATCAGCAGGTTCCCCAAAGAATACTCAAGACAACGGAATGGTAAGAGACAAGTAGTATTGGGGAAGCTAGAATGAAGCTTTCATTTCCTTCTGATCCACACCTATGTTAGGCCACTCACTGTGAAGCCTGCTGACTTATGCTTGCAGGTGGGAACCCACCAACAACTCCCACCTGTTGAAGTTGTATTTATAGGCAAGGCCCTGCATGAAGCACCAATGCTATTCAGAGCTGCTGAAGATATGGTCCCTTGTCCTTAAGGAGTTCCACCTTAGTAAAGGGACAGATGTGCAAACAATGAACTTGATTACAAGGTCTTCTGAACAGGAGTTGAGAACAGAGAATTAGTAGATGTGCAGATGAGAGACGAACTCTGGTGGAATATCAGAGACAGCTTCAGAGAGTAGGCAGCATTTAAGCCTGGCTTGGTAGAATGAGTAATCTTTCAACGGGCAGGAGTTGCAAAGAAGTGTGTCTTGGAGGAATGGCTTGCTCAGGGTAGGAGAAATGGTCCCTGTGGGGGCTGTGTAGTGTGCAGTGGGTCACATGCCTAGAAACACAGGTGGAAATCAGATTTTGGAAGGTCTAAATGCCAGGTCAACAAGATCTGGTTTTACACTCTGCAACAATGTATCTTGGCTGGGCGCGGTGGCTCACGCCTGTAATCCCAGCACTCTGGGAGGCTGAGGCAGTCGGATTGCCTGAGGTAAGGAGTTCGAGATCAGCCTGACCAACATGGTGAAACCCTATCTCTACTGAAAATACAAAAATTAGCCAGGCTTGGTGGCGAACGTCTGTAATCTCAGCTACTTGGGAGGCTGAGACAGGAGAATCGCTTGAAGCCGGGAGTGGGAGGTTGCAGTGAGTCAAGACCGGTCCATTGCACTCCAGCTTGGACACCCTGCACAAAACAGGTTCAGACCTGAGAGGCAATTCAAGTCTTTCTTGAATGTGTGGGGCACTGGAGACAAAAGCTCTGAATGGCCTGGGGCTTGGAAACACTATGAACACAAAGAACACAAAGAGCAAACAGACCCCTTTTCTCTGTAAAAAAAAAAAAAAAAAAAAAAAAAAAAAAAGGGACTAAGAGTGGGATAAACATGGAAGCCTGAAGTTCAGCATTGGATAAGGAGATGGATTCATTCACTGATATTTACTGAGCACTGCTATGTGCCAGGCATGGTTCTAGGCATTTGGGAAACATCAGGAAATAAAGATCCCTAACCTCCTGAAGCTTTCTTTCTAAGGAAACTTTTATTTTATTTTATTTGAGACAGGGTCTTGCTCTGTTGCCCAGGCTGCAGTGTAGTGGTGTGATCGGCCTCCTGGGCTTGAGCAATCCTCCCACCTCATCCACCTGAGTAGCTGGGACTACAGGTGTATGCCACCATGCCCAGATAATTTTTTAAATTTTTTTTGTAGACACAGGGTCTCCCTATGTTGCCCAGGCTGGTCTCAAAACTCCTAGGCTCAAGTAATTCTTCTGCCTTGGCCTCCCAAAGTGCTGGGATTACAGGCATGAGCCCCGGCACCTGGCCAGGAAATTTTTAATATTCACAGGCACTTACTATTTTCCAAGAGCAACTCTATGTGATTATGCACTTATTAACTTCAGTCTTTACAAAAACCCTATGAGATAGTACTACTATCCTAATTGGACAGATGAGTAAACTGAGGCTGTGAGCTATTAACTCATCCTGGGTCAAGGCAGTAAGTGGCAGTGCTGAATGTATCACCAGGCAGCCTGCCCCAGAGGCAGGCTCCATAGTCCTACACTGTAATTCTTTTTGCATTGTAAGTAGTTGTAAGAGGAGGCTGGATTTTAGTTTCTTGGCTCACTAGGTAAAGGCTGTCCTTGTTTCCAGCTTCTACCCTAACCCCTTGAAGATTCTACAGTTCACTAAGCTCCACATTTCTAGAGGTGAAGAAGGACTCACTGCTCCCTCCTGAGTGCTCTAAGGCAGCGCTCCTCAAAGTGAGTGGCCCACCAATCCGTGTCCCTCCACAGTTGGTTACTGATCGGTGACCAAGTGAGTGCAGAAATGGAAAGAATATGTTTAGAACCCTTAATAACAATTTATTGAATCTAATAATAAAAAATCAGTACCTGTATTCTGTGTGTCTTTCAAAAATTTTACTTTTCTCATCATTCACTTTCATTGTACTTTACAAAAGTACTGTTCTGAGATGAACTGGAAGCTTAAAAGAAAAAAAACAAAACCTAATCCTTTACCATAGATAGAGAGGGACATTGTTCTCAGGGAGTTCAAGTTCCCAGGGCTGGATAGACTGCATCCCTGAGAACAGAGGGACCCTAAAGGCAAGGTCTAGGAAACATCTGTGTGGGCACTTCCTGTGTTGCACTCTCCAGTCCATTTCTAGAAGATGAGTGGGTTTTGTGCTCCCTTGCCTGGGCAGAGGCTACTTTTGGTCAATGGGCCTTCAGGTCTTTTGCAAAAGCCAAAAGTTCACTAAAGAGATGAAGCTAGGCATCCTGGTGGGGTTCGGGGAGGGGTGCACTTTCTCCCAGAAGCAGTAGAGGGGAGGGGCTGTAGGCTGCACTTGGGGTGGGGTGGGGTGAGGATGTGGGAGTGCTACACTGTGGTGTAAGCAGGGAAGCTGGATGCTGATTCCAGGCTCCCAGCCTCTGCCAAGGCTCCTGTCTCCAAGCTTGGCTCAGAAGCCACACAGACTTCAGCCCTGAAGGGGCTCTGAAAACCAGGACAATGCACACCCAAGGATAAATCCAGTGAGAACCAGTGATGATGGGCCTTCCCCAAGATGAGCATGTCACCTTTGCATGACCTTGGGTGGGAGAGAGCCCCGTGAACGACTGAGTTTGAACTGCCTGCCAGACCAGCAGCCTTGGGGTACAGAGTCTGATATCACTTGATTTAAAGAAAACAAAGTGGCACTTCTTGCATAAGTGTGTGGACCAAGACTGATACTGCTACCCTTTGTGGGTGATATTCAGGAGACAGAGTGAATGAGAAAGATGCTGGAAGGTTAGGACAGAGCGGGAGACTGTTTCAGGCGAGAGGAGACTCACAGTGGCTGAGTGAGGAAGCACAAGGTGTGGGGAGAGCCACAGGCTGTCTGTCCTATTTGGCCCAGACCAGCAGCTGTGGAGCTGCTGAGCTTTTGCAAACCCTGTTCCTTCTTTCTGGAATACTCTTGGCATGGCTGCCTTCCTCATCTTTCAGATGTCAGCTGAAATGTCCTGTCTTCAGAGGGTCCTTTCTGGGAGTCGTGTGTGTGTGTGTGTGTGTGTGTGCACGCACATTTGTAGAGGTGCAGGAAAAGACTGTCAGATCAGAGGGTCTTGCATTTTACATTCCTGCAGCTGTTCTGTTCAGTTGCTTTCTAGTCAGTTTTTTTCTTAGTCTCTAAATTACCACAGTCTCTCTGTCTGTGTCACACTCCACAGTTTTATAGCCCGGAGAGGAACTGGGTCTGGGGTCACTCCCTGGAATCTGAGGATCATGTTCTGTCACTGGAAGAAATCCTGAGATTCTTCTAATGAAGACAGAGGGCTGACATAGCCAGCCTTTCCAGGGGTCTTAGTGGCAGACTTACTGGGAGTTTTGAAGTGAAATGTAGCTGCCCTGAAAATCGCGCTGAAAATCGCGGCTGGACTCCTTAGGGCTTCCCCCCACAATTCCTGTGCATTGATTTCACATGGAGTCCCCAGAAATTTGGGGGACTGGGAGCTGGGTACAAGTGGTAGATGCTGAAGGCTAACACAAAATCAGGGCCTCTTTCAGAAACCCAGGTTTCCCACCTCCCTTTGTAGGGTGCAATGAAACCCAACAGAGTGGCCAGAGACAGGGACTTTTGTCTTGGGAGAGTACTGTTTCCTGTTGATGATATAGCTAGACGTCTTCGGAGAAAACCTTTCACTGAGAGATCTAGTCGCTTCTGCTCTCAGTTTGGGCTATAAACAGGAAATAGAGAGAGCTGCTTAGAAATGAGATATCATTATAATCAAAATAGCTCTTGTTGATTTTTGCTTTCTCCTGGAATTCCAGTTTCCATTTAGTGGAAGAAGGAGGTTTCCCAGCAGATCCAGGCCTTCCACAGCCTATGGGGTACGCGAGGGCCTCAAGTTGCAAAGCAGGCAGGCCAGACCCCCAGGGCCATGGTGGCCTCTGAGCAAATGCAGGAGTCCCTCTCCCTGGGAGAAGTGCCAGAGAGGACTGTTCTGGGAGAGATTTCCAGAATTCCAGTATCCTTTCTTCTTCAGACCACACAGCCTCAGTCCTAAATCCTTTACCATTCATTCATTCATTCATTTATTCATTCCCTCATCAAACAAACATTGTTTGGGTCACTTTTGTGTGCCAAGCACTGTGGTAGACACCAGAACTATTGCAGAGAAAAAGACCAAGTCCTTGCTTTCAAGAAGCTTATGATCTGGTGTGAGAGATAGATACTCAGATACTCACACACCATCCTGCCTGTTGGAGAATAACTTCAAGTGGTCTTCATGGTACCCCAAACCCACAAATTTAAACACAACAAAGTCAACTTTCCCTGGTTGACTCATCCACCACTTTCTGTTCCTCCCAGAGCTTCCTTAAGCAGGCCATTGTGGTGGTTTTGAGACATGTCTAAAAATTCTTTGACACTTCTCCCTTCAAGACATGGAGTCTCAGCCAAGTGCGGTGGCTCACGCCTGTAACCCCAACACTTTGGGAGGCCAAGGCGGGCAGATCACCTGAATTCAGGAGTTTGAGACCAGCGTGGCCAATATGGTGAAATCCCATCTCCACTAAAAATACAAAAATTAGCTGGGTGTGGTGGCGCCTGCCTGTAGTCACAGCTACTCGGGAGTCTGAGGCACAAGAATCACTTGAACCCAGCAAGTGGAGGTTGCAGTGAGCCAAGATCGTGCCACTGCACTCTAGCCTGGGCAACAGAATGAAACTCTGTCTCAAAAAAAAAAAAAAAAGACACGGAGTCTCACTGCGCTACCCTTGCATATGGGCTGGCCTTAGTGCCTTGCTTCTAATACATAGAAGGTGGCAGAAGCGATGCTGTGAGACTTGGAGGCTGGGCAAGAAAAGGTAATACATCTTCTGCCTGGTTCTCTGTCTTGAGATACAGCTGCTGAGCTGTGAAGAGCCCCTTGCCACATGGAGATGCCCTGGGGAGATGTTCTCGCTGACAGCCCCAGCTGAGGTCCCAACAGCCAGCCAGCATCTACCACCGGACACGAGGGGGAGGAAGCCTTCAGGATGACTCTTGACTCTTGCCCCAGCTACATCTAACCACCAGCTTGTGACAGATCCCAAGAACTACATAGCTGAACTGCAAGAGATAATAATAACAACAACAGCATAGAACATAAATCATTTTCGTTTTAGCTTCTAGGTTTGGATGATTTGTTATGTGGCAAAAGACAACCAGAACAATCCTAGAAACACCGTGATGGAACTCCGTTCCTTAACAACTTTGCTACTCAAGGAGTGGCCGGCAGACCCGCGGCACCAGACCACCTGGGAGCTTGCTACAAACACAGACCATTGAGTACCGCCTGAGACCTACTGAACCAGAACCTGCATTTTCACAAGACTGCCAAACATTTCACATGCATGTTAAGCTTTAAGAAGCACTGCTTAGCAAGACTGTTTTGAAAGTACATTATTTTAAGGTCATGCTTTAAAATATTCAAACACCAAAAAATAACGTAACAGACACCAACGTACCAACCATCCAGATTTAAAAGATAAAAAATAGCAAGCATATATTCTGTGCTGAATACTATTGTAAGATCTTTACAAATATTGACTCCTTTAACCTTCATGACAGCCTTGTGAGAGAGGCACTACTTTGTCATTCATTGTTATGTGATAGAGGAAGAAACAGGACAGAAAGATTAAGTCATTCACTCAAGGTCACACAAGCTCATAAGCAGCAGTACTGGTATTAGAACATTAGCAGTACTAAATGCAGGGTACCTGGCTCCAGGGTTGAGCTATTCTGCTAAACATTTAACACTTTGCCACCTCTTCCTTGATATCTTAAGTCTATCAAGGCTCTTCTGAAATTAGTCTCCATCTCTCCCTTTTCTTTTGCACAGCCACCATCCTAGTTTAGTCTAGGACTTGTGCAACACTGCCCTGGCTGCCTTGAACCTCTGGTATGGCACCATTCAATCCATTTTCTACGATGCCCCAGATTGATCTTTCTGCCGACACTGATCTTTTCATCCTCCCTGCCCAGATAGTTTTAGTGCCTCTGCTCTGCCTGGCACCTAAACAGGTCAACTTGGACTCCAAGTCCCTTGAAACCCCATCCCAAATCTAGTCTCCAACAAAAAACAAAACAGATCACAACATCATCACCGGGTCCCCATCACCACACACAGGAGCTTCATGGTTTGCTTACACATTTCCTCCTGGCTGGGTTGCCTTTTCCCTTGCCTGGTCCTACAAACTCCATCTCAAATCCCACCTCCTTGGCAAATCCTTCGTTGACTACTTTTAGTTTAAAGTATGAACTCCCACTTCTGAACTCAGTAACACTTAGAAACATCTTAATATCTCTTTTTAGCTCTTTTTTTTCCCCCTGAGTATCTTCAATGGCCAGGTACTGCACGAGGCATTTATTTTTTTATTGTGGTAAAACATACATAATACCATTTACCACTTTAAGTTTACAGTTCGATAGCATTAAGTACATTCACACTGTTGTGCAACCATCACCGCCAGCCATTTCCAGAACTTTTTCATCATCCCAAACTGAAATTCTGTACCCATTAAACAATAACTCTCCTTTCTTCTCTCCCCCAGGTCCTCTGGTAACCTTTCTGTCACTACGAATTTGACTAGTCTAGATATCTCATGTAAGTGGAATAATACAATATTTGTCCTTTTCTCTCTGGCTTGTTTAACTTAGCACTATGTTTCATGGTCCATCCATGTTGTGACATATATCAAAATTTCATTCCTTTTATGGCTGAATAATATTCCATTGTAGGGATATATCACATTTTGTTTATCCATTCATCTGTGGATGGACACTTGGGGTTTTTTCCGTCTTTTGGCTATTGGAAATAATGCTGCTGTGAGCATTGGTATACAAATATCTGTTCGAGTCCTTGCTCTCAATTCTTTTGTGCATGAGGCATTTTAAACTTTATTCTCCATACAAATCTATCGTAGGGATTATTAGTCCCACTTCATAGGAAAAAGAGGTTCAGAGAAGTTAAGTGACTTTTCCAGGGCCATGTGTCTAGGGCTTATAAATACTGTTTTCCTGAGGATTCTGCTTTTACTAATAAACATTTTATTTTCTAGAAGAGATGAGTATCTAACTTAATAAGGATTCCATAATTCAAGGTTCTATGTGTTATCTCTGTCAATGTTGATGGTAATGACAATGGCAAGAAACAGATGAAAGATGACACATCCTTGTGTCCAGCAAAGGTGAGGAGGGAGACATTTTCTTCCCTTCCAGCATGAATCTAGATTCTAAGTGTCTGGATGAGCTAATTAGGTCCTGAACATATCCTTGACTTGAAAATCTGTAACTGTAACACCCAAGGGAAGCTCCATGGCCTGAGAGTTATTTGCCATTTTTTGATTTAGGGTCAAGGAATAGAAATAGCCAGACAGTTTGCTTCCAGGAGCAAAGTTATACTCAAGTCCAAAGCCTTGAGCTCAAGTTCCCAGCTGAGGTATAGTAAGAGCTCAATATGATGGTGGCTGATATTTAGGTGGTAGGCAGGCAAGCCAGCCTCCCCAGTGTGACCAGTACTGTGGGGTTTCCTGGGACAGAAGCTTGCAGAGCAAAAACCAAGAAAGTCACAGGCTAAATTGGGTTAAGTTGGCGACCTTAACCTAAAGATCATTGTGGAAGGAAAAGACATAATTAATCTTGCATCTGTCCCTTCTTCTCTCGCTCCTACTGGTTCAAATCTCTGACCTCCCAGCTGGTCTCCTGCAATAGCTCCCTCACTGGCCTTCCTGCCTCTGCCTCTGCCTGCAGTAGCCCATTTGGCACAATCTGCCCTGATCAAAAACCTTCAATCTTCTTCACCACTAAACCAATTTAGCTAGGGCCAAAACCTCTCATTCCTGTAAGCACCAGACAGGTCATGTCCATGAGAGACACAGCTCTGGTGTAAGACAATGGGAACTGGTAGGGCTGCAGCCAGGCCTATGCCGAACATTTCTGGGGCTTGGAGCAAGTGCACAAATAGATGCTGACATACAGTATATCTCAATATCTGAAATCAAATTCAAAATTATTAAATATTTTATGTTCTCTCTTACTAAGTTGGCAAATATACTTCATACTGACTGAGAAGGCCAAGTTCAAATTGTGAGTTCTTGGATTCCTGCGTGTCCCATATTGAGATTTGGTGGTGCAGAGCGAGATTCTGTGGCCTGTTACCTTCTTCCCTACTCTTTGTACCCTCTGCTCTGTCCTGCACCTCTAGAGGCCTTGCACACCCATGGTGGACACCCTAGCCTGCACCTCAAAGGTCCATCCACACATACGCTACCTTCAAGGCAAACTGCTTCCCTTTGGTACACCCTTCAGAGTGGCCCATCCTTGGGAAGACAGATGCAGAGAAGAGGCCCATGTGAGTTCTGGATGTGAGCTGGGACCGTTCAGGAGACAATTCAGAGTCTTGGGAGGTGAAGCACAGTCAGGGGACAGGGGTAGGGAGCAGGCAAGTCACCTTGGCCCAAAGACTCCTCACCCCTTAGAAAAGAGTGTGACTAGAGCAAGGCCCTATAAAGCCCAGGGCCCAGTATGGGGGCTGTGCTTGCTTGAGTCTAAGATGAGTAAAGGCCCATAGGAAAGCAGATGCTGCATCTAAAGAGGGCAGCTAAACTCAACTCTAGCTAGTTCCCACCTCCTGGAAATGTGGCTGAGTCTGGCTAGATCTTGCAGTCTTTTAAGAGAAGATGAAATGTAGGATGGGCTGGTTATAAATTCAAGTGAAAACCAAAGCAAACATCCTTGTGTGAATCAATACAGTAAAGGCCAAACACAATATGTCTATGGGCTTGACCTTGAACTTTCAGTTTATAGCTGCTTCCTCGAGGAAGTACCTGTCTCTCTACATCCTGGCATACAGCCACTTCTTTCACCTTGTCTCCTTCAGTCCCTTCAGGCTAAACAAATCAGACAACCAGCCCAAGCTTCCTATTTCAGGCCCTTTGCTCAGTCAATTCCTTCTTTCTGCAATACCCTCCCCTGGGTCTTCTCCTTGCTTACTGAAAACCATACTCATTCTTCAAGAACAAGTGCAAACCGAACTCCTCCAGGATGTCTGTCCTCATAACTCCTAAAGTTCCAGACCAGAGTATGAATCCTAGCTCTGCAATTGTACACAAGCACAAGTGCTCTGAACCTCACATATAAAATGGGATATTTCCATTAACCTTGAAGAGCTACTTCTCATGAAAGTTAAATAAGATAATCTATGTTAAAACATTTGTTGGGAGGCCGAGGTGGGTGCATCACCTGAGGTCAGGAGTTTGAGACCAGCCTGGCCAACATGGCAAAAATCTCATCTCTACTAAAAATACAAAAGTTGGCCAGGCTTGGTCGCATGCACCTGTAATCCCAACTACTCAGGAGGCTGAGGCAGGAGAATCGCTTGAACCCGGGAGGCGGAGGTTGCAGTGAGCCGAGATCGTGCCACTGCACTCCAGCCTGGGTGACAGAGTAAGACTCTGTCTTACAAAAAAAAAAAAAAAATTGGCACAGTTCAGGGCATTTAATCAGTGCTCAGTAACTGCTAGTGGAATAGGAATAGGAATGAGATTTTGAGTATCTTACTTATGCTTTAATTGGGGGCCAGTAAACTTTTTTGGTAAAGTACCAGACAATAAATATTTTAGGTTTATGGGCCATATGATTTTTTTCCCAACTACTCAATAAGGCATCCATAAACAATACTTAAATAAGTGGACATAATTCTGTTCCAATAAAACTTTATTTACAAAACAGGCAGAGGACCACATTTGCTCCAAAGGCCATAGTTGCTGATCCCTACTTCATACCATTCTTAGGGGTTGTTCCCTGGCTCTCAAAGCTGCTGATACTATTCTTACTAATAGCTATATTTTAGTTCTGCCAGTATTTACCAGGCAGTGTCCAAAACACTTTGTAAGAGATTTAACCCTCTTTGCCATTCTACACATGAAGAAACTGGGGTACAAGAGGTAGCAGTCGAACCAGAACTCTGAGCAACTGTGCAGTAATGTGTTCAGGACTTGGGCAGCACCTGCACAGTCTCGGGTATGCTTCTTGGCTGTTGTTGGATGAACATACATTTGCAAACGACTTCAAGTCATGCTCCTCTCTCCCATGCAATGTTGGTGGCAATTATAACTACTGAAAACTTAGTAGGGAATTCTCCTCCACTGATGAGTGTGGGCAGCAGCAAGTGGCACAGGCCAGAAGCCAGTGGGTCTCTATCTGCCTAGTAAGTACTGGACTTGATAGTGGTTCTGCTGTTCCTTTTCATTAGTACCCACAGGAATATGAAACTGATCAAAAATGGTGAAGAAAAAAAGGAAATGCTTTGATGTGGATGAGGCTGACTGTCACCCTACAACACTCTGATCCTTCAGAACAGTTTGCGTACAGGAGTCTTGCCGTGCCCTCAGCATTGTGTCTGTATCATGGAGAATTGCCAAGGCATCAATAAAAGGAAAGGCTGGTTGCAGATGTGGAGTAGTTGACAAAGCAGAGATGCCCATCTCCATGCCAGAGGTCACACGACCATATGGTTCATCATCCCAACTGAACATTACTGAAAATTAGGCTGGTAAAACATGTGCAAACTGGGACATATGGTCACCCCAGTCAGAGAAATCTTTCTTCTAAGTGGCCACTCAATAACAATTCATGCTTGGGCAATGCCGCCCCTGAGAAAAGAGCAACTGGTTCTGCCCTTTCATTCTGCTCCATGATCCCAGCTACAACATCATGAAATATCTACCCCATACCATGTGTTTATACCATGCTAAACTTCACTGGAGAAAATCAAGGAAGAATATGCCTGGTCCCTGGAAGTATGTCTTCATTACCGGTTCCTAGAAGTCAAGTCCATAGTCTTCAGGGTATAAACTGATTCCTGCAACTTGACAGGCTACAGCAAGTTTAATATATGTGCAATGCTATGATTATAAAGTAAGTTTCTGGTTGAATTTTAGCTATATGTTCCAAAGAACGGATAGGTTGCTTTTGCCTGAGCAGGTGTAGTATGCATGTTATGCACTGAACAACTCCAAGAGCACCATTCACATTGTACTTGATGTGAATGGAGCCTTCCAGGATTGTGCAGTATGCAACCTGAACAATCATACTTGGCAGCCCTGCTGGGGAGCTCCAGTTCCATTCCCACCAGCCAGAACTGGTGTGCTTCAGTAGCCTAATCCTTGCACAGCTGGTCACCCTCAGGATACCTGTTTGCCTAAACACTTTTCCCTCAAATAGTAAACAAGCACCCACACTGCAAGGCATAGGAAGACAATTTGTCTATGATTCTGCTGCTAAACTTGCTTGGGAACTGCTGAGGGAAGTTCAGCCTCTCCTCTGGCCTGGTAAGAGAAGACCCATGGCTACCTGCACACCATACCAATCTGTTCTCTTCTGACATACGGGAGAAAATAAAACTACAATTTCCTTTTCTGGCAAGGGCTCCTGTCCCCTCCTCTCCCATCCTTCCTACTGACTCTTGGGAGCCAAAAGATAGCATTACATCTTTTTTTTCTTTTTAAAGAAATAGGGTCCTGCTATGTTGTGCAGACTAGACTTAAATTCCTGTGCTCAAGCAATCCTCCTGCCTCAGCCTCCTGTGTAGCTGGGATTTACAGGCACATACCACCGTGCTCAACTTATGCATTATATCTTGATTGTCATTTTTCATCTATGGTCTATAAGTCTGTGTCTCAGGGTGAAAGTCAACTACTTCAGAGATCAAAGGTGCTGCTACTGATCCATTTTGGAACTAAAAAATTAGTATTTTATCCAATGAATACAGAGGAGCCCCACTGAAGGGTCAGCCGTATGGTAAAGACAGCAGGAGTGCAGTGTGCAGAGGAGGGCTGATAGCGAAAGGTGGGTGGGTGCAGGGGGCAGTATGAGATGAAAGCACTGCAGCTGGGCTGAGCAGGATGAAGGCTTCTCCAGGGGAAGAGGGACATGATTCCAAGTGTGCACAGAACAGCATGGGCCAAGTGTGGGGAAGGGGTGAAAATGGCCAGTGAGGGCCAGGGTGGGATCCTTAATTAAAAAGAAAAATTTATGTTGGGAATCAGTGGGAACTAAGGTTTCGCGGAGGGGGGTGATGGAGAAGAAGTTGTTGCATTTTAGCAAATGTTGAATTCCAGAGAGAAGGGTTTGATCTTAATTCTGGAGAAAGAGAACAAAGCAGTGATTCTCTGTTCTTACTGAGTAGGAGAGTGCCTTAGTGATGAGGATGGATGCTTGTACGCTCACAATGAGAGTTTCCATTACCCAGCCACTGCCTCAGGAAATTATCCAAAAATTCCCACGTCTCCTTCCAACATTCAATGAGGGAAATTTTCTCCTGGTAGGTGAAAAGACATGAAAACAAACTCTCTTCAGCCAAACTTCAGCTAACTAACCCCATTCAACTTGGAGTTTCTATGCCTAACTTTCTATCTACCACTTCTAAAATTCTTTGGATCAATGGAAATATTAGGATTTTTTTTTTTTTTTTTTTGAGACGGAGTCTTGCTCTGTCACCCAGGCTGGAGTGCAGTGGCGTGATCTCAGCTCACTGCAAGTTCCGCCTCCCGGGTTCATGCCATTCTCTAGCCTCAACCTCCCGAGTAGCTGGGACTACAGGCGCCCGCCACCATGCCTGGCTAGTTTTTTTGTATTTTTAGTAGAGACGGGGTTTCACTGTATAGGCTAGGATGGTCTCGATCTCCTGAGCTTGTGATCTGCCCGCCTCGGCCTCCAAAGTGCTGGGATTACAGGCTTGAGCCACCACCCCTGGCCTGGATCTTTATACTTAAGACAACTCTCTATGGTGTATTACAGAGCAAAGAGGCTAAGTGTCTGACCCAAAGACACAGAGCTATTAAAGAGCAGAACTGGCTTACTGCTTTCAGACCCAGTACACTGGACATTCATGGAGCAGGGAGTCACAAGTGAGAACAAGAGAAGGAGCCTGTATTTTGTCCAGAGTTAAACATTGTCTGTGGAGAGAAGCACTGTCAGCCTGTTGCTCACAAACTCAACGTTCCTTTGGAGAAAACATCTAGAATAGGGGAGCAGTGGCACGTGTCTGCAGTATTCTCCCTCAAGGTGGGGGGGTTTGCCAAGTCTCCAAGGAGAAAGTGAGGGCACAAAGATGGCAGGCAAAGACGATTCTGTTCATATATTTAAAAGGAAGATTCAGACTCTTATTTTCAACCATGGGGAACTACAAATTTTGGTCAGGCAGGTATTCCCCCCACTGAATTTCATACACAGGAAAATAGCCACAGGGTTTCAAGACCCTGGAACAAGGCAGTGACGGGTGGCTTACTAGTAACTTCACAGGGCCAGGCACAGCAGATGGCTGATGTGATGGCTTCTAAAGGCCAGGGACTTCAGCACCTTCAAGGAACAACTCCCCTCCTCTTAATGTCTTTCTCTTTCTTTTCCTTCCTTCCTTCCTCTCCTTCCTCTCCTTCCCTTCTTTCATCCTTCCTTTCTTCCTTTTCTTTCTCTCTGTCCCTCCTTCCTTCTTTCTTCCTTCCTTTTCTCTCGCTCCTCTTCCTTTTCTCCTTCTCTTTTTCTTCTCTCCTTTCTTTTTAAATTATAGAAAAATACTCCTGAGGTTGGCGTCCACTCAGAATGTCACCCACAATCACGTTGTCTCATTTTATAGATGAGCAAGTTGGGACCAAGAGAGGAAAAATGACTTCCTCTAAGTCATACGATAAAGGCATAAATGAGACAAAGCTCAGTCCATGGGTCCCTTTACACTCAAGAATGCTGCTTCTGTCACATCATGTTTTTGTTGTTTTCAAAATAGACCCAAGATCTTAGAATTAAGTGGTTTGGTTGATAAAGTAGTATTATGTGGTACATTTTACAAACTGAATTGCTCAAACAAGTGAGAGAAGTAAACGTTCAGTAATATAAGCTAGATGGAGTTTTCTAATTTCATCTTATTTTTCTCTTGGCCTAATTTCTCCATCTGTTTCTTTTTCTGCTGTTTTTTTTTTTCAATCAACTGCCTCAAATATATTTCTTTTGTAATGGGAAGGAAAGGAGAAGGGAAACATTCCTAACAGAAGCCTTGCAAGGTAGGTATTATTCCCATTCTACAGAAGAAGAAACTGAGGCTTGGTGAATTGAAATTAATTGCCTAAGATTACTCAGCTGGCCAATGACAGACTTGGGCTTTGCTTTGTTCCTGAATCCAAAGCCCGTTTTTCTTGGCTTGCAGAATTGAGGCAAGAATCATAGCCCGGACTCACTGCGGCCAGCCCTGGGCACCCGTGTGCTGCTGTTTCCAACACTGGCTGAATCTCCATTAGAATCACCTGGAACCATTTAATAAATGTGCCAGGCTTCACCCTACCAATTAAATAATGATCTCTGGAGTGGGGGCCCTCATAGCATTATATTTTGGAGAAAATGTCCCAGGTTCTAATACATAGCAAGCAAGAAATGAGAACCAGAGAGCTGCAGCCTGGTGCTTCCTGGGAGAATTAATAGGCTTCTTAAAAGTTCAGTTCACCCTGCAGGTGGGAATGCATCTCAGCTGAAAAATGTTTAAGTTCATTCAGTAGAAAAGAGGAGAGAAGAAAGGAGTGAAGAGAGAAGAGAAAAGTGAAGCTGAGCTGTCTTTGGGAGAACCTTTTTCTACTCATGTCTGCTGCTTCTCTAGTGCTGAGCCAGTTTACAGCTTGCATTGACTAAATCCCTGACTCTTCAAGAGTCAACCAAGAAGTCTTCTGTGCGGGAGTCAGCTTGCTAACGCCCAGGAGGCAGAACAAAGGCTAAACGCTGGAGTGTTTTATAGTGGAGCCAGCCATTTGGTCCATCAGTCTCCCCATGTGCTTGTATATTGCATTCCCTTCCCCTTCTATCTGAAAACTCACATCTGGCCACGTAACTTTGCTCAATTAACTCAGCAAGAGCCCAATCAGATCTAGCCTCCATCGGTGAAAAATTGCTTATGCCAGAGACAGCTCTTTAGCTGGAACAGATGTTACTTTTGTTTGTTTAAACGATCGTGATCTTACTGGAGAGTTTAAGTTTGCTACTGATGTACTCGATTCAATCCTTATAAAAGGAACAGCATGACAGGCACCTGGTGCAATGGAAAGAATTTGAAGTCACCCTGCCTGGGTCTGAATCCCAGCTCTGTGTCTCTGCTCTTCTTGTGGCTTTGAGCAAGTCACTTTCTATTTCTAACCCTAGTCTCTTTGAAACGAGGAATTGGGATTTTTATTTTTTTTAAGAGGATGCAAGGAGGCAAGACAGTGTTTCCTAAATTTTGGGGGTAAGTGGGCATGGCATTATGTAACACTGACTCACATAGCAAGAAAGTTACTGCTATCTTGATTCTCTTTCACTCCCATCTGATTATATTAAAGAGATGGAGCTATGTTTTTGACACCTCTCTAACCTGGCTATTTCCTTCTTTTAACAGGAGCGAGCTGGTACACACAGGACAAAAATAACAAATATGATGCCCAAAAGTCTGAAGTTTGAGGAAAAACTGAGTTAAGGTATGTGACAGCACCTCACACTGAGTCTCTGAGCTATAGTTAGAATTTAGGCAGTCTTTCAGGAAAAGTAGAAAAGCTGACTCTATCTTTGTACTCTGACTGGAAATAAGTTCTTGAAGAAATGGAATTTGATTTGGCAGATTCTGATAGTCTGAATAATTCACACTAACTGCAGAATTTATCTCACTTTCAGGTTGTCTGAGGTTGACCTAAGAACCCTGGCCTGAAGAGAATAGGCCCACAGCTCGTGTTTTTAATATTCAGTGACTTGGAAATATTTTTTTTAATTTGGGAAATACAATTATCATCTTAAATGTAATTAGCCTTGGCCAGATGCGGTGGCACACACTTGTAATCCCAGCGCTTTGGGAGACTGAGGCAGTCAGATCACCTGAGGTCAGAAGTTTGAGACCAGCCTGGCCAACATAGCGAAACCCCATCTCTACTAAAAATACAAAAATTAGCCTGGCATGGTGGCATGCGCCTGTAATCCCAGCTACTAGAGAGGCCAAGGCAAGAGAATCGCTTGAACCTGGGAGGCGGAGGTTGCAGTGGGCTGAGATCATGCCACTGCACTCTAGCCTGGGTGACAGAGTGAGACTGTCTCAAAAAAAAAAAAAATTAGTCTTTCCTTAAAACAAACAAACACTAAATCATATCAGTTTTTTTGTTTTGTTTTGTTTTGTTTTTTTTAAGACAGAGGAGTCTTGCTGTGTTGCCAAGTTGGAGTGCAGTGGCACGATCTCGGCTCACTGCAACCTCCGCCTCCCAGATTCAAGCGATTCTCCTGCCTCAGCCTCCTGAATAGCTGGGACCACAGATACGCACCACTACACCCAGCTAATTTTGTTGTATTTTTAGTAGAGTTGGGATTTCACCATATTGGCCAGGATTTATGACAAGCCCTGGGAGTAAAGATCTCTGTTTCATTAGTCCTTTGAATTATCAAGCTTCTGTGAGGATTATTGCTCTTAGGAAGATAAAAAAAGTGGACAATACAGAATAGTAGTATTCTACAACCACATGACCTCAGGAACACAATCAAAGACTAAGGATTAGGAAGGCATGGAAGATCACATTTCAATTTAAATAAGTATGGGCTGTGCCTCTTGTTATTTTTGCTAAGAAGGAACATGAAGCCTCCAGAACTATTGAGGTGTTGACTACAAAGTATCTATTTATTTTCCTGGGAATGAAACTTTTTACCATGAAACACAGGATACCCTAAAGTTCCTTACAAACTTACACTGTTCATTTAACCTAAGGTTAATTCATCATTATATAAGTCACATGGGTTCCTCTGTAGCAAAAGCACTAGATTCTGGCATTAGCTTTCTGCTTGTAGCCTGTTCAAAACTAAAAATGCCCTTAGAAGATTTGAATCCCAACACAGTACAAAGCCTCATTCATCCAAAGAGTTCAGGGGACTTTAGTTCTGAGTCTGCTGTTATCTTGCTAAGGTAAGTCCCATTTCCACCTAGGACTTATTTGACCCAGCCATAAAATGAGTGAATGATGGTAGATTAGGGGTCACATGCTCAAATGCCAATAGGGGCCAGGCAGGTGATACAGACAAAGGAAGTGGGCCAAGAGTAAGAATAATAGAAGGTGGTAAAAATAATAGGAGATGGTGGTGGTGTTGGTGTTGGTGGTGATGAACAACGGAATATGGCTCCTCTAAAGTTAGCAACCACCATCAGCTCCAGACAATTGCCAGTGGGGAGAACAGGCTATTATTGCCAGAGACTGAATTCTCAAGAGAAGTCGGAAATATACTTTTAAAATAAGAACTCTCTTAATTTATTATTATTGGCAATGAATTCAAAATGATTTTTAATTGCTGTGCAGGTAAACTAACCTTACTGTAGGCCAGATTCAGCCCAGAATCTGCATAACCATTTTCTGACTTCTGCCCTACATGATCACTTAAGATCTTGCAACCTTAACTTCTTTTTTTTTTTTTTTTTTTTTTTATTATACTTTAAGTTTTAGGGTACATGTGCACATTGTGCAGGTTAGTTACATATGTATACATGTGCCATGCTGGTGCGCTGCACCCACTAACGCGTCATCTAGCATTAGGTATATCTCCCAATGCTATCCCTCCCCCCTCCCCCCACCCCACTACAGTCCCCAGAGTGTGATATTCCCCTTCCTGTGTCCACTTCTAAATAGCAAATCTTTGCTTTTTTGTGCTGTTGATAAAATGCAAGATTTAATACTGTTTGAGAAAAGCAGGACAGAAGCTAGGGCTTGGGGGCTGCTGGGGAGATGATGTGGTCTATTAATAGCTGCACAAGGATGATATAGCCTAGATCAAAAGGCATTTGCATAACACCATAGGGCAGCTGTTCCTCTTTGCTGTTATGACAGTGGTGAAATAGTAACAATACCATCATCAGCAACAATAACAAAACCCCCTTTGCTTTTTCAGAGACTGACGTGCCACTCCTAGACTTTATAGAGTTGTTTTGGGCAATTTTGTTAATCCTTTTTATGAATGGTGAAGGAAAAACTGTCAAATAGAACAACAGGACTCCTGATGAACAGATAAGAAAACAAAGTGATTTTACCCTCCGCTTCTCCTTTGGTAAGGAAGCGCTGCAGAGATGCCTCCCAGCCTCCAGGGGGTGGTATAATTAACAGAGCATTTGCTTGAGTAGGTAAAGGTGCAAAATAAGAACTGGTGCCATTGGGTCTTTCTTGCATAAATAACCTCATTATCTAAATCTTTTTGTCTCCAGTCTCAGGGGCATCTCCACACTACTTTCTTTTCTTTTTTTTTTTTTTTTTTTTTGAGATGGAGTCTTGCTATATCACCCAGGCTAGAGTGCAGTGGTGCGATCTCAGCTCACTGCAGCCTCCACCTCCCAGGTTCAAGCAATTCTCCGGCCTCAGCCTCCTGAGTAGCGGGGATTACAGGCACGTGCCACCAAGCCCAGCTAATTTTTTATTTTTAGTAGAGATGGGGTTTCACCATGTTGGCCAGGATGGTCTCTATCTTCCGACCTCATGATCCACCTGCCTCAGCCTCCCAAAGTGCTGGGATTACAAGCATGAGCCACCGCACCTGGCCTCCAGCGCCCGGCCTCCACACCACTTTCATAACATAGCTCTCTGTGTGGGAGGAAGTAAAGACAACTGAGGTTGGAACTTGGCCCTCCTCCACCCCACACGGATTTTTAGCCCTGCCACATTAGCCAAAGTACTTACTATCTCTATAACTCAGTTTCCTCATGTATAAAAGGACAGTAACCTCAATGGCTACATTACAAAGTTGATGTGAGATTAAAGGAAATCCTACCCTATCAGGTGAAATGTCTAGGTCTACTTGGTAGTACTGAACTACATTCCCTTCCAAAGTTCTAATTTTCTCATCTAATTCCTCCTGCTATATTTAGAGTTCATCTGGTAATCATTTGCCCTCCATGATGAGATATAATCCCCAGAATCGAATTATGAGGTTGAACTATATGGAACTGTCAATAGTCAATATTATGGATCTACAAAATGGCAATTTCATAAGGTTCAATGTACTACAAAACTAGTCACAAATCTAAAGGAGGCCAAAGCAGCTTCCCTTTCTATACTAGTTCTGAAACACACCTGAACAGCTTATAATCTCTATATTTGGACAGCATGAGGCCTCTGGTTGGGCAACAGACACTTTCTCATTATAACTAAACTAACATTTGTCATCTACTTCCAGCTTACACAGTGCTTTTAATAAATATAATTTCCTTTAACTTCACAACAACACTAGGGATGAATGTAAGCACACGACTTTCCATATGCTCCTACATTTGAACCCGTTGGTATGCTCTAGAACTGTGGGATGTGTAATGTGCTATCATGGTTCCAGCCTACCTAACTACACATTAAAAAGTATTTCAATTAACAAAGAGAATAATGTAAAGAAAGCCCTGCCATTCACTGTGTAAGATGAATCTGACAAAACATAGCTCCACAAACAACTGCACTAAATGCTTAGGTACATAGGGAGCACCCAGTTCTGGTATCCCCAGCACTTTTGATGAGGACAAGATGTTCTTGCATTTCCTCCACGTTCTATTGGTTGAAACTCTTGTCAATCTTAACCTGGCGGTTTGAGCAATCTATAAAACACCACTCATATTTCCATCTTTAAAGTTACCTTCCATGCATAAAGACATTTAAAAAATCTACCATGGAACCCAACCAGATGAGAACTCCCAACTGATTCATTTACTTAATCTCCTCAAAGAAAACCATTTTCTGTGACTGCTCTGCAGGTGGTAGGCATCATATCTACTCTTCATTCATTCTTTCATGCAATAATTTTTTGAAACTTTTTTTTTGGAGCACTTACTATGGACCAGGCCCTGTTTGAGGCCAGGGGTTGGCAAATTATAAGCCCATAGGCCAAATCGGACCCAGCATTTGTTTTTGTAAATAAAGTTTATTAGAACATGGCCATACTCATTCATTTAAATGTCATACATGGCTGCTTTGCAGCAGAGCTGAGTAGTTGTAACAGAGATCATTTGGCCCACAAAGCCAAAACTATCTGGCCATTTATTGAAAAACTATGCTGACCCTGTTCCAGGTAAAGAGAGGTGAACAAGAGAAACAAAGTCCCCACGTGTCTTCAGATGCTCTTAAACAGCAGACTGCACCAGATGAACCCTGTCACTTAGCCTAAGGGGCAGCCCAAGTTTGATCACAGTCTGGGCTGCTGCTGGGAGCTTGCAAGGAACAAGAAAAGGATGACAGTTGTGGAGAGAGACATGCAAAGGGGGTTAGAGGGAGGACATGTTGGGAGATTGGATTAGTGTAGAAACCAACTACAACAGGTGGGCCATGAGGATTCCCACCAAGGGGCACCCAAACCGGCGGTCCAGGTACCACATGTATCAGAATCACCTGGAGACATTATTACAAATGCATGCTACTGGGCCCCACCTGGGAATCGGAATCTGAGTTCCAGAGGTGTGACTAAGCTTCCACACTGTTAACAGGTACCCCCGGGTGATTCTGAAGCACACTGGAGTTTGAGAGGCACTGGGTTAGTGTTTAGTTTTAGTGAACAGCGGAAGGTGCTCCCAACACGGTCTGGCCTGAAGTCCGCTAGTGGCAGGTGAGAAGGGGAAAGAATCAGGGCACAGACACACAGAGGTAGATGCAGTGAAAAGGCAGTTTATTGTCTATTAATACTGTACAGAGGAACAGAGAGAAGCTACAAGTACAGCATCAGCTGTCGCTGGTAGTGTCTTTTCTGAAGTCGGTTTTTATTTTGTTTTTCATCTGAAGGAAACAGAACAGTCAAAGTACACTTCAGGTTACAAAGTACAGCAGCTAGCCCAGTAAGCTAATTCAGAGTAAGCACGACAGGCTCCCACCCCCACCCCCACCAACCAACCACAAATGAAAGTATTTACAGAGACATCACTCACCCCGAGTGAGATGCTAAAGCTGAAAATTTCACCAACAACCTACATTCACTGAGAAGCTGCATCAGACACAACATTTTCTGGAACCCCTGTATGATTTTGACTCTCCTAAGTCAGGAGCTTGAGAGCAGGAAAGAATGTTCCAGAACCCTGCAAAGAATAGAACTCTTCCCACCTGCCAGAATAGGATATCACAGAATTGGAGTTGGAGCTACATACAGAATAGTTTGGATCAGGCATTGCCTGGTGGCCTCTGTGTATATCAAGACCTGTCATTGCAAAACTAAGTGACTGGATGTCTCCCTGCCCACTTAATCTCGAAACCGAGAGGTTCCTTAGTAATAAGAGATTAGAGTAAACTGGCTCTCCATTAGCACCTTCAGGCAATTGCATAGTTCTTTCATTTTGGAGTTGTCTCCATGACAGCAGTGTTCACAGCTGGGCTGGAGTTGGGCCTGTTGGAGAGATTCTGGTGATGAAGGAATTTAAGCGATTTGCATGGGAACCAGAGGGGTTATTTCTCTTGAAAATGGAGTAGATATAACCTTGTCTTGTTAGAAAAAGGGTCTTGATCTCTTGGGTAGTAGAAAAAGGCCTCATCCTGAGGAAGGATGATGCTTGGGAAGAGAGTCTCACAAGAGTGGTGAGTAGTTTCTGAGACATGACAACTCTGTTAGCCAGACAGAGGAGCAGGTGTAGGGGAAGAGCTTCAGGAAACTGAGTGTGATAGGGAAGGGACTTCAGGAATTTGACAGAAACTTGGGGGAAAATATTCAGGAACTCTAAAAATTCAGAATCTCCTTTATGGATAAAGACAATCTTTTCCTGTATCTACTTAACTCTAAAAATACAGTGTAGCCCTGTGTTATGTAGAAGGCCAACTGATAATTGTTTTTTTGTTTTTTTTTTTGAGACAGAGTCTTGCTCTGTTGCCCAGGCTGGAATGGAGTGGTGAGATCTCAGCCCCCTGCAGCCTCCACCTCCTGGGCTCAAGTGATCCTCCTGCCTCAGTCTCCCAAGTAGCTGGGACTACAGGTGTGTGCCACCATGCTGGCTAATTTTTATATTTTTTAGTAGAGACTAAACAACATGGTCTCAACATGTTGCCTAGCCTGGTCTTGAACTTCTGGGCTCACACTATCCTCCTGCCTTGGCCCCCCAAAGTGCTGGGATTACAGGCATAAGCCACCTCGTCTGGCCCCTATAAGATTTATATTGGTGGTTTATCTGCTTATGTGTAGACTGAAGATGGTCAGAGGGCTCTGACTCACCGTTTCATATATATTTCTCAAATGCACCATAGTAAGTGGTCCCTTAACCTCAAATGTGGCAATTACTCCTTAAATATGTGAAAGATTTGGACTTTGATAGTTTCTGGGCTTTGCTTGCATTTAAAATAGCTATCTCCTTCCCAAAGATTATTATATATTATTAAAAGTATAGCCCAGAGAGCTATCAAGCCATCTATCTAATCTACCTAATGGCAGGTATAGAAAGCTCAATCTTCCAACCAAGGCCTATTTGGAAACACTGGATCTCATGTAATGGCAGTGCAAGGCCAAGTGACAGGCCCTTTGTTCATGCCCCCAAGGCTTGGCCTAGTGCTATAGGACTCCCCAGAAAGTTACCTTTAATGGAATGAAGAAATAGCTCAGTCAAGGGTGTTTTCCAACTCAAGCTCCATAATGTATATAGATTTCATTATAAAAATACTATTCCTTAAAAAAATACATAACTGTAAAATATTCCATTTCTACAGCCACTCCTATTCTCACCCATATCATCCTACTCATCTTCGACTATAACGAATGGGCACATTCCTCAGTCATGGCTCAATCATAGAATTTGAGTCCATCTCTCTTGCTTTTTCAAGCAATGCCAACTGTGCTTAAAAATATGCTCCCAGATCCAGTTGGGGGTCTGCAAGTTTCCTTCTCTCACAGTGGGAAGGACTGTGAGGAGACGACTACAAGAGGTCATGCGCTCCATGTGGCCTGTCTCCCTGAAAGGCAGGGTGTAAAATTTTGCAGGCTTATATGAGAACACAGATACGTGTTTGGTTGGTAGACGGGCAGAAGTAAATCCCAACCTATGCCCACTTTAGCCCCTTTGGGCCACACCTGCAAGGTTCTGCCTCAATGCTCCTGTAATGAAATTCACAGCTCTGAAGAAGGCTGGGTAGGAGTGGGGAAGAGAATGTTGTGTTAATACAGCTTTGGAATACAACCTGCGTTTTTTTTTACCAAAAAGGACAGAAAAGAAGAACATAAACAGTGATGCTAAGGCAAACTGTCAAATGGCACATCAGTACTATTTTTTGTCATTCATTTTGTTAACATCACAAGGCAGATACATTCTGTAAACATATATACCATACAGTACATTAACCATAGGAAAATAAAAAGAAAGCCACCCTGTAATTCTTTTCTTTCTGTATTTCTATTCTTTCACTCCAGAAGGACTGTCTGAAGTCTAGGGAGAATTTTATGATTTGTGAGATGTACTTTTTATTTTTATTTTTTGTAAAAATGCAGTGACTTGCAAAAAATAGCCCCAGGTGATTATGAAGAGGCAATATGAGGAGAAGACGACCCTTTATACCTCAACCTGTAAAAACTTAGAAAACAGACCCAAAATAGAAAAAGTCATTAATTTCAGAAAACATCTTGTTTTCCTGGTTAGTAAAAGAGAACATTGAAAAATTATTTTTATAAAAGTTAAGGCTGTCCAGATCTTTGATGCAGAAAGTCTGCAGTCCCCAAAATTACATATTATATTTTCATATTGAAATCAAGTTCTTTTGTGCGACAGTTCCGACCTTCTTATATTATACTGGAAAGGAGAGGGGAAGCAGAGGCTTACTTGAGTTATATAAAAATTATGCTGGGGAAGCTGGTCTAAGGAGCCCTGGTAAAATTCCCCTTTGTAGTCTTTATTCTATACCTTTCTACATTCAAACAATCAGTATTTTGGTTTTTGTTGAAATGGGAATTTTACTAAGAAGTTTGCTGAAGCTATGAAAACACAGATACATATCTGCATTGTGCTCCTAATAAACGACTTTTCTTTTTCCCTAGAAAATGCAGGAAAGTTTTCCTGGTAATACCAGAAGAAGGCCTTTGTGAAGTGAACTGGTGGTAGCAGGAATCAAACATCCCATCTTCCTCATTAATTAAGTTGTTTTATTATACAAATAACTGTGTGCTCTTGCTGTGTTGTACTATCCAATAGAACAAAGGATGTTTTCAGGTTCTATCCTAATCACTGGAGTTCAATATACCTTGATTAAGAAATTGAGGAGCACCTGAAAGATCGTGTATTTATGAAGTTTCTGAAACACCTATGTCTTACTTATGCTGAGAATCTGTGGTTTCAATAGCAAATGTGCATGTGGCAAAAATGCAATGTGAAATGGCTCACTTTGGAATGATTTTTATTGTAAACTAATATGGCAGGAGATGAGGTTATTTCTTCCAGGAAAGGACCTGTTAGTGAGTAAAACTCTCCAGTGGGTCCAGGGATGAGCAGAGATGACTGAGCTTCTAGATTTCAAGTAAATAAGAAAAAGTCCTCGATGCTTATTCTGTCTATGTCCATCTGCGTTTTATATTGGCAGGGCTAATATTTCTTACAAAGGAAGACCTGGTATAGTAGTTAGATTTTGTCTCTATGACCATGTTCCCTCCCTCCTCTTTTGCTACCCATTGGTTCAACTGGCATTAAATAAATGGTAATTTTCAAGGGTGTGCTGTGGTCCCTTGAAATGAAATTCTGCAGGAAGTAAAGAGAAATAGTCTGTTTTTACACTTGGCCTCAACATTTTGCTCCAGAGATGATATTGTATCTCTAGGAAACTCTCTCTTATACTTCCCCTCCTTTTATAAAAACTTGACTTTAACCAAAACAAAATATTCTACTTGCTTGTAGATAAAATACATTTATCAGCAGGAAATTAAATGGAATAGGTAGACGTTTTAAGCAAATACATGTCTATTAACATTTTGGAAAGGAACCAAATCAAATTAATAGAATTTGAGTTTCCTGAAAGCTTCTGAATAATTCTAAGATTGCTCAGAAGGCTCAAGGAAACTGTGTTTTAGGTTTGGCCATAAGGGCATTCCCTACCTTCTCTTCCACCCCATCACCAATATTAAATGATGTCACTGAACACTGTCAAATCAGTTTTAGAGGCAATTATTATTTTTTTGCTTATGCAAGGAAAATAATATGGGTAAAAGAGATACAAGCTGAAAAAATTCCCCTTAGTTTGTCTTATTGCACACTAAAAGAAAGAAAATATTTTTAAGAAGTCAAGAATACAGAAGTCATTAAGATTTTTCAAGATATGTAGAATTAATCTTTATCATTTTAACCATTAAAGAATCTTTTATTAAATGCCATTGAAAATCTATTTGTATACAAATGAGATACCCCCCCTTTTCCTTTTTTTTTTCCTCCTCTTTCTATTTAAAAGGGAACTGATTATATGATTTTTTTTTTTTTTTTTTTTTTTTTGAGATGGAGTTTCGCTCTTTGTTGCCCAGGCTGGAGTGCACATCTCGGCTCATTGCAACCCCTGCCTCCCAGGTTCAAGCGATTCTCCTGCCTCAGTCTCCCGAGTAGCTGGGATTACAGGCATGCGCCATCACGCCTGGCTAATTTTGTATTTTTTTTTTAGTAGAGATGGGGGTTTCTCCATGTTGGTCAGGCTGGTCTTGAACTCCCGACCTCAGGTGAACCACCCGCCGCGGACTTCCAAAGTGCCGAGATTACAGGTGTGAGCCGCTGCACTCGGCCTGATTATATTATTTTAAAGGAAAGCCCAACTAATCATTAGCTCAAAAAAGATCATGGTTTTGCAATTTCATTACTGATTCTTTAATTAGTTTGGTTATGTAACCAAATACCCTGCATTTTTGGAGAGTGTGATACCACACATAATAAAATTTACAGAGAGAATGCCAATGGCAGCAGGAAAGGCAGCATGTTCATAATCACAGCTCCATGTACACTATCATCATGAAGGGTAGTTACTTGCTGCTATAGGTGGGATTATAGGTCTCATCCCATAGAAGTACTGGCTAAGCCTGAATTCCCCATTATGACAAGAAAATGATGGGACATATGCAAATATATGCGCCATATTCAAACACACCTTCATTTAGTGTGGCTACAAATAGCTCGAATAAAGGTAACACATCTTACTTCAGTCCATTAAATGATAAGCTTTACTAATAAAAGTATAGAGAGAACTCGAATTCATATAATTTGCTAATCATTATTCCCCCATAATAGTAATTAGTGAAGAGAATACAGATAATCATTAATCTTTTAGTTCTTGTGTGTAGTGTTGTAGTAAGATGTGCAGATCATTTTCTGTATGAGTAACTAGTTCACTTATGCAAGGATAGGTCCCTTCAGGGAATTATCTGTCCTGGAAGATTGATTCTGTTTATCAACCAGCAAGCTTAAAGGTTCTACATTCTACCATTTCACTCACTAACTGTGCTTAACTTTTTAAAACTCACATTGAATAGCTTGAATCTCCAAGTGAGTAGAAAAGATAAGCTATGGTAAGCTTTCAGATTGTTTCTTTCTTAAGTAAATCATTAAAATAACAGATTGTCCAAGACATTGAAACTGTTTTCTCCCTCTATGTAAATAGGTTTATCTGCATGCCAGTTTATGTAATGTCTAAATGATGCTTCAGTGACCACGTACTCAGGAAAATGAAGCTGAGAGTAGTGGAATTTATAAGCATCCAAACCAGGTTTCTCGATAAAATAGCAATTTTATTCCATTGCAGCTGCTTTGATGAACTTGAGATTTAGAGATATTTCCCTCAGTTATTCAAAACCAAGCCTTGGATGAAATAATCTTCAACAGCAGAACTTAGCTCCTTTATTTTTCTCTTCTTTAACGTTTTCTGTTTATGTATAGGTGTAAACAAGATGAGTATAATAAAAATAAAATGACCCATTTTGTGCTCATTAAAATGCAATTATTTCAGAAAATTAACTTTGAAAAGTAAAAACTGATGTTTTTACCTTTCCTATTGAAGTAAATATAATTTCAAGCCAGGAGATTAAAAAAAAGCAATAGATTTAGCACTGAGCAAGCAAAATAGGTCAAATTAGACAGCTTCTATAATAAAATTCTCTCAAGACTATCTTATTTTTTCTGATCTACTTTCCACAGAAGTTAGACTGGATGTAGTATATCATATGTTTTTTCAAAACTATATACTGTGGGACATAATTTTATGAATAATTCATAACAATGCTATAAATGGGCAAATAACTTAAAGTTAAGATAACTCTTATTAAAACCAGTAATCATGTTATATCTTTATTTCATTACTATACTATTGTTATTTTATTAAATTGTTTCCCTTTGGTTTTACTACATATGTGGCTTTTTGCTTTGGGGGAGTGCTGAGAAGGTATTTCAAAAACTGTTCATTGTGTTCTAGATAAAAAATATTCTTTGCTCTTCTGGAATCTCCAGAAGCTAAAAACAAAACAATGCCCTAAGAAGCTCAGCTATGTGCCACTTAATATTTGTTATGAAATTAAGTGCTTAACATTGAGAAGATAGGTCTTTCTTAATTTTTAAAAGTTTTTTAAAGTTTTTTTTTTTGAAGGGCAGATAAACCTACAAGTTGAAGTTACCTAAAACATTCTCTTTCTCATGGGGCCAGAAAGAAAAGAGTATGGATGCAAGGCTTTGTAATCAACTGGGGAGGAGATGAACAGTTAATGCATTACAGCACCATCCATGATGAAGTGGGAGCATCATGGCAACCATTGTAGGTTGGACAGACTGTTTTAGAAATATGGTCACTGCAAAGATACTTCTCAAGATGATCTCCTCATTGAAAATAGATTAACATGACCAGAAAATATCCAGAAAAAAGAAACAATATAAAAATTTACATTTTTTTAAGAGAATAGAAACAAGGCTTGTGAATTTGCCTAAGTTTGGAGATCAATTGCTACTGATGCTTCAAACAATGTTTGTTTCATGTCCTTAGAAATTTTAAAATGGTGCTTCTTATATAAAGGGTTCATCGGTTAAACCATAGAAAGAGAGACAACCGCTGATGGGCAGGTTATGGAATCAGTCCCTACATTTCAGCTGTGACAAGCTCTGGGTTCTTCTACATTGACTTCATTTCAGTTTTAACAGAAAGAAAGCCATGAATGCACAATACTGTAATCTGGAAGCTTATGTAAGGCAGCAAAAAGCATCACCCTAGATCGGACAGACTAAGTAAGGTCCACTTTTGGCTACACTAGCAACCGGCTAGAGCCAACAGCATTTTGCCACACAAGATATAAAAACAAAGATCCACAGCAAAGGAGGCAAGTGAGAAACCAGAGACATGGCAGTGTGTGACTACGTTACAGGAACACACTACAAAATGAAACCCCCAGTGCCAATGGGTTCAATTCCAGTCAAGTGAGTTAAGGCTACCATATCACTGGCTGATACGAAGAGTCCATTCCAATCGAGCAGGAAGGAAGTGATTCACTCTTGAAGACACAAGGAAAGGTTTAGAGGAAAAGCAAGTTCTTGGAGAGAATGAAGCACACACATGCACGTTGTCTCTCAGGTGAGGAAAAGGAAAAAAAATGAGAGAGATCAAAGCAATTCAACTGCAAGGCAAGGCAGGTGTTTGCTTCCAGTTCACAGTATTGCAGTTAGTGGTACAGTGAGGTCTACGTGAGTGGTGGAGAGTACAGGCTGCCCAGAAGAAAGGAGAAGAAAGAAGTGGTCACATGACAACACAGCATTGACAGCGCTTTTTCTTTTGGGTACCTGGGGCTGGCTCTGTAGCTAGGCTCTCTTCCTTCCCTTCTGGGGATGAGGGCTCTGTGGTGTCTGAGACCGGCCTCCCGGACACAAGCTCAGCCGCGTTCCCGTCAATAGTGGACACGTCCGTCACTGTCTTCTCCCTCAATGACTTCTCATCATCTTCATCAATGAGGACCAATTCAGCCTTGATGGTTTCATCATAGCCTAGCACCTTTTTCGTCTCCTCTTCATCCTCGATATTTTGGTAGCCCATAAAAATCATGGTGACGGGCTGATCCAAGTTTGCCTCCGGCCCTGCAGCGCTGGGGGCTTGGGCCTGCTGCCCTGGGTTCCCGGAAGAATGGTCTTTCCTAGACTTATGTACCATTTCTAACTTAGCTTCTTTGCAGAGCATGTGTTCCTTGGGATGGCTGAGGCTCCCATCTGCAATCACAGTCCTTTCAGACACGTGCCCTCCTCCTAAGCTTGATTGTCCAGCCTTCTGAATAAGCTCTTCTACATCCTTTGTGCTTAATTTGTGCACTCCATTTTCTACTACGGTGCCTCCTGAGCGCACCTCATACACTACTTTGGTACCATCATCATAGACTTTGACTCCTTTCTGATGGACCCCCTCTGGGCCAATGGTAGATGTAGAGAGAATCTTGGTCTCTCCTGTTTGTTTGTCTTTCTCCACATTAATTTCCATGGCGTACACAGCTTGAATGAAAACAAGAGAAAGGAAGTGCATGTTACAACAAAAAAAGCCAGTGAATGGTTAATTGCCAAACAGACAAAAAAAAAGGTTTTGTGCCCTTTCTATTCTAACTGCCAAGCATCTTGAGTGTTAGAGTGAGGTGCGCACTGTGAATAAAGATGGTTATATCTGTATTGTAACACAGCAGTTTAATGCACTTGGAAGACAGATGCACGGTTGCTATATCTCAATGGCACTCACACATTTAAGGAAGATCTGCTAAAATAAGGGCACAAGAGACTTTAGATCTTAGTGTGAAGAATTTCATGGAGGCTGGCAACATGCAAACTACCTTGACTGAGGGCTTCCCAGGCTGACAGACAATTTACAAACCCTTGGTTAAAATGTGTTCCAGGTCCAAAATTTTAAATAAATGAAAAAACCTCTTTCATCAAGTGTTTTCGTTTTCTCTACATTTCCACAAAGGTTTTCATAGGTGGGTCATGGCTATCCTCCACTGTACTATACAACAGAATATTTTCAACAATTGAAAAAGCATGGGAGCATTCATATTATGTGCCCTGTGAGTACTTCAGTCACTAAACTAGGTACCTAAAATAAGAACTAAGAAAAGAACAAGACAGAAGTAACATCACATAGGACACTGGAATTTGAAGACAATGATCGCAGAAGGCCTCTTTCATCTTCCATGCACAGAGTGCCAAGTCCTGCTGCCCACAATACCTTTCCCATCTGTTGTCTTCTTTTTGTTCCATTAATACCTTTCCCATCTGTTGTCTTCTTTTTGTTCCATTGCTACTGGTCAATGTAAGACATTCACTTCCTCTTCCCTAGATTGTTGGAAGAGCTTCCTACCTGGTCTCCCCCTCCCCTTGCCCCTGTCTCTCAGTCTTGTATCCTTTCTAATTCATCCCAACTCTTGCTGCCAGTCTGGGGTTGCTAAGGACAGCTCTTTCCTGTCCTATAGACTCTTGTGACACCTCATACTTCCAAACTGGTTTCTTCACAGTCTTCCTGGATGGGAAGAAACTGTGCATCAGGCCCATAGAGCCACCAGGCTCCAGGTGCCCTTTATCTGGATGTGCCACGAACCCATCAAACTCAGCAGCTTCCAAACTGACTCCAGCTTCTTCTATCAAAACTATTCCACAGTCTCCATGCCAAATAACAGCAGCACTGCTACCTAGTCTCTCAAGCCACAGGCCTGAGAATCACACCTGACTTGTTCTTTTCTTCCTACTTTCTTACAGCCAAACACTCACTGACAGTAAATCATTCTACTTCAGATATATCTCATCCATCTCCTCACCACCATTTCTGTCACCAAGGCCTTAGTCCAGGCCCTCCTCTGCTCTCTGCACAACAGCCTTGCTTTTTATTTTACCTAACACTTCTGTCTTCTTGCTCTAGTCTAGAAGACTGCAAACTGTGGCCAGAGGGCCAAAGACAGCCTGAGCCTGTTTCTGTATGGCCAGAGGAGCTAAGAGTGGTTTTACACTTGTAAAGGGTTGTTTCTTTAAAAAAAAAAAAAAAAAAAAAAAAGAAGAGGAAGAAGAAGAAGAAGAGAAGGGGAAGGAGAAGGAAGAAAAAAGAAGAGGAAGGAGAAGAAGAAAGAGAGGGAGGAAAAGATGGGGGAAGGAAAGAGAAAAGAGAAAGAAAACAATTAATGTGTGACAAAGACTATATGGTCCACAAAGTCTAAAATAGTTAAAATCTGGCCATTTATACAAAAATTTTGCCGACCCCTGCCAGCCTGTGCTCCATCCTGCCCACAGTTACTTGAGTCATAAACCCTCTGTTGGTTCCTTGTGTCTTTAGAAAATAAACACCAAACTCCCCAGCATGGCATATAGTTCCCTTCAGGATGTGTCTGCAAACTTCCTTTCTAGCCTTGTCTTGTGGGCTCTCTCATTCTTTACACATTGTGGCCATAACGACTTCTCACTATTCCCAG
Source organism: Homo sapiens (assembly GCF_000001405.40). NCBI lineage: Eukaryota > Metazoa > Chordata > Mammalia > Primates > Hominidae > Homo > Homo sapiens. The sequence continues at coordinate 109,940,733 of NC_000009.12, read as the reverse complement.
GACACTCAACTTCCTCCCACGGCTGCTCATCTGTGTGCCTGCTGTCCCTCTGCCTAGATAGCCTTCTGTTGCTCCTCCAAACTTCTAGAGATCTAGCCCATCTGCTTGTCATTGTCTTGAGTCCCTACCTCTTTCTGAATAAGTTCCCTGTGTTAAGAAGATCCAAACTATCTTTTCAACCATATGTTCTAGTGCTCCTTTTCCATTTAGCACAACCAAATAACACCATCCCAGACGTAAATATCTTCTGCTTTTGTTAAGATTCCCTTCTCCTGAAATGTCTTTGTTTTGAGTTTCTACATATCCAAATATGGCCCATTGATTAACGCCAAGGTCAACTGCCTCCTCTTCCATAAGCTTTCTTTGATCCTTCCATCTCTAAGTCATCCCTCTCTTAAAATTTTCTCAATACTTTTTCTAAACTTCTCTGAAGGCTCTTAACAATTACCACTCAGTTGTATAATTATCTGTGGGAATGTTTCATCAGCTTCATAGATTTTTAGGATCTTTTGAGGGTTAGTTTCTTGCCCAACACCTATCCATGATGCCCCCTCCCTGTCAGCACCTACCTTAGAGCCATTTGTATAGCAGGTACCCAATATACACATCTCTCAAACAAAGGCTAATAATTCAAGAGTCTAATATGGTTGTTGTAATCTAGTAACAAATACTTTGTATAATATGACACCAATGAAATGGTACACACAGTAATTAATGTTTGAACTTGTTTGAAAAAATAACAGTGATGATATTGTTCCATCTGCTTGCATAATAAGATACACTCTGTTCCTGGTTAACACTTAACTAAAAAGATTATGAAACAAAATCCCATGTTTGGTTTTCATCAGATCCATTTTGAAAGTTTCACTTGTTCAGCATAAAGATCTCAAGTTTCTTCAAGTGACACAATGGGAGGCCAACCAGCATTTGTCATAGAGGTGCATGGACACACACAATGACTGTGTATCCAAATAAACATTTATCTCAGTTAGTTCCTGATTTCTCACAAAATGTGCCATCAGAAGAATAGAATAGGCATTTAAAATTTGCATGGACTCCAAAAGCCTGTTCTTGAAATATAACACTTATTTTAAAAAGCAGTTTGGGATTAGAATATATCTTATCACTATTAACACACTCATGGGACACAGTTATAAATAAGGAAAGTAATAATTGTTAGTTTGTAGGTACAATATCTTATTATTCTGCAAACATTCAGTTATCTGTGAACAAATCCACACACTGGCCTGCGATCAATACAGAATATGGAACAAAATATTTCTATTTTTATATCCATATGTGATAGGATAAAAATACAAATTATTAACATGGGGATGTTTACAGATATCCCTCTCCCTCTTCCCACCAATGAGAATGCTGATCATTGTTGGTCCAATTTTCTGTCATTTTAATCTTTGCCTGTTCTAGAATCAGAGCCTGGAAGAAAGGAGAGATGATGATGAAAAGTTCTTTGCTGGAAAGGTTAAGTATATCCACATAATACACAAATGAGAAAGAAGGAGTTTAGTGGGAAAGAGAGTAAAAACTGTATGAAATATGCATAGAGAAGGAGTATTTTGTGGTGGTAAATGATGCTTTAGAGCAGGTGATATGTGGAGGAAAGAAAAGTGAATATGAGAATTATTACTTAGTGGAGATATAAATTAGGTCCCTTTTATTTATTTTTTATTATTATTATTATTTTGAGACAGAGTCTTACTCTGTCACCCAGGCCGAAGTGCAGCGGTGCGACTTTGTCTCACTGCAACCTCTGCCTCCCGGGTTCAAGCGATTCTCCTGCCTCAGCCTCCCAAGTAGCTGGGGTTACAGGCATATGCTACCAAGCCTGGCTAATTTTTGTATTTTCAGTAGAGATGGGGTTTCACCATGTTTACCAGGCTAGTCTCAAACTCCTGACCTCAAGCGATCCACCCTCCTCAGCCTCCCAAAGTGCTGAGATTACAGGCGTGAGCTACCGCACCCGGCCAAGGTCCCTTTTAATATCCTTCAGGAGAAATAGTTAAAGAACAGAACACCTTCTTAATGGTTTTTTGGTGTGCAATTTTAAGCTGTAGTTCTTTAAATGTGATATGGCTCTGGGACTGAACCACATGTGACATGGTTTTACTAGGGTTACCTATTTATATTTACATGTTGTACACTATTCTTCCAATATTCCTAGAATATGAGCATAGAATATTTTAAGAATTTTAATATAATTTTATAATAAAATAAACTTAGATATGTTATGTCACAAAATGCATATGTATTTTTTTCCTAGATAAAACATAAGGCTTCAGAGGAACCACAAATCACACTTAAGAGTGTGATTCTACATTCCTTTCTGCATTCACTCTTTCCTCCAGTAAAGAGAACAAAGGCGAACACTTTGAGAAGCTCTGACTTAACCCAAAGGCAATATTTCGTTTTCATGGATACATATATGAGAATGTTATCTAGGCCTTTTAGAAAGCCATGCAAGAGGTGTGAATGTTTAAATGTCATCTTTATGAGTAAGCATTTATATTTTGCTTCAGTTCTCAGCCAATAATATACAAAAGCATGAACTAGAGTGCATATGAACCAATAGGAACATAAGACTTACGTTTTCAGTGCAATGTCTTATTTTTGATGCACAAGATTTTAAAAACTCTTCTACTTCCTGTTGCTGCCAAAAGTTTATACCAATGGCCTCTCACACTTTTCATCCCTTTGTCTCTAACCACAAAGCACAGAGCATACTCTCTAACCTGCCCTGTCTTCTCTCCAGCTTCTCCATGTCAGAGGTACACTACAATTTGTATAATGATGAGGGTCAAAGGGCTTGCTGCCTTTGTTCATCTTATTTAAAAAATGAGGAGGGAGTGCTGTTGAGGGGTGAGGGCTTTCTGGGGAGCCCTGAAAGAAATCTTGAAACATACATGGACATACAGAAAAGTATTTGAAGGAAAGCTCTGGAAATTTTCCTGGATGAAGGACCTGGGGAAGAAGGAAAAGAAATAGAAGACAATTCAATGGAAGTTTCACTGATAGGCTGGCTGAAATCTGGAAGTATGTTTTTATTAAATTATGTATTTAATTATTGATTTCCAAACCCTATATACTGATGACAATGAGATTGGAGTATATAAAGCATATTTGCTACTCCTTCCAAGAAGCCAGCGAGACAGCTGAGTAATATGCTGTTTTTAAGAATTATTTTATTTTATTTTATTTTAATATGCTCTTTTTATTAAAGAGAGTAAGAACGAATGTTGCTAGCTTATTCAAAGGGATACAGATGAATGACTGCATGGATACTTTGATTTTGGGCCTCCGCATTTGGTTTTCTTGGTTCTTGCTCCCTAATAATTCTTTCATCAATAGGGAAACGCCCTGAAGGAGTAGAGACATTAAGTTGAGGTTGAGAATTCCAGTCTCTAGGTTCTGAAAACACCCAGGTGTGGAGCGGAGTGTGAGGCCTCTGGGGAAGGTGCCCACCTAAAAACCAAGGTGGTAGTTTTGAGCAGAGAAGCGATTGCTCTGCAGGGCCCAGAGAGATGGGTCTGAGGAGCAGAGAATGTTTGGTTCTGATTCAGACTTATCCCCCTGGCTCTACACATGCCTGTGTTGCCTGTTGCCTTCACCTTTGGCAGAGTGAAAGCAACTGCAAGGGCTGTAGGGAGCCTAGAGAAGAGGGAACAAGAGTAACCGACACAAGCAAGGCGGGAAGAGCAATGGACATGAATACATTTGAGCATCAGTCCAAGAGCATACAAAACAAGACTATTCCAGGAGGATGGAAAGTTCAATCATTGATTCAGGCTTTTCCCAGCTCACTTTCTTTCACTCACTGTGATTACGGGAGGAGGAACAGGCTGAGAGCCCACATCTAAAATATAAGCACCACATGTTCCGCTGTCATTAGTCAGGGAGATGGGAGGAGGGAGAAAGATAGGATCTGAATTCCTATCCAGATCACACCCCATTTTGGGGCTTCATTTTCTCATTTGTACAATGAAAGTTATCCAGATTTGATATTTTATGGTGCTGTGAACACCCTGCGTGGTTCACGAGTCAGTGATGCGTAAAGTACAGTAGGAGAGAAGCAGATCATAAGTGTCATCCATGGGGGGTCAGGGTCATCTCAGTAACAGAAACATCCAGGAGTTGGCATTGCACCTGGCATGTGATAGACAAGCAATGCACATGGTTGACTTATTGAATGAACACACATATGGGTAGTCTTATCCCTTCGAGCAAATGGTTATACATATAAATATGTGTTCACATATTATCTTTGGGCTGGAAATGTAAAAATGGCTATTGTGATGCCAATGACAATAAAAATGAGGAAATTAATTCAGAATGGGTTCTCCCTCTCATCCGAAAGCACAATCTCCAACTTCAAAAATATAGTTAGATAGAAGGAATAAGTTCTAATGTTCAATACAGAGTAGGGTGACTAAAGCCAACAATAATTTATTGTCTACTTCAAAATAGCTAGAAGATTTTTGAATGTTCCCAACACAAAGAAATGATAAATGTTTGAGATGATGGATATCCTCATTACCCTTTTTTGATCATTATACATTGTGTGAATGTATCAAAATACCACATGTACCCCATAAATATGTACAATTATTATGTATCAATAAAAAATTGTAACTCCCCCCAAAAAAAACAGTGATCAAAAATTTCTGTGAATCAATTGTTTTTCCAAGACACCTCAGTAGTAACAAAAATAAGTCAGCAAGGGTGTGATGTTGATGGATAATAAAGGCAAGCCAATTTCTTGTGTCTGATTTTGCTTCTATTTTTGGTCAAGAAGGAGAGTTTTCAGCCTGTAAAGTGCCAGAAAGAAAGTGGCAGAAAGGGAAGTGAAGCCCAGATGAGCAGAGAAGATTGGAAAATAACATAGCACTGCAGGGATATAAAGGCTCTCAGTGCTTTGGGATCAGGGTCCCAGTTCCCTTGTTGAATTTGTCTCAAGAATCTTGAACATCAGGAAAGGTGCTGGAAGCTGACACTCAAAGGTCTGATTTTCAAAAATGAGAATGAGGGGATTCTAAACTACATCGAAGGAGCTTGACATCATGGCTAGCTAAATTCTAAAGTTAATCTTCAAAGACCAGAGATGACTAAGAGCCAGCATGGGTTAATCAAGCAGAAACTATGCAGATTAATCTCATTTTCTTTTCTGTTCAAGGTCTCTGGAAAGAATAGGCAAATTGCATTTGAAAAGATCCAGAGTATTTGGATTATCACAAAATCCCTTATATTCCTGTGGACTACACAGAAACATGTGCCTTGGGTGTTAAGACAATTAACTTGTTAGTGGTTGCATGATCATACCCCAAAGATGTCAATTTAGGGTTATTGAGGGCCAAGAGATCTCTAATGGTGTGCCACAGGGCTCTGACTTTGGTTCCAACATGCAACATTTTTAGCAATGAGATGATAAAAAATAATAAAAGATTGCTTTTTCAGATTTGAGGGGGTACTAAACTGAGAAGCAAAGTGAGGCTATGAGGATACCATAATCATGAGCTACAAAGACCCTAACAATAGAGAAGAGGGTTTTCTACATTCAAAACTTGTTGAGGCCTAGATTCAAGTGAAATCTGATGTGGAAACACAATATGTAAACATGAGGATGGAGGAACTGCGCGTGTTTGAAATGGGAGGGAATGTCAGAGCCCTGTCAAATCCCATGACATCATTCCCTTCCCCCACTTCCTGCTGTGGTTCCTCAGTGCCTCCATGAAACCCGCAACATTCTTGAGAGACAATCTAACAAGAAGAAATTTAATAGTCATAGCAAATCTACAAAGGACAGAAAAGTGCATAGCTCATGCTTATTTTTGTCTTTCGAGATTAAAAAACAAAAGAATTCTGTAGGTCCTTCTATGTATGAACAGGTGAAGTAGTATATGTATAGCTAGGGGAAACAGACTGAACATTTCAACTGAAATGACTCAGAAACAACAATTCTATGGATAAACGGAGTGAGGCTGAGCAGTGGCACACATGAAATGACTTTGAGGCCTTTCAAAACTGAAGCTGAAAGGCCACATTGCCAGCAAAGTCAGCCATGTGGTCTGCAGCGTCGTGCTCTATTTTGGGGGTGAGCAGCCTAGCTCTGAAGGCATTGGGTAGCTCTGAGCATGATACATCAAGAAGACTAGCAACCAAGTGAAGAGCGTGCAGAGGGGAGGGACAGGGATGGCGGAGGGTGTCTAAAGGCAATCTCATCATCTCAATACCAGCTGGAGAGACTGGGACTGTGAGCACAAAGGGGATTTAGAGTGAGGATCTGGGAAAAACAGGAAATAACAGTGACTTTCTACACTTGAAGGGAAATTAGAACTTAGATGTGCTCTGAGTAGCTCCAGGGTGCAGGATAAGGATAAGTGGGTGGATGATGAAGGCAGACAAATGATGGCTCCATCAGAGGAAGAATTTCCCAATAGTCAGAACCAACCAGAGATGGAATGGGAAACTTGGAGGAAGATTAAACATGAATCACAGAGGTGTGTGACCAGGGTTTGAGGACCTCTTCACAGGGCTGCTATGTTAAGGATTCAATGTTTGGATAAAGGATTGGAATAGATGTCTCCTAATTCTGAAAAGCAATGATTCTAAATAAATTCCCATTTATACAGAGTCCCAAACCTTCCAAACGCCAAACAACCAGGATATTTGTTATACTACTCAGTAATGACAAGTGACATTTGTCAAAATGTCCCTGAGGTTATATAAATTTCCAAAAGGACATTCCTAAAGCAAGATGGACTGTATCTAGGAGAATTCTAGTGAGTACCCTTGGTTGGTAAGCCACACATGCTCTGTGTAGTCACCATTAACCATAATTGATCATGAATCTGAACATCCCATTCCCTAAACAGCCTGGACAAAGGAGTTCATCGTAACAAATACAATTCCTTCCATAGCTCTGCTTATATGTAATCCCACAGTAGATGCATTTACGCAAATTAACTCTTAACTAATCAGCAGAAACATATGTAAAATTACTTTGAAAAAGATTCTGATCACATTATACTTTTGAAAATGCATTGGCTTTTAAAATCATGTTTTGCAGGATCTTCAAAGATAAAGGGAGCTGGGTTGTGGTAATAATGTGTATTGCTGCTTACACAGCACTACAATCACATTCATGTGTTACTCTTGAACTTTAAACTCTTTGACTACCCACACTGCTCAAATTCTTTTTCTGTCTCTTAAAATTATTTCTCATACATTGTCCCTACCCTCCCATAAGCTGATCCATATGTTGGATCATATCCTGTGTCCTTTGAAGTGCAGGAACTTGTGCAGAGGACCTGAGAAGTTGTTTACCCACAACTATCAGGAGCCATCAACACCCATGTCTCTAATAACCAGAGGGAAGGGGTGTCACTCTTAAACACATTTTACCTAAGTTGACCTCAGAAGTGTACCTCAGAAGTGTACCCTGGAGTACTTAAAGAGTCCAATGTTAAAGTGACTGCCAGTGAGTCCTTTGAAGCATAACTGCAGGTTGCAGGTTCCTGTTTATCCATCCTGTCACTGTCCAGGAAGATGTGGAACTGGCTCTGGATTGACCAGATACCACTTACAGTCCCAACCATCTCTAGGACTCTGTGAGTCTGTACATAAAAGTAATCTGCTAAGATGTTTACAGAGATGCCCAACAGATATTTAAATTAGCCAGTGGACGTGACAACTATGTTAATTCTTACTTGCCTTTTATTTTACTTTTGTATTAAAATAAGTAGGGATTCTTTGCTTCATGAAATATTCAGGTTGGCCTATATAAAAGATATCCTCTGGCTTAAACATCCATGATTGTTTTACTTTAAAAAATCTGCCATTATGTGATTTATTTTAAACATACACTTACCTAGAATATGCAAAGCAGAATCTGATACTCATATTTGAAGTCACCTATGTTGTAACTAACCATGCAACCTTGGGCAATTCATTTTTCCATTTAACCCCCAGCCCTCAGCACATTTCTGTGTAGATCATAAGGGTTCGTGTACAGATTTATTGCTTGCATCCTTCCAGTTCTGATTTCTGAGGCATGTCTGCATTAAGCAGAGCAAAGCATGGTTCTCCCTACACTCAACACTCATAAATATATTATTTGTAAAATTTCCAATTGTGAGACACATTAGCAAGTAACATGTGTGCTTTAAATTGCTTCTTTTCCTCCCAAATATACCACAGTGGCTAAGAAATAATTCCAGAAATGGGAAGACTTAGGAATATATGTATTCATAATATACAAATAGCACAATTCCCAAAGGATTCTGTAAAGATACCACAGGCTTTGAAAATATTTCCCATCCAGCTTCCATCATGGATGGCTCTCTCAATTTGTATATTTCCAATGAGGAAAATGAAAATCCCTGGAGGCAGAATACAGATTAACTTTGAGAATAAACACAGATATAAGGACCACAAACACCAAAGAAAGACTCCCCCGAAGTCGGAGGTGAAATGCCGTATGATTTCCTCAGAACTCCTTCCCATTTGGTCCTCAGTTACCCATCTGGGGCCGGTGCCTGCCTTGTGTGGCCACTGTGAAGGCTGCATCTGAGGCTGGGCTGAAGGTGAGCTCCCCCTATGTAAGGATAGCAGGGCACTCATCTCATTAATAAAGCTCAGTGAAATGCAAGCCCCTTGGACCATCCTAGCGTCCAAAGGTCCCCAGGACTTACCAGCCGCTCTGCTGGTCCCGTCCTGCCCAGGTGATGGTTCTGCTGTTCGTGAACAGAGGATTGGCAGGTCGGGAAGCTGGGAGGAAATGTAATTTACTGCATCTGGTAGCAGAGAACAGGGAATACAATTAGTCACAGTGTTGGGAGGCCCAATGGGTTCACTGCCGAGACAGCAGCTTGTCTGCCCTACATAATGGACCGCTGAGGCGGCCACTGAACAGGAGGATCAGGGTAAACAAAGACAAGCATTTGCCCAGTGACTGGTATTCAGCAGAGTAGCTGAGGCAGGAGGGATCCTGGCCAGAGAGCTCAAGCCCCAGGATGGCTCTATGTATTAGAAGAGTCATCAGAAATCTCTAGATTCTAGGAGGACAATGAGTTCAGGGACGGGGGGAAGATTCAGAGATGGGCTTGTGGGAGCCATTATCAACTTGGTGGGATTGACAAATAGAAAACATGGAACTAGAAATGTACATTAAACAGTACTGAAAAACAGATCCATTCTCTGAACCGGAAATAAAGCTTTCTGTGTCTGATTATTATGGGGTTCATTCCCTGAACTGGCAATATAGCTTTATGAGCCTGATTCATTCAAAAGACCAATTTTATATGCATTACAACAAATAAACAGACTTCAGAATTGATCTCATGTTTTCAATACTGCAGGCTGGTGTTTCAGCTAGAAAGTCCTGAGATTCTAAATGACAATACCCCTTGAGCCCACCATTAGCCCAGTTGCAGGGAATGTTGCTATGTAAAAGAAGGAGCCCATTAGATTTGCTTGGGCAAATACCTCGACAAGCCTCTTTAGGGAGGTGAGACATGGGGAGCATGAACATTAGCAAGCATGCCAAGGTATCAGAGGAAAGGAGGAAACCCCTGAGGTAAGACAAGACAAATCTGGGTACACCCCAGAAAGAAGTGGGAAAGTGAAAGCAGGAAGATTCCGGAAAGCTGGGCACCATGAGATGTGATCCCTTCCTTGCATCACGACCATATCACAAAATCCTGGAACGTCCATCAGTCATCAATGGTTACATCTAACTGCTCACTGTAGGTCTATACTGAATATCCCACAATCACCTCAAACTCAACATGTGCAAAATGGACCTTGTATCTCTGCTCACCTGCTGCTTCTCCTGTCCTCTATCTTGGCTCACGAGCACTGCAGTTCACCTGGGATCCTCAGCAGCACCCTTCACTCTTCCCCCTGCTGGTATCCAATCTGTTCAATAGCCTCTGCCTCTGTTCAAAATCCTCCGCATTTCTCATCACTGACCCCTCCTCTGCATCCCCACTCGTACTGCTTCCATTCTAGCAGCTTTCTTTTTCATTTCTTGCTGAAGAGGATTGCAAACACACACTGGACTAGGCTTAGTTCAGTTCTAGACCAACCAGACCCTTTTCTGACTTGCAAATGAGTCTGAACAATCCAGAATGTATTGACATTAGACCATTATGTTCATAGGCAAAGGTAGAGTATCGCTAAGAAAACAGATTTTTCGCCGGGCGCGGTGGCTCATGCCTGTAATCCCAGCACTTTGGGAGACCAAGGCGGGTGGATCACCTGAGGTCAGGAGCTCGAGACCAGCCTGGCCAACATGGCAAAACCCCGTCTCTACTAAAAATACAAAAATTAGCTGGGCATGGTGGCATGCACCTGTAGTCCCAGCTACTAGAGGGGCTGAGGCAGGAGGATCGCTTGAACCCAGGAGGCGGAGGTTGCAGTGAGCCAAGATTGTGCCACTGCACTCCAGCCTGGGTGACAGAGTGAGACTCTGTCTCAAAAAAAAAAAAATAGATTTTTCCATATTAACCATTTGGGGAGAAGGAATGAGAAAGGAAGATTAGAACAGCAGGACTTAGGGTGGAGTGAGGCTCAAGTTGCTTTCCCTCTCAGGTGCCTTATATGTGTTGGAGCTTGGATCCTGGATAAGGCAGACATGGTTGAAGGCACCCCTCACTGCAAGGAAGGAAATTGAGCCTTTGAGATGATGGTGGGCTGGGAGATGGCTGGAAAGCAGCCTGCAGGGACCCCCTGAAGATGGTTTTGGATTTGAGTCAGGGGCTGTGAGTGAAGCCACATGTCTGAAGTTGTGCATTATTCTCCATGTTGAACTGCACCTCCATGATTCTCTCTCTTTTTTTTTTTTTTTTTTTTTTTTGAAATGGAGTCTCACTCTGTCACCCAGGCTGGAGTGCAGTGGCGCAATCTCAGCTCACTGCAAGCTCTGCCTCCCAGGTTCACGCCATTCTCCTGCCTCAGCCTCCCGAGTAGCTGGGACTACAGGCGCCCACCACCACACCCGGCTAATTTTTTGTATTTTTAGTAGAGATGGGGTTTCACTGTGTTAGCCAGGATGGTCTCGATCTCCTGACCTCATGATCCGCCCGCCTCGGCCTCCCAAAGTGCTGGGATTACAGGCGTGAGCCACCTCCATGATTCTTAAACTTAGGTCACAGACTTCTCTTTCCTTTAATTCCCACTGTGGAAGGCTGTAGGAAGGGTCTGTGCCCCAAAGCAGCACAAGGCAGAACTAGAAAGAGCAGCACCTTGAGGTCAGTAGTCCTGAGGGGGTAGGGGCAGGTGGGTGACAATTGTCCGTGGGAAGAGTGAAGCAGTAATCTAGGACTAGAGGGTCAGTTTAGGAAAGAAGGGATGACCAGAGCAGATTTGTAGAACTTCCAAGATTCACTGATAATTTCCAGAAATCTGTGGAATGGGATCTTGGTGAATTTGACTTTCTGCATTCAAATAAGATGGAGGCTGGAGCCCATGTGAGATCTCATGGACTGGTCACATGTGTGTCTGCATACTCAATGTTTTAGCAGTTTAAAAAAGAAACAAAAAAAAAAAAACTACTTACAGACAGGGAATTTTCCATCTGAAAGAACATGTGATTCCCAGGGCTTATGTCTCAGCCTCCTCCAGGAGATAGCTCCCTGCCAGATGGGAATGGATGATGGAGTTACCTTTGCCAGATGTTTACTGGCTACAAGCTTGAAGTCTACAGCACTTAGAGGGTTGGGCTACATGGCTTCTGTTAAGAGATAAGGGAATGGGCTGGGCGCAGTAGCTCACACCTGTAAACCCAACACTTTGGGAGGCTGAGGCAGGCAGATCACTTGAGGTCAGGAGTTTGAGACCAGCATGGCCAACATGGTGAAACCCTGTCTCTACTAAAATGCAAAAATTTGGACTGGTGGTGTGTGTCTGTAGTCCCAGCCACTTGGGAGGCTGAGACAGGAGAATCGCTTGAACCCTGGAGGCGGACGTTGCAGTGAGCTGAGACCACGCCACTGCACTCCAGCCCGGGTGACAGAGTGAGATGCTGACTCAAAAAAAAAAAAAAGAGAGCGAGAGAAAGATAAGGGAGTGGAGAATGGGGCATCAGAAAGAGGACAGAGCAGCCCCCTCAATATATGATTAAGTACTAAACCCTAAGGTTATATAGACAGGAAGTGTCTGATAGGCCAGCACAAAGAGTAACAAACAGGCTTGCCAAAACTTCAATGGGAAAAACTTCTTCAGGTGGCCTCAATTAATAAGCTGCCCTCTTCCTGCCAAAGTCAGAATAGTCTAACACTATTCTCCCCACTGACAGAGAAGGTGGAAAGCAGTAACTTATAGAGTAGAAATTAAAGATGAGTGCTGCTTCTTAGTTCTAATCCCGCTGAAATATTTACAGTAGCTATGAAGAATCTAAACAGCTAAAGCCAGAGAAACAAATTGATGAAAACTCTTCTTAAAACATAACTTAGGCTGGATGCGGTGGCTGATACCTGTAATCCCAGCTATTCGGGGGGCTGAGGCAGGAGAATGGCTTGAACCTGGGAGGTGGAGGTTGCAGTGAGCCAAGATGGCACCACTGCACTCCAGCCTGGGCGACAAGAGTGAAACTCCATCTCAAAATAAATAAACAAACAAACAAACACATAACTTACAGGCAACTGAAGATTGAGGTTTGCGAATAACTGGTATGAAGGTTTTGATGTGGGAAACGCTCTAAGCCACCACAGACTGGTATGGGATGGGAACCTAAGAAGATCCATATCATACACCAAGGACTGAGATAGGCCCAGGACAGACATTTTCCTTTGCCTGTTCTGGCAAGAGTTTTGCATCAGCTCCCTCCTCAGTGGGTAAAGAACAGAATTAGCACCAGATATATACTATATGCAATTTATAGGTGTACAAGACATTATGCCTAAGACAGTGAAAACCAACCCACCCAATAGATGAGCGTTCTGCTATATAACAACAGTGTGTGTTGGCGGGGGAGGAGAGTGGGTGTCAGAATGTATATGACCAGGAGATTCTACTCAAGAATAGAATAAATTGTTCTTGATTGCCCAGGCTATCATGCAATCAAAAGCCACTGGTGATCCAGCAGTACGGTACCTCTATTTCCTCTGCCATGCATAGAGGGACACACTTAGGTTACCTGAGATGGGGTCATTACACACACAGACACCAGCAGCTATCTCATAGCACCTCACGAGTTGGGATGCTTTTGCTGCTTATCTGCAGTGTCTGTATAGTTACATAATCCTAACTGGACCTGGATTCTGTAATCTGCACGCATCAGAAATTAACTGTGTTTCTTAAGTCACCATTGTTCTATAATAATATCTGGTTAGTTTTTTGTAGCAAGTTGGATGATTCTAAGAGGGTCTTGGCAACTCGGGGCCTTTGAAATTGAAGAATGAGAAGATAAAGAGACATCCCAAAGTCCCTCAACTGGGATGTGCTTCACCACATTGTGACTCTATATACATCAATCACATTCTGGGATGTATGTGTTCCCGCCTTCAAACTTCTTTCTTTGCTAATAGATGTGGTATGACAGATAAAGAGGTCACCCAGGCTTGGTGATAACCACAGATGGCAGGAATTATAATGCAGGGTGACAGGTAAGACCACGGAAACTCTTCCCTGGGCCACTTCCCAAGAAATGAGATCCCTAAGACTTTTGCATCCTCTTAAGCCTGAGCTCCCCCATCCTGGAGGATGGAGTCTGTGGGCAACTTTCCCTGCAGGCTCTTTTCAGTTATGACTAGGCTTCTTACCACCTCTACAAATGGCTTAGGTGGATAAGTGAAAACAATGGGAAGCAATGCAGAAGAAAATGAAAGAAGTTTGAGGTAAAAATGAAAGAGGTGGTGAGAGTTTATGATGCGGCTGCATTTTTGCTTGTTAACAAGTCACAGAGTATGACAGGTCTCCATGCCCCACACAGACTCCTCAGGAACATGACATACAGGGTCTTTCCCTTCCCTAAGTATCAGAGAGATGTCTAGGGAAATTCCTGATTTGAGAAGGGAAGGGAAAAAAAAAGTGAAAGCATAAAAGGCCGACATGCACTCTTTGGGTAGGTGTTCATGGGTCAGTGTCCCACACTTCATCCCAGCCTGACATGCACTGTATTATTGCTAATTGTGTGGCATGCCTCAGGTCTTCCCAGACTCAGGGAAGCCTGCCATCCTCCCCATGCTGTACCCACAATTCCCCAAGGCCACTTCCTCAATCCGTGCCCCACCCCCAAAGCACAGAACAAGTGCCCTGACTTGGTCACACCATAGAGACTTCCTAGAAGTATTGTAGGTCCGCTTTTCCTAGAGTCCTTGCTAGCTTGGACATGACTTGGCCCTGCCTACATGTACTCAGAGCATGAAGTTTAATTTAGTACCTTCCTAAAGATCACCTGGGGAGACAAAATCCAGGTCTCTTGCTAGGGGAAAAAAAAATTAAAAATCACAGGTTTGTTTGTTTGTTTGTTTGTTTTGCCAAAGTCAGAACTATCCTTCATGCAAATACCTTTGACTAATCCAGAGAAACACATTTTTAAACCTTTCCCCGTATATTTCCAAATGACGCTGGGAAAACACTGATGCCAATTCTTATCCTGGCTCCTGATCATCTTCCTAGTCTAGAGGTTGACCTTTTTTGTTTGTTTTTAATACAAGACCTTGCTATCACCCAGACTGGAGTGCACTGGTGTGACCATAGCTCACTGCAGCCTTGAACTTCTGGGCTCAAGGGATCCTCCCACATCAGTCTTCCAAAGTGCTGGCAGTACAGACCTGAGCCACCACACCCAGCCCTAGAATGTGACTTTCTAAGAGCCAGGGGAGCAGACAATATCTGGTCTTTCCAACAAGTCCCTGCATTGTAAAGCAGGTCTAGCTGAGGGCCAAATGAAAGTAGGAATCATGGGTTTGCAGCTGAGGATAGGGAGCAAGGTGAAGGGTGAGAAGTACACAATCTCAAGTTCATCCCCACAGTCCAGGTAAGGAGAGGAGAGGACAGAGGAAAGGTAGGGAAGGTAGAGAAGGTGAAAGACCTGCTCTTGCCACCAGGAAGCCAGGACCCCACTCCTACCTTCCTATGCTCTGAACCAACTATCCCACACAGGGAGGGAAGTTTTTGCCCAGCCCTGTTTCTATGAAAGAAACGACAGTTGTCTGATCAGAGAGAGAGAGAGAGAAAGCAAAGAAAATCCAGAGGCTGTAGAAAGGTTTCCCAAACACCAAATATTTTCCCCAAATTTCTTAAACTTCTCACGTATGTTTCAACCTGAGGACCTAACCACCAAGACAAATGGGCTCATCCCTACAAGGGACCAGGTCCTGATGTTAGTACTCTTCTTTGCTGGGTACCTTTCAAGAGAGGCCCAAGCAGTGAGTGTTGGGACTAATGGGAAGGAGAAGAGCCAGGCCAATTTTGTAAGAGGAGAAACAGTGAGCCAAGAGATAGTTCCTGAAGAAGAGAGGCAGGGAAGGCTTGGAATGTGGACCTCCTCAGTGGCCTGCAACCAGCGCTGCTACTTCTTCTGATGCCTTTACAAATCAACACAGTACCTCTTCCTTAAGCCCCTGTTAATGAAACCCCCTAAGCTGACCAGGATTAAAACATTCATCTACAGTCGGGGCAGAGAGCACTTACCTCCATCCGTACTGGAGAAACCCTGTAGGAACAAAAACAAGGCAGAGCGTTACTCTACATGTGGGGGTACAATCCCATCTTTTCCCATCTTTAAAGACTTAACCCATCTTTCTCCCATGCCCCAGCCCAGAATTTGACTGTGCTGGGGAAACGCAACGATCTCTTTTCTTCTGGACAATTTATTTAGAATTCCAAAATTATAATTCCCAATTTATACTAAATTTCTCCCAATAGAGATTTATTTCAATGATCTAGCAAATATCCTTGGTCATGCTGGAGAATGATATCAGAAAATCCCATCCTAAATTGATTTCATTAGATTGCTTTTCTGTCACTCATAGGTACAGCAGAAACAGTTATAAAATGGAGGGAGGTCCTGAGATGTTTGTTCAGAGCCTACTGGTTTTACGGACTCTACTCTTTGATACACGGCACCACCTGTTTTTTTGTTTGTTTGTCTTTGTTTTTTGTTTTTGTTTTTTTGAGACGCAGTCTTGCTGTGTCGCCCAGGCTGGAGTGCAGTGGCGTAATCTCAGCTCACTGCAAGCTCCGCCTCCCAGGTTTATGCCATTCTTCTGCCTCAGCCTCCTCAGTAGCTGGGATTACAGGCGCCTGCCACCGCACCTGGCTAATTTTTTTGTATTTTTTAGTACAGACAGGGTTTCACCACGTTAGCCAGGATGGTCTCGATCTCCTGACCTCGTGATCCACCCGCCCCGGCCTCCCAAAGTGCTGGGATTACAGGCACCATCTGTTTCTATATACAGTAAAATGTCATGTATTTACACTCTTTGTATTTGGAATTCTTGTCCACTTCATAAGGTGTTGCTTCTGGCCTTTTTATAATGAAAGACTCAAAAAGCAAACTATAATTAAAGCCACAAAGAGCATGTTTATTCTGCTTCATCAGAATTGGTTTTAGAATTCTAGAGTCCAATAAGAGAAGGCTTTTCAGGCACAAGGCATATCAGGGATCCGGAGAGCAGGCAGATGGGGTAATCTAATGACTCTTCCCTATGCCTTGCAGCAGGCCAGATGGTCCCACACCCAAAGATATGTCATGCTTAGCTTCAGGATGGCCCCTGGTCCTCACACATCTGCCCCTCATTTCATAGAGTTCGTGGCTCAGATTTCTCATCAATGCCCACTGGCCTGTTTCCCAGTTAGCACCATTTTGCTAGGCCCTACTTCCCCATGGAAATAACTTTGAGAAATCGTTTTGGTTTTCTTCACCTTCTGAAAGTCCTTGAAGGATTTTTCTGTTTCCTTCAGTTTCTCTAGGATGATTTGCTCTTTGGCAGATATCTGGGACTCTTCACTTTCTAGCGTTTGTATTTCTTGCTCCAGCCTGGAAAACACACAAACAAAGGACAAGTTACTTTATTGTCCTGCCATCCACGGGCAAGAGAGCAGCTCCTTCCTGTTGGGCGATTTGTACCTTCCTGGCAGCCTTTGTTTTACATTACGCTGAGGAGCCAGGCCAAGGTTTTACATTACACAGCATCTTGTGTTTCCAGCTCTGCCACTGGGCAGACATTGGTCAAGGGAAATCAACACAGCACTGCCTCCACTGGTTCACAGCCACCACTATGCAATATGTTTCGATGTTTCCCTGCCAACACCATGCATGTGCACCTTTCTTATTTGGAGGGAGATTATATTTACATAGCATAGGACATAACATCAGAAGGAAAATAGCTTCATATTCTCCTGACCGGCTCAGAGTAAGTGCTCTCTCAGGTTGGTCAAAAAGTAAAGGGCCATTCTTGCTCAAAGGAAGTATGTTGCCAAGAAATAGCTGGTGGCCAGTACCCTTGGGAGCCTGGTGTCCTCTCCCTCTGTGGTCTGGATTCTACTGCCAAAAAGAAGGGAAATGAAGAAGACAGATGCAACTGCCCCTGCCTTTTGGAACTTTCCTCAATTTTCACAGCCATCCTATGTATTTTATAAAAGGGAAATTTCAGCACTGCCAGGAGACTCTGGAAATATTCCAGAATAGCAGCTGCAGCTATGATTTGGGGAAAGTCTCAACAGCCATATTCTTTCAGTGAAATGATAATAATTACCACCAGTATTTACTGAGCACTTATTCTGTGCCAGGAACTGAGCTAAGAATTCATGTGGATTATTTTATCCAAACTTCCCAATGACCCTGTGAGTAGGGAATCCCCATTTTACCGATGAGATCAGTAGGGCTTGGCAAGGTGAAGTAACCTAGTAAAGCAGGCTTTAGTGCCACAGAGCCTTGAAGCAAGGATTCAAGCCAGGTGCTCTGACTCTAGACCCTGTTCCTAACCATTGAGCAACTCTTACCACATGGGATCTAAAGTGTTCTCCACATCCCCCACCTTGTTAAACATTACATATATTGGCAGAGTAGGATGGCACTGATATGCAGCAATGTCTTCAGGAAGAATGAAGGGATAAATGTTCTCTTGCTAAAACTCTAGATTGCTGTGCCTCTTGAATTATTTGATCTGAATTTATTCATTGGTTCATTCATTCAATCACTCATTCATTCATTTTTTCTTTTGGTCTCTTTCCCCTCTGTTGTGCTGGAAGCTTTGCTGCTGAGTCTGTGTCTGCCTATATAAGTCCCCTCCCTTGCCTTCCTCCTTTTCCATCTTTTTTTTTTTTTTTTTTTTTTTTTTTTTTTTTTTTGAGATAGAGTCTCACTCTGTCACCCAGGCTGGAGTGTAGTGGTACGATCATAGCTCACTGCAGCCTCTACCTCTTGGGCTCAAGCAATCCTCCCACCTCAGCTTCCCAAGGAGCTGGGACTAAAGGCACACACCACCATGCCCAGCTAATTTTTAATTTTTTTTTGTAGAGGTGAGGTCTTACTATGTTGCCTGCGTGGGTCTTGAACTCCTGGGCTTAAGCAATCCTCCTGCCTCAGGCTCCCAAAGTGCTGAGACTACAGGCGTGAGCCACCGTGCCTGGCCCTCTTTTTCCATCTTTTAATCTGCTCTCGGGAACTGGCCATTAGACTTAGACCTAAAATAAGGAGTTCAGAGTGGGGTTTTCTGAAAGGTAAGGAACACCAAGATCCAGGCATGAATTTATTTAGCGACATACTGTGCCCCTCAGATGGCCTTTCTGTTTCCTTCCTGGGTGTCAGAAAAGTGACCTCTGGAGGGATAATCTTTGCAGCAATTACTTTGGGTTATGAAGGCAAGCCCTATATCCAAATTAACCTCCTCCAAATGAACACAGCTCTGAAATATTTGTCATTTCACTCAGGGTAAAAGTAGAAGTCCTACAGCTTATAAGTCCCCATGGTATCTAGCCTCCCAGTACCTATCAGCTCCACTCTAACAACATGCCTATTTCACTTCATGCATTAGTCAAATAGAGCCACTCTTATTTGCCCACATGTACCCCATGTCTTTTCCTCCTCTAGGAAACTCAACTCAAACTCCCAACCATTCTTGAAGTCTCAGCTCAGATGCCACCTGTCATGAGGTGTTCACAGATTTCACTGCCAGGAAATAACATCGCTTCCCTCTGAACATTTCTTAGCACATTATTTTGTTTTATCAGAAGTCTTATCAAGTCTACCATATATTAGAGCAGTGGCTCTCAACTGAGGTGATCTTGTCCCTCAGGGGATATTCAGCAATGTCTAGAGATATTTTGGTTGTCCAAAGCTCAAGGGGGTGGGACTGGTGTTACTGGCACATAGTGGGTAGAGGCCAGGGATGCTGGTAAACATCCCACAGTGCACCGGATGGCACCCTACAGCAAAGAATTTTCTGGCCCCAAATAGTAACATACATTATTAATTTCCCCTACTAGATTATAAATTCCTCAGACAGAGGGCACAAATGCTCAATACACCTACATTGAATGAATTTAAAAAGCTGAGCTAAGTTGCGCAAAGGTGTGGCCCAGCCAAGATAAGACTTTCAGAATTTTGGAGACAAGAGTGAATTCTTCAGCAAGCTTTAACTTGAGAGGCTGTGTGTGGGCGAGACGCAAAGAGAATTTATGGAGAGGGGGCTGGCCAATCTAGAGATACGAACATAAAGATGTAAAACTTCTTTGCTGGTCCAGATGTTCAGCAAAATCTTCTACACACATCTGTGTAAATTATTTTGGGGGGAGTAAGTAAAGAGACATGAGTGTGAAATAGGAACAACACACGAGACAGTCACATTATCCAGAAACTGAATTAATTCAATGAGTAGAGGAGCTCTGGACTAGAGGTTCCCTGTGTAGACTGGATGATACTACCAACCAGGTGGGCTCTGAGCAGGTTTTATTTATTTATTTATTTATTTATTTGAGGTGTGATTACAGGCATGAGCCACCACACCTGGCCTGAGCAGATTTGATTTAAATCTCAAAGTACAGAGTACTTTAGCAGATATTTAGGGTGTGCAGTAGATTATATTATTCTTGGGCCGGTTGCGATGACTCATGCCTGTAATCTCAGCACTTTGGGAGGCCGAGGCAGGCGTATACCTGAGGTTAGGAGTTTGGGACTGGCCTGATCAACATGGTGAAAGCCCGTCTCTACTAAAAATACAAAAATTAGCTGGGCATGGTGGTGCACACCTGTAATCCCAACTACTCTAGAGGCTGAGGCAGGAGAACCGCTTGAACCCAGGAGACAGAGGCTGCAAGGCTGCAGCGAGCCCAGATTGCACCACTGCACTTCAGCCTGGGCAACAGAGTGTGACTCCATCTCAAAAAAAAAAAAAAAAGATTACATTATTCTCAAAAATATTCCCTTCCTTCCTCCCTTACTTCCATGGGAAGAGTACATGCTTCCCCAAGCCACTGATGTCAATCTTGACCATGTGATTTGCTCTAGGCTTATGGTAGATGGGTTACACTTCCCAGTCCCTTGGCACTGGCCGCAGCCATGTGACCTGCTTTAGCCAATAGGATGTGAGCAGATAAGACACAAGCAGAGGCTTGAAAAGTGCTTGCCCAGTTGAGCTTGTCCTCTTGCACCCCTTCCAATGCCAAGACAATAACTTATCTGGGCAGCTGCTGCCCCTTCAGCCTGGACCACAGAAAGAACACACATGGAATAGACCTGAGGCAAACCCATAGATAGGCACAGTGTGCCCTGGCCCTATGGGTTTCAGGGCTCTCAGCTATATAGTTCAGAAGCACCTGAAATTAGAGCCACTCAGCTAAGCCCAGCCTAGATCAGCAAATACCCAGCCTACTCACAGAAGTGTGGGCAAGAATAAATGACTTTGGGTTTAAGCCACTGAATTTGAGGGCGTGTTAGTTAGCATTATTGTGGTAATAATGAACTGGTACAGGTCAAATAGAAGTGTGTATACATTTTACATATATACACACACACACACACACACACACACACACATATGTATACACACATATATATATATACATCCTACTAATATATATCCCAATAATGTATATGCCAGTTATATAATATATATACACATATATTTATATGTGTGTTAATGTATTTATATATATCCCAATAATACCCAAAGCTAAACGATTAGAAAGAACATAAGGCACCCTCTCCTCCCTTCCCTAATCCTGAATCCTCTGAGAAATCTGGAGGGAAACAGGGCACACCTTCATGAGAATTAAGACTGAAAAAACAGAAAAATGTCAGTGATAGTTGTCTCTGAGTAATGGAATTAAAGGTGATTTCATTTTTAAAAAACAATTTTCAATATTTTCCCAGTTTAAAAAATTAGTTTGTAACTTATCTAACCAGAATGAAAACAACAAATTCCCTTTTCAAAATACCTCCTGAGGCTTTCTGCTGAGAAGGCAGCATCTCCCAGGCTGTGGCATGAAAGAGGGGCCAGGGCCTCAGCTTCCCATGTGTCTAGTGAAGGGGAAATGGGAGCACCCCAACATCTATTTAAATTCAAAATCAACATTTATGGAGCTTGTTTGGTTGGACTCCGAGCTAGGCACTACAGGGGATTCTAAAACAAACAAGATCGTGATAAAAATGGCTGACTAAAACCGAAAATGGCTGTCTCTCAGTAACTCACTTCTTCCAGTGAAGCAACCTTAAGTGGTTAAGAATTCTCTGCGACCTGATGCCCACTGGCTGGCCTGTCTCCACGGGGTGCCCTGGCCCTATGGGTTTCAAGGCTCTGCGCTATATGGTTCAGGTGCTAAAGATTTGGGTCATGATACTGTGTAACTGAGAAGGAACGAAGAGAGAGGGAGAGAAAAAAAAGGAACGAAATGAAACCTTTGTGATAACAACAACTGAGTTTCAACCCAAATGCAATGAATGAAGGAAATGGAGAGTTTATGTCAGATCCAATAGCAGATTTTTCTATAAGTTCACATGTGGCCTTGGGCCAGGCTCTGAGGGTGTGGTCAGTCCAGGCTGCTCTCTTTCTCAGGAAAACCTGAGTCCTGGGGCAAAGCAGCTTCGCAAGGAACAGAGTGTCATGGGGTTAACAACAGTCATCCCAGCCAGGCTGCAGACGCCACTGTTTTGTAGTTTCATGACTGAAATCTAATGCAGTCTTCTCTGGAAGAGCCAAGTAGATGTTGCTGTGCTAAAAATAAAGAATGGGCAGGAAGTGTAATTTACACGCAAGGTTAATTGAGGATCCGTAGGCTGTGGCAGGTGCACATAACAGCCTCTAACCTGCTTGCTCAGTTCCTTCTGAGCAAAAAGCAAACTGTAATAAGCCATAAGGAAAGGTGACACACTGCAGCTGTGTAGGTTTAATTTACTGGAGATGAGGTTGCAATCATGGCCAAATGGTCTTATAAAATGTACCTAACCCCAATAGATCATCCTCACAAGAAAACAGAAAGGAACTCTCGCTCTGGGAAGTGCATCGATCATGCTCTTATTTCAAAGTTTATTTAGACATTCATCCATCTAACTTCATGCAAACACCTTCTCTGTATCAGGCACTATGCTGAGCACTGGGGATGGAGAAATAAATCAGACACAGTGTCTGCTCATGAGACTTCTTGGTCAAGTAATGCAAACAGCCATGTGAACACATAAATTACAATACAAACCAAAAATAGCAATAATAGAGGAAAGAACAACATGCTGTAGAATAGTTGGTTCTGCCTGGGAGTGTGTGGTGGGGACGCTGAGTGGTCTTCTCAATATCTATTCTCCCCCTCTTCCAAACTAACAGAATCCTTATTTGGTTGGGGATGGCAACATGCCCACCTGAAAAAAATTATGTATCCTAGCTTCCACTGAAGATAAAGCTGGCCATGGGACAGCTCTGGCCAATGAGATGTAAGTAAAAATGATCCGAAGGGACTTCCACACAACTCCCTAAAAGGGAAAGGAGGGCTGGGTGCGGTGGCTCATGCCTGTAATCCCAGCACTTTGGGAGACTGAGGCTGGAGGATTGCTTGAGCCCAGGAGGATGAGACCAGCCTGAGCAACGTGGCAAGACAAGACCCCCACCTCTACAAATAATAAAAAGTTAGCTGGGCATGGTGACATATACCCTTAGTTCTAGCTACTCTGGAGGCTAAGGTGGGAAGATCACTTGAGCCCAGGAGTTCAAGACTGCAGTGAGTGATGATCACAACACTGTACTCCAGTCTGGGTGACAGAGTGAGACCCTGTCTCAAAAAAAAAAAAAAAAAAAAAAGGAAAGGAGCGTTGGCTTAAGTGACATTTGCCTTTCCTTCCTTCCTGCCAGGTACAGGGACCTGGTGCTAAAGAGACGCATTCGTTTCCAATTCCTGCTATAACAACTACAACAAACTTAGTGGCTTACAACAATCTACATTTATTATCTTATATTTCTGTATGTCAGAAGTCTGACACGGGGTTTGCCAGGCTAGAATCAAGGTGCTGGCAGCGTTGTGTTCCCTTCTGCAGGCTCTAGGGGAGAATCCATTTCCTTGCCCTTTTCAGCTCCCTGAGGTCACCCACGTTCCGTGCCTTGTGGGTCCCTTCCTCCATCTTCAAAACCAGCACTGTTGCATCTCTCTGACCTTCCCTGCAGCCACCCCTCCTTCTGATTTCTGCCTCCCTCTTCCACATTTAAGGATCTTGTGGTTATACAAAGTGTACCCAGATAATCCAGGATACTGATCTCCCTATTTTAAAGTCAGCTGTTTGGAAACTCTAATTCCATCTGTAATTTTAATTCCTCTTTGCCATGGAACCTACCATATTCACAGGTTCTGAGGCTTAGCCTGTGGACATCTCTGGGGGTCCATTATTCTACCTACTGCAAGGGATATGATGCTATAGGCAGAGCAGTAATCCTATGTCCACAGGGGCAATAGTATGTCTGAGTGTGCAGAAAGAGAGACATTGCCTGGGTCCCAGAGGGCACGATGGAAAGAGTACACCACTTCTGGAATGCCTGGCTCCAGATTGCTTGTTATGGGCTTAAGCCTCTGTTGTGATCATAGCTGAATGCAATTCTCAACTGATACAGGTGGTGAGAAAAACTCGACAAAGTAGATGATGAATTAACTGGGCCTTGAAGGATGCATTCACCAGGTAGAAAAGAGGAGAAAATGAGCCAGGCAGAGGAGACAGCATGGGCCAAGGCCCAGCATATCACATGTCCCTCCTGTCACTCAGGAGCATGTGGCCTTGTGTGGCCTTTTTGGGTCACAGCCTGCGCTGCCCTCCAGCTTCATAGCTCAGCACGGTGCCTTGGATAGGTTCTCGCCGTTTCCGTCCCCACTCCCAATGGCTCACTCATGCTCTCCTTCTGCTTCACTTGCCTGGCTCTCAAATACCTGGCCTTCAAGGCTCTGCTGAGAGCCTACCTTCCTGCAAGGCCCAAACAAAGAGAAGGGAAGACAGAGCATGCTGGCTGCTGGGGACCCGTGCCATTCAATCTCCAGTTCCTGCTTCCCAGATCCTCAGCTACTCCTTTGCCCTTCTTACTTACAAAAGCCAATACATTGGGAGGCCAAGGTGGGTGGATCACTTGAGGTCAGGAGTTTCAGACCAGCCTGTCCAATGTGGTGAAACTCCGTCTCTACTAAAAATACAAAAATTAGCTGGGCATGGTGGCAGGTGCCTATAATCCCAGCTACATGGGAGGCTGAGGCAGGAGAATCGCTTGAACCTGGGAGGCAGAGGTTGCAGTGAGCCGAGATCATGCCATTTCACTCTAGCCTGGGCGACAGTGCAAGATTCCATCTCAAAAAAAAAAAGCAAGCCAATATATTTTCCCTTTGCCTGGGTGTTGGTCAGTTGAATCCAAAGGAGCACAGACAAATACAACTTGGTTTTTAATTGTTTTACTGTTTGGAGAGGGTCTTGTCTGTGAACTCAGGTGGGCTTCATTTTTCCTTCCCCATCAATGATGATAATAATTATTA
Source organism: Homo sapiens (assembly GCF_000001405.40). NCBI lineage: Eukaryota > Metazoa > Chordata > Mammalia > Primates > Hominidae > Homo > Homo sapiens. The sequence continues at coordinate 109,915,782 of NC_000009.12, read as the reverse complement.
TAATACTAACAATTCTAATATTGTTTTTGCTAGATACAGTAATATATGTAACAATAATAATCATAAGGATTAGGATTATTGAGTGCTTACTGTGTGCTTGGAACTGTTATGAGTGTTTTACGTACATTATAATACTTAATCTTCACAATATCCCATGAAGTAAAAAAATCTGCAACTCCCATGACACAGATGGATGGATACACAGAAAGAGCACTGACTTGTCCAGGGTTGCAGAGATGATGTGCAGCCAGAATTTGGACCCTGGTGGTCTGGCTGGGGAACCAGTACCCTTTGCCCCTATCCTTGACATCCTCCCATGACCACTTGCCCTTTTACCTTCATTCCCTAAAGAATGCACATTGCAACACAATATATATTTTTCAAGCTCACAGAAGCACAGGTCAGACTGGGAGTAGAAGCCATTGAACTTAATTGCTCTCCAGAAACATGAAGTCCTTGAACTGTCCTCCACCCAACGATTATTTCACACCTTCTTGAACTTCTCCACACATGGGGAGCTCACCACCTCCCATGGCAAGCCAATCCCTCTTGGGACACTTAGGCCCATCGTAATGCCCACTCACAGATTTAAGCAATGTATCCCTCCCTATATCTTTCATTATCTGAGTTCCATCCCTTGAAAGGGCAGAGATCAAGTTTAGTAAACATCATGAATTATAAAGGCTCCACTCTGGGAAATGGGAAGATCTGGGGCAAACAAAACTTATTTTCCATGGTGGAGTACAGATACAAAGAGGTCCAGCAGTAGGAGGTGGTAGAAAGAGCAGAAAAGGAAAGGAGTAGAAAAACCAAGGGGAAAGAGGACTCCTGGGACCCTTCATGCAGTGAACTCAGCACCAACTAAAAGAGGAGGCAAGAGAAGCAGTAAAGAAGTGCTCACAAAATTCTCAGGACCCTATGAACACTTCTGAAAAAGGCTTACGCAAGACCAGCATATTCCTGACGATGGGCTGAGCCTTTATGAAATAACTCACTATTGAGAGACATAGACTAGGGTTACGCCCTACCCTATAGCCAAACACATTGCTACTCAGTTGACATGGGTTTGAATCTCAGTAACTACTCTCCGAATAAAAGGAGATGCTGACCAACTGGCTTAAGGTGCTTAATTCAGACCTGTTCTCTTCTCTGGAACTGCAGTTTCATAGTTGAGCAGTCAAGTGGGGTGCCTGTCTGGCCAACCTGCCAAAACAAGAACCTCAGAAGAAGTGTTTGCTGCTCAGAGGAGAGGAAAGCTGCCCACATGTTTATGAATTCAGCACAAGTAAAAGTGGAAAGGGGACTGCTAAGTTGCTCAATTTCCATCCTCCCCTTCTCTCAAAGCAATGTCATTCCTGTGGCTGAGCTGGGCATATGGCCACACAGAGTAAAGGCCACATCTCTCAGCATCCTTTGTAGCCACATGCTCTGGCCAAAGGCATGTAAGTGAAAGTGCTATATGTCAGCTCCTAGAATCTTCTTTAGCCCTTTCTTCTCCAGTTCTTTCTTCATCCTTTGCCTGAAATGCACATGTATGCAGCTGAGGCACAAACTGCCATCTTGGTCACTGTTGACAAGGATCAGTCTTTAGGGTTAAAGTGGAACAGGTCTGGGTCCCTAAGGAATTCACAGGGCACAGCCACCAAACAGCTCTTAACTGCATGCCTGTGGATGTTTACATAACTGCAGACCTGTGGATTTTTATTGAAGGGAGAAATAAGCATCTTGGCCGGGCGCGGTGGTTCACGCCTGTAATCCCAGCATTTTGGGAGGCCGAGGTGGGTGGATCACGAGGTCAGGAGATCAAGACCATCCTGGCTAACATGGTGAAACCCCATCTCTACTAAAAATACAAAAAATTAGCTGGGCGTAGTGGCGGGCGCCTGTAGTCCCAGCAACTCGGGAGGCTGAGGCAGGAGAATGGCATGAACCCAGGAGGCGGAGCTTGCAGTGAGCCGAGATTGCGCCACTGCACTCCAGCCTGGGCAACAGAGCCAGACTCCGTCTCAAAAAAAAAAAAAAAAAAAGAAATAAGCATCTTGTTTAAGCCACTGTTATTGTGGGTCTCTGTTCCTTGCATCCACATGGAATCCTAATTAATACAAGACACTTACCACATATTGTTGAATTTGAAGGAATGCTCTTAGAATTGTGCTGAGAATTAGGGATCACAGCTAATCAGAGCTTAGAGTCTTATCCATGACTCAGCAGCAGAAGAAAAAAAAATGAGCAATTGCAAGGTTGTGAATTCATTACTGCTAATCAACGCCTGTAAATGGGGTTGGCTGGAACTGTGCTTTGCCCCCCTTCTACTCCCCAAATCTCTGCCACATCCAAAGTCTCAGCAGAGAAGTTTCTACTCCTTGCACAATTATAATCACCCATGTCTTAGCATCTCTTTGGTGCGCTATTTGTGTCCGTCTGGCTTCCTGCCAGAGCCTTTGCCAGCTGAATTATATCAGAAAGAGCCAAGACATGCCTAAGTATACATTTTAAACACCTTTCCAGCCTTGCAGTGCAGCGAGCTGATCGCTCCTATAAATAAGACTTAACAACATAGAGCTCACCCATGACCTTGAAGTTTCAGTTATGTGGTGGGAAGAGAAGACTGATCACATGTGGTTCAGAAGTGAGTGTGGGGACAGGGGCTAAGGTGGCAGGCAGCTGAAAATTTTGCCTGCCCAGGGTCCCTCTGCCCTTTTCTTTTAGGAACAACATCCAGCTCCTCCACTGGGAAAAAAGTCTCTCTAGGGTTCCTTGTAGATTTGGTGAAACTATTGGTCAGAAGGCTCACATCCCTGGCCAAGGAGTAGAAACATATCTAAGCTAGGCCAACTGAACTCTTGCCCAAAGATCTTTGTCTTGAGAGAAGTGACTCAAAGAATAAAAACTAATCGGGGGTGAATTCGTCCCATGGTAAAACTCTGAAGAGACCACTTCATTAGTTCCTGCTGCCTGGAATTCCAGATCTGTCTGAGATGTGATTATCTGACCCCTTCTTCCATCCTAAGAATATTTAACCTCATCGATCTATCTATCTTATCTGTCTGTCTGTCTGTCTATCTATCTATCTATCTAATCTAGCTCTCTAGCAATCTATCTGTCCTATCTATCATCTATCTTAATACCTCCATTTCAATATTCTAGGTAGAACACTGGGAAGAATATTGTTTTCATGCAAATCAATGCTACAAAATTCATTTTCCACATTTCAGGAAGACAGCGCATTTGTTTCTATGGCACTCCACAAATATTTATCCTTTGTGACTCAATTTGTAAGGAAACAGCTTCCTTTTATTTAGATGAGTCTATCTGGAGTCACGGCAGATCATTTGGTATTTTAATATGAAAACATGTTAATGGCCCTTAAGTAAACAGAGGATTTCCACTTTTCCTTATGAAAGAACAGGGCCTTCCTTGACTGTAAGGTGTCAGTGGAAACTCAAGCCCATTTCCTCCTCTTTTTTTTTTTTCCTCACGTCATCCCTGAGACAGAAATATGGCAGAGAAGACAAGGGTCCCTTTAAGAATTCCAAAGGTCCAGCTCACATCCTTTCCTGGTGGCTCCCTCTCACCTCCTTCCCAAACCCCATCAAACTTCTTCGGCTGGAAGTTCACACCCTCCATGTTCTGCTCCCACCCCTTTCCAGCCTTATGCCTTCCTGTCTTCAGCCAAGACCTCAAACTGCTCCTGACAAAGCCAGGAAGGACTCCCCACTCTCAACTCCATTGTCTGAAAACAGATATCATAATAAAAGCCCAAATCAAATTACATCTCTTTAGGAATGTTTTCCATAATTCCCCCAGCCCCCCAACCCAGCCTGGTATGTTCATTCATTCTGATTCTCCACAGCATTTCTAACTTTTGGTACACTCTGCCTTGTATTAGAGTGTTAAAAATATATTTATCCTTCCCAACCCTATCTATACCTTCTCCCAAGTGCAGGCTTATTAAGAGATAGGACTATATATTTTGTGTTACTGTACCTCACATTCTTCCCTGTACATACAGATGCTCAATAAATATTTGTTGAGTGCATAAAAAGCAAAGCTACCCAAGAACATGCTTCTAAAGGATTCTATAGTGAATGTAACTTGGAGATGGTGATAGTAAATGTAATTTTTAAAATCTTGGCTTGGTTTTTCTACTTTCCCCTCAAATATACAAATTTAGATATTCAGTGAGAAAAAAGAACAATATTGGACTGATTTATATCTTGATCTAAGTATACAGCTGGGACATGGCAGCACTTTTCATTATTGATGGTGATGTAATCATATTGAAGCCCAAATACAAATAAATGAAAATTTCTCTCTCCATAAGTGTGCTTCAGCCCATGGAGACACCAGCTTTTCTCTCCTTTTCATGTGTATTTACTCCATCTGGAATCACATGACTCACACTATCAGAATCTGTGCAAGTGGATTTCCGTGTAGGAAATCATTTCCAGGCTTGAGCTGAGCACTGATTTCTTTGTTGTGATTCTTATTTGAGTCTGTTTCATCAGAAATAAAGAGTTTTGATTACAGGAAAGTGAGATTATTTCATTTCAAAGCAGTACTTTTCTCAATAGCTTAAACCCCCTCCTTTTCCCCCTAAAAATGTCCCTTTTTTCTAGGAAGAGAAAAAGTCCCATCCAGCCACACCTTCTGACCTCCAGCCTCTGACTCAGACTGTCTGTTGAAGGCCAGCGCCTCCACCCCTGCACCTGAGCTTGTGCAGACTGATCTGGGAGGATACCCCATTAACTATCCCCTCTCCCCTGTGTCTTCACCTCTCTCCAAGATGCCTCCTTCCTGCTAGTCAATAAACAAGAATTATCTCTTTCCATACTAAAAATAAGTGAACTTCTCTTGACCCTGCATCCTGTTCTAGTTGCTGCTGAATCCCTCTTCCAGACTTCCCCAAGGCCAGTCATCTCTTACTGCCTCAACATCCTCACATCCTGACCCCTCCTCAGCCTCAGTCCCTCTGCACTCACCGCCCTGCTGCGTCTGCTCCTAGTCAAGTCCATGCCTCAGCCTCAGTCCCTCTGCCCTCACCGCCCTGCTGCATCTGCTTTTAGTCAAGTCCATGCCTCAGCCTCAGTCCCTCTGCCCTCATGCCCTGCTGCGTCTGCTCCTAGTCAAGTCCATGACTGCCACGTCCAGCGGACCCTCTTTGGTGTGGATCTGTTTGACTTCTTCGTTTTTAAAAACATATTTGATCACTCTTCCTCCATGATGAAGAGACCATGACGCCATGTTCTCCATATGGGCACCTCTTCTCCTACTCTACCACTAAAGGTTTATTTGTTTTATTGTTCTTATTGATTAACATTTAATTCTTGGCTACTCATGTCCAGCCTCATGCTTTAATTCCTACCGAACATGCTTAAATCTATCCAAACTATATCTTCAGCATCTCTCCTGAACTCCAGCCTTTATGTACAATTGTATTTTGAATGTCTCCACCCGGATGGTCCACATACACAACATATACAGGACCAAACTCATCTTTCTCCATAGAGCTGCTCCTCCCTATTCTCTAGCTCAGATGCTGGTACCACCGTTAATCCATTCTACTTAGGAGGGAAACCTAGATGTTGTCTTCACCTCTGGCTTGACCCTCGCTTACTATCATCACGTACATGTATCTTATTAGTCACCAGGTCAACTAAGTGTCTTATTAGCCACCAAGCCAATTTGCCCCACAAATCTCTTTTCATAGCTGCTTCTCTTCAGCCCTAGTATAGGCTCTCTCCTAAATGCCTGCAACAACCTTCTAACCAATCTCTCTGCTTCTATGCAGCCCCATCACCCTAAAATCCAGAATGTGCCTAGACACACCACAATAGCACTCCCCTGCTGAAAACCCCTCATGGGCTCTCTGCTAAAGCTCATGGATATGACACACTCCCAGCCTCTCATTTACCTGCAGAAATGAAGATTTCCTTGTTTGGCTCAATGACTTTGCTCATACCACCCCTCTGCCTGGATTGCCCTTGTTCTCTCTCTTCCCCTTCCCATGGGTAATTACTACTCATTTTTAAAGCATCTGCTCAGGTATCATCTCTTTATGGAAGTCTTCTTTGGACTTTTCCCATGAAGGTGCTCTTCTTCTTTGCTGCCATATCTCATGGACATATTTCTACCACCAACTTTATCCCACTGTATTTTAATCACTCATTCATGGATTTTGGGCTCCCTTCCCTAACTCCAGTTTACAAACCTCTAGAGGATAATTACCATCACTTTTTCATCTTCCTTTGATGATGGCTTCTAGCATCTAGCTGGCCTGTATCTAGCAAGGAACCTGCCTCATTGAAAGTTCTCAGTAAGTGTTGGTTGAGTAAATGACTGTCTCAATGAACACATAAATTGTTTCTCAACTGGAAGTAGCCTCAAGCAGACCTTCCGGCTCAGTTCTTTCAGTCAAAAATGAATCTTAAAAGAACAAATTCAAATTAACATCAATCCTGGACTTAGTAAAAACAACAGATTAAAAAGAAACTGGTCTTATTTGCTTTCTCTGAAGCAGGAGGATGCAGAAGGTAACTGCTGTGTGGCTCTGTACTCTTTACCCCAAGTTCCCCAAATATACAATTTCATCTAACCCCAGGTGTGTGTGTGTGTGTGTGCGTGCGCGCGTGTGTAATGTACTATTCTTATCTACTATGAGGTACTCTTATTTATTCTCACCTAAATAAAACCATAAGTAGAAGATGCACAGATATGTAGGAATTGGGCCAGAATGATGGACAGTCTCAGCATTTACTTCATTTTGCCCTGTGACGCTCTCTGAGTTCACCCCTTCATGCAGGAAGCATCTGGGCTTTCATACCAGATTGTGAAAATTGTTTATGTGGTGCATTCCTCTCTTCCAAATCCCTGTTTACTCATTGTGCCTAAATCCAGCGCTCTGTGATAGCTTTCCTGCTGAGTTAGATTTTCCCATCGGCCTCTGTGTGTGTGTGTGTGTGTGTGTGTGTGTGCACACGCATCCATACAGCCTCAGCCACATCTTTCACAAATGCCCAAACTGGGAATAATCACCATATTTTTGCCTGTTGTCCATATTGGAGGTTACTCTGGAGAGACTGGTAGTGTTTTCAAGACGCATGAGTTAGTATCTCAATGAGTCATTCATTGAAAAAAAATTAACGTCAAACAACAGGGGTAAAATAGTTCACATTTACTGAGCATTTACTGTAATAGACAATGCCAGATGATATGCTAAATGGTTTGTAAGCATTATTCAATTCTTTGCACTTGGTAAAATATCTACTACTGTTATTCGCACTTGACAGATGAAGAACTTGAGGTTGAGAGAGTTCAAGCAACTTATGACCTTCCACCAGTAAGTGGCAGAGCTGGGATTCAAACCCAGGTCTGCTTGTAGCTAGAGCCTAGAATATTAACTGCTACCCTGCAGTGTGTCCTGCCTAAGAGCAAATGAAACCACTCCCAATCCAAATGTTTTCAGCATTTCCTCTTTTTGGGGTAGATTTTTCTTTTCCAACATCTTGATCAAAGGGAGCTGCTGTGGTTTAAGGAGAAAGCTGACTGGGAGCTCCTGTCACTCCACCCCTTGCCTGGCTTGGTCTTTCCATAGGATACACAGGATTTGGAAATCACTGCTCTATGAAAGCAGAAACAGCATGTATTGCTATGGCATCCACAGTGCCTAGAAGAGTATTTGCACACAGCCTGTGCTCAATCAATATAGTTCTAAAAGGGAACATTCTCTCTTGTGGTCACCTACAGCATGGATTTCCCTAAACTACCCAAAAGGACACCAAAGAATAAACAGCACCTCTGACCTTTGAGCCATGGACGGCAGAATGATATCTATCCGGAAGGTAGAGATGACGACTTAATTGTACCTGAAACAGAGACTAGGAAGGAGGTCGGCATGGGGTGCTATGGCAGTGGCTGGGAGGCTTCCAACTGATCCAAACTGCTCTTCCTCAAGAGAACTTTGTCTTGGGTTTTGTTTTGTTTTTTGCTAACTGTGTTTTCCGTGCTTGACATTACCAGGTGACAGCTTCTCCTCAGTGGAGAAATTTGTCATCCCACTGGGATAATTCCAGAGTTATTGTAAGAGTTCCTGCTCCCACCAGATCAAGCCAATCAGGAAGCTCCTCCACATGGGTTGTGCCGGGCTGATTGTTTCCCGCTTGGCTGCTTCCTGCTATTGTTCTCTGTCATGTTCTCAGAGGCGCAACTACTGAACCCTACCCCTTCCTCTCAGAAGCTGAGGGCTGCATCATGGCTTTGGGTCAAGGTATACTCGGCTCAGAGATCAAGGCATCTGGCAGAGAGAGAAAGGCCTGAAATGAAAATAGAGGCAGGCAGTTCCTGGCCCAGGTGACCAGAGCAGAAATCACAGAGCTTAAAACACCCAGAAATATGAGTCTTTCAGGTCTTGGAAGGGAAGTTTGAAATGTTCTGGGTCACTCATTCATGTTTATCGAGCATTATCAAGCAAGTGTTGGGCTATATTCAGTAACAGCTGCCCAGTCTCTACTTTTGAGAAATTCATCATCTCATGAGGGAGGAAGCTATATGAATAGTTACAATGCAGTGCACAGTAGAGCTCAAATTGCAAGACCAAAATGCTGCAGGAATGCAAAGAAGAGAGTCTGAGTAACTCTGCTTGTGGGGAGGCAGGGCAGGATTTCAGGAGGTTGGAACATGTCAGTAGGATCTTGAAGAGAAAAATGATCAAGGCATAGAGGTGTTCAGACAGCATTTCAAGCTAGGATGATAACATGGACAAAGGGGCTTTGATGCAGAAATGTGCAAGGCAGGCTCAAGTGAGTGAATGAGGACCTCTGTAGGACTGGCCTATCTGAGTGCACTCATGAGGGAAAGAAAGTGACAGGGAGGATCAGGCTCAGGATATGATGGCTCTTGAATGCCACACTAATGAGTCTGATTCGGAAAGTAACAGAAAGCCATTTGAGTTTCTTGTTTGTCTGTCTGCCTGTTTATGTGTTTGCTTTAAGTCAGTGATAGGATTGGCTATGTTCTAGAAAGACCATGTGGACAGATGTGAAAAGAACGGATTTGGATGTATGAAAGGGTTACAGAGTGAAACCATAAAGAACAATTAGGAGTTGTCCAAGCAAGGGATGGTGAAGCCAAGCTTAGCATGGACTACTGTGGGAAGCAAGAAGGTTCCATTTATTGATTTTTATAGTATAATGATGTTGACAACTTCCTAAGCTAACCTTTTTGCATTTGTGTGGCTGCACAGGCTGGGCTGAAAAAAAGTTGGCAATATTAAAGTGTAAAACTATTGCTGGGCACAGTGGCTCATGCCTGTAATCTCAGCACTTTGGGAGGCTGAGGCAGGTGGATCGCTTGAAGTCAGGAGTTCAAGACCAGCCTGGCCAACATGATGAAACCCCGTCTCTACGGAAAATACAAAAATTAGCCAGGCATGGTGGCACAGGCCTATAATCCCAGCTACTGGGGAGGCTGAGGCAGGAGAATTGCTTGAACCCAGGAGTTGGAGGTTGCAGTGAGCCGAGATTGCACCACTGCACTCCAGCCTGGGTGACAGAGCAAGATTCCATCCCCCCTACCCCCGCAAAATTGTAAAACTATGACCAGAAGTAGATTGAGGTTGCCCAGTGACTAGAGATTGGCTGGGGTTGGTGGGAGCCCTGGATTTTCCTCTTCTTTCCAGCCCACCTCTCAGCCACTTCCATGTGATGGCCCAGCTGTCCCAGGCACCACGGGGCACCTCTTCTTGAGGAAAAGAAGGAAATGCAACGTAAACTGACCATTTCTTCTCTTTTTTGTAAAAAAGTTTATTTGTTTATTTATTTTTAGTAGAGACAGGGTTTCGCTATGTTTCCCAGGCTGGTCTTGAACTCCTGGCCTCAAGTGATCCTCCCACCTCAGCCTCCCAAAATGCTGGGATTACAGGAACCTGCCACCATCCCTGGCCTGACTGTTTCTTCTCCCTGTGATCATTTATGGTAACGTGTTGGCCAAGGCATGAATTTGAAGCTTGAGGCCCTAATTTAAGATGTCCCAGGGACTGAACTGATATCATCTGAAGTCCAAGGACAGCCTGGCCCCTTAACCTACTGAGCTGCATTACTGCCCTCACCCGGCTGCAGCAAAACGGGGCTTGGGGTAGCCGACTGAAGGATGGTCATGGAGTTTGAGAAATGCTGAAACTTTTCTCCTGTATGGCTGAGAAACTGAGTCAGCATCTAACGCTGCATCCTGCATGTGCTGCGGGTAGATCGCCACCCTGCACTGTTGGTTTCTCACGGGCACAGTCGTTGCATTCTCTCTGGCATCTCTCTGCCTTTTTCCTGTCTTAGATAAAATAGAGACATTTTGCCTTACAAATGGCAGTGAGAAGGGCCTTTGGGGCCCTTTTCTGGTGGTACAGATGGTGTTGAGGCAGAAGTATCTGTATCCTGGCCCTGGCTCATGCGTGCCCCCTGGGAGGCTGGACAGGGACAATGGCCTCGATGGCTGAGTCCACCTGGCCTGAGTGCAGAGAACACTGAGCTTCAGGTGTTGAGTGGGTAGGTCACTGTCCCAGTACATTTATTATGGGAGTTGGAGACAAAAACTTTAGGAACTAAAACTAAAGTTTAAAATATTCTTTGGTGAACTTTATCCCTATAGACTTAACAGCCCTAATTCTATTTTACAACAGCTATTATGTCGAGAATGATGCAGATTTCTCAGTTTTCAAATCCAAAATGTTCTGTGAGGGTAGAATTTTCCTTACACCCAGGAGACTGCAAATTGGAACCTCCAGATACAAAATGATTCACACGCAGGGATCAAAGCCTGAGGGGTAAAGCAAATTTCCTTAAGCCAAATTTTAAAAGCCCTTTTACAGCACAGAAGTGGCTTGCATAACGTCCAAAGAAAAACAATGCCACTTAAAATCCACCCAGAGACTTATGCTTTTAATTAAAGCCCTCTGTCACAGAGATGATCTGATAGTCCACTTGAAATGTGAACTCTTGGATACAGAGATAGTACATCGTGCTCCAGAATAATAATTTTAAAAAACAGCCTGCCTCTTCCCGCTGGCTTGGCTTATGTGAAATCAGCACCGGCCACCTCTGTGTTCAGCAGAGGTCCCACCCCTGAAGTTGTCCTACCACATCCATCATTTCTAAATCCTGAGACTAAGGGAGAATTACCTGCTGAAAGCACACAGCAACTTCCCTGGAACCCTCAGCTATAAGAGAGTTCAAGACAGACTAGATTTGTTTTAGAAATAGTACAGGCATCTCGGTATGAGACGTCTCATGCAGAGGCAATGACCTGGGACCTGCATAAATGTTTTCATGTGAATGAATGAATGATCACAAGCCTCCTGAGCACATAAGAAAATTATATTCCCATGAAACCCAAGTCATAATAATAATAACAACATTTGTGTAATGCTTTAGAGTTTACAACATCCTTTCACAGCAATTAGGGATTATTTTATTCCCATGTTATAGGTAAGAAAATTGACAGGAAGGCAAAAGGGAATCTAAACACCTTTCATGCTGCAATCTGATTTTCTCCTCAATCTATAAAATGGTTATAATGATGCATATGGAATACCTACATCAAAGTTATGAAGCTTAAATGAGCTAATGTTTAAAATACCTCAGAACACTGCCCGCCTCCATGGAGCAAGTACTATTCAAATGTTTGTGCTTCCTTTCTCTTCCAGTGCTTTAAAAAAATTTAATTTAGAAACAAGTCTGTTAAATACAGCATTTATAAGATAAACCAAAGCATACTATTTAATAGAATAAATTCAAATTCATCTTAATATGTGCTTTGTGGCCCACAATATTCAGGAATATCTGTAGATTCTGATGTTAAACTGATTTTCCAGAGAATGAGAATACATTCTATCATTTGAATGCCAGAAGGAAAACTAAAGTGTTGATTATTGGCTTCAAGGATGGTAAAAGTTAAGATTGTGTATGCACATGTGTGTCTACATGTAAAAAAAAAAAAAAAAATCCAGAAAATCTGATGCAAGTTCGCTATGTGGGAGCGGCTTATGTGCACATGGAGGGCCATCTAGTGGCAGGTGAAGTCATAGTTCCCTAACTGAGGTAGCACATGTGGGAATTTAGGTAAAGCTGGGAGGAGACAGCTGTGATTCTGCTGATTTGGTATTGTGTACTTAGGAGGAGAAAGTTCATTAAATGTCCACAACACTGAACTCCTTGTTCCCTTGTTGTTTTCAAAGGAACAGTGCACTTGCCCTTAATGCTGTGTGCAAAAATATCCAGCTAAGCCATGTAACCCAGGAACAGGGAGAAAAAGTGGTTGGGAAGGTCCAGGGATTCGGGCCTTCTAGAAGTAGTGGGCCTATGTGAACCATCTTCATTGAGATCATCACTTTAGAGGGGGCACCTAATAAATGGGTTGCAGTAAGTGTCCCCAAAGATCAATTATGAACAACCCAACCAGTGGCCCTGTGGTCCAGTATGGCCAACCCCTCCCGGTACGCATATCCTCCCTGCCACCAAAGGCCAGTCTCGGTGCTGATGTGAACCCCAAGGCTCATGGCTCTCCTGCTTCTGAAAAGCAGCAGCAAGACCCCGCACAGCATGCTCCTGCAAAGTGCTCTTCCTCCCTGCGGCTGGCTCACCATGCTTCTCCGGCATGTGTGTCCCAGGCCCTTTGCTCAAGAGCAGCTCTTTCACCCGTGCATCTGGTAACCCAGTGACCTGGGCCAGGAGTGATATCTGGCTCATGAGCTCAAGCAGAAAAAGGTGTCCATGAAATCTCTGAGGCTCCAGAGACTGGGGCCTCTGTCATCTCAGCAATGCCAGAAACCAACACAAGGACCTACATAAAGTAGACCTGGGTATCTGTGGGACTGAGTGAGAACTGAGTAGGGACCGGCACTTATGGGCATGCACACTTGCTCCTTCATGTTCTCTTCTCACTTGGACCAGAAGGGCATAGATGTGTTCCACATGGACAGGGAATTCCTCCCAGAGCAGGCGTCGGTCATATGTATCTTTGGATTTCCAAAGTCCAAGCAGGGCCAAGGGCACAGTAAATGTCTGGAAACTGACAGTTAGACTCTGTCATGTGGCCATGAGGTCCTCTACTCTAAAAGCTAACTGAGAAGTGGCCAAGGCACTGAATACATTCATCAATGCATTCCACCTTTCAACGCATTGAATTCAACAGAAGTAGCACTTACAAAAGAAGTCAATGCTGACACATCTCACCTAACAAAGTGCCACTAGAAGGGCTTCCTGGAGTATCCAGCTACTTTTACTTCATTACAATGATGGCTCACTGTATGGCCTTTCAGGGGCTCAGTAAATTGAGGGATGGCTGAATTGACGTCATAATGAAAGAATGCTGCTGTTCTGATTATATCCCTCCCATGCTCCCATGGAGGCTCTGCCTCTGGCCAGAGAGAAACGGGAGCCACAGAGGACAAGCTCTCTGATGCTGTAAGGAGAGAAAGATGAAAGGGTGCTATAGAAGCTGGGAACTCACTATGCGCTAGGCACTGATGAGACACTTTACATATATTAACTTGATTAAGATTTACAACAGCCAAATGAGATACATATCATTGATTCCCACTTTGCAGATGGGTGAAGTAGCTTGCCCAAGGTCCCATGTAGTTAATGAGATGTGAGGCTGAGATTCAGATGAGGTCAGTCTGATACTGAAAAACGTACCCTTTTCGCTGCATCTGTAATAAGATCCTGCTCAGTCTTTGGGAACCCTGGGGAAAGAGAAACCCTAATCTGTGATAGAACTCTATTCAGATCCAAGATATTGCTGATATTTAAAAAAAGAAAAAGAAAAGGAGACAGCGGATGCAGCAATGCTTCTCCCTGCAACTCTCCAGAGCCGTGCGCTGCTTCTGTCTGATTCTTTCTCTGGCCCAGCCACGATGATCTTGGGATTTTTGAATGACTTGTTTTATTTGCTTTCTGGTGTTCTCATCCATCCTCTATTGGTAGATTGTCTTCCTCAGTCTTGCCAAATTCAACCAAAATGAGTGGCCTGCCCAGCTGGTTCCCAGTCTGCCCTTGACTTCTCTACCTCCTGCCTTGCTCTAATTGTGACATTGAACCAGCATCCTAACCTCACAACGGCCTTTATTATACCTCTGAAACTTCTAATAGTGTTCTGTGGCCTCTGGGATAAATTCTAAGTCCCTCCACTTAGCATTCAGAGGCCCCTGTGAGCTGTTTCCAATCTGCTATTCTGACTCTTCTCCAGAACTGCTTCTGTGGTTAGGCCTGAGATTATCCCATCTTCAAAGAGACAGAAGATCCTGCGAAGAACCTCCCTTTGGCTGGCCATGCCTGGACTGTTTCTCCTAATGGACAGAGTGACTCAGTGAAAGCAGGAATCAACTGTGTCCTCCCTGTTTCCACACTCATGTCCGTTCCCAGGGAGAGACAACATACCAGAGATAGTGACAACCTCCACGTGGAGCTAAGCCCCTCTCAGCTGTTTACAACAGGTGGCTGAGCTGAGAAGAGCCAAATAAGCTTGGTCTGCATAGAGTATCTGTAACAACCTGCTGACATTGCCCATTTAGCAGTCCAACTCCTAGGTGGTCACAGTTTCCTAATGACAGCATTATCCAGTAACTCAGGTCCAGTTCTGGAGCTGGGATACTACTTGAGGCTGAAAGGGCCAAATCTTCACTGAGGTCAAGGAAGGACCCCCATTTTCCAGTCTGGTTCCACCTAATGATATCCAGGTACATTTGCTCCATCTCAATAGCAACCATTCAGTTCATATCCCAACATGGCTTCGTAGTTCATTTCCTATGAGCTTGAAACTCCCTTCCAATTAATTGAGACATACTGAATTTGATTTACCTTTTACTTTTTAGAAGAAGAGACCATCACTGATTTAAAAGATTCAGGTATTAAAGGTTCTGGGTGCAGACCAGAATGTTCTGTCTGAAGTCAAAGTTAACTGTCTTTTGGTGGTAAGAAATATTTCTTGGAAGGAGATCTTCTAATGTCAAATGATGGGACTCAAGTACAATAGAAACGTCAGTCCAGAAGCTTCAGGAAATCTCTGAAAACTCCAAATTAAAAAACTCTAAAGGCTTGCCTCCCATTATTATTGGGTAGATTATAGGTCTTGTGAGGGTAATGACTGTCATTTTCATCTCTGTATCTCTAATTATGCTTGGCCTCCAGAAGAAGCACTTGATTGAATGATGAATACATTTTAGAAAGATTAACTCAGCCAAACACCACTGGGGTAAAAGCCCAAATCCTAAGGTCCTCCATGGTCACTACTTTCTTGAATTTCTACTATCTTGAGGACAAGTATGACATCTCTCAGTACTTGTTTACCCATCTATTGGGTGCCTAGACTGTCAGATCTGTAAGAGCAAGGGAGATGATTTTACTTATTTTCTGTAACTCCAATGCTTTGCCATTGCGATGCATGACACTCAATGGATACCTACTTAATCATTTTGACTCAAGTGGATGTTATATCAACCAATTTAGAGCAAGAATTGTTAGCAAGAATGTTTGTTCATGGCAGTACTTGTCTATACTTCTCAGTAAATGTCAAGAAAACAATCTCCTTCCTTTAGTTTCTTGTCATGATTGCATGCCAATCAGAGTAATTGAGACAAAAGCTGAACTTCCCACTGGAAACGCTTACAGAGAGAAATATTACAAGCATTTATGTCCAGAGTATCCATGGGCATGTCATCTGCACTTTTGTCATTGTTTTCTTTCTTTATGTAAATATGTTTGAAAACCCATTGAGCCTGGCAGTGTACTAAGATCTGAGAATACAAGGGTGAACACTGTAGTGTGTTTACCCCTAGGCAGCTGAGGCTAGAGGAGGATAGAGAAAAAAATCAGCTTCCAATGTACTATGACACAGTAAGCTCTAAGGTAAATATGCCCACAGGAAACATTAAACCAGGGTTTAGGGCTCAGGGAAAGTGGTATCTCAGCTGAGACTTGATGGTTCAGTAGGAGTTAACCACATAAAGAGCAGCTGAAGAACGTTCCTTGGAGAAGGGACAGTAGATCCAAAGAACGGGACACAGACAGAGCTTGGTACATCCAAGGAATGGCAGGTAGTTGCTGGAGTGGTCAGCAATGGAATGACACAATTATGAGAGACAAGGCCAGAGAAGTAAGAGGAGGTCACATCATAAAAGACTCTCTAAGCTAAATTAAGGAAGTTGAACTTTATCTTATAGTCCAAGGAAAACAGGTAAAGGGTTTGAAGCTGGAGAGTAGCATCATCAAATATGAACTTTGAAAGATACTTCTGCTGGGTGGCAGAGGTTAGGTCAGAAGGACACAACACTAGGGGAAGGGAGACTAGGTGAGAAGCTCTTGCATCAATCCCCATGAAAGATAATGGTGGCCTGGACTACTGTCATGGAAGTGGGAAAGAAAAAGTGTAGAAGGAATCAAGAATCCTTTTATTATATAAAATTACTGATTAGATAGAGGATTTGAAAGGGTGAAAAGAAGCAAGGACAATGTCCTGATTTCAGACTTGGGCAACTGGGTGCATGGTGATGTTTTTCAATGAGATTAAGAATCAATGAAAAGGAATCAATCAGAGAAAGTAATGACTAATGAATTTTTAGCATGCTGAGTTATAGGTGTCTGGGGGGATCCAAATGGATATGGTTAGGGGGCAGTTGGCTATATGGGTAGGTCTGGAGAAAAAATTAGATCAAAGAATGCCTATATTTCAGAAGCCATGGGAACAGACAATGTCACTCAGAGAATGGGAGAAGTGAAGAAAGGAGCCCCAAGTCAAGAACCTCAAAGCACCAATATTTCCCAGATGGACAGAGGAAGGATAGTGTCATCTCAAGTAAACAAGGAGAGAGTGTGTTTCAAGAAGAAATAGGGAGCATTCAGCAGCTTCCGTTGCTGCTCAACAGTTGATGAAAGTGAGGATTTAGAAGTCTCCTTTGCACTTAGCCCCTAAATAGTCACTGGTGATTTGGCAGGTGTAGGAGAGTGAATGGGACATAGAGACGCTGCTCCAAATATGGGGGAGGAGGAAGGGAGAGTTAGTGCAGAAGAAAAATGGAGTCAGTGGAGTTTGGGATGGGAAAGTGTTTTTTAACAAATGGCTGTTCCAAAGTCAGTTAGAAATTCCTAAGATCTTCATAAAGTATAGAGACTTGTTTTTTATCGAGACTCCTAATGTTTAATCTTCAGATTGATTTCTTAAAAGTGCAATAATTCAACAAACAATAGTGAGTATGTCCTAATAAAGAATACTCAGTGCCTATGAATTGAACATGAACCAGTCCAGGCAAGACTGTTTATTATTTATGTGTTTATTTCTAACATATATAAAATAAGAAGCATGAATTTAGCACTCTGAAAAAAAATGTGTTTTCAAATGTCTGAGAGAGGTCTTTTGAGAGCTGCTTCCTTATCTGTAAAACAGTCTGGAAAGAAAATTCAGGAGGATGGAAGTGTGTAAGCACATGTTTGTGCACAGGTGAAGTCTTATTTGTACTTGAAATATTGGGAGCTTGACCTTGATGTTGCTATAACCTGGGGCAGGTGCGCAGAGTACAACTGTTGCAAGGTGAATAGGGTACCACTGCTACTATGTGATCTTTCATTCATTCTTTCTTTTTTTTCTTAAACGACAACAACAACAATAACAACAAAGTTGTTCTCTGATTAATTCTCCTTTGAGAAGAGAGAAATCCACAAATAGATTTCATAGAGCAGTTAAGTAAATTATATTTTTGCCCTCTTTAACTGTAAGTCTTCTTGGTTTGTTAATGTAATTACCTATAATTTATTTAATGCAAATCCTCATACACTGGTGATAAAAAAATTTAATCCAAACAGTAAATGGGCTTCTCCACCTTGTTCAACTGAACAAGCTGGTATGAAACACAGTGGAATCTTGGTGAGAGGATAGAGGAGATGAACAATATGAGACACAAAAGTCATTTCTAAAAATGTGATTAGGAATCCTGCCCTGTCTCAAAACAATTAAACTGTAAATCTATACTTGCTTTTCATATTGAATGAAGTGAATATGATTCGGAGCATAATTCAGAATTACATGAAACCTCCTTCTAATAAATGCCTGGTGAAAAAATTTGGTCTGAGAATCATTCCATTTGCTTGAAGCAAATATAGCATTTGGGTCATGATAATAACAGCAGCTATCGTCATTGTCAAATACTATTTTTTTTTTCTTTTTGAGATGGAGTCTCCCTCTGTTGCCCAGGCTGGAGTGCAGTGATGCAATCTTGGCTCACTGCAACCTCTGCCTCCGGGGTTCACGCAATTCTCTGTCTCAGCCTCCCGAGTAGCTGGGATTACAGGCACCCGCCACCATGCCCGGCTAATTTTTGTATTTTTAGTAGAGATGGGGTTTCACCATCTTAGCCAGGCTGGTCTTGAACTCCAGAACTCGTGATCCACCTGCCTCAGCCTCCCAAAGTGCTGGTATTACAGGCATGAGCCACCAAGCCTGGCTGCCAAATACTATTTTAAGCAATTTATACATGTTAACTCATTTGCCCCTCACACTAATCCCCAAAGTATACCTTATGATTATTTCCATTTTGCAGATGAGGAAAATGAGGCACAAAATCTTAACTAATTGGTTCAAGGCCACATAAGTGACGAAGGGAAGAATGCTTACTCTTAACCCTCAACTCTATACTTATGCTAGGTTGGTCCCAGAGCTTTCTGCTAAAAGGTTGAGTGGTGAATATTTAAACTTTATGGAAAAATCCACATTTTCCTGTCACTATAATTTGTTACCTAGCATGGGATTCATATCTAAAAAGAGGCAAAAAAAAACTTGAAACTAATTACTGGATGAAGCAAAAGATAGCTGGAACTGAACATTTCAGTTAGGATATTTGAAAACCAGTGAGATTTTGCCATCTGAAGAGAAGCCTGAGAAGCATCTGCATAATGTTCTTTCGAACATTTAAATTAAATAATTAATTATTTTTTGGAGACAGGGCCTCGCTCTGTTGTCCAGGCTGGAGTGCACTGGCATGATCATAGCTCACTGCAGACTCAAACTCCTGGACTTAAGTGATCCTCCCGCCTCAGCCTCCCGAGTAGCTGGGACGACAGGCATGTACCACCATGCTTGGCTAATTTTTGTATTTTTTGTAGAGATGAGGTCTCACTATGTTGCCCAGGCTGGTCTTGAACTCCTGGGCTCAAGCAATCTTCACGCCTCAGGCTGCCAACAAACTGGGACTACAGGCATGAGCCACTATGCCTGGCCTGAATAATGTTCTTTATTAGAGCTGCATATGACTCCACTGCACACAGGACGCACTTGGAATCTAAGTGCCACCTTCCTTAAAATATGAAGATGCCCCTTCTGACTCACCACCAGTATGAAGTCATGCTTCCTCCCTGCCAGACTCTATTAATATTTGATATGGTTTCGTTGTGTCCCCATCCAAATCTCATCTTGAATTATAGTTCCCATAATCCCCATGTGTCATGGGAGGGACCTGGTGGGGAGGTAATTGAATCATGGGAGTGGTTACCCTCATACTGTTCTCGTGATAGTGAGTTCTCATGAGATCTAATGGTTTCTTTTTCTTTTTCTTTTTCTTTTTGAGACGGAGTTTCACTCTTGTTGCCCAGGCTGGAGTGCAATGGTGTGATCTCGGCTCACTGCAACTTCCGCCTCCCAGGTTCGAGCAGTTCTCCTGCCTCAGCCTCCCAAGTAGCTGGGATTACAGGTGCCTGCCACCATGCCCAGCTAATTTTTTGTATTTTTAGTAGAGACGGGGTTTCACCATGTTGGCCAAGCTGGTCTCAAACTCCTGACCTCAAGCGATCCACCCAACTCAACCTCCTAAAGTGCTGGGATTACAGGCATGAATCACAAGGAGATTTTCCCCCCTTATGCTCAGCGCTTCTCCTTGCTGCTGCCATGTAAAGAAGGATGTGTTTGCTTCCCCTTCTGCCATGATTGTAAGTTTCCTGAAACCTCCCCAGCCATGCTAAACTGTGAGTCAATTAAACCTCCTTCCATTATAAATTACCCAGTCTCAGGTATGTCTTTATTAGCACTGTGAGAACAGACTTAAATACAATATTGTCATGGCATATGACAGCACTGACTAAAAGAAAAGCCACTCATTTACAGAATCTCCCTTCCTTCTTTAAAAGTAAGAGAAGGTAAGTATAGTTCGACCTGAAGTAGGAGGCTGAATGAGCCCTCTGACCACATTTTAACCACAGTGGATCTTACCGAATGAAAAACCAAGTTTGACTTCTGCTTTCCCAGATCAAACAAATCTCTCCAGGCTGCCTCTTCTAGCCTGACAAAAATTCTTAGGATGTCCCGAGAGAGAGCAAATCTTATTGTCGTTCCTATTTACAGATTCAGCTGGGACACTGACTGATTTTCTCCAGATTACAAGCCAAGACATCTGTGTGGCTAATATTAAAATGTCAGTACCTTTGGTTCCCATCCTTTGCTTAACAGAGCAGCCCCAAGACCAGCAGACTCCACTGCATGGAAGGCCTGAGCTGCCCCCGCAAAGTCATGTTTATGAAACAGCTGCTTTCAAGGAAACCAGTCATTCTGAGGGCACTCATTTGGAATCTGTGATTCCCTGTCATGGGCTAAGATTTGCTTTTGCATTAGTTACAGGAAAAGAATGGTGGCTTTGAAAGAACACTGGGTTTTGTGCCAGGAAAATCTGACTGGCTGTGTCATTCTGAGAGTCCTGTGGTGTGTCCCGGCCTCAGGTTCTTCACCTCTATGATGGGAAGTGGTGTGGGGATAGGCCTAGTAGAAAGACTCCAAGTTCTTTTCTAGATTCAAAGGTAAATCTTGCAGAATGGTGGCAATGACAAGATTTAAACATTTAGGGAGGCTTGGCACAGTGGCTTATGCTTGTAATCCCAGCACTCTGGGAAGCCGAGATGGGAGGATTGCTTGAGCCTAGGAGTTCAAGACCAGCCTGGGCAACAGAGCGAGGCCGTGTCTCTCTTAAAAAAACTATAGGAAAAAAAAGTGTGGTCTTGGGGCACATAGTCATCTTTGCCATTTGGCTTGCTGCAATATTGCTCAAGATTTTATGGTCATGGACAAGGGTCTGATCCCAATCCATCACAGACCAATACTAGCACTCAGCCCACGACACATGCAGCTCACCACGTGAGTGCAACGACACTCAAACTTGTCTCTACCCTATTCAGTAAGATGGGTCCATTGATCACCCATTGGGATATCATATTGCTATTAAAGTTTCTAAACACCTTACTGGCAATTTCTGTCTTTGTCACAGACTGGTAATAAACAGTTGCCTGACCAGAAGCAGTCCCTGGACCATACTTTCAATATTACTGGGTTTGGCCACTTTTCTGTAATAAAGCAAGTCCCTTATGGACTTGAGCAGGACATCACTCAGACAACTTAGATGCATTTTTGTTTGTTTGTTTGTTTTTTGAGATGGAGTCTCGCTCTGTTGCCCAGGCTGGAGTGCAATGGTGCGATCTTGGCTGACTGCAACCTCTGCCTCCTGGGTTCAAGCAGTTCTCCCTGCCTCAGCCTTCCGAATAGCTGGGATTATAGGTGCCCGCCACCATGCCCAGCTAATTTTTTGTATTTTTAGTAGAGACGGGGTTTCATCATGTTGACCAGGCTGGGCTCAAACTCCTGACCTCAGGTGATCCACCTGCCTCGGCCTCCCGAAGTGCTGGGATTACAGGCATGAGCCACCACACCCAGCCAGATGCTTCTTTTTTTTTTTTTTTTTTTTTAAATAAGCAACTGGAAAGCAGAAAAGTGAACTTTTTTCCTTCAACTTTTATTTTAAAGTCTGGGGTACACGTGCAGGATGTGCAGGTTTGTTACAGAGATGAACATGTACCATGGTGGCTTGCTGCACAGATCAACCCACCACCTAAGTGTTAGCTACTCTTCCTGATGATCTCTCTCCCCGCAGCCCCCTCGACTGGCCCCAGTGTTTGTTGTCCGCACCACGTGTCCACGTGTTCTCATCAGAAGGCTAAACATTTTTTAAAATAACTGCTGAGATGGTTGGGTACAGTCCTCATGCCTGTAATCCCAGCACTTTGGGAGGCTGAGGTAGATGGATCACTTGAGCTCAGGAGTTCAAAACTACCCTGGCCAACACGGTGAAACCCCATCTCTACGGTGTTAATACAAAAATTAGCTGGGTGTGGTGGCACACAACTGTAATCCCAGCTACTCTGGAGGCTAAGGCACGAGAGAATCACTTGAACCCAGGAGGCAGAGGTTGCAGTGAGCTAAGATCACACCAATGCATTTCAGCCTGGGCGACAGAGTGAGACTGTCTCAAAAACAAAACAAAACAAAACGAAACCCCTGCTGAGATAACTCTAGCCTCTCACGCTTTTCAACTTGGTCTGCCCACAATTGGTCTGGATTCTTGTCAAATCCATCTATCATATTGTCCTATTTCTTCTGCCTTTGGATTTGTTCTTTTTCATCCTCTACTTCAGCTGATAGGCCCAGCAGTCCTGGAATTCCTGCTGAAGGCTGGCAGGTAGGTGGTAAACAGACAGATTAGAGCTGTTCCCAGGGCAGGAAGGAACCTGACAGTTGTTGGGGAGATGGGACGCTTCTTGGCCTTGTAAGGCAGTGGCCACTGCTCTCTCAGTGCTGCACTCCTAGCCTCCCTGCCTTCCTCTGCCCTGGACTGCAAAGGTGAGGTGTACCCCTCCAAGGCACCCTTGGACCTGGATGCTTACCGGGCCCGAGTTCTGGAATGCCATGCTAATCTCAGTGCAGTGACAGCCCTCTCAGCTGTTTCTGAAAGTGGAGAGGGAGTCTGATAAAATCAAACAATTTGAGATTGTTTATATATTGTACATTGTCATATCATTCTTTTATTTTTATAATAAAAGCCAAAACCTATTGGGCACAAAGTCCAAGACAGTTCTGGGTACTCTTTGCATATCTTGACTTAATAGTCACCCCTCCCCAATAAAGTTGATCTTTATTATTATTATTATTTCTTTTTATAGAAGAAGAAACTGAAGTAGAGAGAAGCTAAAGAACTTGCCTCAAATTATACAGGCAGCAAGCAGAGATTCTGAACTTGAACCCAGCAAGTATTACGCGGATGTTCATGCCCCTAACCACTGCCTTATACCATCTCTGGATATAAATGATGGTTTCTGAACCTCATGGCAAGCTTATGGATAAACTAAGGCTGAAACATATAAATTAAATTGAAAACTATTTATTGAGCAACCTCCTAGGTGTAAAACAGTAATCTAGGCACTCAGATATAGTACACTGAATGATGGCCCTAGAAAGATATGTCCACACCCTAACCCCCAGAACCTATGAATATGACCTTATGTGGATAAAAGGGTCTGTGTAGATGTAATTAATTTAAGGATCTTGAGAAGAGATTATCCTGAATTATTTAGGAGGGCCCTAAATCCAATGATAGGGGTCTTTATGAGAGACAAAGGAGAAGACACAGAGACAAGAGGAGAAGCCCATGTGAAGACAAAGGCAGAGATTAGAGCGACACAGCCACAAGCCAAGGAATGTCTGGACCCACTAAGCTGAGAGAGGCAAGGAAGGATTTGCCTCTAGATGCTCTGGGGAAAGCACAGCCCTGCCAGTATCTTGATTTTGGACTTCTGGCCTCTGGAGCTGTTTTAAGCCACGAACGTGTAGAAATTTGTTACATCAGTCTCAGGAAATGAACACAGTAGGTAACCAAGACAGTCCTTACTCTGGTGGAGTTTACATCTGAGAGATGTAATCTTAAGGAGTTATATCTTAGGGATGAACAGAATGTAAATGTAACATATAATGAAAAATGATAAGGAAACATTTACCTAACAACTCAAACCACATTGTCTTCACCCTCCATCCAGGGAGTTTTACCTGGACTGAGTAGTAATGACCACTCCCTTTCATATGCACCCATAGACCCTTTCATAACATCCATCATGGGAGCTACTCCACCATTTAAAAATTGATGGGTGATGGCCAGGCACGGGGATTCACACCTGTAATCCCAGCACTTTGGGAGGCCAAGGTGAGCAGATCGCTTGAGGTCAGGAGTTCAAAGCCAGCCTGGCTAACATGGTGGAACCCCATCATTACGAAAAATACAAACATCAGCCTGGCATGGTGGCGGGTGCCTGTAATCCCAATTATTCAGGAGGCTGAGACAGGAGAGAATCGCTTGAATCCAGGAGATGGGAGGTTGCAGTGAGCTGAGATTCTGCCAATGCACTCCAGCCTGGCTACAGAGTGAGTGAGACTCTGTCTCACACACACACACACACAAAATGATGAGTGACATGTCAGTGTTCCCCTGCGACCTGTAAAAGTCTTCATCTCCATCTCCTCAGACCTTACCTGACATTACTTAATAATGGGGGAAAATGGCATAACCTTAATGACCAACAAGAAGGAGGCACGTGGAGACCAAGAAGCCAGCAGGGCCATGGTGCATGCTTGTACAGAATGTTGTTGCCCAAGATGCTAGCCAAGGGAACAAAGGGAGGTGAAGTCCAGCCAGTGGCTTTCTAAGTGCTGCCTACCCTGTGGAACTGCATTTTCTAATTGCACAAAGGAGCCATGTGGCCCAGCAATGGCCCTGAATGCTACCGGTCTTTAAAGATGCCTGATCCTTCCAGCTAGAATCTGGTCAAGCTGGCAGCCCCATGCTGTACAGCATGGTAATGCTTAAAAGCCTTCCTCCAGGCACCCTGGCCAGGGGGACATTCTTTGCTGGCTGAATGTCCCTGTAATTTCACAGGTACTCTCTGTGCACTGGGCGGTATTCAGATATTATTTAATTTTTTCCTTTGCCTTTCTGCATAGGAGGAACAAACACAAGACTCTAGGATCCCTGGAGTGGTTTATTCCATTAGAGATTCTGTTTCAAAGGAGATAAAAAGGCTTGGCAGAGATGTGGGAGATGCTTCTGCAGGAAGCACACTGGTATCTCCTCACTCTGCGTGTGGCCTCAGGTGAATCACATTTAGGCCTCCATTCTCTGATTCTTCACTTTGCAAGTTTAACTGAATATGTACTCCAAGTATGCTAAAAAGAGTTTCCCAAAACAAGGACAGGAACCAGGATGCAGGCAGACCTCTCCTGATGAAACTACCCAAACCTAAGTCATCTCTTAGTGTGTAACCCTTTCCTCTCACCTGGTCTGAATTTCCCACTGTTAAGGTTTATACCTTTGGATGAGAGATCCAAAAAAATTCTTGATGTCGGAAGTTGCTTTTAGGATAGTAGAAGGAAGATGAGTGTTTTTTCTACCATCCTTGCATGCATTGGCTAAGGAGCCAAAATCCCATAATCAGAGACAGTTTGTATATTTTATCACCCGTTCGCTGTCCTGGAGGGCTCCACGCCTAGACCTGAGGGAAAGAGAAGCTAGGAAGGCTGGAGGAAGCGGGCCTTGATGAGTATCAAGCAGCCTCGGGTCCCACAGTACTCTTCCCTGTGGCCTACACAGTGAAAAGGGGAAACACGAAGTGGGGATTGTGCTCAAGAGATCATCTTGGCTCCGGGCCCTTGTGATGGATGTACCAAATAAGACCTCCATGCTGGAGAATCGCTGGAAAGGACTGAGACACCATCTTGTCTGCTGCCTTCAAAATGCATAATTCATGAAAACTGTGGAAGAGTATGTCAACAGGAAGCTTGCTGTTTTCATTTCATCAAGAATGTAGAACGGTTGGAAATGACCACGTTACAAGCCAGAGGGGCTATGCAAGGTGACCTAAAATTGGAAAAAGACTATTATCAAAGCTTTTTGTAGAGAGAAAACTTGGGGTGTGGCAATCATAGGCCAAAAAGCCTGGAACTGGCTACCAAAAAAGTTGACTTTGCAGAATTCCTTCCATTGCAGCAATTGTTCTGAGGGCTGGGAAATGCATGTATTTCCCAAATATGGCTCTTACATGGCCTCAGTGTATGGAAGAAATTCAACTACTATTTTCATAGTTCTGGGCACTATAAACCCAATTTGCCAGACCAATAATGAGATGATTATAATGGATCCTACAAAACCTGAGCGAGGCACGATGACTCTGGTACATCTGGCAGGCCTCCTGCTATTGTTGCTAAGTAACACACATGAAATGTTGAAATGCTGCACTGCAATTTCAGAGTGTTTCCTCCCTTACCTGTGCCAGCTTGCAAAGCTGACCACAAACCCTAAGCATCTAGATTTTTTCAGTCAGTGAAGAGGGCTTTTTCTGTGTGGTCCTTGGAGGATAGGGCAGGGACCAGAGAGAGGGTAGGAGCTGCAGGGAACAAAACTTTCATCCCAAAGGAGGATCCTCTGTAATAATTAGAGTTGTTCCAGTATATACTTGGGTTTTATTTTGCAAGTAAATGAGTTTCCTGTCACTTTCAGGCTTTGGGGAGAGACTGTTTTTTCACTCCCACTCATTACGTTCATTGCAAATTCAAGAATCAGATAGGAGTTGATCCGCATAACATGTCAGTTATGCATACTCTAAGATTCCATGGTTTTATGAACTGTCATAAAATTATTGCCTTTGCAAAAGCAGCACAATACTGAATGCAAAAACCAAAAAAGCAACTATTTCTTTTTAACTCTGAACAGACTTTCATGGCTCAGTGCATAAGAGAAGCCTTTTATTTTCAAGTAACTGAAACACTTTGTCATTTTGCACTGAGAATCACTAATGTTATCTTCATAAATCTTTTTAGGGTTCTGTATTCTGGAACTACTCGGTGGTGAGATTCTCATCTTAGTATCAATACACATAATGCCAGGCTTTTGAGCAGTAGTTCTCAACTTGGAGAGATTTTGTCCCCCAAGGCAACATTCAGCAATGTCTGGAGACATGTTTTATTATCATGACTGGGAAAGGGCAATGGTGCCCCTGGAAGCCACTAGGTAGAGGCCAGGGATGCTACTAAACATCTTGCAATACTCAAGACAGCCACTCACAACAAATAACTATCCAGCCCTAAATGTCAATAGCACAGCTGTTAAGAAACTCTGCTGTAGGGGGATGGAAGAAACAACAATAAGAACAGCACTATTCTTTTTTTTTTTTTTTTTTTTTGGAGGCAAAATTTTGCTCTTGATGCCCAGGCTGGAGTGCAATGGTGCGATCTCGGCTCACTGCAACCTCCGCCTCCTGGGTTCAAGTGATTTTCCTGCCTCAGCCTCCTGAGTAGCTGGGATTACAAGCGCCTGCAACCACGCCTGGCTAATTTTTTGTATTTTTAGTAGAGAAGAGGTTTCACCATGTTGGCCAGGCTGGTCTCGGACTCCTGACCTCAGGTGATCCATCTGTCTCAGCCTCCCAAAGTGCTGGGATTACAGGCATGAGCCACAGTGCCCAGCCAACAGCACTATTCTTACTGACAACCTGCTGTTCTTGGCACTTCACAAACACACCTGACCTCTACACATTACAACAGCACTGCAAGGTGGGTATAGTTTTCCCCAATGTACAGGCGAGGACACTTAAGTCCAGAGAGTTTACATGGCTTGTCCAAGATCAAACAACTTGTAAATACAGAACTAGGACTCCAGCCAAGTTTGGTCAAGCTCTGAGGTCCGGCTTTCTAGTGAGTTTGCTATGCTGGAGCCCTTTTCAGAAGCACACACTGTTTCCCGCAGAGGTTTAGACTGTACACAGGCTAGAAAGTGCAATCAGGAACAAAGGGCTTCCAAAAGAGACAGAAAGGAGCCAAGCCCAAAATGAAACCTGCACTTCATGAAAGAACCTGAAGGGGGCAGTCTCACCATCATGATGACCACCCACAATAGGCTGAAGACCGGCACCTCCAGAGTCATGGTGCGTCTGATGCACCGCCTTCTGAAGAAGCATGTGTGGAGGTTGAGGAGGGAGAATCACATTACCTGTCCCTCCTCCTACATCACGAGGTGCACGTTAGTGTAATTTCACTCAATATCAGAGGTCTCAAAAAAATTTAGCTTAAAATAACAACTTCTGTTGGGATTTTTGAGAACATGCTTTAGAATTAGGCAGAGTTGAGTTCAAATACTTGCTCTTTCACTTTTTTAAAATTATTTTTCATTCATCTTGTATGTCCTTCCATTGAATTTTTTTAGGGGGGGGCAGCAAGTTACTTCACCTCCTGTGCTTCTCTTCTCTCTTCATCATCATCATCATCATCACTACCTCATGGGAGTATTACAAGGCTTAAATTAGAAAATTAATGAATTAAATGGAGGCAGAAAAGCTAGGCCGCTACCCAGAAGGGAGTGACAAAACAGGAAATATTACACAATATAGAGACACTACTATATAGTTTACTGTATACATAGCATATATAGTTTTATTTTGGAAGGAAACAAAAGAATGGAAACAATAATTGGGCTGCAAATGTGGCTGAACGTGGGGTGGGGACCCCGGCTGGAAGTGCACAGATGTGGAATGCCACTGTGGAGTGTTCCCCTCCCTGCTCAAAAGAACAGTGAATCATGGAGTTAAAAATAGCAAATGTGAAGAACACAATGAATCTCAAGCAAGTGTCCTTTGTGATTTCAATGAATGTTTCAGTGGTTGCCTTTTCTAGAACAGTTGTAAGTAACTGTCATCTTCTTGGTTGCCAAACCCCACAACATAACATACAGATGCTTAATAAGATACATATGCTTATGCCTAATGTCTCTACGCCTTTGGCTTTGAGCCTCCTAACAATATGGAAAATTAAGTGAATTCTGGTATTTACCAGAGACCCACACAGGTACTCAGAGAATCACAGGTCCAATGTGGAAATGAAAAGTACACTTCTATCCTGATTTTTTAAAAGCTGCTTGGCTCTCTCTAGGTTAGCAGTTGAGACTTCAATATTTTATTCAATGAATATTTGATGTGACATATTTTAGAACAGACAGCTGTTCTGATGAATTAGTCATCTCTGTGATGAATCAGTTACTTATACCTAGCCTTTAGTTTTTTGAGAACTCAACCTCTTTCCTCCACTCTGA
This sequence comes from Homo sapiens, assembly GCF_000001405.40. Lineage (NCBI taxonomy): Eukaryota > Metazoa > Chordata > Mammalia > Primates > Hominidae > Homo > Homo sapiens. Next base: position 109,886,810 of record NC_000009.12, on the reverse strand, counting down.
CCCGTTTCCAAAACCACTTCCTTCTATAACAGTAACATTTCTCGGAACAGGTACACTGTTGAGAAAAGAGATCTCTAACCAACTCCTCAAATTAGAGAAACTCAGAATACCAGAGCTGGAAGATCCCGAGAGATGGCTCACTGAAGATATGAGGAAACTGAGACTGAAGAGAGCAAAAGACTTGCCCAAGGTCACACAGCAAATGATCAGCAGAGCTAGAATTAACATCCTGGCTTTGTGACAGCTCATCCCATTTTCATTTAATACTCCATGAAGTTTCTCATCTTCACTGGGGTTGGTCTGCCCCCAACTGATAAGGTTGGGAGATAAATTTTCCCCATATTTCTCACTAATCAAAGGAAGTTAAAAACCCTGTATTTCAAACACTTTAGTAAAACCCAGTGAAATGAAAGAGAATCTTAAGTGGGAAAGTGACAAGGTAAACAACAAGACTTGATGCTTGGGGCAGACATGAAGTAAACAGGGCTAGTGTGGCTCGAACTACCTACAATCTCCGAAAGTATCAACCCGAGGTCCACATGTGGCCTCCAGGGACCCACCACACACAATAATGGCACGGACAATGGCTGGCAATGGGCCCAAGCCAGAAACAATCTCTTGGGCTTTCTCAATACGTCACTCCAAAAAGAAGCAAAGCATACAGAAGATGTGGACATTCAAAAAATTCAAAAAAGGAAACGTCTACAGATTTTGCTTTCAACAATTCCAATCTTATTTAGCCTATTTTAATTCTGGTTTCCAGGGAGCCAAAAATATAATCCTGACATTACCCAGGGAAAAGCTGTGCAAAAGAATGACAATCTATTTCTCCACTGTGGCAGCCGGGTTTTCCTCTTCCTTTGCAGCTGCTTTGGTGTCACCCCTTCAAGACCACATTACTTTGAATTTTAGCAAGAAATCTTGGAAGAATGGTAGAATTTTCTGGCCTTTGGTAAAGCACACAGTTTTCCTGACCTGGATCATCTTTAGCCTGGTAAACCAAGGCTGTTTCTAATCCACTTCAAATGAAAGCTTAGCTCTACTGTGGGGCCTATGGAGGAGAGACTTCAGCTCTAAGCCAGAGCTACTCTCACCTACAGGAATCCCCAAAGCAGGTTTCACATATCCTTGGGTCAAAGTAGGAAGGCTCAGAAACAGTCTGAATCAAGGGTTGGGTTGTCCTTTATCCTTGTGTGTGAAGCCAGTTTTCTTATAAACATGATTTACTTCCCACTCTCCTTGGGGGGTTTCTAGGTATTAAAATGGGATTTCATTTATGGTCTATCCTTTTTTCCATTTACTGCAATCATTCTTGAACCTGACCATACAACAGAATTATCTGGAACACCCTTTTAAAAAACAGATTACAGGACTCCTTACTTGGATCACTAAATCCAAATTTCCTAGAATGAGGCCTGGTAATTCTTATTTTTAAAAACCTTCCCAAGTGATTCTAATGCCCAGGGTTTAATATTCTAGTTACATTTTTCCATCCTTCCTTCCTCCATTCCTTCCTTCTTCGTGGGCTGCCCTCAAAAGCTAAGCACCACATATAATAATTCTGGCAGAGGAACAACATTCGCCCTTCCAAACCACCACCAATTTATAAATAACATTTTGGAAAAAAACATGTCTGTAAACCTGGAACTTCTTGTACAGTTACTGGCACTGTAAAGAATCACAGAATAAGAATTAAAAGGTGATTATGTTCTTTCTTCTAGGAGGTATCTAGGGAAATAGACATCTAAGTAGAAATTTGCATGCTTTATTTGAAGTCTTTGCCATATTCAAAATGGCCTGCACATAAAGAATTAAGACATGGCCTAGATCCTACATACACTTGAAGTTCTGAGTTATGATACCATTATCCTTTTGTTATCTAAACTAAATGGCCCAATTTCCCTTAGTCTTTCTTTGTAGAAATGTTCCTTGTTCTTTGGTTACTATTCTCTATTCCTCCTTCAGTGTCTTCAAGCTATTCTTAGTTCAACAACAAGGACGAAAATACCTTCAGGGCACAACTGTACTAATATACTTTATAGTTTGCAACCAGTTTATGTATCTCTTTAGGAGAATCTAATTGATTGCTGGGGGTGACTTAGACTAGGGGGCCCAAATCTAAAGATCTACAGATTAATGTTTTGCCTTGAGTAATGAAGATTTCCCTTAAAATGCCTTTATTTAATGGTTCTGCATCTGATCTTATAGTTTTCAAGATTCCTATTATATAAAGATCAGATCGCAAATTTGATCTTGAAGTCACTCATATTCTCTCTTACTCTCTTCTTCCTTTCTCTCTGCATTCTTGCATTGTTTTAGTTAGTCCTCTTTATTTTTATTTTTATTCTTTGAAATGTAGTCTCACTCTGTTGCCAGGCTGGAGTGCAGTGGCATGATCTCAGCTCACTGCAACCTCCGCTTCCCGGGTTCAAGCGATTCTCGTGCCTCAACCTCCCAAGTAGCTGGGATTGCAGGCGACCATCACCACACTCATCTAATTTTTGTATTTTTAGTAGAGATGGGGTTTTGCCATGTTGAGCAGGCTGGTCTTGAACTCCTGACCTCGGGTGATCCACCTGCCTCGGTCTCCCTAAGTGCTGGGATTACAGGCATGAGCCACTGTGCCCAGCCAGTCCTCTTTCTTTTTAAATGTCTTTTCTGTAGTTTCCCTAATGCCGGTCCATTTTCCTGAATGCTTGCAGTTTTCAATTCAACAATCATGCTCCTGGAAAACTGAATTATTCATCCCCATTCTTCACCCTTCCCTGATCTGTGTTCCTTCCACTAAAAGTTGGCTGGCTGTCTCTTCCCTTGGTTTTGGGCTTGCTCATTGACTTGGTTTGGCAGATGGCTTGTGGGCAGTCTGAGCCTAGGCCTTGTTTCTGCTCAGCCCTCTTGTACCTCTCCCATTGCCAGAAAGAGACAGCATCATGGTTAGCCTGTTAGTGCAGGGTAAACAAGAGTGGACTCAGGCAACACGCAGATTAGAGTCACGTAGGTGAGCTCAGCCCTATCAGCAGAGCCATGCCAGCCAATCCACAGGGACTTTGTAACACCGTAGGGTGCTCATGTTTGCAATGAGCCTTTAGAACTATTCAAATGTCATTCTGTGAGTGAGAACTAAGCTATGTTCAACTACAGAGAAATGTCTTAGGTGACTGAGTGTCCTTTATGGGAAGAGAGATAACAGCTCTTTCTTCCCATGGGATTGAAGATTAAAGACACTAATAACCATTGTGGTAGAGAAGATGCCAGCAAGATGAAGAGAAGCAGAAGCTGACTTCCAGGGTAGAAGAAACTCCTCCCTCAGAAGGCCCTGCAGAGGAAACGATGCTCACCACAGTCCTGCTCCTACAGAAAGCAGCTCCAGGGAGCACAGCTCATCTCAGCACACATCCAGTGCCCATTTGGCCCAAAGTCATGACTAAGACACAAGAAATGGCCCCTGAATCCAGGCCTCACCATCCACCCCTGTAGGCTATTGTGATTTCCTTCCTCTGGCTTGGGATTCTAGCTCTAAATGGGTGAGACTGCCTGCATACATTGAGTGTGCTCTTTATTCCATTGACGTAAAGGACGTAAAGGATAAAAAGAACTTTAACAACTTTTCTTTGAGTATAATCATGACCACCTGAATAATAAACCAGCCCCTAACCCACAACACCTCCTTCCAATGGTCAATTTACCCAGAAACTGAGTCTCAGTTTAAGACTCTAGCCTCCACACGCAATGGCTCATTCTACAAGTGCGAGTTACCACCTATTGGACCATAATAACAACATATTTGCATTCAAGCCAAGGTTAAACTGCCAATTTGATTGGAAGACCATGTTTCCCAGTGACACTTAAGAAAAACAGAATAGGACGGACACGGTGGTTCACACCTGTAATCCCAACACTTTGGGAGACTGAGTGGGAAGAATCACATGAAGCCAGCAGTTCAAGACCAGCCTAAGCAACATAGTGAGACTCTTTCTCTACCAAAAAAAAAAAATAATAATAATGCTAGGCACAGTGGCATGAACTTTTATTCCCAGCTATTTGAGAGGCTGAGGTCGGAGGATAGCTTAAGTCCAGAAGTTTGACGCTGCAGTGAGCTATGATCGCACCACTGCAGTCCAGCCTGGACAGCAGAGTGAGATCTCATCTCTTAAAAAAAAAAGAAACAAAAAGAAAAATAGAAAAGGTCATGTAACTAATTTTATCCTATTTTCCAAATCCTTTCTGCCTTCTGTCTATAATAACACCTACTCTCTCTCTATATATATATGTATATGATATAAATGGTTGGTAACAGTTTAGCCTTTATCCTTTGTATTCTAAGAAAAAGCATGTGCATGTACACGGGTGTGTGTGAGTATACATATGTATATGTACACACAAACCCTCCAAACTTTTTCTTGGCCAGTTTCCTTCACAATGTTTAGCCAAGCTGCTCTGAAAGCTCTTTAAGACATGTGAGGACCTAAGCAAAGTAGGGACATAGGCTGACGTATGCCTTTGGGATTTACTTGGCTTGCTTTTCCCTTTAGTGACACTATTACAGGTGCCCTCAGAGTCTTAATTTGCTGTTGGTTATAAATGGCTGGTAGCAGCTTAGCTATTACCCTTTATTTTAAAAGAGCTCATGCCAGGTGCGGTGGTTCATGTCTGTAATTCCAGCACTTTGGGAGGCCAAGGCGGGTGGATCACAAGGTCAAGAGATCAAGACTATCCTGGCCAACATGGTGAAACCCCATCTCTACTAAAAATACAAAAATTAGCTGGGCGTGGTTGGTGCACGCCTGTAGTCCCAGCTACTCGGGAGGCTGAGGCAGGAGAATCGCTTGAACCCGGGAGGCGGAGGTTGCAGTGAGCCAAGATTGTGCCACTGTACTCCAGCCTAGTGACAGAGCGAGACTCCATCTAAAAAAAAAAAAAAAAAAAAAAAAAAAGAGCTCATAAGCTCAGAAGACAGAGATGAAGCTCCAGGTGGTGAGATTTCAGGTAGAATTTGGTGGGATGGGTTGGAGGGACAGATTTGGTTCTAAGGCATCTATGCTTACCACCTTCCATCCCTATCTCATATCTCTCTGGCTAGGTGTCCTGGGACCTGGAGTGGCTATAGCTCCCAAGTAAAAACCTACATTATTGCTCTTGTGTGAGCCTGGCCAGTTATTGCCCACAGACAGGTCGCTTATCTCCCAGATTGAAGTGATCAGATCCTGGTTGAGAACCATAAAGAAACCACTCTCTGAGCAGTGAAAGCAGACAATACAAAGTTAATTTTTAGAGCACGGGCACATAACCTACAGAGGTGCTCTCACTCAGCACTTCCACACTCTTCATTTCAATCCCAAGACTGTTGACTACAGTTTTCACATTTCGAATTGACCAAATACAGCAAATTTGAAAACAGACTCACTACAGCAGCAATAACAGCTAACAACCTGACCCGAAGGAGGAAAAAGATGAAAGCTAATATAAGAACTCAAAGGGAGCACCTAGTGAAGGGGCAAGCTGCTCACAACACCTTGTGGGCCCATGAAGCCATCACTGTGCTGTATTACAGCCCAGTGCAATAATTAGTACTCTTTGCAGCCACAAAAAAGGATGAGATCATGTCCTTTGTAGGGACATGGATAGAGGTGGAGGCCATTATCCTTACCAAACTAACACAGGAACAGAAAACCAAATACTGCATGTTCTCATTTATAAGTGAGAACTAATGATGGAACACACGGACACGTAGAAGGGAACAACACACACTGGGGCCTTTTGGAGGGTGAAGGGAGGGAGGAGGGAGAGAATCAGGAAAAATAACTAACGGGTACTAGGCTTAATACCTGGGTGGTGAAATAATCTGTTCAACAAATCCCCACGATACAAGTTTACCTATGTAACAAACCTGTATTTGTACCCCTAAACTTAAAATAAAAGTTAAAAATAAAAATAAAAAATTATTAGTACTCTGTGTCATAACTCTGGGTCATCTGGAAAAGTTTAAACAACATCAATGTGCTTTGTTTAGGAAGAAAATTCTCAAGTACAGGAGAAGGTAACAGTATTGAGAAAGGCCACCTAGAGGAGAGCAGTGGTTACTGCACTGAAAAACTGTAGCATGGGTTCCCTGGGCTGGAAGCCACCTACCTCTGAATGTTATCTTCAAGTTGCTTGACTCTGAACTCATCCTCTTCAGACTGCCGCCTCCTGGCTTCCTCCTCTTCGGCAGTTCCAGCGGGTATGCCCTGCAGCAGCCATTTCTCCCGAAGCACTTTGGACTGTGGAAGTGAGGGAAGACAACAGACAAGATGATACTTTTCAGTCCACACTGTCCTCTCCCTCTGCAGTGGTGCTGTTTTAGCTCCACCCCTCACCAGCGCTGCCTGAATCGCTGCCTTCACCTCCTCACTAACATGGCTCCCTACTTCCCTCTAGATCAACACCCAAGGAGATTTATCTCTATATCATTTTCTATTATTAAAAAAATTTAAAAATAGAACTGTATAATGAATGACCATGTAACCTCATCTAGATTTAACAATTATGAACATTTTGCCATATTTTCCCATATGTTTCTCATCAAATGATTTTAAACTAAATAACAACCATATTTTACCCAACAATATGTCAGTATGAGTCTCTAAAAATTAAGAACATTTTTCTATGCAACTGTAATTTAATTAAAAAACTTCCTAAGACCACCTAATATCTGGTCCATATTAAAGTGTTTTAAAAAGATTGTCAAGACTCTTCTTCAATGACTCCCTTCTTTAATGACTCCCAATCATCTTCAGTAATAATCTCCAAATGTTATAAAAATCATATGCCCCTAGATGGGCACCGTGGCTGATGTCTGTAATCCCAACACTTTGGGAGGCTGAGGCAGGAGGATTGCTTGATTCCAGGAGTTGTAGACCAGCTTGGGCAACATAGTGAGACCTTGTCTCTACAAAAAATTAAACAATTAGCTGGGTGTGGTGGTGCACGCCTGTAGTCCCAGCTACTTGGGAAGGCTGAGGTGGGAGGATCGCTTGAGCCAGGTAGGTCAAGGCTGCAGCGAGCTGTGACCGTGCCACTGCACTCCAGCCTGGGTGATAGAACGAGACCCTGTCAAAAAAAAAAAAAAAAACCATACATCCCATGTTTGCAAGTGTACTACGATACAGTACAGTGGAATAAAAAGCTTTTGTTTCAGGTCAATGGTTCGGAGGCAGCAATTACTGCTTTGAGAAGGGAAATGAAAACAGTTCCAGAAAAAAGCATGTTGAAATTCCCTAAAAGGAAGAGCAAGGAGAGGTAGATGTGAGAGGATAATTTTGATTCAGGTTCCACTTATATGGTCCCTAGATGGCAGACGGCAGCAGCTACTGACCCTGTACATCATGGCTAAGGACCAGTGACCATGCCCATGGGCAGGTCAGTGGTCACCAGAGGGGACCACAGTGAGGATGCAGGGCACATGAACAATTCTTCCCAGAAATAGTAAGCAACGAAAGGAACAGCAGGAGCAATGACTATTAAGCCACCTAACACAGAATAAAGACCTGGCTCTTTGGCTCCCTGGCTCACTGGCATCACCTCTGTCCAGAATTTCGTTTGATCTCATCAGGCAGGGTGAGCGAGGTGAAAGGAAAGAACTCTTCTAAAGACTGAGAGCCAGGGAATGGAGGCTTGGAGCACTCCCTGAAGCTCTTATGAGCGAAGGATGCACAATTCCATAGACTCTCATTTGTATGCGGCATTAAGGGCATTTTATTATGAACTGATGAGTCTTTAAAAATAACCAACACTGGGCTGGGCACGGTGGCTCGCGCCTGTAATCCCAACACTTTGGGAGGCCAAGGCAGGCGTATCACCTGAGGTCAGGAGTTCGCGACTAGCCTGACCAACATAGAGAAACCCCATGTCAACTAAAAATACAAAATTAACCAGGTGTGATGGCATGCGCCTGTAATCCCAGCTACTTGGGAGGCTGAGACAGAAGAATCACTAGAACCTGGGGGGCAGAGGTTGCAGTGGGCTGAGATCATGCCACTGCACTCCAGCCTGCGCAACAAGAGCGAAACTCCGTCTCAAAAAAAAATTACCAACACTTAGTATTAGTAAGTTAGACTTCACTAATGGTCCTGATTCACCATTCTATTGAGAAGTCCAGGGGTCATCTGGTGCTGTAGACACCCTGCTCCATGCCCAGGAGCAAGTTCAATCAACCTGGAATTCCTGCACTTCCAGGAGAGACTCTGTGTTGACAATACATCATCAGTGTGGGTTCAGGTGACCATGGTTTTTATTGATGTTATTCTTGCCTTTTCATTACAAATCATTGTTTGTAGAGATCTCTTTGATTACTCTTGCAGCACATAGGCAAATTTATGGTACTTGACCTGTAATTTTTTAATAATTAGGCTTAAAGACTTGAGTTTGTTCACATAGAATTATTCCTAACTATACTCTTACAGTGATTATAGACAGGATCCACCCCCACACCTCAATATGCGTAAACAGCTATGCATCACTGGTGACATGCTGCCTGTTGAATGTGCTCTGTATAAATAGTGTGCATCTACCACCAGGGTAGGTATTAAAATGTACAGTTTTTACATTATAGGGCATCGTATGATAGTATAAAATCATGTGTAAAAGAGGGCAGTACAATTTGCTTACGTTGGTTGCTTATCAAAGCTTTATCAGAGATTCTTTTCCATTGGAAAGTGGGAAAGGGTGGGGCAAATCGGTTGCTCTTTCTACAAAACATTCAGAACCATTGTTCTCCACAAAAACCTCTCAAAATTTCCCCGACAGACCCTGTTTTGCACATTATGAGAGGCCATTTTTTAATCAATTCATGTTTTTATATTTTTATTCAGATACTTAATCTGTTGTAGGCACAAAATAAATTGTTCATTGGTAGCAATTCTGAAGTAGAAGAATGATTATTGCTTTGCTTTTCTTGAACTATAACTTGGCTCTGAAATTTACTCTCAGGAAGAGGGTAGAGACTGCAAGAGGCCATGCTGAACAGTGGCTAACAGCCTGAGCTCTGGAACCAGTCTGCCATTTACCAGCTGAGTGAGCTTGGACAGGCTCCTTCGCCTCACTGAGCCTCAGTTTTCTCATCTGTAAAATGGAGAAAATAGCAGTGCCCAGCTCAGAGGGTTGTTATGAGGATTAAAGGAGTTTATAGGCTAAAAGGGCCACACACATACTTAGTACTATAGAAATGTTTACTATTGTTGTTGTCCATCCTGTTCCCTTGGCCTCTGCTTTATTTACCTAAGAAAGAACAAGTAAAATACCACCAGAGAAGCCTTCCACCTCTACTGGCTCTGAGACACACTCTATGGCCCTTTCATACTATCCTCAAATTCTTTCTTTTTACATCTGTTCCCCCTGTAGCCTGCTGGTTCCTGGAAGGCTAGGACTGTCCTTTATCCACCTTCACATTCACTGTGTCACCTAGAATTTCCCAATTCATCCATTTATTCATTCAGTCAATGGAATTGTAGCCCAATTCCCTATAATGAATGAGTAAATGGATGAACTGGGAAATTCTCAACTTTCCTTCTCTCTAATTATTTGGGAGGGGTAGGGACCACACTTTCAGGGTGCTTCCTGTGCTAAAGATGTCCAAACCACAGATAGTAAAAACCTTAGGATTCTGGGGGATAGACATCCTGGAAGCCTTGGCGTTGGTGTGGACCCTTCTGGAAAAGCAGCCATGGACAGTCCTGGCTGTCTCCACACCAGCAGGGATGTTCTGCAGCCACAACTTCTTGCAACGTAAATGGCTGCTCTTGGAATGTTCTCTCTGCTGTTCTTCACACAGTGCCTCCTGCCATCACATGAAGGGTCTAGCCCCTCACTTCTCACCAACTTAGCTGCCACCATCAGCAGGTAGCTCTGGCCAGAGCAGCCTGGTGACTCTGGTCACCCAGAGGTGCATGTCCCTCTACTTCCATCTCTTTTCTTGATATAGGCATGACATCATTAAGAACATCCCAACAGGAGGAGCCAGGAAGAGAGGCTCCAACAGACAAAGGCAGTAGTGGGGCTGGGTGTGGTGGCTCATGCCTGTAATCCCAGCACTTTGGGAGGCCAAGGCAGGTGGATCACCTGAGGTCAAGAGTTCGAGACCAGCCTGGCCAAAATGGTGAAACACCATTTCTACTAAAAATACAAAAATTAGCTGGGTGTGGTGGCGAGCACCTGTAATCCCAGCTACTCAGGAGGCTGAGGCAGGAGAATTGCTTGAACCCAGGAAGCAGATGTTGCAGTGAGCCGAAGATCACGCCACTGCACTCCAACCTGGGCAACAGAGCATGACTCTGTCTCAAAAAAAAGAAAGAAAGAAAAAAAACTGGAAAAGGCAGTGGGCCTGGTCTCAGAGAATCCTGTTTCACAAAGGTGTTTAGACATTTTTAAGAAGCCGAAAAAGCATAGTTGATTTTCTACTTGGCTCCAAAGTCATGCTTTCAGGGGAAATCACCAATTCAAAAGGCTTCCTTAACTGACTCCAGATCCCCCTTATGTTGTCTCCAACATGTCTCCAAATGGAATGGTGTATACTGAGTGCACCATCCAAAGCACAGGGTCCCCTATACTGTGCTAGCTTGTATTGGCTGCCTCAGTGTTTCAGAATTTAGCGGAAGCAGAGCTCAATAGAAATAAAAAAATTAAAATTAAAAAAAACTTTTCTCTGTTTGTGGCCTTTATTGTCTAAATAACATACATCAAAAAAAAGTATCATAGCTAACATAGTATCATAGCTTTAGTAGAGATAAGGTTTCACCATGTTGGCCAGGCTGGTCTCAAACTCCTCCCAAGGTGCTAAGGACTGTCAAACTTCACATTTGTCAAACGAATGTCATCATGGCAAGTCAATACAAGGAAGGAGCAGGTGGGGAGCTGGCAGCTGGACAAAGGGAAACTTGACAGGGGCTTCTGAAAGGAGGACAGAAGGAACTCCCAAAGTAAATCTGTTTCTGGCTCTACTGGCCTGGCCAGCTTTGGAAAACAAAAAGCAAGAACTGAGTTTCCCAAACTTCAGTATGCATAAGGACCACCAGGAGAACTTCCTAAGACACAGATTCCAGGACCCACCCATGGAGATGCAGATTCTCTAAGTCTCGCATAAGGCCTGGGAATTTGAATTTTAACGACCTCCCAGGTGATGCTGTCACTGGCAATGCCAGACTGAGGACCACGATTTGAGTAGCACAGCATGAGGACCTATGACTATCCAAATGCTTGAAGAATACACAAGCTTTCTCAATGGCTGGTCAAACACCATAATCTAAAAGAACTCCCCATCCTCTCCTTCTGTGTCCCCAACTCAGGAGCAGTGGCTCTCTTATCCCTTTCCTAGGTGCCAAGAACTCTGCCAGTCCCTGAAGTCACAGCTCAGGAAGACAGGCAAGTCCCTACTCTCACTCAAGCCTTCATCCCAATAAACAAGGATGCAAGATAATCTCAGACTATGATGCTGCCTAGGAAGAGGTAGACAGGACAATGTGACAAAGAGGGACCAGGGGAGGACATTTAAAGTGGGAAAGGTCTCTCTGATGACTTGAACATTCAAGCTGAGATCTGAGATCCGGAGGGGTGTTCCAGGTGGAGGGACTGGCAAATGTACCAGCCTGGTGGTAGGACAGAGTTTGGTGTGTTTGTGGACCGGAACAAATGCCCGAGTGGCTGGACCATAATAAGTGAGGTTGGGGTGGGAGGGCAGAACAAACTGAAGATGGAGAAGAAGGCAGGGGCCAGATTAGGTAGGATTCTGTAGCCTTGTTAAGGAGTTTGCTGTGTCTTCTAAGCCCAATAGGAAGAACACATTGCAAGGGGCAGGATTACAAAGTACAAGTGATGGGAGTTTATTGCATGGTTCAAGTGACAGAGAATATTAGCTTGAAACAGAAGAGAGACAGAAGAATCAAAAGGCATGGTGGTACATTCTGGAGGTAGAATCAGTGTGACTTGTAACAGATTAGATGTGGGCTGAGAAAAAGGGAAGGATTAGGGCAATGCATAGATATTTGGTTTGAGTGAAAGGGTGAATAGTGGTATCATCAACTGGAGACAGGGAAGAGTAGAACAAATGATAGAAAAGCAGAAAATAAAATCTTTCATTTTGGGCATGTTAAGTTTCAGAGGCTTCTAAATGAAAGTGACATCCATCTAAGCGGACATGTCAGAAAAGCAGTTGAACATGGAAGACTGGGATTCTCAATTTGGCAGTCATATATACATAAATGGTATTTGCAGCCATAGTACTGGGTGATGATGGTGACAATAATGATAATTCTTATAGAACTCTTACTGCTTTATGTGCTTTACATGTAAATCCACTTAACTTTCACAAGCATCCCATGAGGTAGGTGCTAACATTAACTGACTTATCCATGGTATCACACCGAGTGAGCTGTAGATCTGGGATTTGAAGCCAAGAGGTACACTCTACTATCTTGCCTCTGTGTAAGATCACCCAAGAATCCTTTTTTCTTTTTTGCTCAAATAGGATTTACAAAATCATCAGGTGCCACTGATCCACTTCATAACATGGAAAACTATTTTTCAGCTCCTCTAATGGTGGGTTCCATATTGATGCTCTCTCTCCCCCACTTGCCCCTGAGTTCTCACAGTCAGGACTGTATCTTTTATTCATCCACGGAGGCTGACATGTGAGGAATTCTTGGAAAATCATGCACATACACTGTACTTTAGCAAATATAAAATCTTGGATCACTAAAGCTAAAAAAAGATCACAGAGATCATCTAACCCAATCTTTTTCATCTACAGCTAAGGTAACTGCAATGAAGTCACTTTTCTTACTTTCCTTTATTTTTTATTTTATTTTTGTAGAGATGGAATCTATGTTGCCCAGGCTGGTCTCGAATTCCTAGGTTCAAATGATCCTCCCACCTCAGCCTCCCAAGTACTGGGATCACAGGCATGAACCACTGTGCCCAGCCTAGATACCACTTTTTGAGGTGACCCCGGTGAAGAGTGAGGCATGTCTGGAGAGGCTGGGTGGGGCAGATTGGGGAAGTAGGAGGTGAATGAGAACTTGTAATAAGTCTCCTGTTGTTTCCTGGTCAGATGTTTGTTATTTTTATAAAGTCATAACTGGCAATCTTTTTTACTTGCACATTCTGGCTTTGATGTCATACATAGATAAGACTTCCTTACCCTCACTATAAAAATATTCACCTGTGATTCCTTTGTGTACTTTCATGATTTTACTTTTTACTCTGGATCTTTCATTCATTTGTAATCTGGCTGAAGCTGATATTGGCTATTCTAGTGGATGATGGTTGGAATATGGCTAAATTCAATTTTATTTTATTTTATTTTATTTTATTTTATTTTATTTTATTTTATTTTATTTTTTAATTTGAGATGGAGTCTCACTGTGTCACTCAGGCTGGAGTGTAGTGGTGTGATCTTGGCTCACTGCGACCTCCACCTCCCAGGTTCAAGTGATTCTCCTGCCTCAGCCTCCCAAGTAGCCCAGCTAATTTTTGTATTTTTAGTAGAGACAGGGTTTTGCCATGTTGGCTAGGCTGGTCTCGAACTCCTGACCTCAGGTTATCTGCCCGCCTTGGCCTCCCAAAGTGTTGGGATTACAGGCATGAGCCACTGCGCCTGGCCTAAATTCAGTTTTCTAACAGAAAGTGGGTTAAACTCAGCATGAGGCAATAGCTGTGTTTGTGTTTTCAGTCATTTATCTGTGTCCTGTCCCTCTTTCTCTTCCCCTATCCTTCCCACTCTTTCCTTCCTCTTTCTTGACTCTCAATAAATAAGATCTTGGTTTGGTTTTGAGATTTTGTTATATGCTTCAGTCCACCCAGGGAGAAGCCGACCCAAGACTTCTGATAGAAGAAATCAGGTTTTAACTTCCATTCAAGCTCTGGGTATGGAAACAAGGGAGGAGATCTAAGGTTACTTTACACTGTGTACTGTGCCTATCTGTTCAATATTTTAAAATTTGAAATAAGTCTTTCACACATCCCAGTAACAAGAAAAAGTCTAAAATTAGTGCTAAATGTTCAAAACCGGGAAAGACACTGTAATATCTTTGTAGCAAGTCTTCTGATACCTTCAGGCTCTTCAGCAAATGACCTTAGTGGGTTGACAACAAATATTTCACAGGGTCACAATTCAGCCTTTCATCTTTTTTCATTCAGCTTTCTTGGAAGAAAAGGCTGTGGTCTTCCAAATATAATGACAATTTTTATAGCTTGGATTAGAAGAAAACTCTAGTGAGGGTTCCCCGCTCATGAATAAGTAATTCAAAGGCAGTTTATGTATTGAAGACGTGGTATTAGCAATTTGATTCTGACAGGGCCAACTCTGTCAGGCAAACCTTTGTAAATATGACAGTCTCCAAGGAATTCATGTTGCAGTAGGTACTCAGTGCCTACTCTGTGCTGGGACTTTGAACAGACCAATAAAATAGACAAATCTCTGGCAATTCAACCAAGGGACAGAAGGAAATATTAAATTCCTTCTGCTCTAGTATGATATAGTAGCTGATTTATTTTAAAAAAATCCATATCATCACAAGTCTCATTATAAAAACAATAAAAATAAATAATTGTTCCTATGAAATAAAAAGCCAAGACAATTTTTCAAAAGAATAATGATAGTTCTTGTCTTATGAAATATTACAATATATTAAAAAGCTATAGGGATTAAATGAGAACAATACTGGCACAGGAATGGGCAGATTAATGGAATAAAAATAATCCATAAATGGTAGACTCAAATGTAAGTCAGAAATATGTAGGTGATAAAGAAGACATTTAAATCAGTGAAGGAAAGGATGAATTAATCAATAAATCACATTGAGACAAGCAGCTCAGCATCAGTAAAAAGTAAAGTTATATTCCTACTGCATACCTCGTCTGTAAATAAATTCTAGATGAATTAATGCTATTGAAGTATAAGAAACATAATAGCTAAGAGTTTGAGATGGAGACATTCTTTTCAAGGAAGACATCAAAGTCAGTTATCCTAAAGTAAAAGAATGCTCCATGGGATTTTATAAAAATTATAAGTTTTTGTATGGGTATTAAAAAGAACCCACATAAAAAAGAGGTAAAGGTTAATGTTATTCCAATGCTAATGTTAATATAATTTCATTTTACCCACAGGTTGGTGAGCCCTGTGAATGATGGTTACATATCTTAATCTACAGAAATATATCGGGGAAAAAAGTATAGAAGGATTTACCTCTGCATGGGTTCTATCTGAATGGTAAGTATAGAGTACATATGTTTTTTCTTTATATTTTGCTGTACTTTTTAATTTAGTTTTTGCAATGATTATACATTCTTTCCTTTTGTAATCATCAAAAATAATATAGCTATAAAAATTGCTTACTAGTTCTACTTGTAATGCTTAGAAATTATTACACCACACTACGTATAGCTAAGGATGCTTTAAAAATACATCTGAGTTTAATTTGGCCTGGAGTTCAAAGTATCTTGAGGTTTCCTAATCACTGGGATGTAGCAGTTAGTATTTTACCATTTTATACTTTAGTCTTTTACTGTATTGTGGAATTTGCTCGAAGTCCATATACAAAGTGATGATATTCCATTTTGTAGAGTTGCTCACTATATGTTCCTAAATATTGCAATAAGTAAGTCTTCTAAAAATATATATGAATGCCAAAACTACTATCTTGCATTCTATTTATTTGCTTTGACCACAGACAGGTGAATCTGTCTAAATAATTCATCTCATTGCATGAGAATAAGTGTCCACAGGCTATCTGATAATTGCCACATGTGAGAATTTTATCTTAAGACATAGAATATGAGAATTATATAAAGAATATGAAAATTATATCTTATAAACATGACAACTAACTCTAATGCAAGGAGAATATTTTTTTCTTAGAGAATATCTAGGATTTTGCAAATTAGTGAAACAAATATTGATTACTGACATATTTCCTAATATTCTCTACTTCAAGGAACTTCAATAATCACTGTGACATGTCTCCACATGATCTAAATTTTCTGGAGTCCATCACAATATATTTAGAGTAAGAGAGACAGCAATGATGGTAACTGGCATCTCACTAAATGAATTATTCCAAAGGAAACATTTCTTTCAAAGAGAACGGTGGCCTGGAAAGAGCTCGGTCTTTGAAAGCAGACAGCCCAGGAGTTTCTCTCAGGCTCCCTCATTTATAGTCTCTATGGTCTTGGGCAAATCACTTGACCTCATGAGTTTGTTCCCATAGCTGTAAGACAGAGTAATAACTGTCTTGTGGTCATTATTGAGGGTATGTGTTTAAAGTACCAGGCACGTGTTAGGCACTCAAAAAAATGGTGACTGTTACTGACGGTGGCTAACAGGCTACCAGGAGAAAACTGGCTGACTCCTTGGAGAGGCTCACAGAGAAGAAAATA
This sequence comes from Homo sapiens, assembly GCF_000001405.40. Classification (NCBI taxonomy): domain Eukaryota; kingdom Metazoa; phylum Chordata; class Mammalia; order Primates; family Hominidae; genus Homo; species Homo sapiens. Next base: position 109,870,406 of record NC_000009.12, on the reverse strand, counting down.
TAACCTCCACGAATGTACTTCCATCCAGGGGCGAGGCCACTAGGCTGCAAACTGGATGATTACAGGGAAAAAGTCCCATGCTATTCAAGTTCAGTCACCAGTTTATTGATTTAAAGTGAAACATATTCCTTCCTAGTGCCTAAAGTGATCATATCCTTCAATCAGGCAACCCTTTCCTCATATCAAAATAACTGAATAATTATAGGGAGGATGAATTCAGAACAAAGAGAGGCAAGGTCCTGAGGGAAGTTTCACTTGGGCCTCACTGTGGCCTGAGGACCCTCCTCACCTTACCACTGACCCCACCTCACCAGCATACAGAAATTCAGGACCTCCCAAAGCTGGGGGTCTCTCTGCAGATAGTACTAGACAACCACTGCCACCTTTGGAACCTCTGAGCTTTCCTTTTTCAGTATTCAAGGCAAATAACTCACCCTCATTCTGTCCACACAAGCCTTTCCCAGAGACATACAATGCACTCACCTCCACTTAGTAAGTTACCATCACCTCCAGTCCTCCCCACCTCACCCACCTCCTGCCCTGCAATAGCAAGGTTGCCATGGTGCGAGTGTTGGGTGTTCCTTCAGATAGCCAATCTCATCAACTGTGTGAGAATTTTACCAAGATAGCCATAAAGAACTAGCTGATTCCCTTGTTTCCAAGTCCTTGAGAAAAACCTCACTGCTTCCGCATACAAGACCAAGTTAATTTCTACTGTTGTTTCTGTTGATTGGATGGATGGATGGATGGATGGAAAGATGGATGAATGGATGCATAGACGAAAAATGAATATGCAATCCCAGCACTTTGGGAGGCCAAGGCGGGTGGATCACAATGTCAGGAGATCGAGACTATCCTGGCTAACATGGTGAAACCCCATCTCTACTAAAAATACCAAAAAAAAAAAAAAATTAGCTGGGCGTGGTGGCGGGCATTTGTAGTCCCAGCTACTCAGGAGGCTGAGGCAGGAGAATGGCGTGAACCTGGGAGGCGGAGCTTGCAGTGAGCTGAAATCATGCCACTGAACTCCAGCCTGAGCGACAGAGCGAGACTCCATCTCAAACAAACAAACAAATAAAAAAATGAATAGATGTAATATGAACAGAATATACTAATACTGCACTGGACATCAGCAATAAATGAGCCCTTGGTATCTTATTTGGCACCCAGGATCATGAGAAGGGAGACCAAAGAAAAAAAATCCCTTGATGTTTTGACATATGTTTATTCCCTGACTGGATTCAGGGAATACAAAAGCAAAGAACTACGTTGAGCTTAAAGTGAGGCTGTCTAGCCCAAAGCAGCCTCTCTTTTTTCATTCGGTCCTCTTATTTAAAAGTTCACCTTTAACCAGAAATTCACTGAGGTTTTAGTACATGTTGGTCTCTTACAAGCACCGTACTGAATGGACTGTACTCTGAGCCAGAGACCTAGCTCTGTGCAGATTGACCTTGAACAATTCACTCAGTTCTATTAGGTGTTTTTAAGGCCCCCTCTCTGTGAGAAGAGGATACTAATTTTAGCCCTCCATCCTCCCTCAGGAATGTTGTGGGGAAAGAGCAACAGCACCGGGGATACAGAGCAAGCTCCTACAAAGAAAGATCTGTCAATGAATTTATATGATGAACAGAGAGAAACAGGCAATATCCTTAGTATCATGCTGCTTTTCTTCCTTTTAAGCACATTTCTCTGGTTAAGGTAAATGGCAAAAACTGATAAACATGCTAAGCAGATATAGGTCATGCTGCTATTTTCAATCAGTAACTCGCTTGCTGATGGTTCTCATTTTGGGTATTCATTTAGCACAATCCTGTTTTCTAGAAAAGGACAGGAAAAGTAGCCATAAAGGTTTATCTTGTTGAAAAAAATCTAGATAATTCATACCGAGCATCACCCCGAAAGTCAGCACCACCTTCCCACCCAGTCCTCTGAGCAATGCAGCTCTGTGCAGGCAATGTCACAGCAACATGAGGTAAGCAGGAGAAGGTTTTCCTGCCAAAAAGCCCAGGAGCAGTCAAAGGCAAGCAACAACTCCCGGCTGGCCATTGGAATGTGGTCACATTATTCTCTGAACATGTGAAAAGCAACATTCTGCAACCAGTGGGGTCCTTGTGACAGTGACAGAGCTTTCTCCTGAGCTGTAATCAATTACGATGCTTAAGTGCATCATGTTTTAAAGAAAAAATAAACAGCTCTTGTGTGCTGTCTCTCTCTCTCTCTCTTTTTAGATGGTACCATGGAGACCCGTCTGAGTCAAATCATTTCAAAGCCATCTTTGACCAACTGCTTGCTCTCACAGAACACTTTCAAAATTGTTAAAGTACAAATAAAATAAATGAATAATCTGAAATACACAGTGTTGTTCTTTTATCAGATCACATCGTTTAATCTCCCTTTTCTCCATATCAAGAAAGGAAATACTAATATTTTTAAGTGAATAAAAAGAACGTTCCGTGAAATATATCTTTTGGGGTCTCTGAGCAAACACACCCAGCACCTATGCATGGGAGAAACAATCCTGAAATGCTGCCTCACCCACCCTGTGAAGTATTCTCATCCAATTTCTATATATAGCCACCACACTTCACACGCACAAACCCTCCACCCTGTCCACATGCACACTGTAATCTTATGCTTGCAGAAATTGGAATGCTGTAATAATGCCCTGAATTTGAGAAATTCACAAGAAAAGCCAAGAGATGGTTTCCTGATTGAATGAAAAAGGCTGGTTTGGTTGGCGGCAGCGCCTTCACGGCAGGGCAGGCACTGCCCAGCTCTCCGGAGTGTGATCTGCATGTCTAATAATGGAATAGGTTCCTGGGATCAGCTGCTTACCTTGGAATGCTGCAGCAGAAGTATCTGCTCGTCAAGCTGTTGTCGCTTGCCTTCTATTTCAGTCTGCCTCTTTCTTTTTTCCTTGAAAATAAAGAGACAGAGGCTGTAAGAGTGGGTGGGTGTTGGCTCCAGAAATTTTAAGGCAGAAAGCAGCAGCAGCAGCAGCACACATCTGTATAGACACTTCCAGAGACACCGGGCACACACGCAGTGTCACCTGCCCCACCGTCTCTGGGTGTGTTGCAAGCAGCAGCATTCTCCTAACATGTCTGCTGTAGGCTCGAAGAGTGGGAGAAATTCTCCTCACTCAGCCAGGCTGCAAGAATTTAATCCAAAAGAAAAGACGGTTTCTACACACACACACAGACACACACACACACACACACACACACACACACACACACACAGAGAACCATGTTCTGTGCAGTGTTAATTTGGACACAAAGAATAAAAACGTCTCAATCCAAAAGACAGAGGTTCTTACAAACTGCAAATACCATAGAATAAGACAGTGGGAAATTCTGGGTGAGATTTATTTGATCAAAATCACAGACATAAATAAGCAGACGTTGTTTCAAATTTTGTAGGACAAATCACCCAGTTGGACATACCAAACAATGCAAATGAAATGGGTTATATTTGCTGCCACTAGCCTTGGGGTAGCATTTCATGTGGGTGGGGCAGCTGAGGTTACGATAAATATGAAATCTGGAATCTGTCTGTCCGGGTCCAACTCCCAGCCCTACCACTCACTACCTGTCTGACTTCTGACAAGTTCTTCTACCTCCCTGGGTCTTGGTCTTCTCGTACATAAAGTGGAGATAATAACTGCATCCAAACCACTTAGTTGTGGAGTGGATTAAATAAGATGATGTAACGTAAAAGGCCTAGAACAATACCTGGCACAGAGTAAGTGCTCAATGTTATTTGCTGTTAGTCTTATTGTCATAATTTTACTTCTAGGTAATGCCTAGAAGCTGGTTGTAAAGGGATATATTTTCCTTGCATTTCCACTATAACCTTTCCATTAGAGTGTACCCTTCATATTTTTCTTCTCTATACTTCTCCAATGTGGACAATAAACATCATATGAATGTGATTCATGAGAACAGAAAGGTCTGCTCTCATGATAGTTTCCTTGTTAATGTTCTGTTTCCAAAGCGTACAGGAGTGGTTTGCTGAGACATTTACTATACTGGAGCATTTTCGTTTACTCACATATGCAGGGAGAAACTTATTAGATAAGACATAATGGCATTTGACAATACAACAGCCAAATCCTAGGGACAACAACAATGCGGAAGCCTGGCTGCTGTGCTCAGTGTTAACGGAAGCTTTTATTTTATGTAGTCGCTATGTTTCCGGGGCTATGATTGTACCATTGCTATTCAAATCAATGTAATAATAATGTGTATTACAACCAAGGTTTTCTGTGCAATGCCCAGACCTTACAAAATATTAGCTCATAATCTTAAGCCACTAGAATATGATATCTAAGTCACGGATATAATCTCCCTGACAAAGTAAGACACATGAATATTTTAGGAATGTAGTACCATTTACCAAAGAACTCCAATCAATGGTGCATAATTGATGTTACTTAATCCCAGAGTGTGTGCAAGACCATAAAATATATGACAGTGGATGGGAAAAGTGAGGCACAGTGGGAACAGCCCACATCCACCATCTCAGAGATGGCACATGATAAAGCTAGGGCTTCCTGGTCCAGCTGCTATCTCTACATTCTAGAATCTCTCAAGAGTAGACTTACTGGACTTTGTCAGTCATTCCCACTGGCTATCAAGATATGTAGTTGTCCTACATTTAAATACAGAACCAAGATGTATGTCATAGATATGAGAGGCTGATGACTCAAGATTTCCACAAATATTAATTGAGTGTCATGTGTTCTCATTACATGTCTTGTCATTTCCAAACCATTCCCAGGCTTTCCCACAGCTGTGACTTTGTTCCATCAGAAAGTCCTCACTCCAGAGTTGCCCATCATCATATTGGTGAACCATTCTCTGAGCAGAAGAAAACTTACCAGGCAGTATGGGCAGTGGACCTTTACATGCTCAAGCAGCAGGCTCATTGGTGATCACTGTAACTGACATGGTCATGAAGGATGTAGAGTTCATGTTAGTCCTTTAAGAATGGGTAGGATTTAGGGCCGGGCACACAGTGGCTCATACCTGTAATCCCAGCACTTTGGGAGGCTGAGGTGGGTGGATCACCCGAGGTCACGAGTTTGAGACTAGCCTAGCCAACATGGCGAAACCCCATCTATACTAAAAATATAAAAATTGGCCAGGTGTGGTGGTACATGCCTGTAATCCCAGATACTTGGGAGGCTAAGGCAGGAGAATCACTTGAACCCAGTGGGTAGAGGTTGCCATGAGCCAAGATCACACCACTGCACTCCAGCCTGGGCGACAGAGTGAGACTCTGTCTCAAAAAAAAAAAAAAAAAAAAGGAATGAGTAGGATTTAGGTAGATACAAATGGGCAATACATTCCAAGCAAAAGGAACTAGGTGAACAAGGGTAGAAATGCACTGCATATTCCAGGGACAATGAGGAGGAAAATCTAACTGGTTGTAGGGCTTGCCTTTAGGAACAGAGATCAATGACTCAACAGATTGGCTAGGACTATACCATGGAGGGCCATGAAGTTTAGATTTTATTGCATGGACAATGCAATGTCATTGCAGGGTTCTAAGCTACAGAATGATATGGTGAAATGGCATTTTAGGAACATTAATCTGGCATTCATACATAAGGTGGATTAATAGGGGCTGATACACTTTTCCTATAAAACAAAAGTAAATATTTTAGATTTTGTGGGACATACAGTCTCTGTCGCAACTACTGAATGCTACCATTGTAGTTCAAAAACAGTCCTGGACAATATTTAAATGAATGAGTGTGGCTGTGTTCTAATAAAACTTTATTTGCAAACACAGGTAGTGGGCCAGATTTGGCCCACGGGTCCTAGTTTGCTGACCTGTGGATTCAAATATCATTTAAGTGCCTTAGGAGGATGTTCCATTCACCTGGTTGTGCAGTAAGGATGGATGAACTAACAAGCCTCCTAGCTTAGAGCTGTACCAATCAGAATGGAAAGAGAAGGACAAATGGAAGAAACAGAATTGATGAGACTCAAAACTAATAGGATCTGGGGGGTTAGGCAAAGTGGTGTTTTGGCTTTTAGTCACACGGACCAGAAGAGCGCTGGTGCAGGAAGGGGTAACAGTGGGAAAGCAGTAAGGCTGAGCCCATTTGTGCTGTAGTCATACATTTCCCCTGAGGAAACTCCTTATTGGGTTAGAATTTGGAACTAAGCAGTTGTTAGCACATACAACCAGGCAGCAGCATTAGCATGTTTACAACTGCATTCTAACTGATGACCCTGGGCCTGGCCCCATGACAAGGACCCACTGTGCATCCACAGCTATTTCAGGATTCTTTGACTAGCTGAGCTCCCTTTCACAGTGAATTTTTTTTTTTTTTGAGACAGAGTCTCAGTCTGTTGTCACAGTCTCAGCTCACTGCAACCTCTGCTTCCTGAGTTCAAGCAATTTCCCTGTGTCAGCCTCCCGAGTAGCTGGGATTACAGGTGTGTGTCACCACGCTTGGCTAATATTTGTATTTTTACTAGAGATGGGGTTTTGCCATGTTGGCCAGGCTGGTCTCAAATTCCTGACCTCAGGTGATCCACCCACCTCAGTCTCCCAAAGTGCTGGAATTATAGGTGTTAGCCTCCGAACCCAGCCCATAGTGATGGTCTTAAAGTCACTTCTAGGTGGACAAGAGGCAACCAGCCTACGCTCAGAATTAGATATGAGTCAAACGACAACAAGTTTGCATAGGACACCATTAAGGAACTCACTTGCAGTTTCTGATACTTGTTTGATGGCTGAGGTCTGAGCTGTGCTCCTCACCGGGATAGCCCACTGGTTTCCAGATTTCTCCTTCCCTTAACCAGGACAAAACCAGTAACTCTTCGGGCCTTCATTCTCATCCACTCTACAACTCTACCTCTCCTTTGAGCTGCAGATCCCTATACTGAACTGCCAACTATTCATAGTCACTCCCCCAAACTCAAACACATGCAGTCACCATCTCAAGCAATCCCCCACCCTCTACCTTCACACCTGTTCCTTCTTCTATGTTTCATCTCAGCAAATGACACTACTTAAGTCAGAAATCTAAGTCATCCTAGACACTTACTTTCTTGAAAGACCAAGTCATGTTGATTCTGCTGGCCAGTTTCCACATCTTTTGCTTCCCCACTATAACCTTGAGTATTGCCTTAACCCTCCTTCCTTCATCTCCTACCTGGACATGGAGACTATTCCATATTAGCATCTTTAGCACATTACAGAACTTATCTCCAGCTGGATTACTGTAGTGGTTTCCTTATTAGTCTCCCTGCATCCATTCTTGGCTTCTCCAACTCAATCTCCACACTGCTGCCAGAGTGATATTCTAAAATGGAAATCTGACCACCTCCGACCCTTGCCTAAAACCAAGGATGTCTCCCCATTGCCTACAGTGCAAAGAGCAGGTTCCCTAGCATAGCCAGTGAGGCTCCTGTCTATTTCACAGCTTCATCTCAAGCCATGGCCCCCTACCATGATCCAACCTCAAAGACTACTTGCAGTCTCCTGATCTTCCCGGCTGGTTCATGTCCTCTTAGTTTTGTTCTTATTGCTTCCTCTAACAATAATCGATGTGCACTGCTGCTTCATTTGACAAAAAACAATTCATCTATGATGGCACAGTTTAAATATCCATGAAGCTTTAATGAACATCTGTCAATTTTGATCTGCCTAGTCTTCTTTCCTTTGGGGAAACACATCTACCCTCACTGTAAATGGCTCTGGTGGAAATGCCAGTCATGGTTAGCTCATTCCTGCCACTAGGACTTGTTTGTGAGCCAGGTTAGGCCAATCATGCTACCTCGTTTCTTTGCAATAGCTATTGATCCAAGGGATAGCTAAGTGAACTGAGAAACACCAGTTAGAGACATTTCTAGGGACAGACACACGGATACCAGGAGAGAAGTGAAAAAACATACCACTAGGATTAAGCTGAGATGATGTACTTCTGAGTAGCAATTTTTCCAAGTCACATAAAAGAAATGCATCTACATTGAAGAAAATAAAGTCAACATGCAGAGGGAGGCAGAGTTGAAAGAGAAAAAAGGGTCCTACTACATTGTTTGAGTCCCAGATCTAGTCATGCATGAAGCCAGAACCATCCCCAGGCTTCCTAAATTATATACACTAATAAATCTCCCATTTTCTTAAGCTAGTTTGAGTGATGTTTCTACCACTTACAACTCAAAGAGTACTGACAAATACAGAAGATTTTTCTGTTCCCTCCAAATAGATTGCATCACTCCCTCCTTTCTCTTCCCTCCCCACAGGCTGTGGATTTTTCTACATTAGACCTCAAGCACTGTAGCACTTTATACACTTAACTATTTACACATCTTCTCTCTCTAACAAACTATGGGCTCCTTGAGGACAAGGATCTTGGCTGACACATCTCTAAAGCCTAGAATATTGTATGATGAATACATGTAATTTATGCTTACTGAGTATCTCTGAGTGTACTATCCTCTTTTTTCTCTCTTCCACTTGTGTTCCTGTTTGTCCATATCCCTCATTCAAATGAATTACGAATTTGTACTCATGACTTCAATAGAAGCAAAATACATTATTAAAAACACATTGGCCATCAGTCCATAAAACCAGAAGTGTCCTAATGCTAAAGACATTAACCCACATGAAATAAATTACTGTTGCTATGCATATGAGGAAAGAGTTGAAAAGGCTAATTCTGGGAAAGAATCATGGAAAGCTTATTCTGGGGAGAAAGGCGGGGGAAGTGGAAATTCCAGGGAAAAGCATAATGAGCTGACAGTAGCAACCATTCGGGGCAGTGTGCCTCAAGAGACATCTGGAATGACGTGATCTCAATCCATTAGAAAGACTTCCAGATTCCTCCACTATCTGGGAAGGCTAACAAGCCACTTTCATTCACTTTCTATAAATTATATATTTTCCTGGCAAGTATTTTCTGGAAGGATTATAACATGATAGAACATGTTATAATCATAACATGTTCGTAACATAACACGTAAACTATTGTTAAAGAGCACCCGTAGAGAATGAAGCACATTCTGTTCAATAAATATGATGAGAAGACAGACATGGCAAGCACCTGTTGTTAGGAAAGCCTATTTCCACCTTTTTGCTCCTTGAGACTCCCTCTTCTCTCCTGCTGACTGTGCTGCAACTGGAGCACTAGGAGATGCCAGGCTGTGGCTGTGGACAAGGTGGGTGTCCCAACTGAGTGTGTGAGAAACAGGGAGACAGGGAAAGAGGCTAAGCAGGGAAGGTAGTCAGAAGCAGAAATAGGGTGTTTCCTTTCCTCCACTGAACCCCCATTCTAGCTTGCGCTGATACCTCGCGCCCCAGGGCACAGCAGTGGGAAGGGACCAGAAGACCTACTCAAGGCCCTCTTGCCATCATGAGATCACAGAATTTAGACAAGAGGAGGGTAAAGAAAATATATTAAATTGTAAACGTTGCAATCTTTATTCTTTCTATTGCTAGATGAAGATAATTCAGCTTTGACTTCCTTCCATGTGAGCTAAAGGGAATCTTGTTTCCTTGCCCCAAACCTTTTAAGTGACTTTTTGCCAGAGGATTCCTAGGCTTTTGAAATGAAGAATCAGAGAAAGAGGTAAAGTACTGAAAAACTGCGAGAAACAGACTGTTTTATATAGTTGCACTTGGAAAGGGAATGGGTGGGGATGCTATTTAGGGGGAAAAATGATCGAGAAAAGGAAAGAAGAGATGAAGAAGTAAAGCACTGAAAGGGGTCAGAGACAGTTTAAAGTTCAAGAGTTTAAAATGAAAAGGCTGAGATATTAAGGCCAGGAAATCAGGAAAAGAGAATCTTGAGATATTTTACTGTGGCTTATAAAATGAATCCCCTCTGATGTTCTCCAGAAGATTCCAGTAAGGATACTGAAATTACTTTGGCCAACTAGCCTGTGTTCCTTTGAATATAACTTCATGCTGAAACTGGATTGCCAGGATACCTAGGTTTTATCTGGGTTACACCAAGAAATAAGGTGACATTTTGAGAATTAAATTATGAAAAATCAACTTGCAAGTGGGGACCCAACAAGCTTTTTCTATTAAGAAATCACAATGTCATCTCAGACATGGTTGGGTTATAATTACCTTTCTAACACTACTGCAGATTCAATGCTATTTATACATCTGAGGGGAAAAAAAAGAAAAATAGTCTGTCTAAAAACTGAAAACCTGAGTAATCAAGCATAAAAAAAATTGAAGAGGTGCTCACTCAGCTTTGTCCAATCGCCTGTCCAGCTAACAAGTAATGCTGAGTTTGCTCAGCAGACACATCCCTGTTCGAGATCAGTTATCTCATCTCAACACCATCAGATATTAAAACTCACTCTCCTGGCTCTGTCTTCAAGATCACCAATCATAATCCTGATTTCTATTCAGGCTTCCTATGTAGTTAGCTAAATGGAGAGATGGTACTTGCTAAGACCCCTGCAGTGTCCATCCACTGAAAAATAAATAGACACTTGGGTTTGTAGATAAGTAGCTGAAAGCTAAGTTGGCATGTGATTTTCTGATCCTACAAAACTAAGAAACAGAACTCAGAGCCATTTTAAATGACAGCCTTAAAAGGCTTGGTCAGAAGAACAAGTAAGGTAGGTTTTCTACATTGTTCTGCCTAGCCATGTACCCATTTAACCCGCAACATCACCAGGTGAAGTGGATAATTCCACAACTCTATTTATTCCTCATCCCTTAGTTTGGACCAGCATTTCCATCTACATAACTTCTCTTTTCTTCAACTGATTATTTGGACTTGAGCTTGCCATCTATCTGTAAAAGAAGGAACTGCCAGCTTTGTATTGTTTTCTGTAGTTATTTACTTTTAATTGTTTTATTGACATATGATATTTGTACACATTTGTTGGGTACCTGTAATATTTTGTTACATGCATAGGATGTATAATAACCAGGGTGTTCAGGACATCCACCATCTCGTGTATTTATCATTTCTTTGTGTTGGGAACATTTTTAGTCCTCTCTTCCAGCTATGTTAAAATCTAAAATATATTGTTGTTAACTAAAGTCACCTTACTGTGCTATCCAACCTTAGATCTTATTCCTTCTACCTAACTGTATAATTGTACCCATTAACCAACCTCTCTCATCCTCCACTACACACACTCCCTTCTCCACTTCTTGTAACTTATTATTCTACTTTCTACCTTCATGTTTCATTTGTAATAGAAACAATATGGTCAAGAGAATTTTTAAAAGAAAAAGAAGACATTGATTAGTTCGAGCCTCAATACTGGATTTTAGAAGGGGTAATTTAACACCCAAAACCTTAAGAAACATCCCATAGAATTTAGATGCAATATTATCATTAATTTCACCCAACAGTTAATATATCTGGCCTATTAGTGCCAAGTCAAATGCACAACACAGCAGAGTTTCCATTTAGGGTCCTTTATAGATACTTTATAGCCCATATGGGTTATATCTTAAGTCTGTTTTTTAAGGTCTGCCCACGGTGTGACCCTTTAAGTAATTATTTAACCATAGAGCTATACTTTTGCTTTGATGGTCATAACATCAAATTCTTTGCTAGGAGTGCTTCACTTTGGTTTCCTCTAAAGACCAAGAAGGGAAGTGGTCTGATATGGGCTCTGATGAGAAAGTAAGACCCGCTTTATGACACCACATTGATAAGCCCCTTGTGGTGGAAAAATCCAGCACTTTCTGTACAGGTAGGCAGAATGGTAGAGGACTCTGAAAAAGTCCCAAATGGCAGGAATAACAGAATCAAACTCTCCCGAAGAATGTGATCTCCATCTCATCCCTCTCCGTGTGTTGCCTTATTCCCACCATGAAGTCTCGTGAGCAGAGTCAGGAGATCTCGTATCAGGTAGGGGCTCTGCCACGAACTCCCTGAGTGACTTAGACAAGTCCCTTATTGTTTCTGGGCCTTGGATCCCCAGCCTGTGAAATGAGTAGGTTGGGCCAGCTTAGCTCTAAGTTTCCTCCAGCATCACTAACATTCCACAGTGCTAAGGAGAACAACGACTTCACACGTTCCAGACTGTCACATGTGCCCTTCCTGAGTTATAAAGTAATGCTAGCAAACATTTACATAGTGGTCACTGTGTGCCAGGCACTGTTTTGTGTGATTTAACATGTTTAATCTTCACAACAACCTAATGAGTTAGGTACTATCATTATCCCCATTTTACAGAGGAGAAAACTGAGGCACAGGAAGATAAAGAGACAGGGTCACATGGCTAGTAAGCATCAAACAATTGGAACTCCGTCTGAAATACTGAAATAGAACTACCTGCAAAATGCTACTGCAGGATTGAAATGAGATACAGCAAAGATGGAACTAACACATCACCTGGTAGAGTGCAGGGACTTAATAAATGAAGGTGCTTCCTTTCTACCTAGCACGAAGTTTTTGGCTTAGGATTTTGTCTAAACAACTGCAATTTACTCATGCAACAACAATTCAGTTGTGTAGTGGTTGAACCTAATAATCCCAATGATGGTAGTGGTATAAACCATAATGGTAAGAATAATAATGGCAACTGAGTTTATTGATGCCTTGCTATGTCAGGCATTATAGTAAGAATTGCCCCGCAGTTTTTCACTTAATCCTCATCACACTTTGAGGTAGATACTTTAAAATCTTCCATTTTATGGATGAAACAACCTAAACTTAGCTACTGTAAGGGAAGTGCCCTTGAGCTAAGAAGTGGCCAAACAGGGGTTGAAACTTAAACAGTCTCACTCCAGAGTACTTTACCATGAAAAGAGACATGTTCAGAGCTACTAGCTTTTGTTTGGCTCTGGGTGAATTCCACTCTGGACACATGAAACCTATTACACTGCCACCTCCACATTTATCTGCCAAAAGCCATCCAGGGCAAATGAGCTGTTGAAAATGCAAAACATCTTGATGTCAAATCCCTCCAATCTCCAAAAAAGGAGGCCTCTTACATTTGTGAGCATTTCTCAATTTCAAACAAAAATAGGTCAAGGCTGTGTTGGAACCTTCAGCAATGTCTGGTGAACCAATATATTCATTTCTTTCAATCCCTGTAGAAGACATTTACATAGAAATCGAATAGTCTAATGAAAAGAGCAAATGCAAAATATTTCTCTCCCATTTTAACTTTTCATCTGAAAGGAACTACTGCAGATGAGGCAGCAGTTGGGAAGGTTCTCAATTTACCAAGAATGGAGGAGATGCTCTAAATCCAGGATCTCTGGATATCAGAATATGGCTCCCTAAAGTTGGAGGACAGGAGGAGGAAGGGGCAGAAGGATCCACTGGGTTGATAGGCCTGTCTTAGGAAGACGTGCCAGGCCTGGAGGCAGTCTCAGGGCAGGAAGCGGGGGTGGACACTGCATGGACCTCACAGTAAGCAGCAGTCCCATTGGCTGCTCGCAGTTCTCAGCACCGCAGGCCACAGAACAGGGGAGGGGATGGGGCACAACTGAACATAGCTGTCGTGGTTGGAAATACAAAACAAGATAGTGTGCACAAAAATAGAAAGAGAACACAATGTGCAGCATTCTGATGACAACAAAGGAACGCAAACTCCAAGAAATTAGCATAATTCCAAACAGAGACATACACTCCTTTTCTGACTTTGACAAATCATGTTTTTGTTTGTTTCTTAGATGCCAGTATCTGGTGAACATTTCTGATCTATATTCATTTTTTAATATAGAAAAGTATAAAGAAGGAAACACCAATTGTCTATAATCTCCCTGCCTAGATAAATGGAGTAAGCATTACAAAACATAAATAAAAGTAATAAACATGCAGGGTAGAAAAATTCACACCATCCACACAGGAATAAAATGAACATTTGACTTTCTCTTCACCTCATCCCTACCAGCTTTGTTCCTTCAGGCAACAATTCCTATTAGTCCTTTATGCATCCTACAGGAAAAAATGGATACACCAACATAAGTTGGGGTCTTTTATTCTTAACACAAAAGACCTGCCCTTCAGCTTACTTTCTTCACTTCGTGATGTATCTTAGAGATTTTACTATTTCATTCAGCACATGGAATCCCACCACATTCTTTGCAACTACGGCATGGCGATTCACAGATGTAGCTTAACTTACTTTAGCAGTCTGCTGCTAATAGATAATTTAGGTGGTTCTCAGTGCTTTGTTTGCAATTATAGACGGGACTGCAATGAATCTTCCTCTATGTTCATCTTAGACGTACTTTTGTGATTCCATACATAGGGTGGATTTCTACCAGCAGAACTGCTAAGTCAAGGATTTGAACACATAAAACTCTAATAGGGACAAATTGCTCTCCAAAAAACAGTTTCTCAGGGTTTTAAATGATACAATTGTGAGCAGAAAATAAACTCAACCACCTAATAAGAGTTTTGACAGTTTTTCCTCTTGTTAGCTATATCTTTAGGGCCCAAGGGGGTTTTAAATGAAAGAAACTACCACTTTGTTAATAATTGCAATGTTTTAAAAACATATTGGGGTAATTTGTCCTTATCATAGACTATTACTCTATCTTTTCAGGTTAAAAAAATGATAATTTTCTACCTTAAGAACAGAAGTCTATTATAATTCCATCAGTCTCCCATGAAGAATCAACACTGTACTTCCCTTCTTTGCACTGCTGATGTTAGAATTACTGCATAGCCAAGTTGTGCCCACTTGTCTATAAGGAAAGAGGATTTAATCCTTTTGTGGTCATTGCTGTCCTCCAATGGTTTAAAAGTAGAAAATTTTTCATCCACCAAAACAATTTCTAGATGGACTCAGGCAATGTAAAAAGTGAAAACATGAGAAAATATAGTGATTGTCTGACTTTAGGATGGAAGAGGACTTTAAAAACATAACGCATAGAAAGAAACCACAAAGCACAAAACTGACGAACTTCATTACACCCTCCCCAAGGGCAGAGACCATGTCTCTCATTCATGGTTTCTCTCTCTTGCCTAGAATCATGCCTAACACATACTGGGCCTGAATCAGTATTTATTGATAATGAATGACTGAAAATGTATAAATAAAACACAGCCATTAAAGATAAATTCTTTTAAGGCTGGGAGCAGTGGCTCATGCCTGTAATCCCAGTACTTTGGGAGGCCAAGACGGGCAGATTGCTTGAGCTCAGGAGTTCGAGACCAGCCTGGGCAACATGGTGAAACCCCATCTCTACAAAAAATGCAAAAATTAGCCAGTCATGGTAGCACATGCCTGTAATCCCAACTACTCAGGAGGCTGAAATGGAAGGATTGCTTAAGCCTGGGAAGCGGAGGTTGCAGTGAGCTGAGATTGTGCCACTGCACTCCAGCCTGGGGACACAGTGAGACCCTGTTTCCCCCACCCCAAAAAAAGGGGGGGGCACCAGGCATGGTGGCTCACGCCTGTAATCCCAGTACTTTGGGGGGCCGAGGCGGGCAGATCACAAGGTCTGGAGATGAAGACCATCCTTACCAACCTGTGAAACCCTGTCCCTACTAAAATGCAAAAAATTAGCCAGGCGTGGTGGCACACACCTGTAGTCCCAGCTACTCAGGAGGCTGAGGTAGGGGAATCACTTGAACCTGGGAGGCAGAAGTTGCAGTGAGCCGAGATTGTGCCACTGCACTCCAGCCTGATGATAGAGCAAGACTCCATCTAAAAAAAAAAAAAAAAAAAAAAAAAAAGATACATTCTTTTAAAAACTGACTACAGAATAGCATGTTCAGTATTATATCATTTTTATAAAAAGTAAATGCATGTGTACGCACATGCATATAAATGATCATGCTACAGGATAGCATCTATCCTCTGCATACATGCTAAATATCAACATAGGTTGTATCTAGATGGTAGGATTTGGAATGCTTTCATCTTTGCTCTTTATATCCTTCTGTGTTTTCTAGTATTTCTATGTGAACCCACCCTATTAGGTAGGCTAACATGGAAAATGTAATATACCAAGCTCAGATTAAAGCAAAGCTACTCCTTAGACACCCTGATCCTCAGCATCTTCTGAGAGAATAACCATCACCAGTGACAGTTGCCTGTGGCCAGAGGGATGTTTCTGAGAGGCTCGGAATAGGAACCCTTGCATATTTTGTAGTTTAAACCTAAATAGATATGTTTCCTAATTCAGAATCCTCAGCTGATGATGGCAAATCCAGAGCTCTTGCTCAATGCTACCTCTTCCTGCCCTTCTTCTTATGTCTCCTCTTTGGTGGTGACCAAAGTCTAAGACGATGCCCCCAGGGACAGGGAAGTGGCTCTGATCTGCTGGTAGTGACCCTGGTGGTTCAGCAGGGAACAAGGGAAAGGTACTGCTTCTCACTGAGGACAGCAAATTTCTAGTAAAGACGTACTTTAGGATAAGGTAATTAAATAAGCAAGACAAAAGATTGCTGCTGGTATAGGGACAGCTCCAAGTGTCCTGCCAGCACCATGTGCTTGGCTGAGCCCTGCTCTAGTCCTAGAAGACTAAGAAGAGCCTCATAGGGTTGTTTGAGCCAGTGAGAGCCCACCTAGGATGCTCCAGTAGGAAGCTCCAGTTAAAGCAAGAATCAGCACCAAGTTCAGAGAAGCCAAGCCCCAAACAGCAGAGCTCAGCTTTAGGTCAAGAACAAATACAAAAGATTACAGTTTAAAAACTGTAATACCCAGTGTCAAGTATAGTGAGGGGAAACTGACTTTTTATTCCCTGCTGGTGGTGGTAGAATCTTTCTAGAGGATAATTTGGCAGTCATATAGAATAGCAAACACTTTCAAGTTTATATGCGATTTGAACAACACATTTCACTTCTAGGAATTTATTCTAAAGGGGAAATTATGCCAATGAGCAGTGCTTTTACTTAATGATATTTACTGCAGCATTGCTTTTAAAAAAGAGAGAGACTTAAGTATTAAACCACAGGTGTTTGGTTAAATAATCTATGATATATCTGCACCATTATGCAGTCATTGCAAATGAAGCTGTAGATTACATGAAATAGAAAGATATTCTCAATATAGTCAGTTTAAAAAGCAAAGAGTATGCTCAGTATAATCTCACTTTTATAAGAAAAAATACAGTTATGGAAAAGATTGGAAAGCTATACACTGAAATGCCAAAGGTTTTGTCACTAGCAATATAACTTGAGATGAGAGGTGCTGATAATTGCTGCTAACAGCATCATCCTAATAGTACTTGTGAAAAGGTACTGGGGGTGGGAGTGTTTACAGGTGCCACGCGCAGTTCTGAGTGCTTTAAATGAACTACCTCATCAACCCTCACTATAACCCTGGGGGGAAGCTTCTATTATCCCTCCATTACAGATGAGGACACTGAGGCTGAGAGAGGTTAGGTAACTTGCCCCTAGATCCCCCAGTTATGAAGTGTTAAGACCAGAATTCAAAGCTGTCCGTCTGGCAACTGGGACCTAATTAAACCAAAGGGCTTTTGCACAGCAAAAGGAAACTACCAACAGAGTAAACAGACAACCTACAGAATGGGAGAAAATATCTGCAAACCATGCATCTGACAAAAGACTAATATCCAGAACCTATAGGAACTGAAACAAATTGACAAGTAAAAAACAACCCCATTAAAAAGTGAGCAAGGGACATGAACAGACACTTTTCAAAAGACATACAAGCAGCCAACAAACATATGAAAAAATGCTCTACACCACTATTCATCAGAGAGATGCAAACCAAAACCACAATGAGATACCAACTCACTCCAGTCAGAATGGCTACTATTAAAACGTCAAAAAACAACAGATGTCGGTGAGGTTGCAGAGAAAAGGGAACATTTATACTCTGTTTTTGGGAGTGCAAATTAGTTCAGGCCCTGTGGAAAGTAGTTTGGAGATTTCTCAAAGAACTGAAAACAGAATTGCCACTGGACTCTGCAATCCTATTACTGATATATACCCAAAGGATAAGTCATACTATCAAAAGGGCATGTACTCGTATGTTCATCACAGCACTATTCACAGGAACAAAGACATGAAATCAACCGGGTGCCCATCAACAGTGTATTGGATAAAGAAAATGTGGTACATATACACCATGGAATACTACACAGCCATAAAAAAGAATGAAATCATGTTCTTTGCAGCAACATGGACTTGTAAGTGGGAGCTAAACATTGGGTACACACAGACACAAAGGTGGGAACAACAGACACTGGGCATTCCAAAAGGAGGGAGGAAGGGATGGGATCAAGGGTTGAAAAACTACCTATCAGGTACTATGTTCATGGCTTGGGTGACAGGATTATTAGATGCCTAAACCTCAGCATCACACAATATACTCATGTAACAAATCTGCACATGTACCACCTGAATCTAAAATAAAATATAAATAAATAAATATTCTTTAATTATTTTTTTTTTAAAAGCTGATCATCTGGCTTCAGAGTTTGTGCTCAGAACCACTTTGTTTTACCTATTGATGGGGAACCAGGTAGGATTAAGTCTTGACTTCAGTGGTTTCCATGTTGCTTTCTCGTGGCTAGTTCTGTTGCTTGCCATCACGTATAGCAGCATTTTAAGGAAGTGAACAAAGACCACACAGCTTTTTACCCACTAATAGAGGTGACCCAGTTAAAGTACTTAGTCCTTTAATTTCAGGATGCTCAAGTTAGCAAACCGACAATGACTGACTGCTTTGGGGGTTTACTTTTCTTAACCACCAGGGTCCAGGCCACTTAGAAGTGAGTCAGAAGACAGCAGGGGAACTTCATTTACTGGTGTGATTATACTCCATCATCACTGGCTTTGACTGTGATCATGATGGTGAAGTTCAGGAGAAGTGCACCATCATCTTCATGCAGGCAGGTTGGTCTTTATCATGCATCAAAAGTGGGGAGCAGTCCTTCCATGGTACTTTGCTTCAGTGTGGTACTTTGCTTCCCTTTGGTATCTATCACCAGGTAGATAACATGTGTATCTCTCTTCACTGTAGTCTGGAGGAAGATTCAAGACCTCTGGCTATTAATACCATGTAAGTGGTGCCCTGACCCCATTATTTCTAATGTCTGGCTTCCCATCTCATCCAGTTCTTAACATGCACGAGCCAGTTAGATGCCTCCACATCTTGGCCTCAATTTTCCCCACAGTGCTCAACCCTGGAAGACCATTAAGATCACCTGAGGATCATCAAAAAGCACCAAGCCCAGGCCTCACCTTCAGAGATTTTGATCTTATTGGTCTGGGCACTCAAGGCTGTAAACACTACCAGGTAGTGTTTTTTTTTTTTTGTTGTTGTTGTTGTTGTTGTTGTTGTTGTTGTTGAGACGGAGTCTCCCTCTGTTGCCCAGGCTGGAGTGCAGTGGCGCTATCTCGGCTCACTGCAAGCTCTGCCTCCCGGGTTCATGCCATTCTCCTGCCTCATCCTCCCAAGCAGCTGGGACTACAGGTGCCCGCCACCATGCCTGGCTAATTTTTTGTATTTTCAGTAGAGATGGGGTTTCACCGTGTTAGCCAGGATGGTCTTGATCTCCTGACCTCGTGATCCGCCCGCCTCGGCCTCCTAAAGTGCTGGGATTACAGGTGTGAGCCACCACGCCCGGCCACTACCAGGTAGTTTTAATGTCAGTCAAGGTGGAAGATCACTGCAGGGCACATGCAATCTCATGGTCCAGGCTGATAGCATTTGCTGCTGCTTAAGCTTGTTTGAGCTCTTTCTTTCTCAGTCTGAAATAAACTATTTGGTAAATTTTGTTAAAAGCCTCAGCATTGGGTCAGCCACTTTTCTATTTTTGCAGTTAAATCCTTGCTTTCTTTGCTCTTCAAAGTCTGGGCTTTAGCCACAAGTCAATGATATTTTTGACTTAGGGCAAGTAGAGCTTGACTCTACCTAGCATGTAGCTCTCAAGGGTCAATGCTGCTCCCTTGTTGCAGTATTTCTCATCCTCACCAGCTGACATCTGATTTCTCTTCCCTTCCTTTCAGGCCCCTTCTCTTAGGATTACACTACTATTTTCAACCCAAGGACATGGGTGATAAACTAGGTCAAAAGGGACGAAGTTGGGGGTTGGATCTCAGAACCACAGAAAACACCACCAAGACAGGTCAAACCAAATCTGGCTTTGAACTAGGATAAATAAGTTTTGTGCTTCAAAAATGTGTTTAAATGTCTCAATGCTACACTAAATTTCAAAATTCAGAAAGGTAATATTTAAGAAAAAGCTCATCCCTGGGTATGAGTTTCTTTTATGCAACCTCCATGAATGACACCTGGTGAGAGCTGAGAAAAACTAATTAACATGACCTAAGCAAGTCCTCCACCAGCTTTGAATCGCAGGCAACAGATCCTGCATCCATCTCCAAAGCCTCACGAGATCCCTTATTCGGTCTTGCTCAGTGGCTGATGACAACCTGAGACAAGGAGAGGAAATCAGTTCTACTGAGGGCCCGTGAAACCCATAGGTCTCTCTGTACTGGCTCAGCCTCCCTGGGGTACACCTGTTCTATCCTTCTCCTGGGAACTTTCCACGATCTTACCAGCATTTATTTCAGGGAAGTTCCTGATCAGGGGGAAAACTGAAGAACCAGTGCTAATATCTGATAAAGGCCTAATGTAATGAAAGGTTTAAAAAAATAGCGCAAGAATGAGAAACCACAAATATGGCAAATGGTATGTGTTTCTCTCTCTCTCTCCTCTCTCTCTCTTTCCGTTTATTTGTTTTTGCTTTTTGTTTTTTGTTTTTTGAGACAGAGTTTCACACTTGTTGCCCAGGCTGGAGTGCAATGGCACAATCTTGGTTCACTGCAACCTTCGCCTCCCGGGTTCAAGTGATTCTCCTGCCTCAGCCTCCTGAGTAGCTGGGATTACAGGTGCACGCCACCATGCCTGGCTAATTTTTGTATTTTCTTTTTTTTAGTAGAGACGGAGTTTCACCATGTTGGCCAGGCTGGTGTCAAACCCCTGACCCCAGATGATCCACCCACCTTCGCCTCCCAAAGTGCTGGGATTACAGGTGTGAGCTACCGCGCCCAGCCCTGGTTTTGTTTTTTGACATGTGAAAGCAAACCAACTTGTGAAAGAAAAATGCTATCCAAGAAACAACATTTTTTAAAGTGAGGCCAACTAGTAATGGGGAAGATGGCTATCTTCAAATCACCAGCTGGGTGCCTTATGCTTAGGATGGTTTTGAGATGTCTGCCTCCTTCAAAACTTACTGACGAATGCCAATGCAGAGTCCTGGGGCTCTGGGCCCTGCATTTGATCTTTGCAAGATTCCTGTTCCCAGGCAGAAGGCTGACAGTGCCACAGGTAATCACTAGATACTGGGCATTACAGTTTTTAGGAAATAACATACTTTGTGAAGTCTCTGAGTGACCCCCCTCCCTCTTTCTTTCTCTCTAACCCTTCTCCCTCCTTGCTTCCATCCTTGCCCCTTCCTCTCCTCTCCTCTATGTGGAGTCAATCCTGTTAATCTTTATCCTCTAGTGCAGGAGCTGGCAAACTTGTCCTATCAAAGTTAACACTATAAATATTTTAGGCTTTATAGTCTCCGTTACAACTACTCAAGTCTATAATTGAATCAACTTGTTCTGTCAACATTTTTTTTTTTTTTTGAGACAGTGGCACAATCATAGCTCATTGCAGCCTCGACCCCATGGGCTCAGGCAGTCATCCCATCTCAGCCTCCATCACAACACCCAACTAATTTTTTTTTTTTTTTTGTAGAGATGGGGTATCATCATGTTGCCCAGGTTCATCTCAAACTCCTGGGCTCAAGCGATCCTTCTGTCTTAGCCTCCCAAAGTGCTGGGATTACAGGTGTGAGCGACCACACCCAGTCTCTGTCAATTCTTGTAACACAGAAGCAGCTATAGACAATACATAAATGAATGGGCACGGCCCAGGCTGCAATTCAGAGCCCTATTAGAGAGCACCAAGAACTGACTACTTCCCTCAGTCCTGCCATGACATGAGCTCTAGGAGGCTGCATTCTCTCCACAGGTGTGGGTGTGTGTTGGAAGTGGTGATGGCTGAGTGGGCACAAAGATAAGTCACAGGGACAGGGGACACAAGAAAACAGTAAGTCTCACAAATCCTGAGACAACCACAAACACGCAGCACAGGAAACATCTTCCAGGGCAACTGCTGTCTCCATTTCCCACAGCTGAGAGCAGGAGGACTGGGTTCGAGTCCCAGCTCCACCAGACAGTGCTGATGACCTTGAGCAAGTCACTGGACACACTGGGACTTCAGTGTGCACATCTGTGAAAGGGGTTGAACAAAAGTCTGCACTCCCCTGCTCCCAGGGCTGAAGAAGAGCCATAGGAGATTAAGAAGTATCATCAATATAGGGGCCTTTCAGAGTGCAGGTCAGTAACACTCACCAGCAGGTGTCTGCATGTTTGTGACCCCACCCAACACATTTATTCAAGATGCATTTACAAACTCAACTCAGCTGACTTATTTCATAGGAACAAGTTTATAAGCCAATGGGTGGGGGAAAGAATGAGAGGATGAGAGGAGTGTATTCTATGAGTTCTAAAACCATGATCCTGGCTATTAATTTTTCTGTAAAAGGTGGACTTACTTATAAAAAGAATATAGTCTGCTCTTTATCCACAAGAGTCAAAAATGGTGGCACCAAAAGTCACCTACAGCCAGGTGGGGCAAGGTGCTCGCAGGCTGTCTTCATTTCTAGGGCTGCTACACAAATAACCACGAACTGGTTGGCTTAAAACAATAGATTTTTTTTTTTTTTTGAGATGGAGTCTTGCACTCTTGCCCAGGCTGGAGGGCAGTGGTGCGATCTCGGCTCACTGCAAGCTCTGCCTCCTGGGTTCACGCCATTCTCCTGCCTCAGCCTCCCGAGTGGCTGGGACTACAGGCGCCCGCCACCACGGCCAGCTACTTTTTTGTATTTTTAGTAGAGACGGGGTTTCACTGTGTTCGCCAGGATGGTCTCGATCTCCTGACATTGTGATCTGCCCACCTTGGCCTCCCAAGGTGCTGGGATTACAGGCGTGAGCCATCACGCCCATCGAAAACAACAGATATTTATTCTCTCACAGTTCTGGAGGCCAGAAGTCCAAAGCCAAGGCATAAGCAGTGCCACACTCCCTTTGGAGGCTCTAGGGGACAATTCATCCTTTGCCTCTTTAAGCTTCTGGCAGCTGCTGGCATTCCCTGACTTAGGGGTGCATCCCTCTAACCTCTACCTAGTGGTGATCGCATTGCCTTCTCCCCTTCTATCTGTCAGATCTCCCTATACGTCTCTTATGAAGACAGTTGTCATTGCATTTAAGGCCCACCTGGATAGCACAGGATGTTCTCTGCATCTCAAGATTCCTAATTGCATCTGCAAAAAAAAACCCCTCTTCCAAATAAGGTCACACACATAGGTCCCAGGGATTTGATGCGGATATATCTTTTAGGGCGCCATTGTTGGTCTACCACAAACAGGTGTTACTGACATAGCCATCTCCCCACTGGCCACATTGCTGGTGGAACGGAATGCCATGTGCCTGGTTAGGTCATCAATCACAGAGAGCTTGTGGAAAATGGAAATTGTTCAAATGACGAAGTGCTGTCCTGGCCAACATTCAACAGAGACTATAAATTTCAAACATCAAAAAAGCACATCTGATGCTCATTGTGCTGTTAGGCTGGGATTGGAGCTGCTAAAGAAGGAAGGCAAAGAAATATTCTTCAACTAGTGTACTCTTTATTCCTGGAGGAAGGAAGGGAGTGAGGGAGGATAAAGCAAGTGGATTCTCACTGAGTGCCATATGCACCTGGAACTGTCTGGTTATTCTATCTGAGCCTTACAACACTACCAGGAAGACTGCATGGTCCTTACTTTGCAGATGAAGGGATTAAGGCTCAGATGGGTTGAATGTCCAGAGCATGGAGGGAAGAATGGGTGGCACTGGTATTTGTACCCAGCTCTGTTTTCCCCAAAGCAAAGGCTTCATTGATATGGTGCAGTAGGCCTGGTGCCTTCTCCGTTCTAACACCTGAATCCTAAATCACACAGCTTGGTGAGGGCTAAGTGTGGGGGCTCAAGCAAGAGTCACAATGGGCAGAGACTCCTTGTATGATGCTGGACACTTACCAGGGTGGCTGTTCTCCCATTGGGAGACCTTTAGAATTATGTGGGTGGCAGCCATGAGACCAATCTGCCACCCACCTCCCTTTCTCTTGAAGCAGGTCCCTGTTATCACAAGCCCTAACCTTGGTGCCATGAGCTTCTTTCCCAGCCTGAGCTTGGATTTCTCCTTTGCTACTCTACCCCTCAGGTTTCTGTGCAGGACATCAGAAGAACTCGGGGGACAGAGAAGACCTGCTGTCCTACCCGGCTGCCACTTCTTCCTCCTTCCTCCTCATTCTTCCAATGTCAACTGAAAAGCCATCACCCTGATTCACCCAATCTAAAGGAATCACACTGCCCCCCACATGGCCCTCTGTATCACATCAATGTATTCTCTGCTTATTTGTGCTTATCATAATCAAATTATCTACTTTAGATCTTGCTGGTTTTTATCCATCTCCTCCTTCTGAATCTGAGACTTTTTGATTGTCCTGCTCTATATCCTTTATGCTTAACCTGGGCATCTGGTGCATGGTAGACACTCAATAAGTAAATGAATGATGGCTGGGTGTGGTAGCATGCACCTGTAATCTCAGCTACTTTGGAAGATGAGGTGGGAGGATCACTTGAGCTCAGGAGTTCAAGAATAGCCTGGATAACATAGCAAGACCCTGTCACAGTAAATAAATAAACAAATAAATGAATGAGTGAGTAAACACACACATCCAGTAAGTTCTGTTTCCAGCAAAGACTGAGACCAGCTAGAGTTCTCCCCCTGAGGTTACAGATTAGATACCCACTGAGATCTCCACAAACATCATTTCTGTAGCCTCCTGGATTGAGTGGGTTTTCTTTGTCTCCCTAGGACTACGCAGTAAGGGTCACCCAGGACAGACTGAACACACAATTCCTCTGCTCACTGGAGGCCTCTAGCAATTATACTGAGAAGCACCACAGTAATATTAGCACAGCCTAGCCCATAAATCCTGAAAATCCCTGAATCTAGTTAATGGAGCAATTTTTTGCAAGTCAAGCACTTTGTGGCCACCTCAGAGCCATTTGGCGGAGTGACTGCTCTCTCTTAAACTGTGAAATGTCCTTACTCTAGCCTTAAGCTGCTGCCCAGGAGATAGCTCTTAGCTAAAAGGTGATCAAAATATTCTCTCAGTTTTGACACAGCACATGGTGAGAAACAAAGCAAAAGTCTGGGCCTAGAAGCTCCTGGGCTTCCCTTTCAGGTCAGTGCCTCTTTTCAGGAGGATAGAGTACGGATAAAGCAGAGGACTCTTCAAATGCACTTAGTAAGCAGAGGCAGCTGTAGTGGCCTTACTGGAGAAGAGTGTTTAAGGTGTAAATTGGTTATTTTATTCTGGATGCTACACTGCATCTTCACGAATGACTTCCTGAAACCCCCCTACCAGAGCGTGTGTGCGTGCATGCGTGTGTGCACATGCACACACACACACACACACACACACACATCATTTTCTGGCATTTGTTATGGGGGAACAAGACTGCCACCTGTGACCCAGGGGTTCTACAGCACAGGTGAGGTATGACGAGAGCATGGCGGGCATGTCACATGTGAGTTGTGTAGGCTTCCTTCTCGCTGACATCCATGTAAGTCCCAGGGGCTTGAGTGGAGCAGCACACACAGAACAGCAGGGGGTGTGCAGCAAGGGGCACTTACATATGCACAAAGACTTACATATGCACAACTGTACACATGCACATGTGAGAGCACGTGTGTACTCACACATATACACTTGGCATTTCTGTTTCTTAAATACACCTTTTATTTTGGAATCATTGTACATTTACAAAAACAGTACAGACATAGTGCAGAAACTCTCCATCTATTCATTACCCAGCTTCCCATAATCCTAACATCTTACATAACCAGGATGCATTTGTCAAAACTAAGAAATTAACATTGATACAATACTGTTAAATAAAGACTCTGGGTTGCACTATTTTTTTTCCCCCACAAGTGTTCTTTCTTTGTTCCAGAATCGCATCCAGAGTCCTGCATTGCATTTGGGGTATTTCCATTTTGACGATTTGCAATGGTACATCCCCTCAGTTCCTTACATAGCTGTCAGACCAATGAGACTCTGAGATTTCTCACTTTCACTGTTAGTTTATGTTCCTCTAGTAAAATTACTTAACCTTTCTAAGTCTCCATTCGCTTATCTGTAAAGTGGTGCCAGTGGCAGAACTTACTCTACATGGTTGCTGTGAAAATTAAATAATTCCAGAAAGCACTTAGCTGAAGCCTGGGTATACTACTCGCTCAATAAATGTTAGTTAGCTACTGCAACCAGCTCTGATTTGCAAGAGGAGCAATCATATCTCACAAATAAATCATCAAAAGGCAGTTTGAGAAAGAGAACCCAAATCTGCAAAACCGTTGTTTTTGTCTAGGACCAACCAAAGAATCGGGTGTGGTTGCGGAGGTCAGGAACTGCAGATTTAAATCTTGGCGTCTCCTTCTTGGCTGTCTGGCGGTTGGATGTGAGCCGTGACAACTGTGTAGTGCTGACAGAAGAAGGCCACTGATAGGCAGCCAGCTGGCCTCGTCCGGGCTCCTACAAATGTCTGGAACTCGGTGTGAACAGCTGGGATGGGGCCAGGCCGAGGTAGTGCTGCCAGCTAGTTTGAGATGCACCTTGTTCCAGAAATCAAATCAGCCACTTTCCTTTAATAAGCAAGGTCCACACACACACTATCGACTTTATTTCCAGGGAGAAAGAGGATGGAAACAAGCATTTACTGAACATGTCTCATGGGCCAGCCCCTGCACATTTATTATGCAGAGTGGTCTTCAAATTTTTTTCACATACTCTAATCTGTAAAATATTTTGAGCACATACCATGTGTGTATATATATATATTCACACATGATAAATACAAGTAATACACATGTACTACTGAACTAAGTGTACATTATAGAATTATACATCAAAATAGGCATTTAAAACACATAATTTGTAATAACAATGAAATAATGTGTTAAATCAAATAAAAATCAATAGTGCTATTAATGAGAGGAGATGTAAATCTTTCTTTAATTCAAAAAGTCTTCTTCTTTTTTTTTTTTTTTTTTTTTTTGAGACAGGGGCTCACTCTGTGGCCCAGGTTAGAGTGCGGTAGTGCCATCATAGCTCACTGCAGCACCAAAGTCCTGGGCTCAGGTGATCCTCTTTAGCCTCCTGAGTAGCTGAGACTACAAGCATCCAGCTAATTGTTCGATTTTTTTTTTTTTTTTTTTTGAGACCGAGTTTCATTCCTGTTGCCCAGGCTGGAGTGCAATGGCGCGATCTCGGCTCACCGCAACCTCCACCTCCCGGGTTCAAGCGAGTCTCCTGCCTCAGCCTCCTGAGTAGCTGGGATTACAAGCATGCGCCACCACGCCCGGCAAATTTTGTATTTTTAGTAGAGATGGGGTTTCTCCACGTTGGTCGGTCTGGTCTCGAACTCCCGACCTCAGGTGATCCGCCCTCATTGGCCTCCCAAAGTGCTGGGATTACAGGCGTGAGCCACCGAACTGTTTGATTTTTAGTAGAGATGGAATCTCACTATATTGCCCAGGCTGGTTGCAAATTCCTGGCCTCAAGTGATCCTCCCACCTTGGCCTCCCAAAGAGCTGGGATTACAAGCATGAGCCACTGCACCTGACCTTGATAATTTTGAACTTCTTGGGCCGACTTCTTGTCAGATATCATTAGTCTGTTTTTTTTTTCACATCTTACTGGGGCTGATTCAACAACGACGACAACAAAAACTTCTTCCCAGTGAAGTGTTAACTCTGCCATTTTTTGGTTTATGTGGATATTGTTCATTATAGATTTTAATTAGCTTTTAATTCATGAAAACTTTTTAAGCCACTTCTTCAGTTTGTTGAAACAGGGTTTGTTGAGTTTAAGCTGGATAATGTATTCTGCGTACCCGCCTCACCAGAAGTGGCAAATTGCAATCAAACATCACAAAGGCTGCAAGGGAATGAATGAGGATAGAGCTCCCAACCCCTTCCCGTTTGCAAAGTCCCTTCTTTCTTTGAGGACATGCCCAGAACACGCAGCTGATTGTGGATGTCATGGTCCATCCATACATCAAATATTTGTAAAGCCTAATTTCTTGTTGAGTAAAAAATAAAAATGCTAAGACTTTCTACTCACACTATAAAGGATGGTCCTGTACACTCCCCAGGGGCATTCACCCGACTTTGGACTCTAACACTGCTCTGAATTGTCACAACAACCCTCTTAGGGAAGTGGATAAAGGCCTCCCCATCTTATATGTGAATGGGAAACTGAGGCCCAGAGAGTCTGTGCATGTCATCCACCAGGTAGGTTTTCAAGTGGGGTTTAGACCCTGGCCTCCTAACACCAGCTCCAGGCCTCTTTTTTTCCCACCTCCCCTCTATCCCTCCAACTTCCCCTCCATCCCCCTCACCCTCCCCTCTTTCCTTCCACCCTCCCCTCTACCCTTCCACCCTCCCCTCTATCCTTCCAACTTCTCCTCTATCTCTCTACCCTCCCCTCCATCCCCCCACCCTCCCCTCTTTCCCTCCACCCTAACCTCTATCTTTCCACCCTCCCCTTTCCCTCCACCCTCCCTTCCACCCCCCCACCCTCTCCTTTCTCTCCACCCTCTCCTCCATCCCCCACCCTCCCCTCTTTCCCTTCACCCTCCCCTCTACCCCTCCATCCTCTCCTCTTCCCTCCACCCTCCCTTCCATCCCCCCACCCTCCCCTCTCTCCCCCAACCCTCTCCTCTTTCCCTCCACCCCCCCACCCTACCCTCTTTCCCCCTACCCTCTCTTCTTTCCCTCCACCCTCCTCTCCATCCCCCCACCCTCCCCTCCATCTCTCCACCCTTTTTCTTTTTTTTTTTTATTATACTTTAAGTTCTAGGGTACATGTGCACAACGTGCAGGTTTGCTACATAGGTATACATGTGCCATGTTGGTGTGCTGCACCCATTAACTCATCATTTACATTAGGTATATCTCCTAATGCTATCCCTCCCCCCTACCCCCACCCCACAACAGGCCCCAGTGTATGATGTTCCCCTTCCTGTGTCCAAGTGTTCTCATTGTTCAATTCCCACCTATGAGTGAGAACATGCGGTGTTTGGTTTTTTGTCCCTGCGATAGTTTGCTGAGAATGATGGTTTCCAGCTTCATCCATGTCCCTAAAAAGGACATGAACTCATCCTTTTTTATGGCAGCATAGTATTCCATGGTGTATATCTGCCACATTTTCTTAATCCAGTCTATCATTGATGGACTTTGGGTTGGTTCCAAGTCTTTGCTATTGTGAATAGTGTCACAACAAACATACCTGTGCATGTGTCTTTGTAGCAGCATAATTTATAATCCTTTGGGTATATACCCAGTAATGGGATGGCTGGGTCAAATGGTATTTCTAGTTCTAGATCCCTGAGCTATCGCCACACTGTCTTCCACAATGGTTGAACTAGTTTACATCCCACCAACAGTGTAAAAGTGTTCCTATTTCTCCACATCCTCTCCAGCACCTGTTGTCTCCTGACTTTTTAATGATCGCCATTCTAACTGGTATGAGATGGTATCTCATTGTGGTTTTGATCTGCATTTCTCTGATGGCCAGTGATGATGAGCATTTTTTCATGTGTCTTTTGGCTGCATAAATGTCTTCTTTTGAGAAGTGTCTGTTCATATCCTTTGCCCACGTGTTGATTGGGTTGTTTGTTTTTTTCTTGTAAATTTATTTGAGTTCTTTGTAGATTCTGGATATTAGCCCTTTGTCAGATGAGCAGATTGCAAAAATGTTCTCCCATTCTGTAGGTTGCCTGTTCACTCTGATGGTAGTTTCTTTTGCTGTGCAGAAGCTCTTGAGTTTAATTAGATCCCATTTGTCAATTTTGGCTTCTGTTGCCATTGCTTTTGGTGTTTTAGACATGAAGTCCTTGCCCATGCCTATGTGCTGAATGGTACTGCCTAGGTTTTCTTCTAGGGTTTTTTATGGTTTTAGGTCTACCATTTACGTCTTTAATCCATCTTGAATTAATTTTTGTATAAGGTGTAAGGAAGGGATCCAGTTTCAGCTTTCTACATATGGCTAGCCAGTTTTCCCAGCATCATTTATTAAATAGGGAATCCTTTCCCCATTTCTTGTTTTTGTCAGGTTTGTCAAAGATCAGATGGTTGCATATGTGTGGTATTATTTCTGAGGGCTCTGTTCTGTTCCATTGGTCTATATCTCTGTTTTGGTACCAGTACCATTGCTGTTTTGGTTACTATAGCCTTGTAGTATAGTTTGAAGTCAGGTAGCGTGATGCCTCCACCTTTGTTCTTTTGGCTTAAGATTGACTTGGCAATGCGGGCTCTTTTTTGGTTCCATATGAACTTTAAAATAGTTTTTTCCAATTCTATGAAGAAAGTCATTGGTAGCTTGATGGGGATGGCATTGAATCTATAAATTACTTTGGGTAGTATGACCATTTTCACGATATTGATTTTTCCTATCCATGAGCATGGAATATTCTTCCATTTGTTTGTGTCCTCTTCTATTTCGTTGAGCAGTGGTTTGTAGCTCTCCTTGAAGAGGTCCTTCACATCCCTTGTAAGTTGGATTCTTAGGTATTTTATTCTCTTTGAAGCAATTGTGAATGGGAGTTCACTCATGATTTGGCTCTCTGTTATTGGTGTATAAGAATGCTTGTGAATTTTGCACACTGATTTTGTATCCTGAGACTTTGCTGAAGTTGCTTATCAGCTTAAGGAGATTTGGGGTTTTCTAAATGTACAATCATGTCATCTGCAAACAGGGACAATTTGACTTCCTCTTTTCCTAATTGAATACCCTTTATTTCTTTCTCCTGCCTGACTGCCCTGGCCAGAACTTCCAACACTATGTTGAATAGGAGTGGTGAGAGAGGGCATCCCTGTCTTGTGCCAGTTTTCAAAGGGAATGCTTCCAGTTTTTGCCCATTCAGTATGATATTGGCTGTGGGTTTGTCATAAATAGCCCTTATTATTTTGAGATACGTCCCATCAATATCTAATTTATTTAGTGTTTTTCGCATGAAGGGCTGTTGAATTTTGTCAAAGGCCTTTTCTGCATCTATTGAGATAATCATGTGGTTTTTGTCTTTGGTTCTGTTTATATGCTGGATTACGTTTATTGATTTACATATGTTGAACCAGCCTTGAATCCCAGGGATGAAGCCCACTTGATCATGGTGGATAAGCTTTTTGATATGCTGCTGGATTCAGTTTGCCGGTATTTTATTGAGGATTTTTGCATCGATGTTCATCAGGGATATTGGTCTAAAATTCTCTTTTTTTGTTGTGTCTCTGCCAAGCTTTGGTATCAGGATGATGCTGGCCTCATAAAATGAGTTAGGAAGGATTCCCTCTTTTCCTATTCATTGGAATCGTTTCAGAAGGAATGGTACCAGCTCCTCCTTGTACCACTGGTAGAATTTGGCTGTGAATCCGTCTGGTCCTGGACTTTTTTTGGTTGGTAGGCTATTAATTATTGCCTTAATTTCAGAGCCTGTTATTGGTCTATTCAGGGATTCAACTTCTTCCTGGAAGGGTGTATGTGTCTTGCAAGGGTGTATGTGCCTAGGAATTTATCCATTTCTTCTAGATTTTCTAGTTTATTTGTGTAGAGGTGTTTATAGTATTCTCTGATGGTAGTTTGTATTTCTGTGGGATTGGTGGTGACATCCCCTTTATCAATTTTGTTGCGTCTATTTGATTCTTCTCTCTTTTCTTCTTTATTAGTCTTGCTAGTGGTCTATCAATTTTGTTGATCTTTTCAAAAAACCAGCTCCTGGATTCATTGATTTTTTGAAGGGTTTTTTATGTCTCCATTTCCTTCAGTTCTGCTCTGATCTTAGTTATTTCTTGCCTTCTGCTAGCTTTTGAATGTGTTTGCTCTTGCTTCTCTAGTTCTTTTAATTGTGATGTTAGGGTGTCAATTTGAGATCTTTCCTGCTTTCTCTTGTGGGCATTTAGTGCTATAAATTTCCCTCTACACACTGCTTTAAATATGTCCCGGAGATTCTGGTATGTTGTGTCTTTGTTCTCATTGGTTTCAAAGAACATCTTTACTTCTGCCTTCATTTCATTATGTACCCAGTAGTCATTCAGGAGCAGGTTGTTCAGTTTCCATGTAGTTGTGCAGTTTTGAGTGAGTTTCTTAATCTTGAGTTCTAGTTTGATTGCACTGTGGTCTGAGAGACAGTTTGTTATAATTTCTATTCTTTTACATTTGCTGAGGAGTGCTTTACTTCCAACCAAGTGGTCAAGTTTGAAATAAGTGTGATGTGGTGCTGAGAATAATTATATTCTGTTGATTTGGGGTGGAGAGTTCTGTAGATGTCTATTAGGTCCGCTTGGTGCAGAGCTGAGTTCAAGTCCTGGATATCCTTGCTAACTTTCTGTCTCGTTATCTGTCTAATGTTGATAGTGGGGTGTTAAAGTCTCCCATTATTATTGTGTGGGAGTCTAAGTCTCTTCGTAGGTCTCTAAGGACTTGTTTTATGAATCTGGGTGCTCCTGTATTGGGTGCATATATATTTAGGATAGTTAGCTCTTCTTGTTGAATTGATCCCTTTACCATTATGTAATGGCCTTCTTTGTCTCTTTTGATTTTTGTTGGTTTAAAGTCTGTTTTATCAGAGGCTAGGATTGCAACCCCTGCCTTTTTTTGTTTTCCATTTCCTTGGTAGATCTTCCCCCATCCCTTTATTTTGAGCCTATGTGTGTCTCTGCATATGAGATGGGTCTCCTGAATACAGCACACTGATAGGTCTTGACTCTTTATCTAATTTGCCAGTCTGTGTCTTTTACTTGGAGCATTTAGCCCATTTACATTTAAGGTTAATATTATGATGTGTGAATTTGATCCTGTCATTATGATGTTAGCTGGTTATTTTGCTCGTTAGTTGATGCAGTTTCTTTCTAGCCTCGATGGTCTTTACAATTTGGCATGTTTTTGCAGTGGCTGGTACTGGTTCTTCCTTTCCATGTTTAGTGCTTCCTTCAGGAGCTCTTTTAGGGCAGGCCTGGTGGTGACAAAATCTCTCATCATTTGCTTCTCTGTAAAGGATTTTATTTCTCCTTCACTAATGAAGCTTAGTTTGGCTGGATATGAAATTCTGCATTGAAAATTCTTTTCTTTAAGAATGTTGAATATTGGCCCCCACTCTCTTCTGGCTTGTAGAGTTTCTGCAGAGAGATCCACTGTTAGTCTGATGGGCTTCCCTTTGTGGGTAACCTGACCTTTTCTCTGGCTGCCCTTAACATTTTTTCCTTCATTTCAACTTTGGTGAATCTGACAATTATGTGTCTTGGAGTTGCTCTTCTCGAGGAGTATCTTTGTGGCGTTCTCTGTATTTCCTGAATTTGAATGTTGGCCTGCATTGCTATGTTGGGGAAGTTCTCCTGGATAATATCCTGCAGAGTGTTTTCCAATTTGGTTCCATTCTCCCCGTCACTTTCAGGTACACCAATCAGATGTAGATTTGTTTTTTTCACATAGTCGCACATTCCTTGGAGGCTTTGTTCATTTCTTTTTACTCTTTTTTCTCTAAACTTCTCTTCTCACTTCATTTCATTCATTCGATCTTCCATCACTGATACCCTTTCTTCCAGTTGATCGAATCAGCTACTGAGGCTTGGGCATTCGCCACGTAGTTCTCATGCCATGGTTTTCAGCTCCATCAGGTCATTTAAGGACTTCTCTACACTGGTTATTCTAGTTAGCCATTTGTCTAATCTTTTTTCAAGGGTTTTAGCTTCTTTGCGATGGGTTTGAACTTCCTCCTTTAGCTCGGAGAAGTTTGATCATCTGAAGCCTTCTTCTCTCAACTCATCAAAGTCATTCTCTGTCCAGCTTTGTTCCATTGCTGGCAAGGAGCTGCATTCCTTTGGTGGAGGAGGGGCACTCTGATTTTTAGAATTTTCAGGTTTTCTGCTCTGTTTTTTCCCCATCTTTGTGGTTTTATCTACCTCTGGTCTTTGATGATGGTGACGTACAGATGTGGTTTTGGTGTCGATGTCCTTTCTGTTTGTTAGTTTTCCTTTTAACAGTCAGGACCCTCAGCTGCAGGTCTGTTGGAGTTTGCTGGAGGTCCATTCCAGACCCTGTTTGCCTGGGTATCAGCAGCCGAGGCTGCAGAACAGTGAATACTGCTGAACAGCAAATGTTGCTGCCTGATCATTCCTCTGGAAGCTTCATCTCAGAGGGGTATCCGGCCATGTGAGGTGTCAGTCTGCCCCTACTGGGGGATGCCTCCCAGTTAGGCTACTCGGGGATCAGGGACCCACTTGAGGAGGCAGACTGACCGTTCTCAGATCTCAAACTCCATGCTGGGAGAACCACTACTCTCTTCAAAGCTGTCAGACAGGGACATTTAAGTCTGCAGAGGTTTCTGCTGCCTTTTGTTCAGCTATGCCCTGCCCCCAGAGATGGAGTCTACTGAGGCAGGCAGGCCTCCTTGAGCTGCGGTGGGCTCCACCCAGTTCGAGCTTCCCGGCCACTTTGTTTACCTACTCAAGCCTCAGCAATGGCAGGCACCCCTCACCAAGCCTTGCTGCTGCCTTGCAGTTTGATCTCAGACTGCTGTGCTAGCAATGAGCAAGGCTCCATGGGCGTGGTACCCTCTGAGCCAGGCGCAGGATATAATCTCCTGGTGTGCCTTTTGCTAAGACCATTGGAAAAGCGTAGTATTAGGGTGGGAGTGACCCGATTTTCCAGGTGCTGTCTGTCACAGATTCCCTTGGCTAGGAAAGGGAATTCCCTGACCCCTTGCGCTTCCTGGGTGAGGCGATGCCTCGCCCTGCTTTGGCTAATGCTCAATGTGCTGCACCCCCTGTCCTGCACCCACTGTCCGACAAGCCCCAATGAGATGAACCCAGTACCTCAGTTGGAAATGCAGAAATCACCCATCTTCTGTGTTGCTCACGCTGGGAGCTGTAGACTGGAGCTGTTCCTATTCGGCCATCTTGGAACCGCCCCCACCCTCTCTTCTTTCCCTCCACCTTCCCCTCTATCCCTCCACCCTTTCCTCTATCCCTCCACCCTCCTCTCCATCTCTCCACCCTC
This sequence comes from Homo sapiens, assembly GCF_000001405.40. Classification (NCBI taxonomy): domain Eukaryota; kingdom Metazoa; phylum Chordata; class Mammalia; order Primates; family Hominidae; genus Homo; species Homo sapiens. The sequence goes on along the minus strand of NC_000009.12, from coordinate 109,835,307 downwards.
CCCTCTTTCCCCCACCCTCCCCTCTACCTCTCCACCCTCTCCTCTTCCCTTACACCCTCTCCTCTTTCCCTAAACCCTCTCCTCTTTCCCTACACCCTCCCCTCTTTCCCTACACCCTCTCCTCTTTCCCTACACCCTCTCCTCTTTCCCTCCACCTCTGCCAGTGTGGGTCCCCTCTGCTTCTCAACCACTGGGGCTGTTAAACACAAATGCCAGGTGTCAAAAAACCACAACCAAGCAGTCAGGCAGCCTCAGACTCAATGGCACTGTGACAGCTGAGGAATCTAAGTGCAGACCCCTCCTGGCATTCGGTAGAAGGTGTGTTTGTGTGAGAAGTATTGTTCATCCTTGAAAGTTTTGAGATTGGGGGAATCAAACTGAATCCTAAAATAAATGATTAAAGGGATGAATTGAGCGAAAGATGGGTGAGAAGCTGGATGCTGCTGTGGTCAAGTCCAGGCTCTAGACTTGGGATTTAAGTCCCAGGTCCATTCTCGTGGCTCTAAGACCATGTTTGCTAAGACTCAGTTTTTGCAGCTGTAAAATGCTGAAACGTCGGTTGTTCTGAAGATTTAAGAGGTCCTTCACCATACTCAACACAGTGCCTAGCATGTGGTAACACTTAGCAAACAGAAGCTGTTGCCTCTGTTTGACTTCCCAGTGTGGTGAGCTCAGGCGGAGCTGTGACAAATTCATCTCAACCCCCGACCCTGAAAGCCAGAGCCTTGGGCTGGACCCTGTATTTTCCAAGGCAATCCCCCAAGGTCCTCACACTACCAGGGGTCAGCCTCAGACTCCACACAACTTCACATCCCAATACATGATGATTGGGAAGTGCCATCATATTTACCTACAAAGGCAAGCCTGCTAAGACTCTCACCGGCACATCAGTGAAAGAAATAAAAGTATTTTCCTTTATAGAAAAAAAGTAAGGGTAATTAAAATGCTTCTTAAATCCCAACTGGTTTCTGCCTGTTACAAAATGGCCCTTCTTTCCCTTTGGTTGATACCATGTCAACTTCATTTGTATGTTAAAATATATAAACTTTGTACACTGTCAAATGACATTCTTTTCTGTTTTGTTTTGTTTTGTTTGAAATGGAGTCTCGCTCTGTCACCCAGGCTGGAATGCAGTGGTGTGATCTTGGCTCACTGCAACATCCACCTCCCAGGTTCAAGCGATTCCTGTGTTTCAGCCTGCCAAGTAGCTGAGATTACAGGTGCATGCCACTATGTCCTGCTAATTTTTATTTTTTTAGTAGAGACGGGGTTTCACCATGTTGGTCAGACTGGTCTCGAACTTCTGACCTCAGGTGATCTGCCCGCCTTGGCCTCCCGAAGTCCTGGGTTTATAGGCGTGAGCCACTGTGCCCGGCCATCAAATGACTTTTCTAAGAAAGCATGCCCCTTGGAGGGAACTGGTCCCTTAAGGAGGTAGCAGAGGTATGGACTGAGGAGAAAGACCTAAACCGGACAGAGGCTCTCAACTTGGGGCAGTATTATTCCCCAGAGGTCAGGGGTATTCAGAAACATGTGGCAATCATTACTTTTCTTGATTGTCACAGTGACTGTGGAGCACCACTGGTACTCAGCATTGGGAGGGCAGACATGCTAAGTACCCTGTACTGTTTAGGGCAGTCCCACACAGTGAAGAATTGTCCCACCATGTTGACCAATAACTCCCCAACTGAATCATGCTTCGAACATCCTTTGAGGCTCAAGGGGGTCTTTAAACTAGGTGAGCCCACAGACCAGAAGCTGGGACCGCTGACTGGGCCTCAGGAAACAGGGTGGAGTCAGCTTGGCCCTGAAGGGTATTCTTAGCTGGACTGGGAGCTCCATGCCAACACACACCATGGCCAATTCACCTTTGTACACTGCAGGGCCACCATGGTGCTCACTACACAGCACATGGTTGGGAACTTCATGTTTTATTTTTTCTTTTTTGTTTTTGAGAAAGAGGCTCACTCTGTCGCCCAGGCTGGAGTGCAGTGGCGTGATCCCGGCTTACTGCAACTTCCGCCTCCCAGGTTCAAGCAATTCTCCTGCCTCAGCCTCCTGAGTAGCTGAGATTACAGGTGTGTGCCACCACACCCAGATAATTTTTGTATTTTTAGTAGAGACAGGGTTTCACCATGTTGGTCAGGCTGGTCTCAAACTCCTGACCTCGTGATCCACCTGCCTCGGCCTCCCAAAGTGCTGGGATTACAGGTGTGAGCCACTGTGCCTAGCCAGAGAACTACATCTTAAAAGGTGAGTCAGAGTTTGTCCTCAGTGGGATGGACTAGCTGGGCAACAGCTCTCGCATGAGGAAAACAAGAGAGCCCCTGTCTTGAGGACAGAAGGTGCTGCAGGGACGAAAGGAGCCCAAAGGCCTAGAGTAGTATATGTCCAAGTGCAACCATTGGCACACGAGTTAGTGCCCGAAGTGTTCAGTGCATATTCCACTGCCCCGCTGGCCTCTCTGAGGGTGGGGCTCAGAGATTTGCATTTTAAACAAACTCTTGCCATTTGAGAACCCCAATGAAATTGTGTCGGATAATCTGTGACTGGGGAGTGGTTTTGTTGGGATATAGGGAATTGGGTCTGATAATGTTCTTTGGCACTATGGCTGAGAAGTTTTCTGGATCAGAAATTTGCATTTTGTAAAAGTCTTTTAAGGCATCTGGGTGTTCTGTTAAGGCATGACAATGAAATTAGAAATTAGATTTCTAGGTACATTTTTCTTAGCTTTCAAACACTGTTTCTTCTGAAAGCAGCAACCAACCTCAGATTATTGTCTGGCAGGAAAGAGGGTTAATGTAGCCCTAGGGACCAAAGTTGAAAAGTTCCAAAGAGCTAGTAGCTGACATGAATGGAATGCTTAGTGTGAGCCCAGCACTGTGCTATGTTCTGACACAAATGGCTCGTTCACACCTCACAACACAGCATCCTTGTGAGGTGGGTACAGTTATTGTCATTGCCATTTTACAGACAGTGAAACTGAGGCTTAGAAACATTATATATCTCAGCTATGTTTACACACTAGTAAGCGACTCAGAGAGGACTTGAACGTAGGCAACGAGACTTGCCAAAAACCTTACGCCTGGAACACTTCTGGTGTGTACAGCCAAAGCTGTCCAGCACATAGACACTCTGCGTGTGACCTCTTGAGAGGATCAGAAGCTTGATTCTTTATGCACTGAATCCTTTATGCTTGTCCAGCCTTGCCAATTAGTGAGCCTTCCCCTTGCCTCCCTGTCTGTGAGTGGAGGTCAGGAACTGGAATTGGGATAAAATAGAAGAATCTGTCAGTATCCCCCTCAAAAGGAAATATTTATACTCTAGATAGTTTGGCTTCCAGTGTGTGACTTTAGAATTCGTAAGGCTCTACTGCTTCAAAATAATTGGCTTTTAAAATTTAACTGATAGCTCAAGTCACTTAAAATGAGAATCTTTTAGATTTTTCTTTTCTACTAAGAAGCAAAATAAACAAAAAAAAAGGGACTAATGCAGCAATCAGAAAGATAGAGTTCCATACTGACTTAAATAGTTGCCCCATCAGAGGAATGAATTGATTATTTTATGTACTGTAAAGTTTAGTATTTTCTACTGATGGTCAAGAAATGCTGGACATGTCAATTATCAAGAACTAAGAGGCTTGGGTGACTTTAGACTTCCTTATTCTGCTACTCTGACTGCATCTGTCACTAGTTTGGGCATGGTCCAGAAAGGAGCCCAGTGTCTAAAGGCCTGCAAACGACTCCCAGAAGATTCAGTAACCTCCCTCAGGCAACTGGCTCTGCTGAGGATGTATTCATTGTGATTTGTAAAAGTTATCTGGCTTCACTGAATAGGTATCCACACAACAGGACAGGTGGTAGCCTAGGGGTGTCAAGTGTTTGCCTATGTTATTTACCAAAAAGCACCTCAAACCATCAACATCTTTATCTCCCCTGTGCCAGAACTGTGAGAGGCTGAAAGGTGAATGAAGCACACTCTCCGGACCCTGGTGGGGAGTACTCATCAGTCAGTGTCCTAATACAAGGCAACCTTCAGCTACAGAGAGGCACACATCGCTATAAGTGGGAGGGAGAAGGGACAGCAGCCCTTACATGGGAGAATACGTGTGCCCTATTTATGCTTGTGTGTGTGTGTGTGTGTGTGTGTGTGTGTGTGTGTGTGTAGGGGAAGTATTAACAACCATCAATGGGAAAAAAGAATGCATTAGAAATCCCTACTAAAAATCTCACCTCCAATTGAACAGCTCCTACTTCAACAGAATTGGGTTTTCTCCCCAAAGATCTGGGGACTCAAAAACTTATAATCCACTCATTCTCCTGTTGCATGACCCCTAAATCTGCTGTTCCAATCAAATCTAGGGTCGCATGAAGGTTTACCTTTTGCCAATTTTAAGAGACTGCAGAGGGAAAAAATACAGACTTTGGGTTGTGTCAGGCCTGGATTCTAGTGTAGACTTCGTCAATGCTGACTGCGTGACCTTCAGTAGCACCTGGGCTTCCGCTGCGTCACTGGTAACATGGGGAGTTCTTCCTTCCACTTAGGATTGTCATGAGGATTAAACAGCACACACCATAAAGCAGACACTAAAATCAGTCATCTTCTTTCTCCTCCCTCTCCCCCAAGGCCATTCATTCTGTTATCCCAAGCCAGGCTTAGAAATATTGGCCAGGACTTTTCAGTTAAAATTAAATAAACATACTCCATTCTCCTTAAGTGAGTAGAACCACTGCTTGGGCTAATATTATTCTTTCTTTTTTCCTCAATAGGTTTTTTCTCCTCTCTCTACCTGAAGTAGGAAAGGCAGGCATGAAAAGGCTATGTTGGCAGTTGGACCTAGATCAGAGCCTAGGCCTACATGTGTTTTGTTGATCAAACATTAACACCAGCCCCTGGTTTGATGAACGGACCAGAACCTCTCCCGCCCCTGCTCTCAACCCCTAGGCACATACAAAACATGTTTACAAAGCCTGCTGACCCTATGGTCTATTTGGACAATGAATTTTGTGTCTCTCTAAGAAAGTTGCATTTGGTTCCTAGTCAATGCATAAAGTAAAAATCGTCTATAATCAAAATTACTCATGAGAATCCCTTAAAATGTTCATAAAGTATCCAACAACACTGTCTCACAAAGAGTCCATGCAGGCACATTTTTCTCCTACTAAGGACTAGGTCGTCACTTCTTTTGACCATCAGATAAAGAAAGTTTCCTTGTGTTTGGGGACCACAAGGCCTGAAAAACATACCTGCATCTTGAAAGACTAAAATCATAAACAGAGGCTAAAAGAAATTTCAGGTAATTCATGCATCTCCCACCTCATATTCTCCTGGGGCATATGGATGGAGAATTGCCCACACTATTCAAGTAGGTAATTATTTTCCTTCTCTCAACTTTGTCTGTGTTTTTTGTTTGTCTTCCTAACTGAACTCAGGTTAAATGTCAGCCTCATTAAATTCTAAATCAAGGTTATTTTGCATTGCATCTTTTCATAAAAATGAAGGATCGACTGATTTTTTAATAAGTGAACAGGGTTACCAAGCCAAGCTGGTAATCTCAGTCCCAAACCTTAATTGAAGACAATGAGAACTGCATAAGCACGCCTCAAATGACGCTCTGGCCAGGAGAGAGGATGTGTAGCCCTGATAAAGAAGAGAGAGAAAGGACAGCAGACTAGATAGAAAATTGCAAAATGGAAGACTTCTGTGTGTGCAGAAAGGAATACTTCATATTTTTTCTTCCCAGAATTTTATGGCAGATGGAGAACTTAGAAATCTGTTTTTATCCTCTATTCATAATGAGCAGGATAGTCCTAAGACACCCTGAATTACATTCACCACAAGCAACTACTATGTGCTGGGCTCTTTGCTCCAGGGTGCTGGGGAAACAAGGATGAATCAGTCACTCTCTAGTCCTTAAGGCTCTCAAAATCTAGTAGAGGAAAGCAGGAGAGGAAATAATAAATGCACTAAATGCTATGGATATAACAAGACATACTTGGATGGAATGCAAAGGATGAATTGTTGGAAGAGGTTGCCATGGGGTTTTATAGGGGAGGTGATTACACAGGGTATGTGTTTCGCTGACCCATAGAGAAGTGAGGTGAGCGTCTCAGGGAGAGACAGCCTATGCAAACAACCAAGTATAATTTAACCAAACATACAGAATTTTCACTATCTTAAAAATTATTTAAATAAGTAAACAATATTTCCTCTGTATGCCAGTTAGCAGCTATGAACAAGAGCTGGAGAAAGCAAACTCCTATGTAATCAATAACTAAAGCACTATAACATGAATCATATTTCCTCTGCCTCACCTCACATTCTGTGATAAAAGAGTCCACTGTCAAAAAACTTCTACACCCCAACATCACATCATCGCCTTTTGGCAAGGCCCTTTCAAGATCCATTTTCTAATTACAATGAATTGAGCTTATTTTAAGTCTGTTTCTGAAGACTCACTTTACTCCCCTTTCATTATGAGATCCACGTGCTGATATTATTCTATTCTTTCCTTTCCACGGGATCAGAAAACATGAATTCATTTATTCATGTCAGTGTCACAACATTCACTTTCTCTTACAAAAAGCCAAAGTACAATGAACTCATCTTCTTTGTGAAAGAAATTCCCATTTTGTAAAATAATAGTAAAAGTCAAACAAATATCTCTGGGTAGTGGTACAGATCTACCCCAATAGAATTATTGTATGACTATCATTTTTATATTACAGAGCACACTTAAAATGAGAGAGCAGATGGGCAGGAAGCACTCACAAATCATCATGAACTCACATGAACAGACCACTTGTTTGCATTGTCAATAAATCATCGACCGATGCTTGATGAACAGAACGCAACTAGGCTGTACAATATTGTGCTGATTCAAAGAGCTTCATGCATGGATTAGTCCTGAGAAGACACACATGCCCACTCCATTTCTGGCATATAAACTCAAAGAATAGGAATAGAATGCATTTTGGTCAAGTCACATTTGAAAAACTGGAATGAGGATGATACATCTCCTTATTAATTGGGACATAGCCTGGTAAGCTGCCACACACATGGAAACATACACACATACACACCCCAAAGAAACAAACCTAGATGCCTGAAAGAAGGACACCACTTCTGTCTCACCCCATTCTAGAGAGGAAATGCAATTCAAATCCCCTAAATTCCCTCAACTACAGTATTTTAATCTGTAGAATGCCAGTGACACTACTGACCTCTGAAGATTAAAATGAGGATTAAAGGAAGTGACATATATAAAGTACTCACCCAGCACACAGCACACAGCACACAGGTAGGCAGGTACTCAATAAAAGCTGGCTCTACTTCTCTTGCCCTTTATGGATTAATTATCCAGTTATTTCTTACAATGTTTGGTCTTTTTGAATGAATAGCTTATAATCTTTGAAGGCAGAGACCTTTTTTCCCTTTTGTTTTTAAACTGAAGTTTTACACACCGTAAAGCTGCAAATATAGTTAGGGTGGTTTTTTTTCAGTAGCAGTGCTCTAGCCCCATGGGGCTAAATCCTCACAATCCTGTTTCCTTTTGTCCGTGACTGTCTTGAGTGGACCTGTGAATGAGTGCCTGCCAATGAGATAAAGGAGATAAAGGAAAAGTTTACTGGGGGGAGAATGGATTCTCATTCAGTAGATCATCATGCAGTCCAGCAACTCATAATTTTTTTTCTTTTTTTAGACGGAGTCTCACTCTGTCGCCCAGGCTGGAGTGCAGTGGTGCGATCCCGGCTCACTGCAACCTCTGCCTCCCAGGTTCAAGCGATTTTTCTGCCTCAGCCTCCTGAGTAGCTGGGACTACAGGCATACCCCACCATGCCTGGCTAATTTTTGTATTTTGAGTAGGGAAGGGGTTTCACCATATTGGGGAGGCTGCTCTCAAACTCCTTGTAATCCACCCGCCTTGGCCTCCCAAAGTGCTGGGATTACAGTCATGAGCCACCGCGTCTGGCCATAACTCATAATTCTTAGAAGCACTACAGACAATTCTGATACCCAGCCAGGGTTGAGAATAACTTTCCTAGACTGATGACTCTCAAAAGTCTTTGATCATTGTCTACTTTGAGCATCCTATGCTCCACCTACTTCTTTCTTTTTTGGAAACTACAACTGCCTACATGCATGCCACATTATAGGAGCTTTGTCACCGAATAGCAGTGAGACTTTTTAGCAGAACTAATTAGAGTCCTCAGACTAATTAGAGTCTATGGTGACACACTAACTTGAGTTCAGAAAGGCCCTTAATAACTCACTTAGTAGATTACTCTAGCAAAAGTAAAAACCTAGTATTTTATGGGCTTGTTCATCACTTATTAAACCAAGGACTTATATTTTTATCTCATTTCATAATCAATCAGGAGAACCATATCTTTGAGAAGGCAGTATTCTGAAAATTGCTGCACTAGAAAGCAATCATGCTGTGTTGGATCAATTATGTCCGTTTACAAAAGAAGTGAAGGGCCATGTGTTTGCAACTTCAATCACCCCAGTAAGATGATAAGAATAAGAAGAGGTGCTGCCAGACACATCCACTCTCCATTCACACCCTATTCACACTTACAGGCAATTTTCCTCACAAATATTCACATCTTCATTAGCTTTCTCCTCATTCCCCCTTTGCTTCCAATTATTTAAGTAAACTTTCTTTCCCTATCTCCCTTTTGCAAGGCAAAAACTACCTAAGTCATAAACAGAAGTAATTATAATGTATCAAAAATGTATTTTACAGTATAATTATACATAATAAAATACTAGCATCACTATCTTCTAAAACTCTTGAGGGGTCCAAGAATCCCTTTGAGAATCACCATCAAACACTTCAGCTGCCCCTTTAGTGCCTGATTAAACATGTTTTTCCCAAGTAGCAACAATATTCATGATACAAAACAAAACTGTATTTTATTTATTTATTTATTTATTTTTATTATACTTTAAGTTTTAGGGTACATGTGCACAACGTGCAGGTTTGTTACATATGTATACATGTGCCATGTTGGTGTGCTGCACCCAGTAACTCATCATTTACATTAGGTATATCTCCTAATGCTATCCCTCCCCCCTACCCCCACCCCCACAACAGGCCCCGGTGTGTGATGTTCCCCTTCCTGTGTCCCTGTGTTCTCATTGTTCAATTCCCACCTATGAGTGAGAACATGTGGTGTTTGGTTTTTTGTCCTTGCGATAGTTTGCTGAGAATGATGGCTTCCAGCTTCATCCATGTCCCTACAAAGGACATGAACCCATCCTTTTTTATGGCTGCATAGTATTCCATTGTGCATATGTGCCACATTTTCTTAATCCAGTCTATCATTGTTGGACATTTGGGTTGGTTCCAAGTCTTTCCTATTGTGAATAGTGTCACAATAAACATACGTGTGCATGTGTCTTTATAGCAGCATGATTTATAAACCTTTGTGTATATACCCAGTAATGGGATGGCTGGGTCAAATGGTATTTCTAGTTCTAGATCCCTGAGGAATCGCCACACTGTCTTCCACAATGGTTGAACTAATTTACAGTCCCACCAACAGTGTAAAAGTGTTCCTATTTCTTCACATCCTCTCCAGCACCTGTTGTTCCCTGACTTTTTAATGACTGCCATTCTAACTGGTGTGAGATGGTATCTCATTGTGGTTTTGATTTGCATTTCTCTGATGGCCAGTGATGATGAGCATTTTTTCATGTGTCTTTTGGCAGCATAAATGTCTTCTTTTGAGAAGTGTCTGTTCATATCCTTCGCCCACTTGTTGATTGGGTTGTTTGTTATTTTCTTGTAAATTTGTTTGAGTTCTTTGTAGATTCTGGATATTAGCCCTTCGTCAGATGAGTAGGCTGCAAAAATTTTCTCCCATTCTGTAAGCTGCCTGTTCACTCTGATAGTAGTTTCTTTTGCTGTGCAGAAGCTCTTTAGTTTAATTAGATCCCATTTGTCAATTTTGGCTTTTGTTGCCATTGCTTTTGGTGTTTTAGACATGAAGTCCTTGCCCATGCCTATGTCCTGAATGAGATATTGCCTAGGTTTTCTTCTAGGGTTTTTATGGTTTTAGGTCTAACATTTAAGTCTTTAATCCATCTTGAATTAATTTTTGTATAAGGTGTAAGGAGGGGATCCAGTTTCAGCTTTCTACATATGGCTAGCCAGACAAAACTGTACTTTAAATTCAATTTTAGAGTTCTGTTTTATTTGACTGCTAGTTTTGCAAGGTGTCTTGTTTCGTAAATTCTTTGGAAATGTGTACTAATTCAGCTACATTACGTGTTGATCAGATGACTGGCCTAAGAAGGTAAACACTTTTACATTTGAATTCTAAGCCTTCGATCCTCTTGGAGCACAACTCCTCCACAGGCTGGTAACTCTTAGAGGAATATCAAAACCTTCTTTCCTTACTTAAACATGACATCGTTAACAGCAATCATAAGAAAAGAAAAACAAAACAGTATCCCCAAGAGATCTGACCTTGCATTTTATATTTTAAAGTAACTACATGGCAGACACAGCTGTTAAATCTCTTAATAGATGAAAATTATGTAAATATTTCTGGATCCCTATCATGGCTCACAAACATACATACATCTGCCTGTTTTTGAATGACCTAATGGCTCCATTTAGTAGTTCTAAAAACCAACCAGAGATTGATGAAAACTAAAAGCAACATAAGGAGACTTAACCAAAGGGTCCATCTGTAGGGAATATTACAGCCCCAAAGATGGAAAGGGCCAAATATGTCATTAGGGCCTCACACAGGGTATTTGCTAATATGCTCTGTGAAAGCAGAACTATCCTATTGTCTCAGCTCCTCAAATGATAGCCAAGACTTTGGAAAGAAGAAATGACAGTATCAGAGGTTATGGTCACAGAGGCAGTGGTGATCAGACATCACTCCTGTCCCCACCCCTAGCAGTCTAGCAGGGAGCAGAAAGGATAAATAAGTGAAGGAGGTGAGAAAGAATTTCAGAAACTGTTATGGTGGGGACTGAGAGGAACAACTGACATTGTTTTCATGAAGAGAGGGGCATGTCATTTACATTTCCACCTTATCCTTCTGCCAGCTAGTGGCCTTGGAAACCCTTGTGGCAGACACACTAAAAAGTGTGCTTCAGCTGGGCACAGTGGCTCACACCTGTAATCCTAGGGCTTTGGGAGGCAGAGATGGGAGGATCACTTGAGCCTAGGAGTTTGAGACCAGCCTGGGCAACACAGTGAGACCCTGTCTCTACAAAAATACAAAAATCAGCCAGGCATAGTGGTATGTGCCTGTAGTCCCAGATACTTGGGAGTCTGAGGCAGGAGGATCACCTGAGCTGGGGGAGGTTGAGGCTGTAGTGAGCCATGATCACAACACCGCACCCCAGCCTGGGCGCCAGAGTGAGATCCTGTCTAAAAAAATAAAGTGTGGTTCAAAGGCTTTGAAAGAATATACAAACTGGAGCAAAATACTTCTTTCTGTTTGTTAAGATTACAATGCAAAAAATACACATTTGTATGTAGCACTCAAACTTCTATTTACTCCCCTCACCCCCAGACAAACACAGATAATCCTGCTAGGAAATGGGCCAGTATCTCCATTCTGTAGATGTTTTCTGAGACCCCTTGGATTTCCCACAGTAACAGGGAGAGCCAACTCTCTGCAAGGCAGGCAGGTTGAACATGGTGGGGCAGCCTGATTGGGAGAAGGTTCTTCTGTATCTCCAGCCACAAATTGCCACTCTGTGGTCTCCACTGTGGTTTCACCTTCCAACACTAGACAGGTAACACACCTATCCCCCTCCCATAAAGTGGTCCTTTAAATAATTGAAAGCTGCCTCTGTGACTCCCAGTTTATACAGAAAATAAAGACTCAGACAGGCTAAGAACTTGTTTAAGACTCTAGAGTTGTTTAATGGTGAAGCCATGACTGGAGCCCCAGTATTCTGGCTCAGGTCCAGGGCTGTTCCCACCTCAACACAAGCCCTGGGATCCTGCAGCTCAAGTCAGAACCATATCCTCCCATGTGGGTTCAGGGCAGGGTCCATTTGACCATCTCTGGTTGGATGTGTAGCCATGAGAGGGATTTGGGCATGTGTCTGTGTGTGTAGACTTGGGCATATTAGATAGCTTTGGCCATGTCTGTCCTGCTCAAAATGTGTCCCTTTTCGCTGGAAGTTAATCTGCATCCAGGAACCACTATGGAACAATATGACCTCTGGCCATAGCTGATCTGACGAGAGTCTCTCTGATGTGGCTGGGCTGGTGACATGAAAACTTAGACACTATGGGGCAACCCTATTTGATTGACCTCATGGACCAGAAAGCAGAGGAAGCTAGGTGGAGGAAGAAATACAGAGGCGGACTATGGCAAGCAGTTTGGAGATTTCTCAAAGAACTTAAAACAGAGCTACCATTCGACCCAGCAATCCCATTTCTGGGTATCTACCCAAAGGAATATACATCATTCTACCATAAAGACACATGCACACATATGTTCATCACAGCACTGTTCACAACAGCAAAGACATGGAATCAACCCAAATGCCCATCAATGGTGGACATCAATGTGGTACATATACACCGTGGAATACAACACAGCCATAAAAAATAATGAGATCATGTCCTTTGCAGCAACATAGATAGAGCTGGAGGCTGTTGTCCTAAGTGAACTAACACAGGAACCAAAAACCAACACAACATGTTCTCATTTATAAGTGGGAGCTAAACACTGAGTATACCATGGACAAAAAGAAGGGAACAACAGACACCAGGGCTTACTTGAGGGTAGAAGGTGGGAAAAGGGTGAGGTCCAAAAAGTACCTTCAGGTACTATGCTTATTACCTGGGTGACAAAGTAATCTGTACACCAACCCCCCGTGACATGCAATTTACCCATATAAGAAATGCACACATATACCCCTTGAACCTGAAATGAAAGTTGGAAGAAAAAAGGAGGAAGAAATACAGAGGCAGGAGCTGGGAAGGAGAGAAGGAAAGAGAGATGGATGGATAGATGGATGGATGGATGGATGGATGGATGGATGGATGGATAGATGGATGGGGAAGATGGGAAGAGAGATGAAAGAGAGAAAAAAAATCTAGTGACTTTTTGACGCTTTCCTTAGGCCTAGTCACATTTCTGTTTTCGATTCTGTGGGGCACCCCTGTGCCCTTATAACAATTCCCTCCCCTTTTTCCTTGAGCTAGCTCATGCTGTCTCTATGCCTTAGAACCCCAGACTCCTAACTAATACATTTCTCATGTAACATGCAATGATAAGTCTGGTATTATTTTACCCTTCAAATCTGATTAGCTGCATGGGCAGTGGATGAATAAGAGAAGGGCATCCAGGTCTCAAAGGAAAAACATTAACTTATGAAAAACTGTTTTTTTCATTACAAAAAATTCCTTTGGTCCCAAAGTGCTTATTATAAGCAATGGAATCTGAGGCATTTGATGTTTTTGACACAAGAAGATCAGTTTACAAAGATCCCTAAGAGAATGGGCTCCCCATGAGGCAGAGTCACGTCCAGGGGGGAGATGAGGAGGAAGCAGGGCTGGAGCCTTGGGCAGCACAGGGCAGCTCCCTGTTTCATGGAGCCACCAGTCCCTTACTAGCCAGAGGACACAGGGGGAGCCACCTTGTCAATTTGCTGGGGTTCTATTAACACCCTCCATCCATCCCAGAGTATCTTTCATATGGTGATGTCTTGAAGGCAGAAACATGCCTTTCTCACCACTATATTCCCACCACTTCAAATATTCTCTAACACAGAACAGGTACATAATATTTGCTCAATGAATGCATGAATGGATACACCATGGACTCTGAGGGATTCTGAAATGAGGTAGACCCCAGTAGCTCAGTTACAAAGGCTCTATAGTGGAGGGTGGACATTCATTTGACTAGATAATATGAATGTGCTTTCAGTCAGCCATTCAAAGACAATTATTATTATTATTTTGTTGTTGTTGTTGTTGTTGTTTCATTATAATTTCAGTTCTAGGGTACATGTGTACAATGTGCAGGTTTGTTACATATGTATACATGCGCCATGTTGGTGTGCTGCACCCATTAACTCGTCAAAGACAATTATTAAGCACCTACTCTACAGACTGAGACATCAAGTGGCCTTGCTGTGGGTTGCACCTGGTCCCACCTGGCAGCTCACAAGGCTGCCACCTCCACTGACAGTGATAGAAGTTGGGAATGGAACCCATGCCTGGTATGGGGACAGGGGAGCACTTTCAAAATGACTGGAAATTGAGAAGACTAAAATAGATCTACTTATTAGACTGAAATCAGGATGCTGTGTTATATCTAGAAGTTCCTGGGCGTAGTTGGGTGCCCAGCTGGGAGAAGCTTCAGGCAGTAGACTCTAAAGTAAATGAATTCCAGCTTGCTGCACTAATTGAAATATCCAGGTGGCTTCCATGGCTGCCCCAGGACAGAAATGGTAATGAAAACCAGATCTACAAAGCCACCGGTATATGTTGTGCAAACTGCTGTTCAAAGGAAAAGGTCATATCCACTCCAGTGCCTCTAGTGACTTTTTGGTGCTTTCCTTAGGCTCCAGTCAACCCATGGATTCTCCCAACGACTACAACTGAAGGAGACATGGAGTTTCTGATGTATTGGGCATAAGATCTGCTCACAAGCCAGAACTCAGACGCCAAGGAAGCAGCTAACATCACCAGCCCCTGTGGCAAGTCACTGTGAGTGACTGGAGCTGGTGGCATCTTGAATAAGAAATGTTTGGGTCATCTCCTTTTAAGGTTCCAAGAAACTCTGAGATCTGTTGGCCCTGAACAATTTTATCTCCTTTGCCCAAGGGCCTTAAGCTAACAGTTGGCAGGAATGGGGCTGAGACTGAACCCTAGAACATTGCAATAAACTAACACAATGGACTGAGGTGACGGCATCTCACCACTGGAGCATCCCAGACAGACATACATGAGGGGACACACTGGGTGGATTTCCTCTCCAATTCTCTTTTGAGAATGTCTTCAGAGTAAATGTGCAACGAGACTGAGGATTCAGGTTACCACTGAAACTTCAATCACATTGGCATGTTTGCCTCCAGATGGCATAAATTAACTTTCAAAAATTAGATTTCAAAGAGTTCTAAGTCTGACTAACTTAATTTTTTAATTATATAAGTAATATATGAATCCAATTTTGATATTCAAATTCTAATAATACAGAAAAGACCATTGTTCCTTTTCCTCACCTCCTTTACATAAGGTATGTGTAAGTCTATTTTCTTCATGTCAGTACATACTGATCTATTTTACTACTTGTAACTGCTGCATCATATTCCATACTCCGAACATATCATATTTAACCATTTTCCTGTTTTCCTATTGAATTGTTCCCAATTTTTCATGATTATAAACACCTTCTGGTCCTTGTTTCTTTGTGCTCATGCTCTCACTTCAATTTTAACATTTTAAAAAGCTTATTTTATGATGAGTGGTGATCTCACAATGCCAAACAGATCATGACAGTTTATTTCAACTCAGGGTGGCTGATCTTTGTATATGCAGTGCTATGGAGAAAGGAAAAAGAGCTTAATACATATAATACACACACACACACACACACACACACACATACACACACACACATAATTAGGCCTTTATTTACGTGTGTGTGTGTTCAAACCCTTGGCAGAGCTCAATGATGTATGCAGAAGGAGCAGCCACTGAAATGTGTGTTGTCTTGCATCCTGTGCTTCTGGGGGGCCACTCTGTCCATGATAAGGTAAAAGAAAATGATAAGGTAAAAGACATAAATGGACATATAAGATCATATTGGCCACGTCAAAATCTCATTCCCTAACCTGAGAACCTAGAAAAGAGTTATTGCTCTTCCCAGGTCTCCCTGCCACATAAGCAGCTAATGAGGCATTATAGAAACTTGGCAAGTCCTTCCGGAATCAATTTGGGTCTTTCAACTTTGTTGCTCGCCCCCTATCTTCATTTCTCATCTGGATTACACGAATGTAAAAGCCTTTGTGAAATTTCCTTTAAGATGAATTTTTAAATGTATTCTATGTCTTGAATAAATTTAGTTATGATTGAATAACTCAGAATTAAACTATGTTGGATAGAATATTACAACCCAATGTCAATTTGCCATCACCTATATTGCTCTAAAATAATTTTTCTTATAAGATGCTCTGCAGGAGTTTTCACCTGTGGGGGAAGGAGTCAAATATTTCAGCATTACTAATTCATCTGTTCGCCTCTCACTTCTAAAGCAAAATGTATTTTTTCTCAAATTGGGACTCTGCAAAGGATTTTTTTCCAATGGAAAGATGCCTTCGTGTCATTCTTAGTTTCTCCTTTTGACTGGTTACAAAAATGAACTTGTAACCTACATGGTCATTTCTATGGCAACTGGATGTTCCAAGTGAAATACTGAATTTGGAGTTCTCTGAAGAACTAGAAAGAAGAGAGTCTGTGCCACAGACAACATAAAAGCTCAAGTTTTAATGATATTACCAGGCCTGTCAATGTAGGTGTTCACTGGTACCTAAGTCTTATTTCGAAAGTACAGTGAAATAAAGTGTCAAAACCATGCCAGGCACGCCCGTAGTCCCAACTACTCAAGAGAAACCCTTAATCCCAGGAGTTTGAGTTCAGCCTGGGCAACACAGTGAGACTCCATCTCTAAAAATAAAAAGTATACATGGCTTAGCATTTTTGAGGTTTTTCCTTAAAAAGCAAATTTAGCAGGTAGTATGTTTAATGAAAAGTTTTTATGTTTTTTACCTTCTTATCAATACAGATACAGAAGCATCATAAAACCAATGTTTAGCTAAATGAATTTTTATAAGGCAAACACCTTTGTAATCACCACCCAGTTAAAAATAAATAGAAATTGCTAGCCACTTCCAGAAGCCTCTCCATGTGCCCCACGCCAATTTTAATCCCTCTTCTTCCACTCAAAAATAACCACAGCTTCAGTTTCCATGTTATTGATACCCATAGCTCCTATGTTTATAAGATGCTATGATTCAGTCATTTTTTTCACCATTAAAAGATTATTTGTATTCAAGGGCTGACTTGTCAAAAAAAAAGAGATTGTGTAGCAAGTACATTTTTCGAAAGGCTTATTTATACCTTTTCTGTTTCGCTGCTACCCAGATATAATAAATACATTCATTAGCGTACACTATTTTTAAATACCTTGCCTCATTCCAAAAATATGTGCGGGGTTGAACACATGCTAAGAAATTCCCTCCACTAGGAGGCGCTACATCCCTTATGTCCTCAGACAGCTGGGAAGACTGCGCTTAATGTAACTCAGTTATCAGCGCATTTCTATGAATGAAGTCACAGAGGAACATGTGGGAGATCCACTTAACGACTTCTTTACCTTGCTGCATATCACAAAAAGGCTCACTGGTTGCCAGAAGTCCTGGTGAGTGGCAGGTTCCAAGAGTGAACTGATATTTCAACAACTACTTTTCCACTAACAACCTAAATCCATGAAATTGAGGGAGGGGGCCAGGAACATTTGGAACAAAGGGGCCCTGTTTCCAAGCGTAAATAAAATACAGCTGGTTTACAGCTGTGCTACCTTCCTCGCTGCAAGTCAAGTCATAAAACAGAATGAAACTTTCAGTAGTCACCGCTGTGAGGTTAGGGAATTCTGAGCATCCCTCTGGGCTCTAAGGTGACCAACTATTTGCTTTCTGAATTTCGTTTTTCAACCCATAGACACTGTATGGCTCATCAGAGAGGCAGATTTCCACTGCAAATTTACACAAGCCTAGACTGTCTATTTTTACACAATTGTTTGTTGTTTGCTTTTGTTTTTCAGATCAAAAAAATCTGAGGAATAGAGCTATGAAGACATCTGAACTCTAATTATAGGGGTTTGAATTTTTTAGATTAGACGTGCTACCCTTGTGACTCACAGTGATGTGCATTTCCCTGGTCTGATCATTAGCATACCAGGCAGGCTCAGATGCCCAGCATGTATCACAGATAGTAGGACATCATGCATATGCATGGGAAACTCCTAGCTCAAAATTGGCCTCTGATCAGACCAAAAGGCCAGTAACTGTGTCCAAGTAGCAACTCAACATCCACAAAGTGCCAACTGGAATGTTTTCCCATTTTAAGTGGGCACGGCAATCTAGACATTAACCAATAGACTTATAAGAATAGCTTGTATTGATTAAAGAAGCTTTATAATACATATTTTATTCCTATCATTTTATGTGCCTAAGATTTATTCCTTAAAATACTGATTCACTGATTTAGAAAACTCGGTAGGGGTAAATAAATCTGGTTGAATAAAGTTGAAAATAGACTACATCCTATAGTTTTTAAAAAAATATTAGAAGAGTATTTGTACCGCCTCCAGACAAACTGGTAGTTGTCCGTTGCATTTCAGACTCAATGAATATGGGCTCTTAAGCCAGATGGCATTAGGATCAGGAAGTGGGTTTGGCACTTTTCTTTCTCCTTCATGTCATTTCCAGACCATGACTCCTCTGCCCTCATGGAAAAAGTCTCATCTGTTCCCTTGTTCCCTCTCTCCTTAACTCTGTCCCCAGCTGATCTTCTGGTCACTTCCGTACATCCACTGATGACTTCATTCCTTGGCTCACAGGAGCTATATGAAATCCCACCATCATCCGGGGTGACTTCAGTGTTTGTGTTCATGACTCATTCAACCCTATTCCCACAGTTTCCTGAAAACCTCAACTCTGATGACCTTGATCTTCACTCTCCTCAACGATCTGCACTCAGGGCTGAAATCTGGCCTCATCACTAAATGTGGAACTGTTTAGGTGCAGCGGCCCAGACTCCAACCACAGCCTCGCCTCTTTCCCTGTCTCTCACTGGCTTGTCCTCACACCTCTGCTCTTGGGTCTTTTCAAATCTTCTAATCTCCAGCTTCCTCTATCTTATCCCAGTCCATCATAGCCCTCCTGTCTTCATTTTTATGTCTTTTCGCCTAAGATCATGTGAACAATCCATTCCAATCACTGCACTGTCTTCCTATATCCTCAACAATCTTGCCTCCTCGTCCTTTGGCTACATCCAGGTATCTGGCAAAAATCCCAAATGAGAGCTAAGCACAGTCTCATTTCCCAAGATCAAACACCTACATAAGGTGCCCTGGAGTGTAGGAGAACGACACTACAAATCTGTGGTCTCCAACCTTATCTGAGCTCTCAACACTGTCCAGGGATCTTTGTACATGTTCCTTGTCAACTCTCTAGCTTCAGTTAAAGATACTTTCTCCCCAGGACAAGCCCATACTTAGCATAAATAGAACATCAATATCTTTTTTGTTTGTACATAAAAAGGCTAATAACCAGTACCTTGAATTCCATCATGCCCTGACCTCTCAGGGACCCCATACCATCATTTATCCTCCACTCACCTGCATTTCACCTCTTTCACTATTTTCTCCTAACTCCTTCACCTAAGAATTTAGACTTCCTCTTCTTAAAACAATCCATGCAAATCCTATGCCCTCTCTAGCTAAGACTTACTTCTCTTCTTTCCTTCACAGCCACACCACTTAGGGAGACAAAGACTTCATTTAATCCCCAACTTCCTCTCAGCTGAACTCCACACTCCACAACCTCACTGAACCTGCTTTTCCATTCTTGTGAGGGCCACCAGTTACCTTCTAGTTGGTATGTTCAATGGACACTTTTTAGAATGTGTACCATTGCCTGTCAGTGGCATTTGGCACCATGCATCACTCCCTCCTTCCTGGAAAGTTCTTTCATCTTCACCTACCCCCCTGTTTCTGTCTACCCTGACTCCCCTTCTGCTTCCCTGGCTTCCCTCAGCACAGTGAGTCACCAGGTTGACCTTATATTTTGCATTCTTTCCCTGGATAGCCTCATTCACATCCATGGCTAAAGTTACTATTTGATGCAGATTTACTGAAGTCCCCAAAACCAGATCTCCTTCCTGAATTCCATACCTACATGTTATTTCCTATCAGGCATCTCACATGTATATTCCGAAGGTATTATGATCTCAACATGTCCAAAATAAACTCATCACTTTTCCCCAAAATATGTCCCTCTTTCCATGTTCAACATCAACCATCCCCTTGTCTATGCTGGAAACATGGCTATCAACTTTATTTCTCCATACCTCTCACCCTTTACTCAATCAGTACCAAGTTCCAGCAATTCAACCACATAACTATCAAATCCATGCCTTCTTCACCATCTCCACAGCCACTCTCTCATGTCAGTCTATCCCTATTTCATTCTTGGATCAGTATCAAGATAGCCACCTCTGAGTGGTCTTACTGCCCACTCCCCATCCCTCCCAATTCAAATTACTTCATATACTACAGTGGAGTACTCTCTCAAAAATGCATATCCAACTAGATCACTTCCTGAGAGATTCCCATGACCCACAGGATAAAATCCAAACTCTACCTAAAATGGCATACAAGACAGTCCATCTCTCCATCATTCTTTCTCACCATTCTCACCATTATCTCAAACCTTCCAATCCAGTTACAGGGAACTGCTTATGCAATGATATAGCTTAATGGTTGATAGATGAGTCTTGGTGTCAGATATACATGTGTTCAAAATTAAATTGCCACTTACTGGTTTGTGATCATGGACAAGTTACTTCTGAGAGCACCACATGCTTCTCTATCAGAGTACTTATTGTCCCACACCACCTTCTAAATCCTCCGTACTAGCCCATCTTTTCCACTGCACTGTCCTTGAATCCCTAGCACACAGAAGGCCATCAACACTTATTCTGCATATGAGTGAATCAGGAGAATGAATGGATTCTCCCAGTGACAGGAGGCTCACTTCCTCTGAGGTCTAAATATGGCATCTTTGCATCTGTTTGTTACAGAGTTCTTCAGATTCATCATCCAGATTCTTAGAATCCTGCCACAATCGTTCAGGCTCATATAGTATGTCTCGCCCTGTACTTTGATGGCTCTAGATTTTCTTCAGGTGAAAACTATATCATTGACACTTGTGCATTAAGTATATATTTAAAAGCAGGTGCATTTCCATTTCCATGTATCTACCGATAAGAAAGTATAGCCCTGCAATAGAACCATGCAGACGTTAGATGATGGTACAAGTGTGCACTATGTGCCTTCTTTTGTGTGGCATTTGCTTACCCACTGTGTCCCAATGTGAAACTGGGAGCTTCATTCTCATCAAGGGCATTACAAACCTTCACTGCAAACGGTAGTGGGAGCTGGAGAATGAGTCAAGTCAGCTCAGCAGTGGTATTTGCACAAATTCAAAGGGCCAAAGGTAGGGTCAAAGTCAACTGCAGGGCCAGGAGTCCAGAATGTGGGAGTGATAAGTGCCAAAAGAGCACATGCGAACCAGCAAGAAGGATGCTGGGAACCAGCAAGAAGGATGAACCATCCTGTGGTCACCACGGCTGACTATGATCAGTTAGGGTGCAGGGCGTGGTGTGTTACACTGCCTTGTAGACCCTACGTAGGACAGACGAGTAGAGTTGGGTTCCTGGTTCTACCTAGGAGTTATCGGCTTCTTGAAAAGTCCAGGACAACACGAGTTAGGCTCTTAGTTCTTCCTAAGAGTTATGGGCTTCTTGAGAAGTCTAGGATGGCTGGGAGCAGCTCCCATAGTTATGGGCCAGTCTAAATGCAGGCCCCTAAACCTGCAGCACAGACAGAAAAGAGCCATCAAGGTTCTACTTCAAGACCCATGCTCTGGGTCTTCCAAGTCAAGACCCATAACAAGCCCTATCTTCTTACCATTTCTCATCCCTACCTCCTTAAAGGGAGGGCAGAAAATGGGAAAAATGCTGACGTCATGGTGTTAGACATTAAAAAGCGGCAGCTTCAGCAAAAAGCCAAGCATTTATTAACTAAGAGATGAACAACGCAACCAGAGGCCGTTACAGATTGTTGGCAACTGGAGTTTAAATCTGACCACTTATTCTATAGATGTGATTTAGACATCTCATCAGCTTCTGAATTAAATGAGTCCCAATTCATTAGGGCAAGCTGAGAAATGGGCAATCTTTTAATGTTGTGTAGCTCTCTCAGCTCTTGACAAATCAAGCCTCAGCAGCCACACAGTGGTTTTCCTTTCACTTCCTGTGGGAAAACTGGGGTAATCTAGGTCATTGATAGTCTGCCACTTGATTTACAGCAATGACCAATTTCTAACTTGGCTTTATCTGATCTGCTCTGGAAATGTTTTCAGCTGCTATGGGCAGTCTTGTTAAATTGTGCAGACCTGCAATCATTTTTAAAAATCACTCAACCATCAAAGATTTGATTTGGTCTGCTTAATCTGTGCTGACCTCACTTCATTTTGCAAGGCCAAGACCTCTGTAACCCAACCTACTGCTGAAGGCTTCCAGCAGTGTCTTTTATTGCATTTTCCCAAGCACTTCCCTACCTCTTATCTTATGCTACTGAGAGAACAGGTACTGCCCCTTCCATATCAAGGATGAGGTGACTCAAACATGGGAAGATCACGGAGCAAGGCAGTGATGCTGCTGGATCAGAATCAGGACTAATGGCCTGGTACAGTCTCATGCCACCTTATGACACTAATGCAACATGCGCACCTGCCCTAGGGAAGAATAAAGCTGGCAAGGCCAAGAGAAGGACCTGTGGTTTCCATTTGCACTGTCCTGATTTATGTTAAGTCTAGACAATGAGGTGAGGGATGAAATAAACATGGATTTTGCCAAAGTGAAATAAACGGTGTGCTGGCATTTAGGCCTTCCATCTGCACTGTGGGAAGAGAGCAGATGTTCCTCATCAGCCGCGCCTTGCTTCTTCTGCCCCTTCCTTTCCCAAATTGTGCCGCTGGATGGGTCAGTACCCCCACCCTCAGGCTCACTCCTATCCAATGCCTGAGCCAGCCCAGACTGTGGTGCAAAGAGTTTGCCCAGCAAAGAGACCAACCCAGGTTCTTCCCTTTCATCTGGGCTACTTCTGCTGCCTCTCCAATCTCACAAACAACCCTGACCCCGAGATCCAGACCCAGCAACTCAGGAGCAGGGCTTTGGGCTCCATGTTGTCCCTCCCTCATGGTTCTGTCTGTAAGCTGCCTCCTCCCTTCTCCCTTCTCAGAGGAGTATTCACCCATGGCAAGATGTCCCCAACTCCTGCCAATTCTCCTTTCCTGGATGGGACAGATCCTGGCTTCAGATGGCCAGCTGCCCTCTCCCTGTTGGCAGTTTCTGCCCCTATGACCAGAAACCTCATGGGTCAACAGTTCTATTATTGTGACCGAGACTGTGGCTCTGTTAGCCAGTGGCACCAGCTGCATATTCAAGTCCAGCCTTTGGGGCAGGGCCAGTGACCCCTGGTTCACATGTGGCCTCCCTGTCCCTTCTGCCAACAGCACTGGGATTCATCTACAGTGCCTTATATTTGGTTTCTTTCAGGTATACCATGACTTGCTTTAAGAAAATACAATATACCTGGGTACAGTGGCTCATGCCTATAATCTCAGCTATTTGGGAGGCTGAGGTAGGAGGATGGCTTGAGGCCAGGAGTTTGAGACCAGCTTCAGCAACATAGCAAGCCACCGTCTCTAAAATAATTTTTTTTAATTAGCCAGGCATGGTGGCACACACCTGTAGTCACAGCTACTTAGTTGGCTGAGGCAGGAGGATTGCTTGAGCCCAGGACTTCAAGGCTGCAGTGAGCTATGATCATGGTACTGCATTCCAGCCTGGACAACAGAGCAAGACTCCATCTCTAAAAACATAAAGAAAAAGAATATAATAAAAACAGCAACACAGCAGATAATTATTACTATTATATAGGATATTTAACATATAAAAATGTACTATTTTTTTTAACATACTAACTTTCCACCATGCATTAGAAATGTGATTGAATTTATAATAAGGAGTCCAGTTTGTTAAGTCAAATAAAGCATAGCACTCTTTCTACCACCCCTTCACTGCCCCGCACCCACCTCATGTCCCTCTCTGACCAGCTTTCAGATTCTATGATCAATAACCATCATCATACCCACAGTCCACACCCTCAATTCCCTTGCACCCCTCTCTCTCTGTCATACTCAGCTGGCAAAAGCCCAACTCAGATTAAATCCAATACTTTGCCTACCTGTACTTGCACCTATTGAGTTGAAAACACTGGAGACACACCCAAGACCTGATTTCTACTGTCTGCTCTTATTTAAATTCAAGATCCCTAATCACAGGGGAGCCGTTGGAGGTATCCAGAAATCTGACTGCATTGCCTTAGATCAATTACTCCTGAACTGTCTGAGAGGATTATTTCACACCTTCTCTTCTCTCCTCAAATTTCCAACACCTCTTCCCCCTTCCTCCCTGCCAGCTGATGACCTTGCTTCCCATTTCACTGAGAAAACGGAAGCAGTCAGAAGGTTCATCCACAGACCAAGCCACCACAGGCTCCCGCACACCTGCACTCATTCTGTGGGCTCTGCTATCACTCCTGCACAAGAACAGCCTCTCTATTTGTGCACTCGATGCCTTCCTCATTTCCCAACTCAAGTGCTTCCTTCTAGCAGTTGTCTCATCTCTCTCCTCCCTCATCAATGTTTCTCAGGCTCTAGATCATTCTCTGCAGCCCTCAAACATACTGTCATATCTCTAAAAGTATCCCCTTCCAAGCCCACAATCTCCCTCATCTACTACTCCATTTTCTATTCCTCTTTACAGCAAAACTCCTTGAAGGAGTCAACACTCCTGCTGCCTCATCTCATTCTCACTTAAATCCAGACCTCCCAGTGTTCACCTCCACCTCTCCATCTAAACAGCTCCAGTTCAGGGCACCAGTAACCTCCTTGCTACTAAATCCAGTGGACAATCCTCTGGCCTCAGATTTCGTGGCATATCAGCAGCTTTTCATAAGGATGGTCACTGCCCCTTTCTAGAAATACTTTCTTAAATTCTAGGTCCCTAGTTCTCTTAGTCCTCTCCTAATTCACTGGCCAGCCCTTCTTATTTTCATTTCCTAGTGCCTCACCATCTCCTGTAACAGTCCAGAGCTCTATTCTCAGACCTCTTCTCTACCTACCTTAACTCCCATGGTGATTTCATCCAACCTCCTAGCTTGAAGTACCATCTAAACATTGATGATTCCCATCTTTATACAGCCAGCCCAGACGTCTCTTTTGAATTCTAGACTCCTAAATTTATCTGCATGCTATGGACTGAATGTTTATGACCTCCCCACCACCACCAGCCAAATTTATATGTTGAAAACCTAATTATCAATGTGATTATATTAGGTAGGGCCTTCGGGGGTGTATTAGTTCATTCTCCCACTGCTGATAAAGACATAGCTGACTGGGTAATTTAAAAAGGAAAGAGGTTTAATTGACTCACAGTTCCACATGGCTGGGGAGGCCTCACAATCCTGGCAGAAGGGGAAGCAAACATGTCCTTCTTCATATGGCGGCAGGAAGAAGTGCCCAGCAAAAAGAGGACAAGCCCCTTATAAAACCAACTCACTCACTATAATGAGAACAGCAACATGGGGTAACCACCCCTGTGATTCAGTCATCTCCCACATGATCCCACACAGGGATTATGGGAACTACAATTCAAGATGAGATTTAGGTGGGGACACAGCCAAACCATATCAGTCCACTCCTGGCCTCTCCCAAATCTCAGGTCCTCACATGTCAAAGCACAAACATGCCTTCCCAATAGTCCCCCAAAGTCTTAACTCATTTCAGCATTAACTCAAAAGTCCACAGTCCAAAGTCTCATCTGAGACAAGGCAAGTCCCTTCCACCTATGAACCTGTAAAATCAAAAGCAAGTTAGTTATTTCCTAGATACAATGGGGGTACAGGCATTAGGTAAATATACCCATTCCAAATGGGAGAAATTGGCCAAAACCAAGGGGCTACAGGCTCCATGCAAGTCCAAAATCTAGTGGACAGTCATTAAACCTTAAAGTTCCAAAATTATCTCCTTGATCTCCATGTCTCACATCCAGGTCACGCTGATGCAAGAGGTGGGTTCCCATGGCCTTGGGCAGCTCTGCTCCTTTGGCTTTGCAGGGTAAAGCTCCCCTCCCAGTTGCTTTCATGGACTAGCATTGAAAGTCTGTGGCATTTCTAGTTGCACGATGAAAGCTGTCAGTAGATCTACCATTCTGGAGTCTGGAGAGCAATGGCCTTCTTCTCACAGCTCCACTAGGCAGTGCCCTAGTGGGGACACTGTGTGGAGGCTACAATCCCACATTTCCTTTCCACACTGCCCTAGCAGAGGTTCTCCATGAGGGCCCCACCCCTGCAGCACACCTCTACCTGCACATCCAGGCATTTCCATACATACTCTGAAATCCAGGGGGAGGTTCCCAAACCTCAATTCTTGACTTCTGTGCACCTGCAGGCTCAACACCATGTGGAAGCCTCCAAGGCTTGGGGCTTGCACCCTCTGAAGCAATGGCCTGAACTCTACATTGGCCTCTTTTAGCCATGGCTGGGACACAGGGCACCAAGTCTCAAGACTGCACAAAGCAGCAAGGCCCTGGGCCCAGCCCAAAAAAACACCTTTTCCTCATAGGCCCTCTGGGCCTGTGATTGGAGGGGCTGCCATGAAGACCTCTGACATGCCGTGGAGATATTTTCCCCATTGTTTTGGTGATTAACATTTGGCTTTCTTGTTACTTATGCAAATTTCTGCAGCTGGCTTGAATTTCTCTTCAGAAAATGAGATTTTCTTTTCTATCGCAACATCAGGCTTTAAATTTTTTGAACTTTTATGCTCTGCTTCCCTTTTAAAGATAAGTTATAATTCCAAACCATATATTTGTGAATATATAAAACTGAATGCATTTAACAGCACCCAAGTCACCTCTTTAACACTTTGCTGCTTAGAAAGTTCTTCTGCCAGATGCCCCAAAATCGTCTCTCTCAAGTTCAAAGTTCCACAAATCTCTAGGGCAGGAGCAAAATGCCACCAGTCTCTTTGCTAAAACATAACAAGAGTCTCCTTTGCTCCTCATCTCCCTCTGAGACCACGTCAGCCTGGACTTTATTGTCCATATCACTATCAGCATTTTGGTCAAAGCCATTCAACAAGTCTCTAGGAAGTTCCAAACTTTCCCACATCTTCCTGACTTCTTCTGAGCACTCCAAACTGTTCCAGCCTCTCCCTGTTCACCAGTTCCAAAGTTGCTTCCACATTTTCAGGTATCTTTACAGTAGCACCTCACTCTACCAGTACCAATTTACTGTATTAGTTTGTTCACACACTGCTAATAAAGACGTACCTGAGACTGGGTAATTTATAAAGGAAAGACATTTAATTGAATCACAGTTCCATATGGCTGCGGAGGCCTCACAATCATGGCAGAAGGGCAAGCAAACATGTCCTTCTTCATATGGTGGCAGGAAGGAGGAGTGCCCAGCAAAACAGGAAAAAGCCCCTTATAAAATCATCAGATCTTGTGAGAACTCACTCACTATAATGAGAACAGCAGCACAGGGGTAACCACCCCCATGATTCAGTCATCTCCCACATAGTCCTTCCCACAATATGTGGGGATTATGGGAACTACAATTCAAGATGAGATTTGGGTCGGGACATAGCTAAACCATATCAGGGGGTGAATTAGTGCCTTTATAAAAGAGGCTCCATTGGTTCATATTGATTTTCTCCCTCCATGTCATTGCTAGTGATTAAATAATTCATCCTTTTCCCAATAGATTAAAGCACTACCTTTGTTTATATTACATGCTCATAATATTGGAATTCTTTCAGACAAAAAAAAAAAAAAGGTCCCAGAGAGCTGCCTTGCCCCTTCCACCATGTGAACATATATATATAGAAGGTTCCATCTATGAACCAGGAAACAGGCCCTTGCCAGACACCAAACCTACTAATGCCTTGGTCTTGGACTTCCAAGCCTCCAAAACTATGAGAAATAAGTTTCTGTTGTATATAAGCCACCCAGTCTATGGCATTTTGTTACAGCAGCACTAACAGGCTAAGACACTGACCACTCAACACTTCCACCTAGGTATCAGACCAACATCTCCAAAAATTGAACTTAACATGTCCAGAATTGAATTCCTATTTTCCCTTCACAGCAGGCCTTCCCATGGTGATCCCCATTTCATTCCAGTGAAACTCCATCCTTCTAGTTGCTTACCTCAAAACCTTTGGCACATTCTGGACTTTTTTTTCTCTCTCTCACATTCCACTTAGATCTACTGGATGAGAAAAATCCCCTGAACTATACTATCAACATCAATCCAGGATTCCCCATCTCCTCTGCTGCTAGCTTGGCCCACATGTATCTCTTTTCCCTCTGAATTACCACAATATCCTCCCAACTAGTCTCCCTGCTTCCACGCTTGCCCACTTCCTTACTAACTCAGCTCACCACATCAGCCAGAGTAATCTTTTTAAAAAATAGGTCAGATTGTGCAATTCTTGTGCTCCAAATCTTCCACTGGATTCTGATCTCATGTCAAGTAAAGGCCAACATCCTTACCACGGTATATAGATGCCTTCATAATCCAGCCCCAGCCACCACCTCTTTGGTCACATCACCTACCACTCTCCTTCACCCACTCCCCACCTGCCACACTAGGCTTTCCTTTTGCTTTTTGAACACACTAAGTATGATCTCAGCTCAGGCCAGCACTTGCTGTTCCTTCCACCAGAAGTGTGTTTCCCCCAGATATCCACATGGCTCACTCTTTGTTTTTTATCACAGCTCCAACACTAGCTTATTAGTAAGGTTTTTCTTGAACATTCTATGAAGGTATCCCCCTCCCCAGCACAACCAAGTCTCTGTACTACAAACTATACAAACATAGTATATATTCAATAGTTTATTCATAAATTATTCTTCCCTAGTCTCCCACCAGAATGCAAGCTCCGTGAGGGCAGAGACTGTCTTGTATTTACCATGAACATTCTCAGCATCCACAAATATATCTATAACATAGAAAATGTTCAAAAAATATTTCTTGGCTGAATTACATAAACTCAGATGCATGTTTATTTATCACACATGACTTCATAGCTTTAAGCTGGAGTTCAGATAAAATGAGTTAAACTAGTAAAACTGTTTTGGAAAGACCACTTTTGTAAATAAATCAAAAAGAAAATTGTTTTTATGTTTACTGCATTTTATAATTGGGTAATGTCAAAGATAGAACTTATACCACCTTTTACATAAGGAACATGCACATTTTGTTGATACAAAAGAAGAAATCCATGGCATCAGGAAAAATAATAAAGTCATGTTAACAGGCAGTGAGGAAATCAGATATGTAACCTTGGATGGGGCTGGTATGTGGGCCTGACCCAGGTAATGGCTGGTCTCAAACCCAAGATAGAGCTTTTCCATGGCCCTGGAGTCAGGAGCCTGGGAGGTGAATTCTTCCCATCTCAGGCAACTACTCTACTACAGCCACATTTCAGGCTACTATGTTTGATCTGAAGCAACATCAGAACAAGGTTCCACCATGCAAAGGATATCCTGGGTGCTTGGGGAAATATTTTAGCAAATGTATCCTAATTTTAAAATCATGGAGATGCCTAGGTGGTACAGGTCACCCGGTCTACTTTACCAAATGCGTAAATTACCTCTTCTGCCTATATACCAAGTATCTATTCAGTCGCTGCATCTTGGGAAAGGTTGCTCACCATCCCATGAAGTAGTTAATTCCAAACTGGGGCAGCTCTAAATATTGAGGAATTTTTTCCTTATCTTGCATTGACAGCTGCCTCCCCGAAACTGATAGCCACAGGTTTTGGACTTGATCCTACTTTTATAACTAGTTGTACATTTGTGTTTCCAGTGCCAAATGAGATGGTAGTAAATGGAGCACAGGTTTTTAAATCCTGCTTTTCACCAAATAAGCAATCAGACTGGAATTTCGGGGAAAAAAATCAACTGCTCTTTGACACAGTAATTCTAATTCAGGTCATTTTATTTTAAGAAACCCATATTCCTCCACTACAAAGGCTGGAAAGTTATCAGCCCACCTTCCCAGATATTTTTGAGCTAGGGTGATCACATGGCTTAGTCTGCAGATGGGAGTGATTCCCTGTTTTCTCTGGGAGAGCCCTGTGCTTGGCTTGCAGCCACCATCACTAAGAAAAACAGAGCTGCAGGAGGAGGTTCTCTGATGGTCTCAATGACCCCTTATCCCCTTGTCTCAATGTCTTCTTCCATGAAAAAAACAAACAAAAACCCTTAAGCTGTTTCTTCCCAGGTTTTCAGGCACTTGCAGCCAAATGTACTCCTAAAAAACAATTACGTAGCCAATTAAAATTATGTTTATGAAGAGTTTATAACGGCATGAGAAATTATTTATGAAAATGTGAAATGAAAAAAGCTTGATGCAAAATTTATAGAGAGCATAACTACAAATATATAAAATCTTTGCCAAAAAAATTCCCTACATGTGTTTGGTGATGAGATTATGGGCATTTATTTTTCTTTAAAAATGTTAACATACTGATTGAGTGTAAGGCCCCATGACAGGCACATTTAAGTTATTTTATTCTTTCCACTGTTTTGTACATTTCACTTTCTTATTTAGAATGAAGAAAATATTATTAAAAATAAAAAATCCTTTATCCTGGAAGGTCTAAAGGAAAAATCAACCAATTATGATTTTGGTAAAACCCACAGAAGTAAAATTTGCCAGTCTTCTTTTCCCCACCATCATTAGCATTCTGATTTGTCAGCTAACCAGAAAAATGTGTACGTAATAGAAGACTAGCAGGAAATTGACAAATTAACTTCAACTACCAAAAAGCCAAATGAAAACTGCTTGATTTCGTTACTACCGCAAAAAGAATGATTGTCAAAAAATGAGGGGAAAACAACTAACTTCTATGATTTCAGCATTATAAGGAAGGGCTGCTTATTTGCCATAGAAATAATATTTTGGAGGAAAAAGCTATTAAAATTCAGATCCATTCAAACCCAGACTGAGATTACAGCTTAGAGTTAATTAAATGAACCCCAATTGTGTGCAAACTGAATTTAAAATGTAATCAAAGTATACAGATGATATTATTTTTGACCCACCAAGATGCCATGCTGACTATCTTATTTCCTCCATGCCATGCTCTGTTTTGTGAAAAAAACTGCAGGAGATGGTAATCTGTTTTCTCCAGTGATGAGGTGACACAGACAAAACAACATCCAGGCAGGTGATGATCTCTGCTTAACTCAGGATAAAGCAGGAAACTTGGCTGCATCCTGAACCTGAAGCCCTCTGGGGAATGTGCCACCACTGGGCCATTCGATTCAGCTGTCAGAGCCTGGCTGGGAGTTGTCTTTCTCTGGAGCTACCTGGGAGAAGGTGGGGACTTTCAGGATGGCCAAAAAAGCTGTTAGGTGGCAGTCTTTGATTTTCTTTGGACTCTCTGGCCTGGAACATAGCCATGGGGCTCCCAAGCTCCAAGGAATATATTTACAGCCACTGCCTTTGTTTAGATGACAGTTAACCTCATCTACTCCCTTAACTCTGCAGGAGCACATACCCATCAAAGGAAGACACTAGGAATTTCAAGCCACTGTCTCTACCTTGTCTTCCCAAGGTGTCTACTAGGGTGGAGGAGAAGCAGATGAAAGAGGAGAATTGGGACTATGGTGCTGGCCCACTTGTGTTGATGCTAACTTGCTTTCCTGCCTCCTGCAGCTGGTTCCCTCAAGAGCCACATCAGTTTGTTGAGCTGATGAGAACTGACCAGGACATATTTCCTACAGAACTCTTGAAGTTTTCCAGGTCTCTGATTATTACTACTTGCAAAATCACCAGCATCTCAGGGGGGAATATAAATGCATCTCCAAGGTAGACCTCTTTCCAGCGTGGGTCTAGATGATCTTGAGGGCTCCTAGTTTGCCTAAGACACATCCAGAAATGAGGCTCCATGAGACAAATTCACCAAGAAGGTGTGCTATTCAACAGGCGGTGCCTACCCTGGTTAACAGCATTTTGATTAAAATGGTCAGGCAGAACCTACCAGATCCAAGTGCCAACACATGGCTATCCCCTATGAGCACTATTAAAGGACTTTATGAAGCTAGCAAAAGGATTTGTGAAAAATTACTAAACCAATAATTCACAGTGACAATTACTAGATTTCGTCAATTCTAAGATATGCTATTGTGTTTCCTCTCGCATTATAATGTTACTGAAATAGCAATGCATCTTACAGTTAATGTGTACATTTTAATGTGTTAGTGTTTCTTTTTTTTTCCCCAAAAACCTGTTCTTGGAAATAAATAAATAAGCAAGCAAGCAAACAAACACAGACTATTCTGATTCTAGTTTCTTCCTATTCTGGAACTAGCAAGCATCTTAATAATAATGAACTGATGAGGCTAAGAGACTGGCATCTGTGTTAAAAAGACCCGGATTCCTACCTTTCCTGATCCATCACAGTAGTCTGCACTGAGATACCTGCTTTTGCATCAGCATTCCTTCATGAACAATCTATGTGGCAGAGAAGGCTAATGATCCATCTAAATTTACGCTCTTCCTCCCATAGGATGGAGGCAGCCCTGGAAAGTAACCACCCAGCCAGGTACCATGTTTTCTAGCTTTCTTTGCACCTAGGTGTGGTCATATGACTAGTTCTCCAGACTATGAGAAGAATGATGTGGGTCACTTCCAGACAAAGGCAGTTAAGAAGTGAGTGTGCCTCTTCATCCTCTCTCATTTGACAGGCTGGAGGCAAAGGATTCTGAGGCCCTGGGAGATAGCAGAGTCAGAAATAGTAGAAACCACATGGAGGAAAGCTGTCCACTGGCAAGGAATACCTGCATTAGACTGTTAAATTGCTGAAAGTATGGGGGTTTATTTATGCTCTAAATTATATTTTTCCCCTATATAATTTCAACACAGCAAATGTCTGGCTGGTGTCTGGGACTCTGGGGTATGACAACCCACTGCTGGCTACATAATTTGTAGGGCCCAGGGCAAAATGAAAATGCAGGGCTCCTGGTCCAAAAGTTATTAAGAATTTCAATATGGCTATGGAGCATTTAACAAAGTGGGGAACCTATGTGACTACAGAAATCACGTGCTGATGAAGCCAGCCCTGCTCTGACCTCAATACCCAATATCATGTTAGTTATACAGCATTATTTTAACTGTAGCAACCCCATTTCAGATGCCCAGAAGAGGCTAAAATTAAGACTAGGATTATTGCTATGCATTTTTAGAGAAACACGCTCAGGGCCTTCTTGCTCCATCCCACAGTGAGAAGAATATATGAGGTATATTTGCATACACAGACTCTCCAAAGCAGCATTTTGACTGAGAAGTGTTGTTCATTTGGGTTGTTCAATGGCATTTTGTGTCCAGCTGGTCAGTCATAAATTGCCCATTCATCAGGAACTTGATCTGGTTGATTTTGGGGGGATCACCCCTCCCCATGGTCCCTCTCATTAGTCCAGGAAAAGGCTTTGTGAGACTAGAGCTGCTTGCTGGCCCAACTTCTTACCATGATGCCCATTTTTATCCCCTTCCTGCAGGCCAAGTACCACTGTAGGTCAATTCACTAACCCTAACATCACACAAGGAGTATGTTAGTAGATGCAGTTCTCAGCCCTTCACACACACACACAAACACACACACACACACACACATATCAACACCTGGGCAGCTGGCCCAGCTCTGGCCTGAGCATTCTGATAATCAGCTTTCAGAATGACCCATCCCAGGTCCTGGAGTCCTGGCTTTAAAGCCCTGGCCTGTGGCTAAGGTCCATGCTCCATGCTGACAGGCCACCAGCCACCACTGGCCTGAGCTTGCTTTTTTGCTATTTATTTTTTTGAAAGTAAAACAAAAACATTTTAATTTTATCGAATGAATCTGTGTTGGTGATGCACCTGCACTACCTTCCATACATTGTGACTGTCCAACTCCATTTCAGCTCAATCATCTGGAATCCACCTTTCTAAGCAACATATTTCTATTACTATTTCTTGATGCTCCAGTTTTAGATATTGTCCATAGACTTCCTCCTGGACCAATTTCTACCTCATCCTCCTGCAAGGCTGGGTTCTAGGTTCTCCCTTCACCACTATCCCTGGGGGTATCTTCCCCATTCTCTTGTCTGAGTTTGCTTTTAAGGAACTCCTTTCTCCCTGGAGGGACCCACAGCCCCACATGGTGCTATACTTTTAGGACAACAGGTCTGTCTGCTGAGCTGAAATGTTTCACGGCAACTGAAGGTGTGTATGTATGCAACCCCCAAATCTACCCTGTTATCTTGCTTCTTTAGCCTTCCCACCACATCCCCCAACCCCAACTCACCATCCAGTTGTAATTAACCAGACTGGGCTAATTGAAAGTTTTACTGCTATACAGCTTGAGTTCTTCAGGCTGATTCCCCATCTCCCACTCATCACTACCACACTGACACATAAGCCAGTTGCCTGTATCAAGGCTTTGAGTCCTAAGACGTCATTCTTCCCTCCAAGGCAGTTAGGATCCTCTATTAAAGCACGCAGAGTTTCCAGTGACTATAAAAGGAAATTGTATTGAATACTCCATTTCTTACAATTGTTTAATCAATAAAAGGTTACAAATACATCTGTAGAAATAAACAACAACAAACCCCTGTAGATTTAAAGATTCTATTTTGAGTAAATACAGAGAAAGATAAAGCTAAGATGACAGGTAGACGCTACTTCAAGTACTACCATTGCTCAGTTGGGAGCAGTGGCTACCTGTAGCATTGTGTTGAAAGGATCCTGAGGTCAAATCTGAGCTGAGCAAGAAATAATTCCATGATCAATTAGT
Source organism: Homo sapiens (assembly GCF_000001405.40). NCBI lineage: Eukaryota > Metazoa > Chordata > Mammalia > Primates > Hominidae > Homo > Homo sapiens. Next base: position 109,800,549 of record NC_000009.12, on the reverse strand, counting down.
GATACATAGGAACAAAGGGTGGCAACATGTGAGTCGTTTAATTGCCAAACCCGGAGGGGTCATTTGCATGGGTTTGGAGCCAGACAGATCTGAGTTTGAATCTGGACTCAGCTACCCGGTCTTGGGCTAACGTTAAACCTCCTCAAGTTAACAGTTCCTCTTCTGTTAAAACAGTGATAAGAATTCCTCTAACAGAGTATTATTGTTTCCATTAAATGCGGTAGTATTTGCTAAACACTTACCATAACAGTAGTATATATTAAGTACCTAATCACAGAAGCTCTTACAATATTAGTTCTTTGGCCCTAAAATTAGTTCTTAAATATAAATGCCTTGAAATATGCTCCTCTGATTTAAAAGTGTGTTTGTGTTGATCTCCATCCTCTTTTCAAATCAGTAAACCTTATACTGGCACATGGGAGGTGCTGGGTAACAATCAGGTGATAAACATAGGATTTCTGCCCATCAATCTCTCCACCAACAGCACATTCTGTATGGCAGGCAATAGGGAATCCGAGTGGCTCTGACTGAATTCTTAGCTTTCCCTAAAAATAAGCTTATAGTCTGAGTCACCCCTTTCTTCCCAGGCTCCTCTGAAAGTTGAACAGGATGTCACAAAGGCCAGAAATAGCCTCCACATTCCAACTCGAAACTGGTTTTCCATCAGCTCTAAGGCTTTCCACTGAAGCTGGGGAGGATGCTTCTTCTGGGTTTCAGTATAAAAAGAATGCCTTAAACAGTTAAAAACCTAATGGTGGCCGACGCGGTGGTTCATGCCTGTAATCCCAACACTTTGGGAATCTGAGGCAGGTGGACTGTTTGAGCCCAGGAGTTCGAGACAAGCCTGGGAACATGGTGAAACCCCATCTCTACAAAAAATACAAAAAAATTAACCAGGCATCGTGTTGCATGCCTACAGTCTCAGCTACATGAGAGGATGAAGTGAGAGGATCACTTGAGCGCAGGTGGTCAAGACTGCAGTGAGTAATGGTCGTGCCACTGCACTCCAGCCTGGGCAACAGAGTGAGACCCCATCTCAAAAATAAACTCCCCAAAACTAAAGGTGACCCCTCTATGGAAATAATGGAAAGCCACTGAGAAGCCTTGAGGAATGTACCAGCACTGGCAGGGACCGGCAGTCAGGAACCTGGAGCAGCTCCCTGCCTCATCCTGCCTCCACTCTGCCACCACAGCAGTCTCTGATAAACCACAGGTCTTCAGTGGCTCTCAGCCTCTCACAGACCACATCTTTGCCCCACTTGGAACACCTGGTCTTCTGTGGTCCAGCACCCCCTGCCCATCAACCTCACTTCTCAACATCCACGAGCCACGCTGAGCTTCACATCACTTCCTGACACTGTTCTGCTCCATCACAAACCTTGTCACTTTGCCCATGCTCCTCCTTTGATCTGCATACTAACAGAATCCTCTGGCCTTGGCCACCCTCACCAGACCTAGGCTGCTTTTTGCCCTCTTGGGGAGGTTAGGAGGTGCTAGGACTGGGTCCTAGAGCACAGCAAGGGGATCCGTGAGTCTTTGAGACTCGGGTTGCATGGTCCGCACAACAGTGACCTGGAGGGGAAACGGAGGGCAGCAGGGCAGGTGGCTTGGAGCAGTGGAAAGACAGCTGACATAGAGACATGGATGATGTGGGCTCCGGCCACAGCCTGGATGATCTTGAACAAATTACTCAGCTGAGCTTCTGTTTTCTCTGAAATAAAATGCAGAAAATAATACCTTTCCTGCTCCTTCAGGCACAAACAAATTGATAGAAGGAGAGAATTCTGTAAACTCTAAATAACTGTGAACATATGAGGCATGTTTTGTTTATTATCAATGGGGAGTAGTGACACAACACTGGGTCCTAAGCAAAAACACAGACAGGACTGGGGGCAGCTCTGTTGACATTTTGAACTCCTGTGATGTAGTTTACAGCTTTGCCCAATGTTTTTAACTGGCTAGGTGAGGGTATGTTTAACACTCATGCCTTAGCGTGAAATGTGGTTCTATGCCTTTCCTGATAAAAGGCTTTGACAGGAGACAGAGGGTTATGGGATACATGAGTGTGTAGACAAGGCAGAGGTTTGAGCCATTAATGGCATATGGCACCCATTGTTTACAGGCCCCTTAGCCATTCCCCTGGGACACAATTTCTACTGCCATAGCCAGAAGCAGAGTAGGGTACGCTTGACCATCACTGCGAGATGCAGGTATCATCTGACAGCATGCAAGGACCCTGTCCCCAGAAAGATATATTGAAGTCCTAACCCCCAGTACCTCAGGATATTTCTGAGTCAGGGTCCTTTCAGAAGTCATCAACTTATGTCATTAGGGTAGGCCCTATTCCAACATGATTGGTGTCCTTATGAAAAGGGGAAATTTGGACACACCGGCAGACATATGTAGAAAGAAGATGATGTGAAGAGACATAGGGAGAAGCTGGCCATCCCCAAGTCCAGGAGAGAGGCCTGGAACAGATCCTTCCTCACAACCCTCAGAAGAAACCAATCTAGCTGGACATCTTGATTTCAGACTTCTAGCCTCCAGAACTATGAGATGATAAAATTGTTGTTGTTTAAGCCACCCAATTTGTGGCACTTTATTATAACAGCCCTGGAAAACTAATACAGAACCTTTATAACAATCTAGGGGAAAAAAGAACTAGGGAAGCCACAACAGTCCAAATTAGGAAGAACACTGATGTGTTTACCTGGTGAAAGCCACAGATACTAACCCAACTCTGAACATTTTGGGACCTGATGGCCTATATGCTCAAAGGGAACTAAACTAGAGATGGCTCATTTTTGTTTGTTTATTATGAAATTCACTTGTAGCAATAATGAATCTGCAGGCCGCCTGCTTCCCACACATGCCCCTGCCCTGGCGGTTCACAGCCAAGGTGTGCAACGGGGAGGGTGACGGACGGCTTCTGCAGAGCTGCTTGAAGCTGGTGCATGTGGTGGGTGATTGCTGGTAAAGGTCCCAGCAGTCCCACTGCTCACTGCTGCTTCTGAGTTCAGAACCAGGAAAGATTCTAACTCTGTAGACTTCCAGGATCTAGGCAAACCAAATTGCAAGTTCATGCTCTAGCTGGAAATTTGTGGATGCTTTCCATGCGGAGGGGAGATATCAAGAGTGAACTGATCTCAAACACAGTCCAAGAATCCAAGAAGAGCCCCTGATAAAAAAGGTGAAGTTGGCAAAGCAACTGTTTCCATTCAAAAAGCATTCAGTGAGTATCTGTGATGTGCCAACCTCCCTCTCTCCTCTGAAGCTCAGGGTAACCCCAAGCTGGGCCTAGAAGCTTCCCTTCCCATGCTAAGCGGAGTGAGAACTTAGATAGCGGCCAAAGGACACAACCCAGCTGAGAGAGATGGAAAGTGAATGCAGAAGAAAGAACCTAGAAAAATTTGCTGGGGAAGAACCCCAAGAAGGTAAAAGAGGTAGCATCAGGCAAAGGAAAGGAGGAAACCATCAGAGCAGGGGCCCAGTTACAAAAGAAAGAAGTGAGAATTCAGGGCGTTTGGGGATAAGACAGAATTTAGGGTACCCAGCTAAAGGTTATTTTTACCACCCCCTAGCTAACATTTAGCACCGCCTTCAGTTATGAATGTAAGCACAAGCCCCAGGTAGATCATTAGTACCTATATGATATGGTTTGGCTCTGTGTCCCCACCCACATCTCATCTTGAATTGTAATCCTCATAATCCCCATGTGTCAGGGGCAGAACCTGGTGGGAGGTGATTGGATCATGGGGGCAGTTTCTCCCATGCTGTTCTCATGATAGTGAGTGTGTTCCCATGAAATCTGATGGTTTTATAAGTGTTTGACAGTTACTCCTACACACATGATCTCTCTCACCTGTTGCCACGTAAGATGTGCCTGCTTCCCCTTCCACCATGATTGTAAGTTTCCTGAGGCCTCCCCAGACATGCAGAACTGTGAATCAATTAAACCTCTTCCCTTTACAAATTACCCAGTCTCAGGGGAAGTTATTTATAGCAGTGTGAGATTGGACTAATATACCATGACTTTATTAGGAGTAGGAATCACAGACTTTTTATATAACATTACAGTTGTTGGAGACAGCTCAAAATATCACTTACATTCACCAATAATTTGCAATTAGAGTAAGTATTAGAACTGCCACTAGATTTTACTTAATAAAAAAGCATGTTATCTTTAACTTTTCTAATATTTTGCTGACTGTACATCAATCAAATCCCATGTTATCTATCACAGTTTTCTAATATTTTGCTGACTGTACATCAATCAATCAAAGCACATTATCTATCACAGTTTTCTAATATTTTGCTGACTATATATAAATTTCATTGGTTATATTTTTAATCCTAAATATTTTATTTTGTGCATTTAAGCACTATTCTGAAAAGCGACCCATAGGTTCCACAAGACTGCTAAGGAGTCCAAGATACAGAACAAGAACTCTGCTAAAAGTCACTAAACTTGCTTTGACACTATGCAAAATGTGTTGTGACAGGCGGAGAGTAGATAATGGTGAATATGACATAGTCATTGGCCTCAAGAAGTTTACAGTCAGGCAGGAGAGACAGACAGGAAGTTATATTCTTTGCCCCTCTCTTTTTGTTCCCTGACTTCTATTCCCATCAACAGAGTACAGCACCTCTGCTCGCCCATATGGCACTCTGTGATCTAGAAAAGGTGCCCTTTCCTCAAAACCTGCTGGAAAATTGCCCTAACAAATACACAAGGCTACAGGGACCTTGTGTGAACAGTGCCCTGGCACAGGGCTCAGCAGTAAGGCTGAACTACAGCACCAGCCTAAGGCCTGACTATAGTGAATCTCCGCAGAAATGTTAGGTAAGAAGGTTCCTTACACGTGTATGCCAACTCCCTCATCTCTTGCCCATGGAAGACAGCTCTAATCTGTCTTAATGTCCTTTCTCCAACACCTAAAATGCAGCTTCAAAGATCTTCCCACGGCGGCACTATAGATGGACACTTTCTATCAGTTAGAGTTCACATAGGAGCTGAAAACCATCTGCCATCCCAAGCTTAAGGATTTACCATTTTTTTAATTTTATTTTTTATTATACTTTAAGTTTTAGGGTACACGTGCACAACGTGCAGGTTAGTTAAATCAATATTGTCGTGAGGGATTCTAGAAAATAAAAAAGACTTTGACATTTAAAGAAATTAATCCCTAATGATGAGAGTGAAGACTTAAAGGGATAAATCCCTAATGGTAAAAGAATGGGAAGTACATTTGGTCAGGTAACCTTTATGTTATACTACATCAGTGATTTTCAAAGGGGTTATTTTTTTCCCCAAAGGATATTTGGCAATGTCTGGAGACCTTCTTGATTGTCACAATGAAGAGTGGGGTGTGCTACTAGCATTTAATGGATAGAGACCAAGGATGCCACTAACATCCTATAATGCAAAAGATCGGCCCCACAGACAGCAGAAAATTATCTATCCCAAAGTGTTAATGGTACTTCAGTTAAGAAACCTTACACTATAGGGTTGGCTTCCCATTCTCCAAGCAGCTGCTCAGAAGTAGCCCATCTAGAGAATTTCAGGATCAAGCATATGTATGACCAGAAAAGCAAAGGCTGTCCATCTGCAGTGAGCAATTGTGAGTGTCCACAACCCTGTCCACTTCAGCATGGCCACAGGGCCGACGCAAGTACTGCAGCAATCATTCTTTAACCCGATTTCACAATTATGGCTCTGCTATCTTCCAAAACCTTGAGCAATTTGAAAATATTTATTAAGGCACCAAAGTCCCTTTGGAAATTTCCAGGCAGACCAGACTCAAAATTGTAGCTGGTGTTTTTGAGTAAGAAATGGAAGAGGGCAGAAAGGAAGTACTTAATGATTCAGAGACACTAGGGTCGATCCTGCTACCACTGGCCATGGGCAACTTTTACCTAGTGGCCACTCTATTTGTAAATCAAGGCCCTGGTCCCAAGGGTTCCATGAGGTAACTGAACAGGGAAGGCTGGCCAGAAACCACTCCTCTCTGGCTCCCTGCTTGGACTCAGGGAATGTGGCTGGTGTGCTCTCTGACCTTTAGTCTTTCACTAAGTGTGCTTAAAGTTCCCTGAAAGAGAAAAGTGAGGGTTCAGGCAAAATCCAGGGAGCAAAAAAAAAAAAAAATACACCTGGAAAATCTGCAGTGCTTTCCCTCAACCCTCAGTCCCTGTCAATAGAAAGAAATGTTTTTAATTGTATGGACTTATTTCAGATGGGCCAAACTGTTAACCCTAAGAGATCAGATTTTCTGGTTTTCAAAAAACAACAACAACAACAACAACAACATGCAGTTGGCTTAGATAGCAAAGGATATAATGAGAAAATTCCACAGCGGCAAAACTCACATGCCAGCTTCGGTAAACAAAACCTCTCATCATGGTAAGCCCAGAAAACAGTGAAAAGGATGTCTGAGATGCTTTATTGTTCTGGACTGTAAGCAATGAGGCAATAGTGATTTCTTTAGATAAAAGGCTCCTGGAGCCTTCATCGCAAATACAGCCATTGAAATACGCCATGTAGAAAGCAGGGGTTGGCAAAGTTTTTCTCCAAATGGTCAGATAGTAAATATTTTTGGCTTTACAGGCCATAGAGTCTCTGTTTTAATTATTCACCTCTGCCATTATAGCACAAACTTAGCCATAGACAACACATACATGAATGGGCATGGTTATGCTCTGGTAAAAGTTTATTTATGGATGCTGACATTTGAATTTCATACAAATCTCATGAGTCATAAAAGATCCTTTTTTGAATTTTTTCAAATTTGTAAAAATATAAAAACCAGGCACTGCTCATAGGCCTTATGAAAAGAGGCTGCAGGCTGAATTTGGCCCACGGGCTATTGTTTGCTGGTCCCTGGTCTAGACCGAAAAGTGGAATTTCCACTCATTTTTCATTCTGAAGCTGCTATCTAAAATCAATTTTCCTCCTTGCCTCCTTGTGATTCTGAAATCACACTAGTAAAATGGAAAAATGAAACAACAAACAAACAAGACAAATAAATCAGCCATCACACCACTCTCCACCAAAGTATCCAGGCTGGGAAGGATCTGGTTGTGATCACTGTGTGACTCATCTTCTACCCACCACAGGGCACTGTCCTGCTCAGTGCAGTATAAGATATATGGCTTGCTGAAGGCTAGCATTCCAATGTTATTTTTAAACTCATCCAGTTTGAGCAATCTCTTTGTTTAGTCTTTTCAGACTTATATTATTCAAAGGTCAGGCCAGAGAAAAAGGGTAGAGGAGGGGCTGTAACATGAACCAATTTCTGAAATCCAGTTGTCCTCCTTCCTTGAGCACATATTAGATCATTTCTTGTTCTCTGGAAAGGATAAAACCAGTTGGTCACAAAACATTTCTTGAAAATCCATTTATGTGTATAGAAAGCACTCTTATCCTTCCAACACTTGCCCTATCTCCCTATAAACATGCTACTATTTAAAATCAAAGCATACAATCGCTTCTTGGCCTTTGGCTAAGATTAAGTGTAATAAAATCAAAGAGTATTTTCAAAGAGTATTTTCACCCTTTGGTGAAACACAGAGAAAGTAGGTTTTGAACTTACATGAGAATGTGGCATGAATGTGAAGAGGATGGGCTTGCCAGATAAAATATGGAATGTCCTGTTAAATGTGAATTTCAGATCAACAACAAATAATATTTTAATATAAATATGTCCCCATGGAATCACTGGGCATCCTATACATTTAGTTGCTAAATGGAACAACCCTAGTAGGGGATAGTGAAAAGACGACCCAGGCTGGAGCAGAAGGTATGTATTAGGAAGAAGCAAAAACTTGTTATATAGGTATGGTAGGGTGCTCATTATGAAACAGTTCCCCACCAATGGCTGGGAACCCAAGTTTCATGTTCTGGTCAACCCTCCCACCCTCAACTGATTTTTAGGGTCTTCAAAGTCAGGGTATAAGGTAGCCCCAAGCAGAATGACTTAGATTCCAGTTAGAGTTTTAAAATCAGCCTTCCTGGGAGACTTTTGGGGGTGATGGAACTGTTCTGTTGCCTGAGTATACCAGTGATTGCACAAATCTACGCATGTGTTCAAATTGAGAGAGCTGTACATCAAGAAAGTCAATTTTAGTGCTGGGAGCAATGGCACATGCCTATAATCCCAGCTACTTAGGAAGCTGAGGTGGAAGGATCGCTTGAGCCCAAGAGTTCAGGACCAACCTGAGCAACATAGCGAGACCCAGTCTTCCAAATTAAAGAATTTAATAAGTCTATTTTTCTCTTCATTCATTTTCATTTTTTTTAAAGAGTGCTTGTAGTTTTTACTTCTTACAGAGAACTGATGAGTTCATCCAGCATGCTGGATAAGGAACTGATTTAAGTAGCAGCCCTGACTCTGACCCAAGACTATGGTTTTCTTATAGGGTATGGATCCCACCAAGGTGCCCAACATACATAAGTGTATCTACAACTCACATAGCTTTATACTGTACCAACCCCCCAGCCCCCATTCCCACATACTATTGGTTTTGTAATTAAATAAAATAGGTTGTGACATGCAGACGTGGAAAACTGGTGGCCCAGGCTGGGGGTAGAGGGGGAGGGTCATTGAGACAGGGAACAAATCCAGCCTACACTGTGTTAAAATCTGTGTTATGTTTGGTTTGGCCCATACAGTATTTAAACTGTTGTGAGCATTTAAACATCAACAGACTTCCTTCAAAATTGGATTTCCAGGTTCTCTTGGAAAAGCAGGAGACCCTGGGCTCAAATTCCCACACAGTGCCCATCAGTTGGAGTTGAGCACTCTCTGTCCCCTCAGGAGTCTGCCCTCTCTTGGCTACCACAGTCCCAAAAGCTCAGCCAAGTCAACCTGGTACCTGTGCACATCTGAGATCTCACCCCCCTAACATAAGGCATTCAGCAGGGTGGCTGGCACATGGACCCTCTCCGGAACTGGGAGCCCTTCCCTCCAACCCCTTAAGAAAAGCTACATGATGAAGTACCATCTTTCCCTTGCTTTCTGAAGCCTGGGGTGCCCTATCTCCCTATAGGGGAGAGGGCGCACTTCTGCTGGAGGAAGGCTGGAAAAGGCTCCCTCCACTGCCATGCCAGGCTGCTTCCTGCTTTTCTCTGTGGACCCAGGCTGAGAGGGGATGAGAGATAGAACCATCCAGAGGCAAAAGCAGGAACATGTCAAGTAGAAAGAGATGACGGTGGAAAGAGAGAAAGGCAGGTGATTAAGCAGTTTACATTACTTTCAACTTTGCCTCCTCTTGTCTGTATTTTTCAGAGTCAATATTTTCTCTTCATTCTCCCTCATCGCATCCAATACTGATCTGACATATATCATTCTCACTCCAGTGTAAATAAGGATGGGGAGTAAACAGGCTACTAGTGTCTTATCTCTAGTCACCAGTAAGATTGGAAAGTACATTCTACTGCTGCCTCCAGGACCTCCTCTGTCTTCTGACCCATCTCCGCCAAACCTATCTCATCTATTGTTAAATATCCTTCGGGTTTTGTGGTGAGTTTTATTTGATTAACAACACTGAATTTTGAACACACATGCTCAGACATCAATGTTCATGAACAAGACTGCCTGCATACCACCTGGAAAAGAAAAATAGGCCATGCAGGTTACAGGAGCACTGCTATCCTAGAGTATGCTTTTGCTTACCTGGATAAGCAGGACTTCCTTTTAGCATCACTCATATTAGCCTTAAGCTTTTTAGATATGTCTCACAGTTCCACTGGAGCAAGGACATTTTCAAAGCACTTCCCACCCCAGTAGAAACAGCACGTGATATCAGCCCAAGATGTATGTCAAGTCACACCACAAAAACTCAGTGTTTAAGGCCAATCAGGTGCCTGGGGAAAGCCAGCTGACTGAGTTCATGCCACCCAGCCAAGAGGCACCTTTCTTAAATCCCGGCCTCTCTCTTTCTCATGTGACATGCAGGACACACACACTATCACAGTTGCCCAAATCCTAGAGCCCCATTTGGTATTTATTGGCCTCAAAGTTGTCGACATTAGCACTCAAACACAGACAAAGAAAATCCCCTGCCTGCCACCAAAGGGGTTAAGTTTTCAAGCATGTTTTTCTCTTAAGAATAACATTTTTTGGTAACCCTCAAGGTTTTAAGTTTCAGCCCTGAATTTAAAAATAAAGTGAATACTTAGATGACTGGTTATAATTTAGCAGAGGGGGGAAAAATCCCACCCACCTAGAATAGTAAGTAAACCAGTATAATTTTTTTTTTCCAGGAAAAAAGTAAGAGTAGGTTTTACAAATGCCTTCAAGATATTTGGTATTGCAAAGCTGTCTAGAGCCTAAAAGCCTGCAGGGTAATGAAATAGGCTTCCACAAGGGAAATGATGGACAGGAAGATGTGTTCCGACGTCTGGCCCACAGCTTTTTCATCTACAGCTGGGGCTTTTATCTTGGGCCTCACATGGCTTTTCTTTCCCCTTCGATCTTATGCAAAAGAAAGGTACAGATTCTCTATTCTTTTCTTCTAGCTAAACTTATATGATCCTATAGAAACAGTGATACTAGGGTCAAAGAGTAATCCAAAGTATTTTTAATATATGTTCAAGCATTATGTAAATAGGGTGTAGTCTTGTCTCTGTGTCTGTCAGTCTGTCTCCCTTTCTGTGTGTATTTAATAATCTCCTTTTGAGCATTTTAATTCAACAAGAGACTAATGAGAAATACTGAGATAATAATTAACCAAGGGCACTGTAGCTCCAACACGCACTGCCCCACACCACCCTCTGCTCCTGCCGGCATTTCCTGTCAGAAATAGATCTCAGCTGTGTGGTCTTCTCCCAAACCCAGAGCACTTATGAGCAACCTTTCCTCTACAAACTCCGCCATGCTGTGTGGCCCATCCCCTACAGTCTCCACGTTCTCTTAGGCCTCATCCTGTACAGTGCAGCCTCTGTGCTTTGTGTTTTAAGATATACAAGAGATCCGGTGAGGCAGAATCCTTCCAAAAATGAAGGGTTAGCTCAAAAAATGCATGGTACAAAGACAAGTGAGGGAAGCCTGCATGACATCCTTGGAAGAATAAACTTGTCCTTGATATGCCAATAACAAGTCATACTTGCATATACACAGACTGGCTTCATAAAATATTAACCATCATTAAGTAAATGAACATCAGTTGCTGCTTCTCCTGGCATCCTATTGGAGTTGCCCACGTGAGAAGCAATCACATCGCGAATTAGCACCTGCAGGCTGGAGAAGGGGCCACCAGGCTTGATGGGCTGATCTGCTATTTGATGTCTTCATCTATACACCATCATATGTATGGCAAGCCTCTCTCAATGGGGCTGTCATGGTGTTGCTGGATATCTTCTCTACTGCATGACTTCTTATCTCACTGAGGTGTCCTCTAAGGCCTCCCCAAGGGAATTTTGTAGCCCATAGTTTCAGTCAGTCAATCCCAGGCAAACTCTCTCAACCTGCCCAGCCAATCCTGGGCAAACCTTCCAAACCGGTGTTGTCAAGTAACCAACAGATATCTCACTTTATTTAAATAGATTAAAGCAAGTTCCCGAGATAAGCAAAGACCTCTTCTTGATTAGCCAGTGTAATGTGAGAAGGACACAGTTACACAGGGTGTCACTCTTGCCCAGTCTGGAGTGCAGTGGCAGTGATCATAGCTCACTGCAGCCTTGAACTCCTGGGCTTAAGCGATCTTCCCACCTCAGCCTCCCAAGTAGCTGGGACTATGGGAGTGCGCCACCGCACCCGGCTTGCATGACTTCCAAACTGGGCTATGTTTAAGGCTCTCATTAATCAAGACTAAATTTGGCCTTTTATTCTATTTCACCTCTTCAGAATATACACACCACACAAACTCCTGGGCATATCACAATGGGCATGTGATGCACATCAGGACCCAGGTCATAATCTTCCTTTACTATTGATCTCCTACACTTCACCAGTCGTTTTCAAAGTGTGTTCCCCAGAATAGCAGTTGCAGCTGGGAACTTCTTAGAAATACAAATTCTCAGGCCACATCACCCTAGACCTACAGAATTAGACACTCTGGGAGTGTGCTCTTGCAATCTGTGTTTTAAGGAACCCTCCAGGTGATCCTAATGCACTAACGTTTGAGAATTACTGTTCTATACCATATATGACAAAAACATCGGTCAAATGGCAGTTGCTGCTACTATGAGTCCTGAGCCCAGCAGAATCTCCCTACAATGTCCATTACTTGAGGCTAATAATAAATCAGGATCAACTCAAACATCCTGACTGACATGAGTTAGGCTTGGGCTTCATATCAGGTTTGCATTTCAGATTTGCATACCTTGAGTATAGGTTCTTAAAGATTCTTTTCTAATAAGAGGAATTTCCCAAATTAAGGTGCTGACTTGATGTGGTTTAGATTTGTTTTGGTTGAGTTAGAGAGCAATTACCTATCTAGATGTGAGTATTCTGAGTTTCAATAATGTCAGTGATTTGCAAGGGCTCATTTAATGTCAAAAGATATCGCAAATAAGCACCATTTATCCAATGATCCAAACATCTGGACACCAAACTCACAAAGCTCTGGTGAAAATGCAACCCGATATTACAACATTATGAAATATCTCAGGGGTGCTGATAGGCTTACTTCACAGTATCCTTATGAAATCCAAATAAATCAATGCATAAGGAAAGCATCCTGTAAAGTTCAAAGCTCTGTCTATATCTAAAGGTCACAAAATGTCGGCCTCTTGATCAAAAGGAATTGTGTTGTGACTGCCAATCTTTTTAAAGTTTTTAAACTAGTTAATACTGTTCTTTTTTAAGTGGGAGATCTCACATGTTAAAAATCAGATTTCTGGCTTCTCTTGAAAATGAGTTGATGTAACAACATAAGACCCACGTTCTCACAAGGCATAAATTAACTGCATCTTAACTGAGAGGTGGCATCTGCTCTCTAGGGACCAATACTTTCGACTCAATCTGTGTCCCTCATTTACATTGCATGCTGGCCCCCTGACCTGTTGAGTTTACTACTCCTGCTTACTACAAATAATCCATTTTTTATTATTAATACTATCTTCATGCATTGAAAACTCAGGAGTTACAACATTTATCTGATTTCCTAGTATTTATCTAATTTCCTAGTTTGACAAAAATGCTGTGGCTAACAAAATTCTCCTTTCACTCTTTGTGTTCACTTTCTGTTTAAAGATGCATAAGTTATGATTTGTTGGTTTGCTTATTATAAATAGGAAAGTTTGTGAGTGCTTAATGCATGCTGTCTCTGAGCATTTCCCAAGAAACCTCTAAAAGAACCATCACAACAAGACACTGAAGTGGGTATGATCATTAGCCCCATCTTACAGGTGAGGAAACCAAGGTACAGTGACATCATACAGATACCAACGGAAAGGCCAGGACTTGCGCCAGGTCTTCCTGACACCAAAATCCATGCTGGTAACTACCCCACCACAATGACAGCCCTTGGGACCACCGTCTCTGTGCATCAATGTCCATCTGCTGTCTCAGTCAATTTCATGCCACAGAATGACCAACTCTTACTGCCAAGCAAGTTCATCAACATTCCCAAATGGGATCAGTGGTGAAATGTGGAGAGTTCAAAGGGGCCAGCAGTGACCCCAAAGCATTGAGTAGCCCCCAAAGAAATATAGAAACAATTCTACTGGGCCCTGGTTTTCCTTTAAATATTGACAAACTATAACCCACAACCCCCCTCACTTAGCTTTTTCTATGATGACTTTTTTTTTCCATGATAACTGCTCTATTTCTCAGAGCATTTTAAAGTTTGTCAGAGTAGCTGCTCTTTGTCCCAATAAGCTGAAGACTGAAATACTCAGAGGTACAAATAAGTAGCAGGGAGGTGTGTGACCCTTATGCATGCTGGGTAAGGCCTGCCTTGGCACTCCCAGACACAGCAATGACCCTGCATGGGCCCAAAGTGTCACCTATCCAGTGGGCAGCTTCACAGACTCAGCCAAGTTGAACCCTTCCTCAGCACCAATATACCACGCAAATGATTTTTTAGGCCTTAACATGGAATTTTAGAAGCAGGGTGTCATCTGCATCTCTGAGATATAAGATAACAGATGAATGACCAGGATCTTAAATTCTCCAGTTCTCTGACAGCTGCATACCAATAACACAAGTCCACAAGGAACATGGATGGGGATGGTCCCCACATGAATCACAGTGCCTGTTTCTACAGGGCTTGGGTTTGAGTCTCTAACCCCTCTGAGGGATCCTTGGGAAGCTGGACTGGATAGTATGTAAATCATTGCAAGGACTTTTTGCCCATGCTGTGCAGGTCGGCCTAAAAGGCCTGGACCAAAAGCAGGGTGGTGGCCTCCTTGGCCACTGGCCCCACACTCCAAGCCTGGTACTCAAGGCTGTAATGCTCCCAGGCAAGAAAAGGCATGGAGAGGCGAATCCAACGAAAAGCCAATGAGCACTTCTCTGTAAGCCCACGGCACAGCCAGCCTAGGCCAACAGCGTATACCCAGGTCTATGCAGGACTGAGAATAGAATCAGATGAAAGCCATAAACTCACTAGCTGACCCCTTGGTGAGAATTTCAAGAATGAAAGAGGCCGAAAGTGAAATCCTAACAAGGGCATATTCCATAGAGACACATCCAAGCTCACTCCTCTCCTCCCAGCCAGAAGATTTTAGTCCAGCAGGATCTTAGTTGCAGTTTCAGCCCGTATCAAAGCACCCTTCCAAGGCTGGATGTACCACTAACACAAGTGATACGGTTTTGCTGTGTCCCCACCCAAATCTCATCTTGAATTCCCACGTGTTGTGGGAGGGACATGGTAGGAGGTAATTGAATCACGGGGACATGTCTTTCCCATGCTGTTCTTGTGATAGTGAATCAGTCTCACGAGATCTGATGGTTTTATAAAGGGGAGTTTCCCTGCACAAGCTCTCATTTCCAGTCTGTTGCCATGTGAGATGTGCCTTTCACCTTCTGCCATGATTGTGAGGCCTCCCCAGCCACGTGGAACTATAAGTCCATTAAACCTCTTTTTCCTTATAAATTACCCAGTCTCGGGTATGTCTTTATCAGCACGGTGAAAACGGACTAATACAAGAATTGGGAGTCAGGAGAGGCTGGGATTTACTACAACTCTTCCACCTCTATCTGTGTAAGCTTGGATAGCTCTGAATACTCACCTGTAAAGCGTATAAGATTTGCTCTACACACCTCAGGAAGAAGGTAGCATATACAAGGTTTTCATAAATTATAAAGTACTGCACAAATGCAAAGATCATTTTTATTACTTCACAGAGTGGGTTCTAATTAAATGACAAAATTCCCTAAAGAACAGCATAGGTTAGATTAGCATTTCCTATTTCCGCACATATATAAACATACTCATGCTGGTCCCTGGTGTAGCCTGAGCCTTGTCCACGTGGCTCTTAGGAGTTTCACCCAAGACAATTTATATAACATTTACTTATTTTCACTCATGCCCAAAGAAAACTATCTTCCTCTCCAATGTGCAGACATAACAGCACCCTCCCACAAGGTTAGTTTCCACTGAGACACAACAGCTTCTTCCCCATGGGAATGTTACTCGTTCCATTAAATTTTATGTTGGGTATTTCTATGCACTGAATCCAGGCTTGAAAGACTCTCAAAAGGAGGTAGGCCTCCTGGCTTGTCTCAAGCTTTCCCATTGCAATGGAATCAGTCTGTGGCTCACACTCAGGCTGCTGAGACCACCTGCACAGTGTGCTCATGGGAAAAGTGCGAGACGCTGCCGCCATCTTGGGTGGCAGCTCAGGGCAGCAGTCAAAGCAAAGGCTCCAATGGCCTGCTGCGGGCAGCATTCAAATCCTGGCTTTGATACTATCAGTTTAATGTTAGACCAGTTCTAGAACCTCCTCACCTATAAAATATGAGTAATACTGTAGTGCCTACCTCATAAGCTTCTTATTAGGATTCAATGAGATAATACATGCTGAAAAGCATTTCAGTGTTCACTCTGAGTTTGTGTCTTTAGCTACTGACTTAACTTCTTCATGCTTTTGCCTTTCCCTTTCTCACACTAAATGTCCTGAATAAATAATAATCAAATAACGAATAAACAAATGCCTCCTGGTAATTGGGAAGGTTATGATGTTATTTTATATTTTATTTTACCCAATTTTCAGGACTTACTCTAATGTCTTCTTTTTGGGGAATTGTTTCACAACTCTGAGATTGGTTTACATGTTCCTCCTGGATGCTCATTTTCATAGTACTCCTGGATAGTAACTGCTTATGTGCTTTTCTATTTCTTCCATTAGACTATAAATAACGTTAGGTGAAAAACAAAAAGTATTTCACACCGTGCCTTTCTGAATGAACAATATTCAATAAATGGCAATTGTTGTTATTAGTCCCTGGGATTACCATTCTCACTCATGCTGTTTCAGAGGCTTTTTACCATGTTCTAAATGTAAAGTTTGGGGAGTATCCCTACAGAAGAAAGGAGCATGTGAGTGTAGAGATCATTGTCAAAGATGGACTTGCTCTTCTTTTGGCAGAAATTAGGATAAGAGTCATCTTTTCTCATTGATTAGTTCCTGGATCCAAATGGAAGATTCCATTAAAGCACTGTAGTTTCTAAGTATTTAATTCAGTTTTGTTGGTGGGGGCGGATATTCCACAGATGTTCATGTGACAAGCATCTTAGGTATCAGGACATCTGTCCTTCAAGAAATTATGTGCAAAAGGTGAAATAAAGGTTTCAGCCTCAGGCAGCTGAAACCTGGGGACACCAACTTTTCAGTGTTGCCAATACCTTCCCAGAGGAGGCAATCTGTAAATACCTACTGAACAAATGGATGAATGAATCCTCAAGTCATATCTCTGCCTCTGTCTAAAGCAGTTAGAGAAAGTGATGCTGGGCAGGGCCCTGACTTTCAGTCAGTTGAAGGAAGGGATTAAAAAAGAGCTGTTCAGACCAAGTATAGTGGCTCATGTCTCTAAACTCAGTGCTTTGGGAGGCAGAGGTGGGAGGATCACATGAGGTCAGGAGTTCCAGACCAGCCTGGGCAACATGGCGAAACCCCATCTCTACAAAAAATTTAAAAATTAGCTGGGCATGGTGGCACATGCCTGTAATCCCAGCTACTGGGGAGGCTGAGGTGGGAGGATGGTTTCAGGATGCAGCGAGCTGTCATGGCAGCACTCCAGCCTGGGTGACAGAGTGAGACTCTGTCTAAAAAAAAAAAAAAGTCATTAATACACATTCCACTTCAGAGATGTTGCTTCTGACCCCCCACAGGACAAGACAGCAATACAGACAAAAGCTAAGGGCTCTGCTCAACACCATCCAATGACAGCTACCTGCCAGGTGCTTCACCTCCATCCTAACTAAACCTTACAACCAGCCCAGGAGGTAGAACTCATGAACCCATTCTACAGATGAAGGAGCTGAGACCCAGACTAAAGACTGCCCAAGGCCCTGCAGACTGGAATCCCAGTCGATTCTCTGCCTCTGAGAGAGAAGCCCAAGTAAGTGAAGATGTGAGGACCTATTGTCTTCTTCCCTCACATCTCCAGAGAGACTTCAGGAGTGCTAGGTTCTGGGGGCAGGCTTGTGATCTCCTCAGGGTCCCCTGAGAACTCCAGGAAAGTGATGAGAGAGTCAGGGTTTGCAGAATTCAGAAGAGTAGGCACTAGACCAAAGCATAGCATAAAACCATTTACCGATGTGGCCATAAGTCCCCCCACCCAACTCCCTCTGTCTCTTAATTGGCTCTCTCTCTCACACACACATACACACACACACACACACACACACACACACACAAACAAACACACGCTGTTAGCAAATCTGTCCTGACAACATCATACAGTCATCCCTCAGTATCCTCAGAGAATTGGTTTCAGGACCCCCTTGGATACCAAAATCAAAGGATGCTCAAGTCCCTATAAAATAGCATGGTATTTGCATATAACCTACTCACATCCTCCCACATACATTAATCATTTTCAGATTATTTATAATACCTAATACACTGTAAATGCGACGTAAACAGTTGATTATACTGTATTATTTAGGGAATGGTGACAAGAAAAAGTCTGTACATGTTCAGTACAGACTCAGCTATCTATTATTTTTTCCAATAGTTTCAATCCAAGATTGACTGAAGGCGTGGATATGGAACCCATGAATAGGGAGGGCAGACTGTATTAGGTGCACATTCATGAGAATAATCAACAGCTCCCCAGATACACAGGACAAACTCAATTCTTCAATAACTGAAGAGGCACAAGTGAGTATTTGTGTGTATTCTTATATGCTCAAGAGAATTCCCAAAGATTTGCCTAGATCTTTCTTGGAAAATCGACTTGGCCTCTGCTGGGATTACTCAACCGCACTTGGAAAAGGGTACCCCAGTGTTAGCAGCTACTGGCTCCATGTTTGGAAAGCAAGTCCTTTCATGGAGTTCAGCTGTTCCTCAGGCATCCAGTAAAGCTGGTTGTGCAAAGGCAGAAAATGTGACAACTGTTGGAAGCCTTCAGCAGCAGCCAATGGGAACAGCCACTGCATCAACAGTTAAAGCAGCCTATTATCCAGTTCACACAAAACACCCACCAGCTACATGGCACCATTAACTCAATATCACCATTCTTATCAAGTTCATGACACACTGGCCATGCTGCCTTGCCACCAACTTTAGAAACCACAAATAACTTCACAAACCATCAAAATACACATGCACAGGGGGAAAGAGAAAGAAGAAAAAAACAACCTTTCTGAGTTCAGAGCACCACGTTCAAAGATTACCTAATAGGCAAACCATGGCATTTCAATATTGCCAGCAAACATCTCTCTCACTTCAGTGGTGAAGTCTCCAAGACATTTCAGATTTGAGGCGTTTGAGAAAGAGGGTCTCAGAGCCTTGGAGACCATGTCAAATGCTTCTAAAAAAGGAAGGGTCTGTGTGCATTTTCCCAATGAAGAATCTGTCCAAAAAGGTTTTGGAAAACGCTTTAATATACTTTGGTTCCAAAACATTACACACTATTTCTCCAACAAATTTATATGTGTTTCCAGAGAACTTCCGAACTGAAAAACACAAATGTATTTAGGTGGAAGAATGTCTGGAGATTCTTTTATGCCAATATGTTAACGGACCTTCTTTTTTAATTGTTACTATTTCATACGGCAGCAGTAATCATTCCCTCATCCTCGAAGGAAATATATAATCCAGCTGTGGTGGCTCCAGTAAAAATACCACATCTGTGGATCATTGGCAACACTGTGTTAAGATTGCTCAAATCTAGGCAGTCTCAGAGAGTTCTTTTTTAAACCCAAGATGCACATGGGTACACTTTTCTGAAAGTGCCTACGAACTTTGCCAAAACTGACTACTCCTTTGTAGGCTGAAAATAGGTTTTCAGATACTCCACACCATAAGAAGGAGGCTCTCATGGAATATTATAACCAGGACCCAGTTGTATGAAGTCCCCAGACCTCCAGGGTGGTGGCTTGTGCCAGTGCCCTTGTCAATATCAAACAGAGAAGGGAAAACTAACATTCCCGGTTTCTGGGAGGAGGTTCTACCGCGTGGCTGGCTGAGTCGCTGACTCCTGGTTTTCCACTTAACAGGAGGACAGCTTCCGCAGAGAGGATGGCAGCCACCGTTCAGGTCACCCTTCTCTTGGTTCTCCAGGCTATGAAGCCAACGTATGCCTGAGCATTCGGTCATAATATTCCTGGAGTCGTCCCCCCACCCCAAGCCTCTGTTTAGTCCTTCCCCAAAGCCCAGCAGCAAGCATCTTTTTTTAAGCCAATCTTCCACATTCAAATCCTCAGTCCAAAGCGCGCCCTTGGGGGTCTCCATCTATAGACATAGAAAAGAAAAGGCAGCCTAGCTGAGCCCTGACAGAGTTTTAGCCCCTGGAACATATGACCTGCGGCTACTGTGCTGGCATGCCGCTTGCCCCGAAACCCTCGGGGGCCCCCTTCCACCCCAGACAATAGAGCAAGAAAATAAAATGAAAGTGGACTTACTGCTATGGCTTGCAGCCTTTCCTTGTGCAATTCCGCCTCTGCCATCCTGGAGAAGGGCACACAGGCAGGGGAAAGAGGAAAGAAAAAACACACGCTGTAGTCACCCAAGGAAACTGATGGGCACCCCGGGGGGCTTTGCTAGAACCCGGGAGAACGCCCAGGGACGGCTGGGGATCCGCTCCAGGGGCGGCGGGCAGAGCTGTGCGCACGGCGGGCTCGCCCGGGCTCAGCCTCTGGCCCCCGCCCTCCCGGCCGCCTGGCTGCGCCCCAGCGCCGCCGCTCACTGCATCTCCCGGTCGCCGCCGCCGCCGGCCGCGCCAGCCGAGGACGTGGGACGCCGGCAGCCGCCGGGAGGGCGCGCTAGCCCGGCGCTAGTTCTCCGCCCTGACGTCTCGGTGCCTCGCTCCGCCCCTGGAGTGTGATGGACCCGAGGCCGCGGTCCAAGGCGGCTCCGAGCGATCGCCGCCGCGGGTCTCCAAGGCGCAGACGGAGGGCGCGCGAGCCAGTGGGCACCTGGGGCGCGGGCGCACGGCGAGCCGCTGGGGCGCACGGCTGGCGTGGCGCGCCCGCGTGGACACGCGCTTGCTGGGGCGGAGGCAGAGCGCAGTGGCGCCTCCACCGGGCAGATGCCAGTGGAGAGGGGCGTCTGACCGAATGTGGGACCCGAGCACGTGCTGTTACGTGGGGGCTGGGGCCACCGAGTGTTCAGGGCACCTTCTGGCTCAAGCCAGACGCTTGAGCTCCACGTGGGGACATTTACAATTTGGGAAGGGCTGCCTTGCCCAAGTGGCCCACATGCTTAAGATGACCAAGTTCTCAATATCAAGTCGGCCGAGGGTAGGGTATATCTCCAGAGAGGCCACCCTTCTGGTGAGGCGATATGTGGCCTTAAAAGAAGCCGAGAGTTTTTAGTCCTGGGTGCTAGACTAGATTTCACAATGTGTTAGCTGTGAAATCTCAGGCAACTCGCTTAATCACTCTGAACCTCAGTTTCCTCATCTGAAAAAATGGAGGATCACATAGGTGTCATTAGAGACGAATGAGAGACAGTATGTAAAGGTGCTTTGTAAAGGGCATCACAGACATCTGCTCTTATTATCCTGTGACATTCTGGATTGAAATCCTTTCAGGGTCTTCTGTTCATTGCATCTGAAAGGAAAAGTAGGATCTACTCACTAAAATATTTCACCTATTCTTTACTAAAACAGGATACCATGTGGTACTAATGTGAGTCTTTTGTGACAGGTCCTGGACTGGATGTAAGAAGTGGATCAGGCCCAGTCCAAAAGGAGATCAATGCCAAAAGCAAAAAAAAATGCCTCTTCACATTGAGGCAGGACCTGCTAGAATTCCCAACATTCATATGCAAACGTTTCTTCATCAAATGAAATAAACACTGAAATAACTAATATGGCCTCTTTAGAGCCATAGGATTTAAAGGCATGTTAAAAGATATACACATCAGGCCAGATGCGGTGGCTCACACCTGTAATCCCAGCACTTTGGGAGGCCAAGGCGGGTGGATCACCTAAGGTCAGGAGTTCGAGACCAGCCTGGCCAACATGGTGAAACCCCTTCTCTACTAAAAATACAAAAAATTAGCCGGGCGTGGTGGCAGGCACCTGTAATCCCAGCTACTTGGGAAGCCGAGGCAGGAGAATCACTGGAACCTGGGAGGCAGAGGTTGCAGTGAGCCGAGATCACATCATTGCACTCCAGCCTGGGCAACAAGAGTGAAACTCTGTCTCAAAAAAAAAAAAAAAAATGCACATCAAATTTTCCCAGATCACCTGTTTCCTGAATAAATGCTTCCATTTCAACTAAATTGCCCTTTCAATTTTCACAGAGGTTCACCTGTCACTGATGAACAATTACTCCTCTGACCAAAGATGGAAGCACTCACCAAAATCGTTTACTGATGGATTGTTTTCCCATCTTTTTCATAACAAGTGTAGGTGGAGCTGATTGTTTAATAAATCCAAGCCAGTGCCAGATTCTACATCCCACTCCAATATATCAGAAACTTCTACTTTCTGGCTAAGCCCATCCTTTTCTTCAAATGCATCCTTTTTTCTTCATTTCCAGCACAAGCCCCAGCAGGACAAGTTATTTAAAGGGGTTTGCTCACAAATAAACAAAGCTGTTATTGCTTCAGCAGAGTGATTGTAGAGAATACTAAGATGAGGAAAATGAGACCAGAGAGGTTGAAAGACTCAGCTACAGTTATAGAGCTGGGATTTAAACTCAGATCACACTCACCAGAGCCCATGCTCTTAACCATTAAGCACCAGGCTTGGCCAATGATATGGAGATAGAAGCAGGCCCCAGGAATAAACAATTGAACCAGAAATGGTCCTTCTACTCCCAGCTATACAGATATTTAAAAGGTATGATTGAGCACAACAGTGTGAATGTACTTACTGTCATCAAACCATATGCTTAAAAGTGGTTGAAATGGTAAATTTTAAGTTTTGTATTTTTAACCGCAATAAATTTTTAAAAGGAGTGATGGAATGGGGAGATGGAGAAGGAAAAGGGCCTGGGCACCCTTTGGAAGTGATCAGTTGGAAATATCTGAACTCTGAATAGAAGAATCGGGGTTGGGGACACACATCCAAGTGTCATCTACTTTGCGGTTACAGCTAAAGAAATGAGAACAGCCAGGATGAGAAAACAGAGCAAGAAGAGGAGAGAGCCCAGCAAAGAAGACTGATAAAGTATCATCCGAGAAGTAGAAGGAAAAATTCAAAGGGATTTGCACCAAAAGCCACAAAGAAGGAAAGAGGTTTTCAACAGGGTCATATGCTTCTGAAAGGTCATGGGGGATGCAGATGAAGAAGAGACCATTGGAGGGCTGTCAGTAAGCCATGAGTGACTTGTGTCCAGAAGATGAGCTTGGAAGCACTTACAAGAGGTGAGGAATGACTGCTACCAAGTGAATGTTGAAAATAAAACAAACAAAAATGGGGATGAGCGAGAGATCAGAGAAGCAACCATGAGTACAAACTGCTTCTTTCAGCTCTTCAGATGTGAAAGATGAAGGTGGAGAACAGGAACATAGCCCATGGGAAGCAGGGTCTAGTGGAAAGGGTTTTTAGGTCAGGCAAGACTTGGATGTTTGGGGGTCAAAGCAAATTAGACAACAGGGAAATTAGGCCAAAGATACAGTCAAAAAGGAAGGTGAATATTAGTCAAAGTCTCTAATTAGTCAAGAGGACATTCAGATGAGCATCACATTAGCCAGTTAGCCTTGGGAAGAAGGAATAACGAAGTAGGGAAGGAGGAAGAAATGGATAAAGACAAGAAGAAAGTTTGAGTTCAACTCTCAGGAGAGAGGTTAAGTGAATTTGCATCAGATGGACTGGTTTTCCCAATTGAACAAAGAGTCATTGATTAAGACTGATGGCGTAGGGTTGGGGCTTCAGAAAAATAGAAATCGTTTGTAAAGAAACTGTGAAAGATGAGAAAGACTAAAACATGGTTCCTAATCAGAAATCTGCATCAGAATCTCCTGAAGACCTGTACAGAATTAAATTTCTACAGGGTGATGTGGGAGTTAGGGATGGGTTTAGAACCTTTGTACTAATTGAATTTACTAGGAATAGACTAAAGACTCATGACCAATAGTGTGTACTTCCTAAGTGATTTTTAACTGCCCTGAGACCCACAATAAAAAAAGCTTGTGTTTATTCAGTGTTGCGGATTATCAAAGCAGGTAAGACAAAAAGCCAAAGAAGAGAGGAAATTCAAAATGCTTCTGGCCAGGTAGGAAGTGTAACAGACTTGTTCATATACACATTTTTTTTTCCTCTGGCTGGCCAATTTGTGAACTCCTTCCCATCTTTGGGGATTTCCCATATTAAAAGCCATAGTGAGAGGCAGAGCCACATCCTGTGGTAGAAGCTGGGAGGTATCAGACACTTGTTCCCCAGATCCCCCTGAAGCCATGGTATGGCAGGCAATCTCGGCTCAGTCAGGCATGTGTGCCTGCCAAGAATTTTGGAGACTGAGCATGTTAGAGAATTCCTTCAGGCTATTAGTTCACCTTTGGTTGTACCCATTGCCCAAGCTTCCTTCTTTGGACGTTCCATCTCTCCTGTGAGCTATCTAATACAATTTCATTTCATTCTTTTTCTGCTCCTATCAGCCAGAATCTATTTCTGTTGCTTGGGACCAAGAACCCTAGGTGAAACAGGAAGGCACATGAAATGACTGCCTGATGGTTGGCCAAGGAGCAGAGGGAAAATCTTTTTTCCTCTTCCAGCACTTCTTTCAACTTTCTAAATTTTAGTATTTTAAAATCTTTGAACCCATTACAAACACAGGCATTTAAAACCCAAACTATGCTATTTATTTAATAAACATATTGTATAATTATTTTATATTAGATGTTTGGC
The DNA here is from genome assembly GCF_000001405.40 of Homo sapiens. Lineage (NCBI taxonomy): Eukaryota > Metazoa > Chordata > Mammalia > Primates > Hominidae > Homo > Homo sapiens. The sequence goes on along the minus strand of NC_000009.12, from coordinate 109,776,136 downwards.
CATGGCCTGGTATTAAGAAAAAAAATCGTAGTCTAGTGCCACAATGATATTGGTGACTATTTGCCCTCCAAACATTTAAAATCTGGATATATACATCACAATGATGCATAATGTATGTAACAAATCACTAGTTCTTGCTGGGACATTAAATTGTGTTGCATAAACACCATCTGTACGGTTTAGTGGTTTTTATGATAGATGCTTCATTGCAAAGCATTATACGAAAAGGATACAGAATGCTAGATATGCAAAATAGATGTTTTGTTAATAAAAATTTCAGAATCTATTTTAGAACATGAGTCCTTTGAGAATCACAAACGATCATAGCCAATTCCTTTGTGGGGAAAACAAGAGCTCTGTATACCAAAAGGGAAATGACTTGCCAAGGCCCGTTGTGTGAGTAAAAGTCAGTCTTGTTGAGCAAGAGCTATGAGTGTGACATTTCCCAGCAACCTGAAGCTTCCCTTGGACAAAAGTAATTTTGAAAGGAATGCCAGGATCCCCTCAAATGTTTATATTTGTGTTAGTTCTTTTTTGCCTGGGATCTTTTGAAAATAAATGGTCATTTAAAACATATGTGATAGCTGCACAGAATCAAAAGAAGGAGAACATTGCCTGTGGTCCTCTTGGCTCCTGTGGTTGTTAGCTCTTTGGGAAAGTTGATGGGATTTCAAGTATATGCTATTTTTCTCCATGGGATCCAAATGATAGATTCATTTAGGGAGTCCCCATGGAGCAAGAAGATAGAAAGAAGTCAGAAAACAGCACCATTGTGAAAAATAAACTAGGCTGAATGTTGCTTAAGGTATATAGTGGCTAAGGTCTTTACATAGCAGATTGAAAATGAGCAATTGGAAATCTGGCTAGAAATGAATATCAATATTTCACTGTGATGACTTCCTTTTCTCTTGGTTAGCTTTGGCAATGTCAGTTGATCAACATGAGTCCCTAGAGGAAACTGGGTAGATAAGGAGAGTGTACGGGAATCAATTAGAGCCAAATGGTTAGAGATCATTCTACATTTATTTTGTTGTGGTAGTATGGACAAATCACATAATAGATTAGAATGACAGTTTCCTTACATTAAGATGGAAATGAAAATATGTGATGTCCAGTCTCATTGGGTTGTCATATCTGATAAGTTTAAATACTGTGTTATTCAGATGTTGGTCCAGAGTGGTAGTCCTGTTAATGACAAAAGTTTTGAAAAGTAGGATTAGGAAGTAGGAGGTAGATATGACACAGAAAAGACAGGAACTCTGAAGACAAGTTGGAATCTCAGCCCTCTCACAGGGATGTTGTAATAAATAAGGTTAACAGATGTAAAAGGCTTGTGATTGGCCATGGTAGGTGCTCTGGAAATGGTAATCTTGATCACTCAACCCAATCATTGCTTCATGAAAAATGCCATGGACCAACTTAAGTGAATGACTTCATTTTATCCACCCTTTTATGTAGGCTTTTTTTTTTTTAAGGGTTGAGCTATCGGTATTCTTAACATTCCTCCCATTAGTCAGTACTTCTCATTTTCCATCTTTTAAACAAGAGGATTCTGCCCTATGTCATTTATTATCTAGAAACACCTTTACTAGACTCTGCTTTTAATGATTCTTAGACATCTACAGTCTTATCTTTTAGTGTGGGTCAATCTAACAATTATAAATAAGAAGGAATTTAAAAATTTAAGAGGAGATAGATTAAATCCTAGGAAAATATGGGAAGAACAGCTTAATTTTTGAGTATTAGGAAGAGAGCTACATGCCTACATATTGAAGGTGCTCTGTGGTAGAAACAATTCTAGGTTTGGCTATGAATTAGCTACAAACTAGAAAGTCTTTGGGAAGGCCAGGTTCTACTCCAGCCTGGTTATCTGATGCCAGTAGACACAGTCAGGTCATTGGTTTCTCAGAGAGCTTAGGGGCCAGTCTGGTTTACCTTAGCACAATGACCACGATGTGCTCCGTCAGCTTGGAATCCCTTTTGGTAGCGTGGCCATCAACACTTTCATTGTTAACCATGTTTCAATAATGCCGTGTACATTCTGCAAGTCAGCACTGCTGACAAGAGAGAAATTTCCTGCGGGGTTGGCAGTGGAGGGATGGTGGCCTGCCTACTAAATCCTGTCCACCCTGCTGGCTGGGGAATGAATAATGAAATTGGGAAAGCCTAGCTTCAGCTCCTACCACCTATGGATGCTGTGCCTGCCTGACACCTTTGGGAATGACAGAGGTCTCAACTGCCCCTTGCACACCCTCCATATATTGACTAAATGGATCCTAGCCAGTCTCAAAAATTGCTCATTACTAATGTGTGACCCTCCCAGCCAGGGCCTCCCGGACAAACTGCCTTTCCCCAAAGCAGCTCATGGTAGAGTGGAATGAACATAAGACAAAGTATCAATCCTAGGTCCTAATCCTAACTCTGCCACTTGCTGTGTGACTTTGTACAAGTCACTTGCCTGCTCTGAACTGAGGTTCTCTATTTGTAAAATGGGAATAGGTTTTCCATCTGTAAACTGGGAACAGGGATAGCTAACTAGTCCCATTAGATTCTTATAAGTTTAAAGTTCGTGAATGAGAAAGTGCTCTGAGAACTACAAATGCTGTGAGAGTGAAGAACTACAGTGAAATAAAATACTTCAAAAGTAGGGCTTAGGGACATGCTGACTGGTTGGTGGGAAGATGTTTAGAAGGTGTTGCAGGCCAGGTGCAGTGACTCATGCCCACAATCCCAGCACTTTGGGAGGCTGAAGTGGGAGGATAGCTTGAGGCCAGGAGTTCAAGACCAGCCTGGGCAACATAGTGAGACCCTACCTCTACAAAAAAAAATTTAAATTAGCCAGGTGTGGCAGCATATGGTTGTAGTCCCACCTACTCAGGAGGCTGAGGCAGGAGGATCATTTAAACCCAGGAGGTCGAGGCTGCAGTGAATCATGATCGTGCCACTGCACTCCAACCTGGATGAGAGAATGAGAACCCCATATCAAAAAAAAAAGACTTTGCAACATTCTTTTTTTTTTGAGATGGAGTCTTGCTCTGTCACCCAGACTGGAGTGCAGTGGCACGATCTTGGCTCACTGCAAGCTCTGCCTTCCAGGTTCACGCCATTCTCCGGCCTTAGCCTCCCAAGTAGCTAGGACTACAGGCGCCCGCCACCACACCCGGCTAATTTTTTGTCTTTTTAGTAGAGATGGGGTTTCACCGTGTTAGCCAGGATGGTCTCCATCTCCTGACCTCGTGATCCGCCCGCTTCGGCCTCCCAAAGTGCTGGGATTACAGGCATGAACCACTACACCCGGCCCGACCTTGCAACATTCTATAGCCACTGTAGACTCAGTGCACCGGGAGAAAAGGTTGTGCTAACACATAAGATAAAATATGCTTTCAAGTTTTTGGAAGGGTTTCTAAGATGATCAAGCCAGTAAATGAAAATGCCAGCACCACCTGGGGCTCTCATTCACTCCTTGATGTTTCTCAGTCACTCCAGTGATTTCCCCTTCATGGGGTTTGAAGACCAACAGCCCCACATTCTGATCTACATATCTAATTAGCTTAAATACACGCAGAAAAGAGTGTAGCAGTCAGAGGATGAGATGGGAGAAACAGAGATAAGCAGAAGAGAAGGAAACAGAAAAACTTGGATCTTTTGTCAGTTGTGTGTGTGTGCCAAACCTATATTTGAATGCTGTTTGGTCTGTGTTTACTTTAATGTGTTCTTCTTTCTGCATTCATTCAGAGCTAAATTTATCCCACTAGAGAAGGCATACTTGGGGAGGTGGGGGTGGAAAAAGAACAGACACAAAGGCGGCTGCTTGACTGGGAGCCAGGAGCCTTGTGGAGTTCCCTGGAAGAAGACGGTGGTAGCCAGCACATGGAAGGTAGCCACTCCAGAGGCTCTGTGAGGACTCTGTGCAGACTTCACAAGGGAAGGTGTTTCCACAGGAGCCTCTGCGCCCTTCGCTTTTGAGAAGGAAGTGACCAGGAACAAGACTTTAGAACTTGTAAATTAGAAAAAGCAGTTCTATAACTCCCATGAGCTCCCAAATCTGGCCCAACCCTTCAGGAAATGAAGACTCAGCAGCTCTCTGGCCTCCCCAGGGAAAACAGTGTCTGTCCCCACGGAAAGAAGAAGGGCAGCTGGCAGGGCCACTTCTGCTGCAAAGGTGATCTTGCTTTCTATTGGAGGGTCATGCCAGTTGTTTATCTGCTGCGGTAATGCCTCTGGGGTGGGAGGGGAGGAGAGGGAGGTTGTTGCATTCCACCTTCTGGGTCGGATTAAGTATTGTGCCCCTAAAACTGGAGGTAGGATCATTAATGCTCCCTGGGCTGCGACCCAGGTGCCTCCTGTTGGTCCTTCATGATTTTCTTTCTTCCCACTCAGTTATCATCTTTCCTCCTCTAATGCCTTACTTCTCACTCCCCCAGAGTGAGCCCTTCTTACACTATTTTCTGTCAGTGGACAAGTCATTGAAATTGAGATAGCTTTTCCTGCGATCAGAGAGTTCTCTGTTAGAATTGAAGACCTTTCTGTAGAACAGGTAGTCAATTTCCATCTGGGACTCTGTCCATCATTATGAAACTTCCCTTCATTGATTTGGGGGAAGGGAGATTTCTAGGATTCTGGGATGGTTCTCCTTTGTTTTAGGCTCAGATAAGTCACCACAGCATCTTGCCAGAGTTTTACCCTGTATTTGGTGTCTAGTACCCTCCACTCCTCCCCAGAGAACTTGACACCTTCTTCATCTGTTCGTCCCATTCCAAATTTGGTGCTTTCTCATACCATGAGCTATGCTTGGAATGCAGCTCCCCCTCCTTCTTCTAACTTTCCAAGTCCCTTCTTGTTAACTTCACAGAGTTCCAGAAATCCCACCCCCTCTTGGTATGCTTGTCAGTCCCTTTGGGAAGGAAAAGGGGTTATCCCTCCTAATTCCAAACATAGCATGACTTGCAAATTGAATGCTCAACTTGCCACTCTTTCAGTTAATTCTAAAAATTATAAAGTCACAGCCTCGAAGGAGCTCTTGTCAGATTAATTGGTGTCCCATAAGCCACCATGATCATTGTTTGCATGTGATGAAGCTACTTAAGTTGGGAGGAAGCATAGATTGGACAAACCTGACCTTATCTTCCAGTTCTTACCACTTAATGACCTTGAGAATTGTACTTGACTTCTCTGAGTTTAAGCTATGCTGTCTGTAAAATGGGAAATACAATAGTATTCATTTCATAAGATTATTGTGACAAACAAATGAGATAATGTATACAAAGCTCCTGGCATATTGCAGATGCTCAATGAATTCTATTTTCTAATTATGAGCATAATCTTATCTGTTGACACCTGTATCCTTCTGGATGTTGACACCTATATCCTTCTAGATGTGTTTCTACATGCCTGTGTTCCAGTAAAAACTCCTGAGTGGCATGTTCAGCCCAGCACCAGTTGTGCCCAAGTGTACCCAAGATGGCCCTTCAGACTAGACCAGCATTTGCTCATGAATGTTCTTGACTGGTTGCTAACCTGGTCATTGCCTCTTACCTGTAAAATTTGCAATCCAAGGTCTTTTGATGCTGTACAAACCTTTTGTAACATTTTGACTATGCCAAATTCTGCATTTATTATCAGAGGTGGGAGACAAAAGTATAAAGTGTTCTACTGTGTGGTTTTTGGTACCATCCAGAACAGTGATTCTAAGCTTTAGGGGAGAAGAGTTCACAGAATCCTTTCAAGAATCTGGTAAGAACTATAGACTCCTTCTCAGAGCAGTGCACATGCATACAGCATTTTATGTATAGTTTCTGGGGTATCAGGAATTCCTTGAATTCTTCCAAGGACATTCTTAGAAGACTCATGGACTCCTGGTTAAAAAAAAAAATCTGCTCTGGGTCTTAGAATATCAGAGCAACTGAGAGGAACAAGAGAAAGTGGTTTATCTTCAAGACCCAGAAGCTCCTTTTGGGTATGAATGGAAGAGCACAAGAAGTCTGGCCAACTCCGACCCAGCCCAAGAGCTCCTCTGACCTAGCCAACCATTGGCTGTCTGAGCTCTGAGAGCTGCCCTTCTCTAGTTCTTTTCACTGTTGATGGCACAGAAAAGGCACAAATGCCAAGGAATCCCCTCTCTGGGCTTGGGTTACTGCCACTGTCTTTCTCCCAACCAAAGCTTCCTCTGACTCCATGTCTACCCAGCCTTTAGTTCTTCTAGGGAGAACAGCCTTCACCCGATCTCCCCGAGAAGGTACCTCCTTTGCATCTACATACAGTAGTTATCCTTTCAATCTATTCTTGCCTCCCAGGATAAGCTTGAAAGTGCTTTCTATTCTAGGTGGAAACAAAAACAAAAATAGATTTCAGGACCCCAAGTTGCAAATTCATTTAAATAAAACATAGCACTATGTTGAAACAGAATAATAAAACGGTTTGTCCACATCACCCTCAAACACTGTTAGGTCCATCTCATCAGGCACCTTCACAAATATCCTCCAATATTAAAAATCCACTTTCCAAAAGCCTGCCTGGCTTTTCCCCCCAACCACTGTTGGGTGAAGTCATTTTACTTCCAGTTTGGAAGTTCTAGCCAGAATCTGAGCTTAGTCCAAAACTATTGGACTCTGTGGCTTCCAAGGAAAACAGTCTGTCGCTGATTTAAAGACACTGTTAGGTTGGTGCAAGCCAAAACAAATGGAGCAGGCTTTTCATTAATAAGGAGGAAGCAGCCCTTCCAAGGTGGTGACTTAATAAAGCAAGTGACACATGGGCATCAGGTTTCAAACCCCAGCACCAGACAGACTCAAGATTTCACACTTGCCCTCTGAGCCAATAAAACCCTAAACTTGATAATCCCACTATTTAAAAACATTGTAACACCCCCAGCCCACAGAGGAAACGTTTATTTGCTAAGAATATGACCATTGGTGGGAAAAATAATGTGCATAGGTACACTTTTGCCATTTCACTTTCGTAGGAGTAAAAAACTAGTATTTTTATGGGTTCTTATAAGGCAGAAACAAACTAATGTCAGTAAAAACTACTATTTTTATGGGTTCTGATAAGGCAGAAACAAACTAATGCAAGTAAAAACTTGAAAGTTTCCAACAGTCTTTTTAAATTAAATAAAAGTATGAATAGAAGACTGGAGAGGATAGTCTTGAACTTAAGTTGTTTTTATATTTATTTATTATAAATAGAGATAGGGTCTCACTATGTTGCCCAGGCTGGTCTCAAACTCTTAGGTGCAAGCAATCCTCCCACCTTGGCCTCCTGAAGTGCTAGGATTATAGGCATGAGCCACCTTGCCTGGTCTATTTTTAAATTTAATACACACTTACATGGTGCTGACTATATTACTGAATTCATTCAAAGTGCTTTACATATATTAACTAATGTAAACCTCATATCAGCCTATGAGAGTAGCACTATTATTATCTGAATTTTACAGATGAGGTAACTGAGGCACAGAGTGCTTCCAGTCACACAGCTTCTAAGTGGCAGATGTAATAATATCAGGTGATGAGCTTACTGTTTGTAGTATGTGACTGTGTGGAACTACTTAAGTATCAGGAACATTTAGCAGTATTATTTAAAAAATTGCATATTTCAAAATAGCTAAAAGAGAGAACTTGAAATGTTCCCAACACATAAAAATCATAAAAGCTTGAGGTGCTGGATACCTCACATACCCTAACTTAATCATTACATATTTTATGCATGTAACAAAATATCACATAAATCCCATACATATGTACAAACATTATGTATCAATAAAAAATTTAAGAATAAAAAATATGCATTTGAAAGAGGCAAAAGGGATACTTTTTTTTTAAGTACTTGGACTGTCATCCTAAGGAATAAGGCCTCAGATAACAAACATTAAAAGGACAATCAACTGAGCTGACTCCCCCATCCTTCCTTCCTTCTTTCCTTCCTTCCTTTTTTCTCCCTGCCTGCCTGCTTTACTCCCTCCTGCCCTCCTACTTTCCTTCCTCCTTCCTTCTTTCCTTCCATTTCTTTCTTTCTTTCCTTCCTTTCTTCTTACCTTTCTTCCTGCCTGTCTTCCCTCCCTTCCTCCTTCCTTCACTGTTTTTCTTTCCTTCCTTCCCTCTTTTTCTTTCCTTCCTTCCTTTCTTCCTACCTACCTGCCTTTGCTCCCTCCTTCCTTCCTTCCTTTCTCCTTCCTTCTTTTCTCCCTCTCTCCCTCTTTTCCTTCCATCCCACCTTCCCTCCTTCCATCCTGCTAAATGTATTAGCCCACGCTTTGAACCAGGCATTGTCCCATGTGCTAGAGATCAGCTGCCTTTTTTCCACCTAGAATCCAGGGAAGGGAGAGAGACATTAAGAGTAGAGAAGTGCACACTGTAACTTAGGAATGCTCTGAAGCAAGCCAACACTAAGGGGAGAGAGTGGCATGGGGGTGATGGTTTAGGTATGGGAGGAGGAAGTGACAATCAGACAGCCCCGAATGAAGCCAGCGATGGAGTCATGTCAGGGCAGAGGGAGCGAGGGGAGGGGTTCAGGGAGAGGAGGCCAGAGGGTGGCCCCACCAGATCTCGGCCTTGGGAGGGGTTAAGCAAACTGCAAAGTAATGTATTTACATTTTAAAAGGTCACTCCAGCTGCCAGGGATGAGGCAGGGAAGAAGATGTAAGCAGGGAAACCAGCAAGATCCTGCAGGATTCATGTGAGAGACCTGCAAAATGGTGTGGTAGGGGTAGATGGGGCAACAGCCTCCAAAGATGCCCACGCCCTAATCCCTGGAACCTGTGAATGCATCATCTCCAATGGCAAAAGGGACTCCAAGGAAGTGGTATTAGGGTGGGCACAGGCCGGTGGGGCGGCCCTGATGGAACTAATGTTTGGACAAAGCCAGGAGACCTTCACTCTGGGGTTGGAGGGAGCAGTAGGAGGGGACAAAAATCCAAAGTCAGCTGAGGAGGGGCCAGAACACATGAGCAAGGGGAACATGGACCCCTAGGGTTCCAATCACAGCTTTGAAGCTTACAAGGTGAGTTTAAACTTGAGAAAATCACTGCATTTCTCTCACATCAGCTCTCTCAATCAGAAAATGAAATTAATAGTGCCTAACTCATATCGGTGTTTTGAGGGTAAAAGTAGATAATCCATGTAAATCCCCAGGCACAGTGTCTGGCAGGTACTAAGCACTCTCATAAATGCCAGTCAGCAGCATTCTCACAAATGGAGTCGGGGACAGTGGCTAACAGCACTGGCACTGCAAGGCTCTGGGTTCCAACGTCAGCTCCATATTTATTGGCATGGGGGAGCCCTGGGCAAGGTACTTAACCTCTCTGTGCCTCAATTTTATCCTGGGTAAACTGAGGACAATAATATCTACATTATGGGGTTCATGAGAAGGTCTGTGTTGGCTTTTATTATTCTGCTGATGAGGATGATAAATAATGCACAGATTCTTTATGAAATGAAAACCTAGAGGGTAGATTTACTACATCAGAGTCTTTGTAATCCGCTATTTAAATGACTCACTATTTCTGCCTTATCAACATGCAGCAAAAGGATGATGAGGTTAACATGAAATCCATGCACAATAAATAAAGATGCTGTCAGCTTTGCCTTAAGGGTGATTTCACAATGCTGTGAACTCTATGATGCACAACCAGGCAGTGAAGGCCTTGCTTTGAGGAAATCGCAATGAGTCTGCAAGAAGATGCAGAGCCAACCTTTGAGAATTAATAGCCTATGCCTGTCAGTCATTCCCATTTTAATCTTCTACCCCTCCCTTGCCCAGTCTAGCTGTGGGCCTCTGAGTCCCTACACCTGAACCACATTTAGGGTCAGGGACCTTGGCATTTAATGATGTTTGGAAAACACTCAAATCATTTGTGCCAAAAACAGGGGTGACAATACTATTCCCACTGGGCAGGGTCATTGACTCGGCAGTTTGACCTACACAAGTGGCCCTTTTATGGGCAAAACGTTGACCCTGAGCTCCACAATATAAAGAGCTAAGTGCTCAGTGCATAGCATGTCCTTAAGTGCTTTCCGAAAGGACTCCCCAGACAGTAGGGAAGGTAATGCATGTACACTTGACATATCTTATCAGAGAAGCCCAAGACAGCCTGCCTGCCTCTCCTCCCTGGGACATTAGTGAGGAGCTGGGGGAATTCCAGAAGGCAGGCATGTGACACTCTGCATATGACAGGCCTGGGTATAACCAGGAACCATGTGGCCTCCATCACAATTGGTCACTGGGTTGATACCAAGTCCCCGACCATGTTGTGCATTGCATCTCAGGCTCAGGAGGTTTTACTCATCCCCTAAAACCTGATGCCTCATACTGTGGTCTGTGACAGCAGCAGCAGCATTACCTGGAGCTTGTTTGAAATGCAGATTATCAACACCCTGAGACCTTCTGAATCAGAATCTGCATTTTTTACAAACTGCCCTAGTGATCTGTGCACAATTCAAGTTTGAGAAGCACAGATCAAGGCTGGGTCTCAACTGTGACTGCACATCAGACTTTTAAAGGCGGGTTGCTCTAAAATTATACCCTTACCCAATGCCCACTCCAGACTAACTATATCAGGATCTATTTGTAAATTTCTCAGGTGATTTTACTATGCAGCCACTATTAAAAACCACAGATGTCATTGATGATGATGATGATGATGATGATGATGATGATGATGATGATCATGATCATGATCATGATGATGGTGATCATGATGATGGTGATGAAGACGGCAATGACTGCAGGTAACATTACTGAGCACTTACATGTGCTGAACTCTTCTTACTAGTATTTAACTCATCACAATTCTGTGAAGAAGTACTAGCATTGTCTCCACTTAAGACATGAAAAATTAAGGAACTGCCTAAGGTCATATAGCACAGATGTGGCAGAGCCAGAATTTGCAATTTTAACCTCTTCACAAATCACTGAGCCTGCCTCAGACTGACTTCATCAGAATCTCTGGGGGTGGAGCTTAGGTGTCCACATTTTAAACTTATGGACCAGGTAAATCTAATTCATACTAAAGTGTAAGATGTGAGAACCACGTTTTATCCACTCCCAAAGGGGTTTCTTTATTTTAAGGCTTTAGACATTAAAAAGAATCAGAGCTATAATGAGTTTGCTCAGCAGTTACTTTTGGCATCATCTATGGGGCAGTTCAGATACATGGCTGTTCATTATTTATATGACAAAGATATGAATCCTGAGTATCCACATTCCTTCCTCACTAATAACTGCTCAGGTCTTCTCATCACAGATGGTCCTAGCTTTAGTCCAGGTTTCACCTTGTAGTTCCAAATGATTCCTGACTCAGAGTTTTCTTTTCTTTTTTTTAAAAAATATTCATCCCTTTATCCGTTCATTCATCTACCCATGCATCCATCTATCCATCCATCCCATCCCATCCATCCATCCGTCCATCCATCCATTCATCCATCCATCCACCAGTCATTCATCATTCAACACCTTCCACTACTGCACTGGCATCGGTGAGGCAGAGTTGAATAAGGTGCAACTCTCAAGGGGCAACAGAAACATTAATAGATCTTTGGGAATCAGTTGATACAGTTTGATGACAGGGGTGAGCTCAAGAATCAGTAAGGATAAGGAGGCAGTTCTTGGGATCTAGGGGAACTGCCAGAGAAGGGTCCAGGAAGGCATCTCAGAGGAGATGAAATAAGAACTGAACTTCAAGGATGCATAGGCTCTCAATGGGGGCTAGGGGGGAGGTAGTATATAGGCAGAGAGAACAAGCTGTGCAAAGGCCAGGAGGTGTAAAAGAGCGCAGTGTGTTTAGAGTTCTGGGAGACACCCTGTTTTGGAGAAGGATGTACAAGATGGAGGGGGGTGGGAGATGGCCCTGGGGAGATGAGATAAGCTCCAGGTTGGGTCTAGTTCAGCATGTCAGATGTTCCCCTGCAGGTGACAGGGAGCCACTTGAGGGTGTAAAAGAGGAAGATGTTTTGGAAAGCTCACTGGGGATACTTTACTGAGAATGGGTTGCTGTGTGAAGACTGCAGGCAAGGAGACTATTATAAGAGTATAGTCAAGAGACAATAGGAGCCTGAATTGAAAGTAATAACTATGATGACTGTACCTGGGTGAATAGTGGCTGTCCAAAAGATCTGTCCAAGTCCTACCCCTTGTACTTGTGAATGTGACTTCACTTAGAGTCTTTGCAGAAGTAATTTAGTTAAGGATATTGAGATAAATCATCCTGAATTTAAGGTGGGACCTAAACCCAATAACCAATGTCTTCATAAGAGAAAGAGATTTAAGACACACACACACACCCAGAGGGGAAGGCCACATGGAGACAGAGGCAGAGATTGGAGCAATGTGTCCATGAGCCAAGGACCTCCACCTACTTCCCTCCCACCCCACATTGAGGGCCTATGCATCTCTGAAATTCCAGCAGCTGCCAGAAGCTAGGAGAGAAGCAAGGACAGATTCTTCCTTAGAGCCTCCAGAAGGAACCAACCCTGCTGACACCTTGATTTCAGACTTCCCACTCCCAGAACTATGAGAGAGTGAATTTCTCTTGTTTTAAGCCACCCAGTGAGTGGTCATGTCTTACAGCATCCCTAGGAAACTAACATAGCTAAGAAACTAATATTAAGTACCCTGTGAATGCTTCACAGGTGTCAATTCATTTGGCACCCCAAACAGTTCCTAAACTGGATATGGTAGTATCATTCCCATCTTTCAGATGAAGAAACTGAGGCACAGAGAAGTTAGGTATTTGACCTAGGGTTGCAAAGCAAGTAGGAGGCAGGGCAGGGTCTTACCTACCGACAGTCTGGTAGTATAGCCCGTGGTCTCAGCTCTATGGAGATGGAGAGAAAAGGGCAGATTTGAGGAGGCGGGGAGGATGAATAGGGCCTGGCAATGGATGGTGGGCAGGAGGAGGCCAGCCTTCTGGGTTTCAGGCTTTTGTGGTCCCTCCGCCCTCTGAGTTTCCCTCAGCTTCTGTTTTTCATGCCACAGTGACCCCCGGGATATGTTAACCTGTCCAACTCTCTAGCCCTGCTTTTGGGACCTGCTTCTCAAGGAGTCCTTTGCTCTCTCCACTTATATCCTTGAAAAGGCTCTACCCTTATTGACTCCCTGAAAGTGCTGCCCTCTGGTCTCTCTTGGCTTCTCTGTCCACATAGGCATGTGCCTGGCTCTGATCATGTGGCCAGCTCTGGCCACATGGTCTTAACATCTTTGAGCTCTTTCCTGACCCTAAAATCCTAATGTTTACTCTGGTTTCTGTTCTCAGCATTCCCATCTCTTTCCTCCCCTCCACCCCCTGGGGAATGGGAAGGAGGGGCATTGAGATAAAAGGAGGGTAGGAAAGCCATGTCTGCCAAGGCAAAAAGTCACTTGTCTATGTCATTCTCCTATTTTCCTTTTTAAAATTTCCCATTATCTCAGCTCCAAGGCAAGAGACTTCTGAAAAGTATATAAAAGTAGCTTTTGCCCCTTTATAATAACTTAGGGTTTTTTTCCTGCCTCACAGTGAGTGACTTACATTGGCCTGGGTTGCAATGACAAAGCACAAAGGCTGCTGTATTAATGCCACTTCCATGTGGACATTGCCATTTCAAGACATTGCCAGCTCCAATAATCCCTTCTGTGGGTCTGGGGTGGCAATTCAGTGAGGATAATCGATCAATTAATTTAAAGGTGAATATCTATACTGCCCTACACATCTAGATTAATAAAGACTTTTCTTATACTCTAGGATGGAATTTCATTGGAAAGTTCCAGGGTGTTAAATAGACAAATATTTAAATTAAAAGTGGAAACTTAGACCTAGAATCCAGGTGTCACTAGTCTTCCACTGATCAAAGTTTATTGCCAAAAGAGGAGCCATTTTGGAGACATAATTATGTAAAAAGAAAATGAGAAATTCAAAAGATCAAAAACTTCCCAGGGACCTAAAACACTTTGAAGACCTCTTTGGGAACTACATAGGTTTATATGAAACAATACCATTAAAAAAAAAAAAATTCTGTCCTTCTAGATCCTTGAGGAATCGCCACACTGTCTTCCACAATGGTTGAATTAATTTACACTCCCACCAACAGTGTAAAAGCATTCCTATTTTTCCACAGCCTCTCCAGCATCTGTTGTTTCCTGACTTTTTAATGATTGCCATTCTAACTGGCATGAGATGGTATCTCATTGTGGTTTTGACTCGCATTTCTCTAATGACCAGTGATGATGAGCTTTTTTTCATATGTTTGTTGACAGCATAAATGTCTTCTATCTCATTACTGGGTATATACCCAAAGGATTATAAATCATTCTCCTATAAAGATACATGCACATGTATGTTTATTGCAGCACTATTTACAATAGCAAAGACTTGGAACCAACAAAAATGCCCATCAATGATAGACTGGATAAAGAAAATGTGGCACATATACACCATGGAATACTATGCAGCCATAAAAAAGAATGAGTTCATGTCCTTTGCAGGGATATGGATGAAACTGGAAACCATCATTCTCAGCAAACTAATACAGGAACAGAAAACCAAACACGGCATGTTCCACTCATAAGTGGGAGGTGAACAATGAGAACACGTGGACACACGGAGGTGAACATCACACACCAGGGCCTGTTGGGGGTGGGGGACAAGGGGAGGGAGAGTATTAGGACAAATACCTAATGTATGCAGGGCTTAAAACCTAGATGATAGGTTGATTGGTGCAGCAAACCACCATGGCACATGTACACCTGTGTAACAAACCTGCACATTCTGCACATGTATCCCGAAACTTAAAGTAAAATTGAAAAAAAAATTCTATCCTTGTTTCAGACATTACAACAATCCACAAAGTAATAGATACTGTTATAATTCCTGACCTATTCATCTGCCTTCAAACATTCAGGTTGGTTTTAGGAAAGCAATAATATTATTTTGGATGGAATTTTCCACATACCCTGTTGGTTTGTCAGCATCTTAAAATGCCATAAGATTAGATTTTCTTTTCATTTTAAAACCATTTTATGTATAGCCTGTTTTTCATTCAAATAGATCACTTTATGTTTGATCATTACTCCACTGGTCTAGATGAAGAACATAAGAAATGATTAGCTGAAGGTTACCTCTGGAGTGGTCCTTAATGAACATAAACCATATTCTTTATTCAAATGACAGACAATCCAAAAGGTGGTACTCAGTCACACGCCTTCAATGCATGTGTTGGGATAATGTGCCCTGACACAAAGTTACAGGAATTGAGAAATCATTTGTGTTTTACTTTGAGTAAAAAAGGAAACTTTAAAAAATGAGAAAAAAAATGCAACAGTTGAAAAAAACTCCCAGGGAGCTCTTGGGGAGGAAAATTGAGTGCATTTGTACTCTAAGGATCTGAAGGACAGATACTTGTTTCGTGAGTTCATTTAACAATATTTAATGAACACCTCTTATACAGTGGGCTAACACAGTGCTAGTTTCTGGGTTTACAATGGTGAGTGAAAGCGAGAAGCTCTTCCTTCCAGAGCTGACAGCTCTTCTCGTTAACTCTCTCTTACTAGAATTTGGGGAAGAGGAAGCCTGAAGGAGTCCACAAAACAATGTCCTTCAAATCAGAGTTTATTCAATGCTGATTTTTCATTTTTCTATGGTTCTGTTTGGGGACAAGTCAGTCAAATAACTTGAACCTCAGCGTCCTCATCTGCAGAATGGGAATAATAACAGTTTGTAAAGTTATCGTGAAGATGACACAAAATGCTGGAGACGTTGGACGTGCTCTATAGAAAATAATTTCTAAACAATAAAGAATATTATAATAAACATTAAACTTTCCTTCTGTGTTTTTCTCAATTTCTGTTCTCCCTCCCTTTTCCTCTTTGTTCCTTCCTTTTGACCACTGCCTAACTACTGGCATGATTTTGGTGAGCAAGTCTGCTTAACCTAAATTCCACAAAGCAATGAGTAAATTATTTCCCGTGTTTAATTTTAAAGTACTGCGGTTTAGAGTAAAAATAGACACAAAATGCTACAGGATGCATGATTCTTTTCATACAACATTCTGGAATAGGCAAAACTATAGGGGCAAAAATCGAATCAGTGATCAATAGGGGCTGAGGGTGAAGAGGGTGGCTTGACAACAGAAGTACCAAGAGAACACTGTGGTGACGGAAATGTTCTGTATCTTCATTTTGGAGGTAATTATATGCATGTATACATTTGTCAAAACACGTTGAACTGTACATTTGAAAAGAGTGAATTTTGCCATATATAAATTACACCACAATAACCTTACTTCAAAAAAGAATACTTTGCCTTGGGACCTTTGAGCCTTTCATTAGGAAAAATCTATGATCAGTATAGGAAATTGGCAGTGCTCCTGGAAATACTCATGTACATAACTAACTATAATAAAAGACAGAGATTGATAATTTCCCTAAGAGAGGTACAAAGTTCTCTGGGAATTCAGAGGCAAGAGAAACAACATCCGTCCAGAGAAACCAAGAAATATTTCATGGAGGAGGACGCATTTAAAATGGGCCTAAAAGATTACAATTAATCACTGGTTGGTTTTTGTTGTTGTTGCTGTTGTTGTTGTTGTTTGTTTGCTTCTCTACTGTCACCAATATCTTAGATTCTAGCACCTGTTTATAAATTGCTTGCAAAATTTGTTACAGGTTTGATTATTTTTCTAATTCTAAAAGGTCTTATATTATGATGGATGCATTTGCTGGAGACTAAATGATTCACACTATCTTGCACCTTAAAGAATCACCGTTTTGATGCCATGTTTTCTGAGTTTGTGGTGATTCTGGAATTGATTAATTTTTACATGTACACTTACAAAACATTCTACCATTCTATGAAATGAAGAAATGTGCAATGAAGAAATGAGGATACATCACATCTAAGTGTAAGAGGCTGGGAATAGGGTTCCAAAAATCTGGGTTCTATAATGCATAAATGACTCCATACATCAAGAACAAAAAGATTCACACCCCAAAAGAAGAGAAGGGAAAACTATACCAACAGACAGGTCAGGAGAGAAAATACACTGGCTCTCAAACTATGAAAAGATGTTCTATTTCAATATAACTAGTGAAAAAGTTACTTCTCTTTCTATTAATTAGTAAGCAAAAAGACCAATAGCTCAGTTTTTTAAGAAAATGAGCAAAGGAACGAAATAGCTCACAGAATAGAAAATACAAATAGCTTGAAACACAAGAAAAGATGCTTAAACATACTCATAATAAGAGAAAGGCAAATGAAAGCTGCACTATCTCACATTATACCCCACAAATAGGTACAACTATCATGAGTCAATTAAAAACAAATGAACAAAAGAGCCAACATGAGACTCAAATTGTAGGAAAGAATAGAGGAAGGGCAGAATCTGATCCCCACCCTTTTACTTTATCTTTCTAAATCTTTAAATGAGAATACATGTTAAAGCTGGGAGAAGCTGAGATTTCATTAAACAGCAAATGTACACAGTGGATGATTAGGTCACTTATAGAAATAAACTACCACTTCTTTGCACATCTGGATAGGACTGTGAGAAAATTTCCAATTCCACTGCAAAAAATAATACAAATACATTATTATTTAAAGAAATATTTGTCTTTACATTGACACACACACACACACACACACAAACTGCACTCTCTTGTATGCATTGGGCTGGCAAAATGTACCAAGTTTGCTAGCAGTGTTAATGATGATATAAGAAAATCAGCTAATAACGGAACAACCTTTATAGAGAACCATTTGGCAATGTCTATTAAAATTACAAATGTACTTTGACCCAGCAATCCCACTTCCACAAATTTTATCCTACAGATGACCCATGCTCAAAATGATATGAGAACAACATTATTCACTGTCGTACTATTTCTAATAGCAAATGAATGTCCATCCATAGGGTTAAAAGAGTTGTTGTATATCATACAATAGTACACAACTTCTCTTTAAGACAGGATGGAAAAACTCTTCATGCACTGATGGGGAGCAAGCATGAAGATATATTATAAATCAAAAAGTCAAAATGCAGAATAGTGTGCAGTATGTTAGTATTTAGGTTAAAAAGGGGAGTGATTGGAGAATGTATGGCTGTATTTGCTTGTATATACTTGGACTATCCCTGGAAAGATATGCCACCAACTGGTATTAGGGTTTGTTTATGGGAACTCTCAGTGGGGTTGGGAGGGGGTTAGGATGGGTAAAGCAGTTTTTGTGGATATAAATTTTGAATTTTGGGCCATGAGAATATATTACCTTCTTGAAAGTAAAGAAAAAATGAAATAGATAAATCAATGAAATACATAAAAAGTTACATAGATAAATCAATGAAAAAAAGAGAAATCTGGGATCTATCCCTTTTCTATCACTAAGTCTTATGACCATAGACAAGCCTATACATTTTTGGTGAACCTTGGCATGTTTTGCTGTAAATGATGAAGTTGATCTCTAAGATCTAGTAAGCTGTCGAAGACCTCGTGTTGGTTTTCTTGAGGGCTGAATTGGGAAGTGAACATGGATTCTCTCTTCATGATCAATGCACACAACTGTACATATTGCGGACTATCAAACTCTGGGGCACCATTTATATAACTTGCTATGTGATAGACACTCCTTGGAGTTGTGCAATGCACAGCTTGAACTTCTGTATGGGGCAGACCTGCCTCTCTCTTTGCCTTTGGATTTTTTCACAAAGGACTTTGTGACCATAGGAGACTTTTAGTGGTGGAAACCGATGGTTACTTCATAAGTGGTAAGGGCACCAGGCATCAAAGGCTTTTATTTCAAACAAGGTTATTATATATTAAACCACGCATTGGTATGAAAGAAGGAGATACAGTATGGGATTCTTACAAAGTATTCTTTGCCACTAAATGTTCTCTTGAAGCAATGTGATGGAACTGGAGGTTATTATGTTAAGTAAAATTATCCAGGCACAGAAAGGCATATCTTGCATTTTCTCACTCATACGTGGGAGCTAAAAAAGTTAATCTCATGGAGGTAGAGATTAGAATGATGGTTACTAGAAGCTGGGAAGGGTGTGTATGAGGGTAGGTGGGGATAAAGAGTGGTTGGCGAATAGGCGCAAACATACAGATAGATAGAACACGTTATGTTCAATAGCAGAATAGGTCACTTATGGTTAACAGCAATGTATTGTATATTTCAAAATAGCTAGAAAGAGGACTTGAAATGTTCCCAAAACATAGAAACTATAAATGCTTGAGGTGATAGACTTCTTAAATACCCAGATTTGATCATTAGGTTTTCTATACATGTACTCAAAATATCACATGTGCCCTATAAATATGTACTCATCAAAAAAAATTAAAGATGGTCAGAATTACTAAAAGCTAACCATGCATAAAACAATCTCAAGTGATTCAAAGCAATCAGTATATGATAAATCTTGAAATTCCAACTGGTGGTGAAATAATGGGATATCCAGTAAAGTGCATAGAGTATCTGGTTAACTTCTGGGGAGAAATTAACTACAGTTTGAATCCATATCCCACAACTGGCACTCAGATAAACTCCACATGGATTAGAGAGCTAAGCATAAAAAGTAAACACCTAATTTCAGGGTGAAAAGTGACTTTTGGGTGTAAAAGGAACAGGACATATCCTAAAAGAACAAACTGATAAAATTGGCCAAAAGCCAATGAACATGTCTATAAAAGATAGCACCACAATCAAAATCAAAAGGCAAACAACAAAATAGGAAAACATATCCACAACATCTGTATGTAACAGATCAACAGTTCAGCCCTTATGAATCAATAAGAAAAAAGATGAAGATTAATAGTAGAACATGGGTCCAATCACACATTCACATACAAATAAATACCTATGGCAAACAGACACGAGAGAAATGTTCATTTCACAGATATCCAAAGAAACACAAAATGTGACGCTGTTATTTTGACTATCAAAGTGGGCAGGATTTCAAAAGCAATCACACTCAGCATTAGTGAAGGTTTGAGGAACAGACTTACATACTGTTGGTATCTGTATGTATATAAATGGTGCAAGTCTTCTGGTGAACCATTTGGTGATGTGAATCAAAAGTGTTATAACTATATATACCCATTGATTTAGGTGATTCTGCCCCTTGGAATATCAGTAATGAACATAACTAGAGATGGGAACAAGGGTTTATGTATAAGGAAGCTCATCAAACCATCATGTGCAGTGATGAAAAATCAAAATGAATCTGCATGCTTATCATGGTACATCTCTGTGATAAAAGATTGTGCTGCCATTTTTACAGTTTTTCACCAAGTATGTATTGATGATGATTACTCTGTGCAAAAGCACTGTTCCAGGGGTTTTGAAGTCTTCATCAGGTTTACATTCTAGCAAGGCTCTCCTCACATATAATAAATAAATAAATAAATATTTAATGTTACATAGTCATGAGGGCATTATGGAAAAGTTAAGCAGTGTAAAGGGATACTAAGGGGGTGGAGGTGGGGGCTGGGGACTATTTTATTTTGCTTTTCTATTTTTTGTTTTGAGAGACAAGGTTTCACTCTGTTGCTCAGGCTGGAGTGCAGTGGCATGATCATAGCTCACTGCAGCCTGAAATTTCTGGGTTCAAATGATCTTCCCACCTTACAAGTACCAGCGACCACACCTGGCTGTGGGCTGTTTTCAATAGAGTTGTCAGGAAATATGTTCCTATACTCAAATGACAAGGTGTGCGCCATGCAAAGATGAGGGAGAAGAGGTTTCAGGCAGAGGGAACAATGAGACCAATAGTCTAGGATGGTAACCAGCTGGACACATTACAGAAAGAGTCTGAAGGCCACTGTGGCTGGAACAACATGAATGGAGGGGGAGTGGTGGGAGGTGAGGAAAGAGGAACTGGCAGGACCAGTTATAAAGAGCCTTGTTGGTCAGGATAAGGAATTTGGATTTCAGTTGAATGAGAAGCTGTTGGAGGAGTGTGAGCAGGGAAGTGGCATTTTCTGGTTTACATTTTAAAAATACTTGTGGCTGCTACGTATGTGGGAGTGGGGATGGGTGAGTGAGAGAGGAAGCAGGGAAACCAGGTAGAAGGCCAATGAATTTGTGCAGCTAAGAGGTGATGGTGGCTTAGACTCGGGTGGCAGAGGTGGAGGTTCTAAGGAGCCCTTGGTGTTGGCAGGAGAGTCAGCAGAACTTGCTTATACACAGGCTATAGGGCAAGAGGAACTAGAGGCAGCAATGATGACTAGGTTTGGAGTCTGTGCAACTGGTTGGATAGTGGTGCCATTTATTAGGATGGTGCTATGGCCTGAATGTTGTGTTCCCCAACATTCGTATGTGGAAACCCTAATCCCTAATGTAATGGTATTTGGAGTTGAGGCCTTCGGGGAGTAATTGGGTTGTGAGGGTGGAGCCCTCATGATGAGATTAGTGCCCATATAAGAAGAGACACAAGAGAGCTTGCTTCTCCTCTCAGTTATGTGAGAATGCAGCCAGAAGGCCATCTGCCAACTAGGAAGAGAACCCTCACCAAGCTGGCACCCTGATCTAGGACTTCCCAGCCTCCACAACTGTGAGAAATGAATTTCTGTTGTCTCAGAAATCTCAGTCTATAGCAATTTGTTGTAGCAGCCCAAACTGACTAAGACAGATGGGAAGGAGGAAGTCAATGACAAAATGCAAGATAAATAAGTTCTAGAGATCTGCCATAGAACACTGTGACTATAATTAACAACACTGTATACTACGCTTAATCTGTGAAGAGGGCAGATCTCCCATTAAGTGTTCTTACCATAACAAGACAAAAAAGAGAGAATGAAGAAGTTGAATTTGATAATTTCTAAAATTACTTCTAGTTCTCAGCTTTTGGATTCTGTTATAGGATTCACAGTAACCAAAACAATGGACTTAATATAAGTTCTACTTTGTAGTCCTGCTCATTTCCTAACTAATGTGATCTTAGAGAAGTAGCTTAACTGGTCTTGATTTTACAAATAAGAGTCCAAGCTACCTTGGATACCTTAGAGGGTACTTTTTCTGTTTTATCTTTCATGCCACATGTTTTGTATTTGGCACTCCAATAAAATCTAATAAAGGAAAAATCAAGGGAAAACTTTTAATGTACAGTAAGCGAGGAAGCAATGTGCAGAGTACAGTAACAATCACTGAAAAGTTGTGTATATGCAGATTTATTTAAAAGATGGAAAGGTCATATGCCAAGGTGTTGACAGTAGTTATACCGGGGCAGTGAAATTATAATTACTCTTTTCTCTTCTTTAGTCTTTTCTGTATTTTTTTCAAACTTTCTACAATAAACTTGTATCATTTTTGAAATCCGAAAAATGTAGTATCCTTGATTTTTAAAAAGTTAAGAGCTGAATTCAATTACTTTAAAGAAGTGAAGAACTCCAATGCTTGGATGGCTTTTAGTCTTAGTTAATCCTTTTTATAATTTAGTAAACGATAGGCACAATCTCTAACTGCCTCGATGAGTTAACTTTAAGTGACTCTGAGATATATAGATCAAATTCCCCATGATATATGGAAAAGCATCCAAAATGAATCTGAACAGTTCTTCCACACACACTTGCAAAGGTGCTGGAAACAGGTCAGAAACTGTCAACGTGGCTTGCTTGCATGCAGATCATCAACTGCAAACATCTTGAGAAAGTCACAGAAAGCCCAAGGGCGCAGAAAAGCCTGTTTTGTCACAAACTGTCTTTCAGTACTAGGGAACAGCTTGACAGGTTTCCAATGGCTTTCCTCGAGTATGCTTTTGGAAGCTGGAAAAAGAAGATGGCAAACTGAGGAAGGAGGCACCCTCTTTTTCCCCGTCCCCCATTATTAGAGCAGAACTGGAACGGTTTTGGAAACAACCACTAAGTACCCCAGCCACTCTGATTCCCTAAAGCCTTGATCCCTCCCCTGTGCTTCAGCGCTCAGTAGTAAAATCTCTAAGACTCAACTTGGGTGGGAACTTCCGAATTTCTCCTCTCTGGCTTTAAGAAAGCCACTGAGAAGCAATGGAGTATGGTAAAATGAACATGGGCTTTGAATCAAGAAGTCATGGGTACAAATCCTGGCTCTGGTATTTTCTCTTGGAAACTCCAAGTGGCATCTTGGTTCACCAATCATTATCTTGAGGAAGCGGGACACTATGACCAGGATTGAAATGGAGTGAACTTCATCTAAAGCCAGAAAACAGGCAGTTCTTGAACTTGCCTCTCCTCTTCTTGACCAGCTAGTACTCCTCATCATTTAACCTCTGTAATATTCCAAAGCCAGTTGCTTTTTCTCTCTACTCACTGCTACTCTTTATGTTCAGGACCTCATCTTTTCTCAACTGGATGAACAAGATTGCCCGGCTACTGGTCTCTTGCCTCTAGGTGGCATTTTCCCCAGTCCATCTGTTGCATCGCAATCAGAGTAATCCTTTCAAAATGAAGTGGTTCTTATCATTCCTTTATATAAAACTCTTCAGTGTTTTCCTCTTGTTCTTAGGAAATAGCCCCAAATCCTTAGCACCACCTTCAAGGTCCTTCATAATATGATGGCTGCTTCCAGATTCAAGGTCATCATTCCCCCTCATCCCCTTGGGCTTCTCCCATTCTGAGTTATTTGCAACTTACCAAACATTCCACATGCTCCTACACCTCTAGGCTTTTTGACACACCATTCCCTCTACCTGAAATGTTTTCTTCAATCCCTCTTTCTCTTTTCCCATGTCAAGTCATCATTTATCTCCTTCCTACCCAAAGTAGCATTGGCCTCACATGGGAGCTCCTTAGAAATGCAGACTCTCAGGACCCATCCCAGACCTGAGTCAAAATCACCAGTATAGCAAGATTCCCAGGAGATTCCTGTGCATGTGAAAGTTTGAAAAGCTGTGGCTTGCTAATTCCTACTCATGGTCACTTCAGGCTCCACGTCCTCCCAGAAGTCTTCTTGCATTCTACCTTCACTCTAACTGGTCTTCATTGAATGCCTTTCTCCAGTGTCCCATTATCCTATGTGTTTCTCGCCATATAAGTTACCGCACTAAAATTTTCTGGACTCTTCTGCCACCTCCACCAAGAGATATGCACTACAGCACCTAGCACAGACCTAGCAATACATAGTAGGTGCTCAATAAATGTTTTTTGAATAAACAAATGAATACATGAAAGGACCAATCAGGCCAAATAGAGTGTGAGTAGAAAAGCTTTGCTTAGTTATCTTTATGACTTTTACTTTTTCTTAGACTTAGATAGCTCACCTTTCTGGTTCTTGCTACACTTTGAATGGCCAACCACTAAGAAAGAAAAAGGGTATCCTTGGGAATAGCTATTCTCCCCATATTCCCTCAGGCCAATACCTGCAGGCATTTGAACAAATGAGTTCTCCCTCCTGCTCTTTACTCGGTGATGGATTCAGCTCAGCTTAGAAATAAAAGCTTTGGGTTCAGATGACATTTTTGAACGGCCAGAAATTCCCTAGAAATCCTAGCTTCATCTTGCTCTATGAGATGGGTATCATGAACTGACTCAACTTCTTTAATTGAGAGCATGATTGAACTGTTACTCAAACTGCTGCAAAACTCCAACCACATGGAAGAAGAACGAGCTAGGAAAAGCCCAAGCGCATGAGGTCTCAGAAACGATTTACTATTATGTGTACATATGACTTTTAGGAGTGAAATGAAGGGGATGCTAGCCAAATCACAGCATGGCTGGAGTTCCCTCTAGAGTCTGGTCAGCGCGGATGGCAAAGAAAAGCAAACAAAAGAAACATTCTTTTTACTAGTGAGTAAAACAAAGACCCTACTGAGAAAACTGAAGTGAGCAGGAGAGCTGTAAAATCAACAGAAACGGGGGCTGTCTGTGGAGCAGGCATCTGGTTTCAATGTAAACATCCTTAAAATGTTTCAAGAACGAATGCACATTTGAATAATTTATTATTAAAGTGGGGTTTTTTCCCTTATGGATATTTAGGGAAGATTCAAACTGAGGATATCCTTGTATATGCCCAACTCAACCGCAGTTCCCCACTCAGTTTAGACATTTTCTGAGTGGAATACTGAATGAAAATCATTTGAAAGCAAACAAAACAGAACTGAAAATCTAGGGTTGCCTGGCTGGATTCAGGTATATTTTGAAAGACTCACATGGACATCGCACTTAAGTAGATTGTACAGTTTGCTTAGGAAGCCAGAAGCAGGGGTGAGGGTGGAATGCAAGGGTCTCTGCCTGTATTGGGTCCTATCTTGTATTTCTTCATTGGGAAAGAAACCTGTCTTGAATTGCACTTTTTGCCTCAGATCATTAATGTAACCATAAAGATCTGGAAGATGCTGTAGAACAGAAATTGCAAATTAGTGACCAAGGCATGGTTTTGTTTGGACCATACTATATCTTACAAAAGAATGTCTTAAGTTGATTGCCAACATTTTAAAAATTTCTTCATGGTAACAATTGGCTAGATCCAAGTAGCTATCATGACCTTTAGAAAAAAACAAATTATTTTCCAGAACTTGCCTCAATCCCAACCCCTCTCTTTCATCTAGCCCAGAAATTTCATACAGGCTAACATCCTGGTATACACACAGACACACACACATACACACACACACACACACACACACACACACGTCCTAGGGCAGAGCTCTGAGGATGAGAAGGAAATGAGTTTTGTCTCCACTGGTTGGCCACCCTTGACCATTCTAATTCAGGTATCATACTTAGCATTGCATGATTTTTTTAACATGGTAGCAGAACTTTTTTTCCTCTTTTTCCTTTACATTATATTACTTTTGCAGAATTATATGAATTTTGCAATTGTATATATTTTATCTGTTTTCAATAAGGAATCAAACATGCCAGTATGCAACAGGGCATCTCCAGGCTATTCCAACAGGCTATTGAAATTGGCCATGTGCCCCCACCATATTGGAACTAATTTCCTGTGCTTGAGCAAGTCCCTATTGCTAGAAAATAATCACTGGACTAAGAATCAAGAGATTCTAGTCAACAGCCTTTGTCTCAAGTCAGGGAAGCTATAGGCTTTTCTTGGCATTTCCTGTTTCACGGAGTTTCTTTCACTCCTTGTCTTTCTGTCCTTAACTATAACCATCCAGGGGTTTACCTACAATTTCAATTTCTGTATTTTTCAATATTGGTGACACTGAAATCACTACTTTTGATCTCATGCAGATGTTCACTCATGGGAACAATAAAGTCATGTCAGTGATGTCTACCAGCCCAGAGCTGTTTAGGTTCTAAATGCCAAAAGACAGCCAGAAATTGAAGCCCATGGTCTCCAACATAGATACCTTTGATATTATCCAAGGCTTCTAAACATCCAGTGATGAAAACAGGTTGACAACGAACTCCTTGGGAGCAGGGGACTAGAACTTATTAGCCTCTGAATTCCCACATCCTTCTCACAGTGCTCAGCACTCTGCCTGGTGTGGAAGTGACTTGTGGCAAATGTCTGTCAAATTAAGAAGATGGAGATCACACATCTGATTTTAGACAACAGCAAAATGGTCCTGAATTTTTCTATAGGATTGCATAACATTTTAACTTTTATAATAAAGTATATTCTAGAATTGTAGGTGCTTACAACTCTCAATTCCCAGAAAATACTTTTTGGGCTTTTTTTTTTTTTCTAACCTATGAAAACACATTTGCACTTACTAGGGCAATTCACATATAGCCAACCTCAGAAATCATAAAGCTCAACATTTCTTAGGTAAGAAAATCAGCCCCAGATGAGAAAAAGACTTGCCCAAGAGCAAGCCAGCAGCAATCTAGACAAGAACGAGATCTCTTGATCACTAGTCCAGTGATTATTCCCCAGCACTAGGGACTTGCCTAGGCCCAGGAAAGTGGTTCTAATATGGTGGGGCGCGTGACTAATTTCAATAGTCTGTTGGAGTAGCCTGGGGAGGCCCTGCTAGATACTGTGAGAGACCTGGGTACTTCTGAAGGGCATCATGATCTGTCAAGTGGACTCCTTCTAGAAGGACTAACGGGCAGACCAAGGGACTAAAGACAGAAATACAAGAGCCGCTTCTATCGCCTCATGTTTAAGGCTGATGCCCCAGTTGTCTTAGAACCCCCTAAGGGAGAGCACATCTGATATGGGCTGAATTGTGTCCTCCCAAAATTCATCTGTTGATGTCCTTATCCCCAGTATCTCAGAATGTGACTGTATTTGGAGATAAGGTCTTTAAAGAGGCAATTAAGTCACAATGAGATCATCAGAGTGGGCCTTAATCCAATATGGCTGGAGTCTTTATAAGAATAGGAAATTAAGACATAACCTTGCACAGAGGGAGGACCAGGTGAAGACACAGGGAGAAGATGGCCATCCATAAGCCAAAGAGAGAGGCCTCAGAAGAAACTAATCCTGCCAACACTTTGATTTTGGCCTTCCAGACTCCAGAATTGTGAGCAAAAAAGTTTCTGTTGTTTAAGCCACCCAGTCTCTGGTACTTTGTTATGGCAGCCTAGCAAGCCAATATAACACCCTCTACCCCAAAATCAAAGTGTAATTCCCAGTTTCCAGAGCAAAATTGTGTAACTGTCAGCATCATGACAGATAGGACACATGACAGTACATGCAATCTGCCATTTAACTTAGGAAGCATCATGATTCTATTTCCAATACAATGATGTTAGCATCACACATTATTTGATCAAAGTAGAATAAAAGCAAAGGTAAACTGGGATCGCCATCTTTTAGACTCCTGACCCATGTTATCTCACTCCTCTTCTGTACAAGAGCTGCTCCTATCGCCTCATGTTTAAGGCCGATGCCCCAGCTGTCTTGGGAACCCCTGTAGTGCGTCATTCCCTGCAAACCCTAGTGTCCTTTTGGGAATGAGAAACTGGGCTGTTCATGTACCCTCAACTGCAGAAGGGCAGCCCAATTCACCAAGTCCAGATGGAAAGAGTATAGGGGGTATTTGCATTTGCCATGGATCATATTCTCTCTCCCTCCTTTGCATGCTTGGTCACTCTGCTACAGTTAAAAAAAGAAAAAAAAGAAAACACAACTCTACTTCATTCCAAGTGGTTAATCAACTAAGTATCCTAGAATAAACCAAACATACATATAAGAAGGTGGCCACCAGCTTCCAAGAGCATAAAAATCAGTTTCAACTGGTAAATATTGTGTTGAAACTGTCAACAGAATAACTTTTGATAGAGTCATTTGTAATCTTTAAAATTATGGACATATAGCCAGCTGGGCTCAGTGGCTCATGCCTGTAATCCCAGCACTTTGGGAGGCTGAGGCAGGCAGATCGCTTCAGCTCAGGAGTTCAAGACCAGCCTGGGCAACATGCCAAAACCCTGTCTCTACCAAAAATACAAAAAATTAGCCAGGCCTGGTGGTGAGCACCTGTATTCCCAGCTACTTGGGAGGCTGAGGTGGGAGAATCCATTGAGTCTGGGATGTGGAGGTTGCAGTGAGCCGAGATCATGCCACTGTACTCCAACCTGGGTGACAGAGTGAGACTCTGTCTCAAAAAAAAAAGAAAAAAATTATGGAGTTACAGTATTTTAGAAATGAGAAGAACTTTACTTCATGATTCAATATTTCTTGGCCTCTAACTCATATATGCATCAGTTCATGAAATCATATTTGATTATGCCTTCTACTCAGAAATGCTGTTTTGTAATCTCCAAGTGACTGGCAAGAAGAACTATTTGGTTCTTTGGTTCTTCTTATGAGTATATATAATTTTATATCAAATTCTGCATGAATGCCAAGACAGGAACCCCAAGAACGTCAAGGCAAATTTGCTAACCATTACTAGAAATTGAATAGAATATATTTTAACAAACATTTCTAGAGTAAAACATCTGTTTAAGAAGGCATTTATAATTTTAAAAAACCTCAATACCAGTGACTTTTTAACTGAAAATCAGCGTGGTGGCCTGGGGGCTAGCCTGACATAAACCACTTGAAAGACAAGGGCAAAGAGAAATGAGCCTAGTGAATCCATCTGCTGGTGGCCTTTTTGGGCACCTGTAAAAACAAAGCTAGGCTATTACAGATATTATACACAATATAAAACCATAGAAATATTGGCTTTTATTATTAGCAATATTTATTACAGTATATTCACATCAGCATTCATGGCCCTCCACAATATGGCAGTAGCTTGTGTTTATGGTGTAATTTTCCTCCAACCCTCTTACCCATACTCCAATCCAACTGGACATGTCCCTGTTCTCTACTCCATGCCTTTCTCATGTTCTTGCTGACATCTCTGCCACACGCACTGCCCTCTTCCACCTGTGCCTGTTAAAATCTTCATAGAGCAAGACTGCCTGTATTTGAACTCTAGGCTGCTGCCAACTAGAAGCCACATCTAGCCACACCTAGCTGTGTGACTTTGGGCAAGTTTCTTAGTCTCCCTGTGCCTTAGTTTCCTCATCTGCAAAATGAAGATAAAATAGGACTATCTCATAGGGTTGTGGTGATGATTCACTGAGACAGTAGATCTAAAGCATTTACAGCAGTGCCTGAACCAGATCCACACCAACCTCCCTTCCACCTCCTGGGGATATCATTGGTGTCTCTCTACTGGGCTAGCACACTAGACTCTGAGTGTGAGGACACTTCTTTATGGTTCTAATAATTATTGATCAATAATAATAATAAATATATTTATTTCTGTTAGCTCTGACCCTAAGATTGAATCAAATTAAATAATAAAATATGAATGTGTATGATCAAACACCTACTTTGTAGCTTGCATTTTGCACCATTTCTTCCATTTATTTGGGGACCTATTGTGCCCTGTGCTTGTTAACTAACTTACCAGGATTAATGGGAAAGACATTCCCCCATGCTTTCTAAAATGGAGTTATCTGGCTAGCTTTTCTAAGTGACTCCTATTCCTCCAAACCTGTTGGCATTCCCAAATTCATTATCAGAGAGCAAGCCTAAACAGCAAAAGTTCAAGTCAGATAGGACATCCTGGGACCAAGAGCACAGTGGATTTTTGGCTGTCATCTGTTCCCTGCTGGCTGTCACTCTAAGTGGTTGTCATTCTCTTGTGCAGAAGGAAAAATTCCATATAAGGCAAGGCCCGAGCAAGTCGTTAAGCAGTCTGAAGTGTTCCTCCCGGGCTGTGAACCCTCCTGGGAGAGAGCAGCACACCCCTGGCAAAGATTACAGCACACTTCACGGCAAACCTGCAGAGTAACAAAGCACATATTGTTACCTCTGAATGCCAAGCTCTGCAGGCTAGTAAAAATACATATTATACCTTTTTAATGGGATGAAGGGAGTTGGCTTCTTTGCAACGTTTTGGATGGAGTCATAACATAAATAAACTGTATTCTGGGGTCTGAATTTATGAAGCCCAGAGCCAAGCTGCATGGTTACAACTAGGGCAACCCAGACCATTGCGTAAATCAAGTACAGAAGCCAGGGAGTTCTGGCAGCCACACCACTGCGTGCTCATGTGAGGAAAGACTCCACTGAAACACTTCCCAGACGTCGTTATTGTCTGCCACCTTTTTCTAAATGTGTTTACTATTCATAGTGTTGATGACTTCTGCCTATTTTTATTATTGCTGTAAATGTGGCCACTGAATAACATTTTGAATAACCTAAAACAGGACACGACAAGACAGGAAAGGGTGTGTGTGTATATTCTGGCTGGTAAATTCATGCCTATTCCTACACACACACACACACACACACACACACTGACAGCCACTAGAGTCGACTTAAGAGATCAGAGAAGAAAAGAAGTGAGGCAGCATTCACTCCAACCTAGAAGCCAAGCCTCAGAAGAAATGAGAGCCTGGAACTATGAGCCTTATTTTTATTTTTTTTTATTTTTGAGACAGAGTCTCACTTTGATGCCCAGGCTGGAGTGCAGTGGCACGACCTCAGCTGACTACAACCTCTGCCTCCTAGGTTCAAGCAATTCTCCTGCCTCAGCCTCCTGAGTAGCTAGGATGACAGACTTGTGCCACCATGCCCGGCTACGAGCCTTATTTTTAAGTGGAGTCCATACCTATCGCTGGTCATGGCAGTGGTCTAAATGATCTGGACCTGATGCCCTGCCATTCTATGAAATCGCTGGGCTCTGAAAATGAGCAAAAAGGAAGGCTGTGTTCACTGTTGAGGTTGATTTAAATGCTGAATAAATGCTGAAAAGTTGCTTGGTGCCTGGGCTGAGAAGAAGGAGCTCTGGAAGCCAAAAATTATTGGGACTGAGGGCATGCATGGACTTAGAGGGAGCTCATGGAGAAGATGCCTTAGTCCTAGAGTCTTCCGGAAGAGAGGAGAGAGCAAGAAGTGTGCCAAAATCTGCTGGGAGGTTGGAGGGTCCTAGTGTTCAAAATCTTAATGCTGGATTTGACAGACATCATTGTGATCAGGAGGTTTCTGCTCCACATGAAGTCAAAAACAGGTAGTGTTGCCAGAGGCTGTGAGGTCCTGATGTTACTATGAGAACATCTGGGGTGCTTAGAACATTCCTGGAATCCCAGTTAATGCACTGGAGCAAATTATATTAAGGGGCAATAAAGCCTTGTTTGGGAGGACTTGCAATTGTTCTTTGCTTGTTCTATCTCAAATGAGATGTTAAAATAGTCAATTGCTGTCTTAGACCCTCTAGTCCTCCAAACATTTATGAAATCATAAAATAGTCACGTCTAGCAGGGATCTAGTGACTCTCTGGAAACTTTCCCATTTAAAGATGAAGAAAATTAGGCTCCGAAAATTGCCCACGCCATGCAGCTAGATGATATCAGCTGAGATCTGCAAGATATTTTTCTTTCTCTTTGTCATAAAAAAATTGTTATTCATTTTGCCTGGAGTATGACAACCATATTCTTTGTTTTAGTACAGAAAATTGTTTCTTCAAAGTCTTTATAATTATTTCTGTTTCAGTTATTCTTACTAACTCAAAATACCTATAATTTTGAGGTTGGAACTCCATTCTCTGCCCTCCACATCTAACAATATCTCTCCTATCACATGGATAGCTTTTTCCCTTTTCTCTGCATTCTGAGAGAGATTTCCAGTTTATCCTCTCCAATCATTATTCAGTTCTTCTCTGGTTTAGTTCAGTTATTTGTTGACTCTAATACGAATTTTAATTCTGCTCTTGAGTTGTTAACTTTCAGTCAGATTTTATCCATTTCACATTTTCATTTTCACCTCACTCCCACTCCCATGCCTATGACCTTGTGGTTTTCCATTTCTGTTTTCTTAAAGGCCAAATAGAACATAGATAAATGAGAACATCCACATACTCAATAAGAAAAAAAGAGCAAATTTTGTCATTTGCTGGAATTCATTCTTTATTCATTCACTGAGTTCCTATGACATTCCAAGCAGTGTGCTGGGCTCTGATGTTAGGAATGTAAATAAAAGAAAGACATGTCTCCTGTTATCAAAGTGTGCAGGCAGATGTATGTATATGCCTATGTGTATTAAGACGTTGCACACAAACAACCATAATGCAAGGTAGAAAGTGTTGCCTGCCTAAGGAAGGCTTACATTTCAAAAGATATTTTGAAAATTTTTGAAACTTTCTCCTGGTTCCTGAAATAGACATCCTGGGGTCTTCAACAATTTTTTCACTGATTCCAAGTAGTCTTTCCTATAACTTACTTCTTCAATATAAATATTTAAATAAGGTGAGCTTTCTTGAGACTTTGAGGCAGCAGTCATACATGGTATGGGGTTGGCTTCATCAATGCCGGCCCTCCATTTGTATGATGATCTCACACCTGCAGCTGCAGAACAGGTGTTTGCGCAGCTTCTAACCTAACTCTAAATTCTAATGCAGCTCTGCACGGGTGGGGTATTGCTCCTAACCGTCATTGTCTGATTCTTTGAGACGCTGACTCAACACCCTGTGCATGAAAAGCTACAATCCCAGCATGTAGAATACTTCTGCCATAAATCTTACTTCTTGGATCCACCTAAGTGCTGGAACTACACTTCCCAGGATGCAGTTAAGCTTTACACATGCTTCAAGGGAGGGAAAAAGATCCCTCCCTTTTTTTATCCTACTGGATTTGGGGAGTTGTGGAGGTTGGGTGAATAGAGAAAGAAGGAAGGGTGAATGGGAAGCAGCTTTTTGCCTGCCTTAAAAGGAATCAGCTCCTTGAAAAATGGGAGGGGGACTCAGCTTTCTGGCTGGAATAGACCAAGGGGCTCTGTAAATGGAAAACTCCAGGGGAGGCATAAAAGCCTTTCTCCACTCCTTCTATCTCTGCTTCCCTCAGGGAGGTGGCTCCTGGGTCTTGGCAACAGGCTGTCTGACAAGCATGCTTTTTGTGGCTGTGGTGAGATTTTTTTCTTGTTTCTGAGCCTTTCTGGAAATTTTCAAGGGAAGTTGAGAGTGCTGCAACACGGCTGCTTTCCAGATGCCATTTCTGTGTTGTCCACATATGCTTTTTAATCTTCTCTACCCCAAATATGGCATGTAGAAGTGAAAACAAAAATAGCAGCTAAGTTAACCATGTAAGGGGCCAGCATAGGTTTATGTGGTATATATAAGAAATATATAATCCTGCATGTACATTATCAATGACCCATAAATCTGAGACTAACAACCTCAAGTGGAAATGGTCATAGTATGTGTGGGAGCCATATAGAACACAGACAAATGAGTACATTTGACAAAGAGAACATCACATGTACTCATTATTTGATCAAAGTAGGATAAAAGCAAAGGTAAACTGGGATTGCCATCTTTTAGACTCCTGACCCATTTTATCTCACTTCTCTTTTGTACAAGAGCTGCTCATACATAAGGCTCATAGTTCCAGGCTCTCACTTCTTCTGAGGCTTGGCTTTTAGGTTGTAGTAAATGCTGCCTCACTTCTTTTCTTCTCTGATCTCTTCAGTCGACTCAAGTGGCTGTGAGAGTGTGTGTGTGTGTGTGTGTGTGTGTGTGTGTGTGTGTGTGTGTGTGTGTGAATACATCACATGTACTCATTTGTACATGTGAGTACATACATGTGAGTACATCACAGACAAATGAGTACATCCACAGGCTACACAGGAAAATAAAAAGTTATGTCATTTGCTGGAATTCATTCATTCATTCTTTCATTGATTATGGTTTGCCAAGCACTGCTCTAGGTACTGAAGTTGAGGATAAAAATAAAAGCAAGATGTAGTTCCTGTTCTCAAAGTGTGTGCAATGTGCATGCACATGTGTATTAAAAGTGCAATAAACATCTAATATGCAAAGTAGACCACTATTATGCAAGACAACTATTATTGCCTTGAGGAAAATTTAAGACACCCCAGCAACTTTCTTCTCACTTGGAATAAAAGCAAACTCCTTCTGCTGAGACAATTCAATGGGAAAATACAGTGTTTTTCACAAATAATGTGGAATTGGATATCTGCTTCTTTCCTCCACCTTACAGCATTCACAAAAATTAATTTAAGATGGATCTTAGAGCTAAAACCTAAATGCTAAGACCTATAATGTTTCTACGAGAAAATCCTTTCACGATCTTGGAGTAGACAGATATTTCTTACACAGAACACTGTCCAGAATGATTAGAACAAAAACAAACAAACCCACCAGACATAACCAAATGTCAGTGAACATGTGGAACAATGGAAGCTCTTACACTTTGCTGGTGGGAGCATAAAATTGTTCCATCGCTTGGGAAAACTGTTCAGCAGTTTCATATAAAGTTAAAACATCTGTCGCCCTATGACCCAGCAGTTTCAATCCTAGGTATGTACCCAAGAGAAATGCAAACGTATATGCACAATAAGACCTGTTCAAGAATATTCACGGCAGCTTTATTGAAAATAGCCAAAACCAAGAAACAATCTAATTACCCATCAACAGGAAAATGAATAAACTTGTGGTGATATAATTACACAATGGAGTACTACCCAGCAATGAACGATGGATATTTGCAACAACACAGGTGAATCTCTAAAACATTCCATTGAGTGAAAGAAACCCAGACTCAAAAGCATGCATAATTTCATTTTTACAAAGTTCCAGAATAGTGATAGAAATCAGAACACTGGTTACCTCTGGGCTGGGAGCAGGTGGAGAATTGACTAGAAAGCATCACAAATAAACTTTCTGAGGTGATGAAAATCCTCTATGTCTAGGTTTGCATGATAGTTGCAGAGTATAAAATTGCCAGATACCTTCAAAACAAATTTGAGATCTGTGCATTTCCTTGGATGTAAATCATACCTCAATTTAAAAAATCTAGTTTTTTAAAAAAGCAAAAGTCTGACCGGGTGCAGTGGCTCACACCTGTAATCCCAGCGCTTTGGGAGGCCGAGGTGGGCAGATCACGAGGTCAAGAGATTGAGACCATCCTGGCCAACACAGTGAAACCCCGTCTCTACCAAAAATACCAAAATTAGCTGGGTGTGGTGGCACACGCCTGTAGTCCCAGCTACTCAGGAGGCTGAGGCAGGAGAATCGCTTGAACCCGGCAGGCGGAGGTTGCAGTGAGCCAAGATCGCACCACTGCACTCCAGCCTGACAACACAGTGAGACTCCGTCTAAAAAGAAAAGGCAAAAGTCCTTATATTATTCTATAAAGCCCTATAAAACCTGGTCCCTGCAACCTCCCCAGACCTCGTCTTCTACCATTCCAGACCTCACTCACTCCACTTGGTATTTTTTAGCTGTTTCTTGGACATACCGAGCAGTCTCCTAGCCTCAGGAGCCAGTCCTTGTTGTTGCCTCTGTCTGGAAATTGTTACCCCAAATGGCTACATGGCTTGTTTCTTCCCTTCCATCAGGTCTCTACACAAAATGTCACCTTAGCAAAGAAGCCTTTTTAACCATCCCAATCAGCACCATCCACACCACACTCCCTATCCTCACTCACCCTACTTATTTGCTATAGTACTCATCAACATCTGACACATAAAAAATTTATACCTTTGTTTATTATCTGTCCCTTTTCCCTGGAATGAAACCTTCCTGACCTTGCTTTGCTCACTGCTGTTTCCCAAGCAGCTAGAACAGTACCTGGCATGTAGTAAATACCCATTAGGTAGTTGCTGAATGAATGAGTGAACAAATGAATAGAAAGTGATGATAGATTAGATGAAAGCTGTCAAATTGGACTGGTATACTGATTTTCTATTGGACTTCTCCCTCAAATTGCTGGCCAAAACACTTACATTTTAAAATGCAAATAAGATGAATCACAGATGTGTTTCAAGAAAAGTAAACAACCTACTTCAAAGAACTCTATGATATTTTCAAAGGCCTACGTGGCCAGCTTTGACAAGACCTTAAGATGAGAAGTCACAAAGCAAGATGACACATGACAGTGTATTTTGTGTTCCGGGTGGGAAGCTCCAGGGCCTCAAAAGCCCTGGGAGTTGCCCACGTTCTGCAGCCCTTCCCTTGGGTGTCTAGAGAGGGCCAGGCATGGAGTTTCTGAGCTAGCATCACTTGCATTACAAAATCATGGCCACTCAGAACTAGAGACCTCAAAGTTATTATTGAAAGTGTCTCATAGAAATTAAAAAGAGGAGGAAGAAATTCCTGAGCTTGGGGTGTATCATAGAACTGGCCTGGAGTCTGGCTCTAATTGGATTCCAAGACCAATTCTGCCACTAATTAGTGGTGTGACCAGAAATAATCATTGAAAATCCTGGAGCTTCTGTTCCCTCAACTAGGAAAGAGCAGGTTCAACTAGGAGACCTCTAAGATCCCTTTCTAACTCTTGAATGTTTTGAATCAGTGATCTATACACCTATATACCAAGGAATAGTTCAGCTTTGGATGAGTAAAGCCTTCAGTCATGACATCTATTTTTTTTAAATAGGCATATTAAAAATGAGTTTCCTATTTCTTTTTACAATTGATGGCATTCTCTAAAACATGAGGCCACACTTCCGTTTCCCCATCTTCCTTAGAGTACTGGTTTAAGTAAATGAATATAACAACCTGTACTTTCTTAAATAAATTTCAATGCTTAGATGTTGTCTAAGTCAATGAACTACTTGAATTAACAAAACCCTGTCTATGTCAGCAAAGTCTGGTGCTCTTTCTGAGTTGATGTTTTCAAAGTAGATTTTCATCTGGGTCTAGCTATGCATCAGCTATAAAATTGAGATAATTTTAACCATTTCTTATCCACAAGTTATTGTGAGAACCAAATGAGGTAATACATGGGAAAGTTTAATAAACTATATTGTTCAAATATGAGACAGCATTATTATACTATTGGACTTTGAATGCCAACCAAGAGCCAAATGGAAATTCTGAGAGTTCGGAAACAATTTTTGAACCTTTGGGCTCTTGGAATAAAGAGCAGATAAGGTGTTCCACCATTTGCAGTACACAGGGAAACACTTTAATTAATTGCAGGGGCGCTGTGGAAAAAACTAGACATTTTTTTAATCAAAGATGCCAAAATTCAAATCCCAGTTTTTGGGCTTACTAGTTGTGTGGATTTG
The DNA here is from genome assembly GCF_000001405.40 of Homo sapiens. Classification (NCBI taxonomy): domain Eukaryota; kingdom Metazoa; phylum Chordata; class Mammalia; order Primates; family Hominidae; genus Homo; species Homo sapiens. Next base: position 109,738,758 of record NC_000009.12, on the reverse strand, counting down.
GGCAAATTATTTAGTATCTCTGGGCATGGTGTAAAGAGTCTGAGGATTCTCAACTCTTTGGAAGTAAAATGTAGACATTTGACTTTCCTAGCAACTCTTCTCTGTTGACTCCCTTTTTCTTCTGGATAGAAGACTACCGTAATGATAAATGATTCAGATCCTAATGCTTTCCAGGAATTCTGTAAGTGAAATGTTTTTAAATGTCATTTTTCAATCATCCATTGCTAGTGTATAGAAATAGACGTTTTTATATTGATCTTTTATCCTGAGACCTTGCTAAATTCACTTATTGGTTCTAGTAACTTTTTGTAGATTTCTTAATTTCCTACCTAAACAATCATTATTCTATGAATAAAGACAGTTTTATTCTCTTTTCCTAACTGTATGACTTTTACTTCTGTTCATTCTTCAAAAAGAGCACACCAATCAGTAAGCCCCTGGTGGCAGCTGTCGTTTCTCCAAATTGTAAGTTCTCAGCGGCAGGCTCTGGGGGCAACTGTGAGAAAGTGGGTTGAAGATCTCACTTGAAACTTTACACCACTGTTTCCTTATCTTTAATAGAGGAATAGTAATTCTACCTCCCAGATATACTGTGAGGGAAACATAAGAGTATATAAAGAAATTCATAGCAAGTGCAATAGATTATATATAGTTGGTGCTCAGTAAATGAGTACCACTTCTTTTTTTTCCAATATTGGTACCAGGAACACTTTCAGTTTAGAGGCCAAATATATAATGATTGTCTGTGCCTCTTGCCATCTGGAAGACTCAATAAAGATTTTCCATGCCAAGGCATCAAAGCCATGCTAGTCAGGTTGGTGTCCATCCACCTAATGTCTTTTGTTTCCAACACCCAAATGTTATGATGGTTTTGAGAAAACACAGTTGGAATAAAACCTTCAAACTGGATGGCAACTGCCCATTTTAAGATTAGTAATAATGTTTGAACAGAGTTCTTTAATTTGGTTCTTTGAAAGCACAAGCCTTGGAACCCTATGAGTGAACTACTTACATATTTGCTAAACAATGTAGGATGAAAAATAACTAATTGACTGTGTGCTAACTAGTTATTGTTCTTGTTGGACTGTCAATTACTGTTACTATGAGGTCAGTAGATGCACCTAGCTAAAATTAGCAAAGCCCTAGTTCCAGCCCTTGTCCTGTTTTCCTTCAACCTTTCTTTCTTGTGTGCCTGGCTTGCTTCTTTTCATCTGTGGCAGGTCTCCTGGCATGCTTCATTTCCATTTACAGTGGCTGCTGCTGTCTCTAACATTTCACTTGCCTCTTCTTCCAAATACACACTCAGCAGAGTGAGTGACACTTTGTACAATCAAGCTGAACCTCACCCTTGGCCACATGGCCATGGAGTCAGTGAGTTTGTTAGTCACCTCCCATGACTGCACAGTCCTAACTGTGCTGTCACAGAACAAATAGATCCATGGGTCATGTCTTTCCCATCGTGATGACCACTCAGGCCACCCAGTTTGCTGGACCTGTAAGTTGGTCATGCTGACCACTGGTGCTCACATTTTTCCTACCACATCTCTGGAAGCCACTGTAATCATAGCGTTTCCAGGATCCCTTTGGTGCCTTATGATCCAGAGCACTCATCCCTAGCTTTCCTCCTGTGCCTCCTAGGATTTAGAATGAGAAAGAACGCTTCCTGGCAAAGACTTTCCTAGATGATGCCTCCCTAGCGATAAAATCATCTTACACTATGCTGTCCTTATAATCAATTTTCAAATGCTTTCTAGTTCCCAATGATGTTAAAGATTAGCATGGCCAAGGCTAATATACAAAAGAGACGGCGACAGTGGTAGTGATTCAGTTCCTTAAGGCTATCTATTTCCTGTCAATTGCTCTTGGGTTGCATATTCACACCACATGTTAGCTGTAATCATGGGAAGAGATGCTTTTCTCCAGGCTTCAGAAAATGGCAGTCAAATACAGACCAGAATAATAAACACTGGAGACTACAAAAGGTGGGATGGCGGGAGAGTGGAAGGTTGGGGTGAGGGTTGACAATCACCTGTTATTAGGTACAGTGTTCACTATTCACGTGATGGGTACACTAAAAGCCCAGATGTCACCACTACGCGATAGATACATTTAAGAAATCTGCACTTGTACCCCCTAAATACATAAAAACTTAAAAATAAATTAAATTTTAAAATATATAAAAATAAAAGTAAAAAAAGAAAATGGCAGTCAAATATTTTCAGTCATGAAGCAAAAATGGCTCTACGTCAAGGCCTTCTACTAAAACTAAAGAAAGAATAACTAATCTTGCTTAGACTATTGTTTGGCCAATAGTGACTGAGTGGTGGTCTGAATTCACTTTCGGTTTGGAAGATTAAGCCCTTTCATAACACCTAGACCATTCTTGGAACATGTCTTCCAATAAATCATCAATTTATTCAATTTAAATGTAAATGATCAATTTCTCTCATGTTCATTGTCGCTACAGAAAACTTTTATAGTGTGTGTTTATACGTACATGCATATATTCACAAATTATATGTATTTATAGTAATTCACTTTTTTGTACAAGACTAGTTCCCCGGGACCTATTTTCCACATATAAATATACAAACGCAAGACAAAAACACAGGGGATTTTAACCGTCGTTGTGCCTGTGAAGAAGTCTGATCCTAGATGCTGGAATGGTTGGTGATTTTCCAGACTTCAAGAATCAGTGTGAATTTGGCCCCAAGCCCATAAGCAGGCAACTTTCTTATGCTGGGACATGACCTCAGCATAGACTAAAGATAACTACCATGGGAGAAACGCCTACTTGGCTTTCTTCTTCTCATTTGGTCCCAGTCCTTAACATCTGAGAACGAGAGAGATGGCCTGTCTTCCCAAGCCTGTTGCACACAAACAGAAGGCAAACCCAAGTTACAGTCTTAAGCAGCAGGGAAAGAAGGATTCTTTTTTGTTTCTCTTCCTCCTATCAGCATGATGAAAAGGTGCATGAAGGCAGACCTACCATTAATGCCTGGGACAAAACTAACAAACATCCCAAGGGAACTCTATTAAGTGAAAATCAGTATCTACACCATCTTCCCTTTTCCTCTGGGCACATAAAGCTCCTTTATAAAGAGCAGTGCAAAATGAAAAGAGGAAACTTCTTAATCATGCAACAGACATTTCAGCCAAAAAATCATTTTTTGATTCCATAATTAACTTGCTGTGTGATTACAGGCATTTCATTTAGTCTTTTTCTACCCAATTCCATAGCATTGAAGATTAAAGTTACTGGACTCAGGGCTCATAGCTCCCTGCAGGACAAGATTTGAGCTGAGAGTTTGTCCCATGAAACTGCCTTTAACCCAGACTCCCCAGATGCAGGAAGCCTTTGAAACATGACCTCCCAGAGCCCCTCAGAGAGCATGTATCCCAAGTGTGCGAATGTGCATATATACACAGTGTGTCCTTCCCTACAGTGCTAGGAGATCATAAAAGATGGTGGGCCAAAAGCTCTACTTGAGTTTGAGTTGCTGGAGAGCAGGCCCAGCTTGAGCTACAAAGGAGCTTCAGGAAAATACCCATGAATCTAGTATGCAAGGCAGTAGCCAGGCCCTGAGGGTCTAGCCAGAGTCAAAGACACAGAGAACTGGAAGAAGACACTCTTTCAACTATGCTTGGATAACAAAGTTAAGGATATCATTTGCCTTGTCTTGCCCAAGGTAATATTTGGAGTTGCTATTATTTCTCAATGCTCCTTGAGAAACAGCTTGGCCCACCAGAGAGTCTCATACTGGAAATTTGTTTTCTTCCCAAGTCAGTTGAGCAATGTAAATATGTTTGACAAGATGGCAGTGGAGAGGCTTGGATCTATTTCTCCAGGGAGGGGAAGAGGTTTCAATCTATTTCTCCAGGGAGGGGAAGGTCCTCGTGATTATTTGGCAGAGGGACCCTCTTTCCGTGTGCTGCAAATGCTTTTGGCCATTTTGCAAAGTAACCTACAATCTGGGCAATACTAACACATTGGAAATTGTGGGAAAGTTATCTTCACTTTTCTTCCTTTGGGATAGCTAATTGGTTCTAACACATGGATCCGTTGCTGAAGAAGTCATGTTTAATGAAATTAAAATGTCATGGAATCTGTTTGATGAGACTCTCCTGCCTCTTTATACACTCTAAAGGACTCTTCTCTTGACTCCAACTATTAAAATTCCTAAATCAGGCTGTCCAATTGAATTGTCTGCAAAGAGGAAAATATTCCATATCTATTACATCAATGTGGTAGACACTAGACACATGTGGCTGTTTTGAGCACCTGAAATGTGACAAATAAAGGACTGAATTTTAATATTATTTAATTGTAATTCATTTAAATTTAAATTGACAAATGTGCCTATTGGCTATCTATCAGCACAGTTCAATGTTAGTTTCAATATTTAATTTGTAATTTACTCTCTTTATACTAGCTGCAAGATGCCAGTTATGATGCATTTCTTGTTCCTAAGTGATAGTCTAGATTGATTCCTCAGGATAGCTTAAAAAAAAAATGACTACAAATTCTTAAAACATTTAAAGCCACTGCAAAGGGAGGAAGAGGATTATTGATCTAAAATGGAGATAATCCAGTAGTGGGAATACTTTAAATGAAATGAAAACAAAATGGACTGTAGACTCTGCCAAGAAAAATGGAAGTTAGTTATAATTATGGTCTCCCCCTCGGGCTTACTTTAAGTCAAGGTTAAATCATCTAGAATCTGTTTTAGTTGTTCTTTCATCAAATTACTCAACAATGGCCACACCTCTCCTTTGCAGTGGTGCATTCATCATTGAATGTATAGTTGGGTTACCTGGAACCATATTCCAGTCTCCTACAAGTCTTCTTTTGTGGTGCAAAAGAAATGTAACTCTGACCAAGTGGCTGACAGCAGCAACTTTCTATTTCCTGCTATTGCAACATCAAAAACAAAAGTCTTTCCCCAACTCTGTTGCACAATCACTATTCGTGGTAGCAGTAAAAAGAAAAAAGAATCCCTGATGATTTTCAGATTGATTCCCCCAAATGATTACATTAAATGCTGTGATTAAAATTGAGGGAAAAATTACATTTAGAGAGAGTTCCCTTGTCTGGGAGATAAAAGCCATAGGCCATAGGGTTATAAACTGACAGCCTTGAAAGGAACTCAGGCTGGTTGAATGTCATTCCATAAACAAGGAGATGGCCCTACACACAGATTGAAAACGAAGTAAGGACTACGGAAGGGGAAAGGCACACTTCTTGAGTCTCTGCTTTGTACCACACCAGGGTATTTCCACGTGTGTTCCAGCCTCTGTTCTCACTCTGCCTAGCCATTAAGCCAGACACAACACTTCCTCCCACTCACCATTCAGGATCTACTCACCCTAAAGTATTGTTAACCAGTGTGAGATTTCTTGAAGATTCTGTAGCAGAGATAGAGGCAAGAGCTCTCATTATACACCATACTTTGAACAATCTAACAAATGTTCTTTTGTCACTTCTCTTCTCCCCAACGACCCTCTTTGACCAAGCCAGTGGGAAGATAAGGTAAGGGATATATTTTTCCCTCAACCCCTTTCCAGGATGCATCTAAATTACTCTATTTCCCATTCTAGTTTCCTCATTCTTCCTTCTAGGCCTCTAAATCCCTGCCCTTTTCTTATATACATTAATGGAATCATTCTTTTCAAATCATTTCAATGGCTTCCCAGCCCCTATAGAATATAATCTGAACCCCTAACTTGAGCCTCTCAATATTATCTGGGTCCTGTCTACCTCTCAGAACTCACTTCTTACCATGCATGCCTCATTCTACTCCTGATCCCTTGATCTCCCTGGGGAATTTGTCACACATACCCACCCCATGCCCACTGCAGGGTCTTTATACCTCAGCAACCTCTGCCAGGAACACTCTTCAACACTGAATTTTGCACAACTTGCTCCACCACCTCAGAAAGAGGACTTCTCTGAGCATCTTGAAAGGGAGACCTTCTCCCTGCTACCCTTTCCATTTCAGCCATTCTCTAACCCCTCCCCTGACTTTCTTTTTCTCCATAGCACTCATCATTACCCGCATTATATGGTTTTTCTATTTGACTATTTCTTTATTATCTGTCTTTCCCCAACTAGAAGGTAATCACCGTATCATCAGGGTCTTTGTCTGCCTTGTTCATCTATATCCCAAATATCCATGTGTTGAATGAATGAGTGGAAACAATTTAGCTCTTTCCTAACTAGTCTAACCTTGCGTGCCCACCACCCATCAATCTAATAAACAAACAAAAAGTCTTCCAACTACTGTCATCCACCCATTCTTAGGTGACAGCAATCAATTATAAATAAAAGCTATTTTCCCCCAAAGATACCTCATTAATCATCACAGGAACCTTGTCATGGATATGTTATTATAAATAATGAACATGCAGGGACACAGTGAAGACACAGCTGAGCTTTCAGACTGTTTGACTCCAAAGCTGGTGCTATTCCCATCACAGCACACTACCTTCCCAGCCTTCTGAGGCAATATACCTGAGAGCTTTGGGGAAACCACAGAGCTAGGTACACGTGGAAGGAATGCTATTCTTACGTGCAATGTCTTTCACTTCCATTGATCTGTACATTGGTCTTTGCACAATTTCCAGCCCTGCACATAATGACGCAGGTAATTTGAATTTGCTTTGAGGAAGACAGGTCTCGTTGGGGTCTTCCTGTCTCATTGTCCTTCCTGCCAAAGTGGCTCCTGCTGAAGGCACGAAAGTACCCAGCTTCTCAAATCGCAGACCTGGCTGAAATCTGGCCAGGACGTTATTTGTGGCACCATCCACAGTCCCCATCCAGCTCTGTGGCTGGAGCAGAATCAAAGCCAATGTCATCTCATACATAAGCATCTCAGGCCAAAACAAGACACAGATCTTACCCTCTCTTCTCCCCTGATGCACATGCCACACATATGAATATTAACCTGCACCATGGCTAACTTCAACATTTCCTCACCTGAGAACATGTGTAGGAGTATAACATGCTTATTCTATTCCAGTTTATATTACAAAATTTTTCACAATGTTCAGCATTTCATAAATAATACTATTTACTTATAAATTATAAATTATTGTTTATAGTCAAGAAATACTACTATTAATAATAATAGCATTGGTAATAAATTAGATGTAACATAACTCACCCCTAATGTCCACTGAGGTAAAAGATAATCAGGCAATCAGACTATACAAAGAAAAGCATATTTTAATTTACAATTTCACTCCAGTTTAAACATTCTAGTTCACCATTCTTTTTACTGGATTCAAAAGGTGATTGTGTTAGGGTATTGGAGCCATGACTAGTTTTTTTCTTCAGTTTACTTTTCTTCATTTTCAGAAGAGTAGGAAGATGAGATCAACAGGATAACGAATGAATTTGTTGAGAACTAAACTACTATAAGAAGTTTGACAACTGCATCATTTGACACAGAAAAGAGCAAAATCATGTCCAGTATAAGTTGGTTAATTCATGCAGCCTTATTGATTCCATTATTTGCTGGCAGTAGAGGTAGAGATGGAACCATTAGGAAAAAATCAGGAATTAAGACACAATCTCCTCTGTAATTACTTCAGAGTAGTTCAGCATAGACAGTGGGTGTCTGTATGTATACATGTATATAAGTTAACGTCAATATACACTCCAGGTGTAATTAGTTTAACATCTGCATTTCCTAATAAGAAATTCACACAATTCATGCTTCAGGATGGTTGGTTAGCATTTGACAGTCCCCGGTTGGAAAGCAAAGGAAAGCACTTCAGGAATAGTTATCTAAATATGCACCAGATGGTTTGTTAATTAGTATAAGGGATGTTATGTTATCCTTTTTTTTTTTCCACTGGCAAATGAGCGCTATTCAAGATATGTTGTTGGTTAGAAAGATTGCAGACATCTCCACCCTTGCTTGAGTAGGGAATATGCTCTGGTGTGCCCAGCAGCCTAACATCTTTGGAGATTATCCCCATTCTCTTTTGCAACACATCCCATTGGCCTGAGAAAAGGGTGATTATCATTCCTTAAGGACTCTTCTTATTCATATCCTAAACTTATAAAAGGAGATAAATGTGTTTAATGGTTTCTAAGACACATTGATTTCTAAAAATTGTCTTAGATTTCTTAAGCCAAATCCAAACTGTCAGAAGTACACTACTGGCAAAAACACAGCAATCAGCCAAAGACCAATTGTAGAAGAATTTCCCACTTTATCAAACACAGACGGTTAATGTATGTTCCTGACCAATCCTTGAATCCCAGTGATGCAGCCTCAGGCAACATTCTAGAATAAGTTGACATTATGCAATAGCCTATAAAACCAGCACGGAGGACCCTGCCAACTTCTAGAAATGTTTCATCACCTCACAAAGGTAATTGACCTAGTATAATGCTTATGTTTTGGCGAAAGTCCAGCTTCTGACCAATATTCACAGCAAGACATTTATGAATTGGGATTTTGTTTGCACTTTTATTGTGAAGGTTTGTCATTCATAACTTTGTGCAAGATTTTCCTTATAGATTCCTGCTATGAATTACTAGAAGCTTGAAATCCATGTCTCCATTCCCTTGTGCATTCTGTTTCCTTGACTACAATTCTTTTTCTCCTATTACTCCTCTTTCCTTTCATCAAGAGAGCCCCTACTCATTCTTGAACACCCAGTTCCAAAAGTCTCCTTTGCAAGGTAACTTCTGTCTCCTCAAGACATTTGCTCACCACTTTAGCACATTTGTTCACTCAAGAAATAATTAGTACACGCTTGTTGTATGCAAACAAGTGATCATTTCTAGGAACTCAGCAATGAGCAATCAGGTCCAGTCCATGCTCTTTTATTAATTTGGAAGAAAATCCAGTTAACATAATTTAGAATCAACCTATTGCATTCTCACCCACAAATTTCCACAATGCTAGTTCCTTTCTGTAGGAGACAAAGTGTCCTCCGGGGCAGGAATGTATTTCCTGGCAGCCTACTTGCACAGAAATTTAAACAGGTCCTTCAAAGATACCAAACCCTAGCCTAGGAACCATCCTGCATTCTGGGAGAATATGCACCTTGTGGTTTAAATGCATGCACCTTCAATTAATCCTCTGTTTAAGCTGCAGTCTGTCATACCGCACTGACAGAATTACTTCTGGCCTCCTCTACCAAGGGGCTGTTGGGGAAAGTCTGATCATATTTATTTCTTCAATTAATTAATCTAATTAATATTTGCTTCCTCAATCAACTGGTGAGGAAACAGGAATCGAGGAAAGTTGAGTGATTTGCTCAAAGTCAGATGGCTAGAATCATAGAATCATCTAATGTCCACTGCCTGTGGAAGCGATCCAATCCTCATGATGCCTTTGGCTATACTGGCCAGTTTATGCCTGTGATCACCTGCACTTATGTTTTCAGAGAATTAATCAGCGGTTTTAAATGTTAGAAAATTGTGTATTCATTTTAAGTACCCAGCACCCACTTTAGGACACATCAAGTTGGAGGGGACTACTGGAGGCTCAGGTGGCCATGGGAGTCGGTGGCAATGTACCTAGCACATTAACGGAGGAAAGGCTTTATGAGGAGTCACTCTCTGGAGAGCTTATCAACTGCCTGCCTGTCATCTTTGATAAAGGGACCATTAAATAGCATGAAATATGCTGCAGTAAAAAAATCTTGGAAATGTCCTCATAGAAACTAAAAATTCCAACAGGATTTGAAAAAACGTAGCAGCCAACAGAGACCAAAATAAATCTCATCAGGACTATCTCAGTTTAACATGTTGTTAAAATATCCCAAGACCTTTCTCAGCACATATATTATTCAAAGGTCAAAAAGTTCTCTGTGCAAATACCTAAAATATCCACAGGATGTTTCAGTAAAATGCCACAGTAAATTATTTCTCCAGTGCAATTCAGGGCTTAGGTTCCTGAATGAGGAAATAGGGGGTGAGTGTGACATACAAACCTCCATGTCCAGCCAGCTTATGGGAGCCACAATGGGGGTGGTGTGGTTTTAAATTCAACCACAATAAAAAAAATTTGAACTATTTTTCTGCACACTCCTGAATTAAAACTTATCCCTTGGATAAGGTTATGTATATTTTCACTGGTAACATTAAATAAAACAAGTTTAGATCAAGTAAAATTCTCGAGAGTACATATTAAAGAAGAACTAACACCCAAAGCTTAAGTGAAAAGGGTTGGGACTGATTCGTCAAAGCTTCAGTGTGCAGGGATAGAGCTGGCTTCAGGCACAACTGATTTTAGGGCTCACTTGCTGCATCAGGATGAGATTTTTCTCAGCTCGCTTCTTTTACTTCTTCCTTCTGTGTGTTGTGATCACTTTCCACCTGGAAGTAGGAGCAAGATGGTTGCAGCAGCTCCAAGCTTCAAATCCTCTCAACTTCACACCATTGATTAACTATGAGATGTAAGGCAAGGCAGTTGCCAAACCACTCTGCATCCCTGTTTCTACATCTGTAAAATGGGAATGCTATAATGCATATAAAGTGCTTAACACGTAGAAATGCTTAATGAATGTTGTTATCATAACACAATTCCCTAATAACAATAAGGACTGTCCATTTTCCTGATAGAAAGTTCTAAAAAGATATTCTAAGCTATCCAATCTGCAAGACTTGAACACATTCTCACCTAGAATACCCTTGCTTCTCAAGAAGCTTCAGCTTAACATTTTAATCTGGTAATAGAAACTGTAGTGGAGGAGACTCAAGAGAGACAGGTTGACACTCTCGTGTGTATTTGAATTCCTGAATAGAAAGCCCTTTGCGGAGGCCCAAGAGGTTTTCTCTGGGATGGACCTGGCACTGATCTAAAGGGGTTACCTCTGAAATATGTGTTTACATTTTTTAGAAGAACATATAGTTAGTTAGAACAACAATGGAATCATTTTCAGGTAGACTGTGTTCCCGTAGCAAGGAATGCATTGCCAAGCATGAAGCTGGGCATCTCAAAAAGAAAGAGATTAAAAACTTCACGTATTTGCAATTTCTTCTGAACATTTAAACATTAACTACGGTGCATGAAAAATATGACCATTGAGTGATTTGAGAGAAAGAGGTTGTAGTATAAGCTTTCACTTTGCTGTTCTGCCTTTTATATTCATTTTGCCTCTAGTAAAATGGGCTAGTGCCCATCAAATCCTGAAAAAAGACTCATTCTTGATTATTGTCATCTCTACCTGCCTCATCATTGGCCACCTGCATCAGAACTCCTCAGCTCTGCTGAAGAGATCATAAATAAAGTATTTGGGGCTCTATATAAAATAATTTTTTAATGTTGTTAATGGAACTTAGAAATTATCTTATTCAACTTCTTCAATTGACTGGTGAGGAAACAGGAATCCAGGAAAGTTGAGTGATTTGCTCAAAGTCAGATGGCTTGAATCATAGAATCATCTAATATCAGGGCTCATTTCAGACCAATCATGAATATAAAATTCCCTCCCAAATTATATTATTGGCTCACAGCAATCCTGTAAAGTTGGTGGGGCAGATACTATCACAAGAAGACTTAAAGCATATGGCCAAGTAACCTGAAAAAATTCAAAGTCCTGGCAAGGAAAGAAAGAGAATGGGAGGCTGGGAGGCAGAGAGCAAGAAAACAAGAATAATTTAAATAGAGAAGTAAAACACACTCTAATCTAGTTAGCAAGGTTACTTCTCTGTTGACACAAAATTTCTGCGATATGGTTAGATAGTGCAATGCATGTAACCCAAAGTGGTTTTTCACTCTCTGTGATGGTTCAGTGAGGTGGGCTGGTGAAATCTCAAGATCCCTCTAGATTGTCCTGTCCAATGGAACTTTCTGCAATAATGAAAATGTTCTAAATCTCACTGTCCGGTTTGGTACCCATAGCCACATGTGGGTTTTCAACACTTGAAATATGGCTAGAGTTGCTGAGAAACTGAATTTAAATTTTATTTACTTTTAATTAATTTAAATTTGAATAGCCATGCATGCCTAGTAGCTATTGTATTTGACTATACAGTTCTAGATGAATGAAGCTTCCCTAAGCATATCAACTTGATTTAACCTATACACTTGTTTTTCTTTGGGAGAGTAAGCTATAATGGGTGTTGAAATCAGATTTCTACACACATACACACATATATATGGCAGTACCAAAAATAACTATGTATTAGTGAGGATTCTTAGTTGAAAACAATGGAAAGCAAACATTTAATTTAAGCAGGAAAGAGATTTGTTAAAGAATGTGAAGTCACTCACAGAATCTCTGGAATGGTCAGCAACCCAGGCGTGGAGGCTGCATGGCCAGAGAAGTCCCAGTCATACTGCAGAGCTGGTCTGGAGGAAACACAACAGCCCCACCACTGAACGCAGTACAGGAGCCTGCTCTGCTGACCCGGCAGATGCTGGGCACTGGTTGCCTCCACCGGGAGCCCTGCAATTGCTGCTTCTGAAAACTGAAGGCATCAGCTGCCACCACCACAACCAGACTGGATTCTACATGGCACCTGCTGCTTTCAGTCACTAGCTTCTGATTGCAAGTCTTGGGCAGGGGCAGCTGATTGACTGAGCCCAGGTCATATGTCTATGCTCAAGTGGAAAGGGAGGCTGGAATAAAAAGAGTCTGGCTTCTATAGAGGGAGGCAGACTCATAAGCCAAGGAGTTCCCCTAAGAAAAATAAATGTCTGTTACACCTGCCTTGTAGGAAAGAAGGCTAATGTGTTAAAGGTACTAGTCCTCCTGGGTGATGGGCAGAGCTATAGAATTGAAAACATGGGGGCAGATTAAATGCAGGCATATGAGGCACTACGTGCTACCATGGGGAAATTGAAATATGTCAAAAAATTGTAAGAGGGTATGTTAGCAAAAGGGAGTTTTGTGAGAGAAAATAAAATAGCTGCCACGATGAGAGACTGTGTGAAGTGTGACATTCCATTTTGCTACTTTTTCATGTCACTCCAATAAAAACTTATTACTTTTTAAGACTTTTTTTGGAGTTACATGTGTGTGTTGCATAATTGGAATTATTGTACACATTGTACATATTCTTGCTTTTTTATGTACTCTTTAATGCAACACGGATATCTTTTCCTTTAAATATGCACACCTCTATGACATCATTTTTAATGCCTGTATAGTATTCTAGCGTACAAATATATCATACTTTAACCAATCTCTTAATGATAGTTTACAACTTTTTCTTACGAGTCATACCATAACGAGCATCTCTGTACTTTTATCTCTGTGTGCTTGATGAGTTATTCCTTTAGGTTAAATTCCTAGAAAAAGAATTGCTGTGCTAGTAGTGGCTAAGCATACCTAAACATTTTGATTTATATTTGCAGACTGTCCATGCAGAGTTGGGACTAATATGACACGAGTGAGGCACTTTTCCTTGGACACAAAATTTAACGTGCTATAAACAAACCTCAGTAATCAAAACAAATATTTTGATACAATATTTTTAAATCAAAATTCATGCAAGAAAAGTCCATGATGAACAAAATATCAACATTTGAAATAAAGGTAGAATCAATATTATTGATTTTTCCTTTTACCTCAAGCTCCAATATTGTTGGCTTGATACTGTTCCCACCATGTTCTTGCCAACCCTAGGCTCCTACCTTTAATTCTTATCATTCTGATGGGAGAAAAATGACATCTCATTTTAATTTTCTTTTTTTTGATTGCCATTGAGATTGAGCATCTTATATGTTTATTGGCCATTTGCATTTCTTCTTGTATAAATTGTCTTGTTCATAATGATTGTTTACTTTGTCTATTTAGGTGTTCATATTTTATTGATGTGTAAGAATTCCCGTACTTTGCAAATATTTTCCTAGCTTTTCGCTTTTCATTTAACACTGTTTTTTTCAGGATCAATGCCTTAAATATTTATATAGTCAAATTTGTCTCTTATGTTTTGAATGCCTCTGCTTTTTACCTGCAGAAAGACCATTTTATTGTGATTGAAAATGAAGGCTTTTGAGTCAGACAGCCTGGATGTCACTCACCAGCTCTGAAACCATAGGCATGTAGCATAATCTATGTGTGCTTTGTCATATATAAAATGGGGATAATAACAAGACACCCTTCAGAGGGTTTTATGAGAATAAAATGAGTAACACAAAATGCTTAGAAAAATGCCAGGCACATAGTAAGCTCTCAATAAATGTGAGCTATCACCACTGCTAACTATACACAAGATTTGTTTTTAGATACTTGACTCTGTTCAATTTCTGTGTTCCTGCTCTAGTACCTTACTGTTTTAGTTACCATAAATTTATTTGGTGTCTTTTGATCTGGTTAAGCAAGCTCCTTTCTCATTTTTATTGGTTTTTCAAGTTTTTCTTGGCCGTTTTCATTCACCTGTACATATAAATGAATTTTAAAAGCTATTCGTCAAGTACCACAAAACCTCACTGGGATTTTAATTGAAACTGTATTACATTTATATATTACTTTAGGGAAGCGTGACATCTTTACAATATGAGACTTCCTGCCCAAGAACATGATGTTTCCCTTTATTTAGTCAAGTCTTCTTCTTTTTATTCTTTTATTAAGTTTTATTGTTTTTAAAGATGTACATCTTGCACATTTTAATTTTACTTGGTGTTTTAAATTTTTATTGCTATTTATTTTATTATTGGACATTACATATATGTATAAAGAGATGATGTCTGTGTGTTCTCTGTAAGCCTTCACATTGAGCCCCTTTATATACTTTCATTTGTTTTCCAGTTGATTACGTGCTTATCTGAAATGAACGTATGACCTAGCCATTGAGCTGACTAAAGTCCTTCAATAACCCTTTAGGTCAAAGTCCAAACTTCTGGTCCTGACATACATTTATTAATCCATTTCCAACATTGATTTGTTTTCCTATACAACAAATATATATTTAGTACCTGTTCTGTGCCAGGCACTATGGAGCACCCAGGATCCATCAATAAACACACAAAAATCTCTGCTGCTAAGGAGCCTACACACAGGAGGAATTTGTTTTAGCTCATGCCTATGGATCCACCCTCACCACCTTTGCTTTTTTGCAGGTGCTGTGTACTTCAGCCATACTGAATTAGTTGGAATTCTCCTGAAACACCTTCTTGTTAAATGCCTTTTTCTTTTTCCGCTTGTTTCCACTTGAAAAGTGATACATATATATCCTCATGACTCATGTCAAGGACAGTATCCCCTTAGCAGCCCTCTCGGGTCTTCCATGCAGAGCACAGAGGTCTCAATTCCATGTCGCACTATCTTAGAGACAATTTCTTCAAGTACAATTGTTATTTGATTCTCCTATGAGTTCCATTGTCAGCAGGAATGGGGTCTCGGTCATCTTTTGCTACCTGGTAACATGGTAGCATGGTGGTGTTCATTAAATATTTGGTAAAGACATAGATTGAGTTGGTGGGGGGACACAGCATGATCACACATGTCAATGTATGGCTACATAAGGTCGGTGCTGGGCGGTGGTATGGGTCATCATAATTAGACTTATAGGAGCCAGGGGAGGAGATCTCCATGGCTGAATGGATAGGCCTGGTTTCCTAGCGGAGATGGGCCTTTAAGCAGATACTGAAGAAGTTTGAAGCTTTTGTCAGCTCTTTCTACCCCATTTATTTTCCTTCCCTCCACAAAAGGGTCTAAGATCAAGGATGTTGCCCTAACAAATTTTACATGCCCAGGGAATACAAAGTGAGAAAAGGCTAAGTTGAGAGTATAGCCTGCAGCTGCAGGCACAGTGCTTTTTGCGGAGTTTCCAGAAAACGCGAGTTGGGTAGAATTGGAACTAGAACCTGGCAACTTGGCTTTGAAAGGACCTAAATGGAATCACACATGAGGCAGGAGGTGCTTGGTGGGCAGAGCAGACGGCTTGTGCAAGGGAAAATGTGATATTCTAGAAATATGCCTGATAATATAATCAAGGGCAGATTGTGAGGGGCTTTCAAATGCCAGGTGAAGAATTTTAAAATTTAAAGTGTTTTTGTTTGTTTATTTATTTATGAGACAGGGTCTCACTCTGTCTACCAGGCTGGAGTGCAGTGATGCAACCAAGGCTCACTACGGCTTCAACCTCCTGGGTTCAAGTGATCCCCCCACCTCAGCCTCACGAAAAGCTGGGTCTACGGGTGCATGCCACCACGCCTGGCTAATTTTCATATTTTTTGTAGAGATGGGGATTTTCCATGTTGCCCAGGCTAGTATTGAGCTCCTGGATTCAGGCAACCCGCCTATCTCAGCCTACCAAAGTGTTGAGATTACAGGTGTGAGGCATCTCGCCTAGCTCCTATTTGTATATTTATCTGTAACAATTTACATGGCTCAAAAATCAAAAGTCCCCATAGCATATTATAGTGAAAAGTTCCCCTCCCACTCCTATTCCTCAGTTACCCAACTCTCCACTCCTGAGGAAACTGATGTTTCTTATGTATGCTTCCAGGGATATTAAGTGCATATTACAAGAAATTGGATATGCATGTGTGTATGCGTGTGTATTCTTTTTTCACAAATTTTAGCTGTTTTCATTTTACAGTATAGTTTAGAGGTCATTATCATCAGTATATAAATAATTTCCTTTTTAACAGCTGCATAGTACTCCACTGTAGAGATGAATCATAATTTATTAACAGTCCCCAATAAATGGACAGTTAAATCACTTCCTGTATTTTGCTATTACATATAATGCTACAATAAATAATTTTTCAAATAGGTTATTTTGCATGTATGACTCTATTGGTAAGATAAATCCTGAAAGCACTCATCACTAGGTCAAAGAATAGGCTAATAAATTTGGGTTCCAGTCTGTAATAGGGATGCATTAAAAGTTACTTGCTAAAGCATGCATGTACATATAGCATTTTAAGAAATCTAATTCATATATAATTATTTAGGTATGACAGATGATGGAAGAGGAAGGAGTCTAAGGTTACTTTAAGTTCATTAATTAAAAGGACTGGCATAGCCAACACTTTAGCCATAATGGAGCATATTTTCACCCAAAGACTACTTTCCAATCTCCACTGCCATGTAGGCTTTCCACTAGATCTCAACCAGACAATGGAGAAAGAAGCGGGTGTGGGGGGCTTCATGCATGGGAATTACGTTAAAGAACCAGGGAGATTAGAGACATCCTTGGATAGATATTGATAGAAACAGAAAGTTCTAGAGATGAAGTTGGCTAATTAGCCAATGAAAACCCAAAACATACCAGCCCCAAAATAAAGAAAATCTCTGATCTACTAATTATCTGAGAAAATTTTAAGAAAAATATTAATCTGGGGGAAATAACAAGATAGAAGGTAGATTTTTGCCTCAGTTTCCTTGGAGTTGGAAGGCCTGGAGTTGGAATATTCTGACAAGGAATTAAAATGAGAAAGTTCCCAATAGAAAGCGATCTCTGCAGGCTTTGTCCTCAGAATCTGCCACCTCAGATTTGAACCATGACCTTTGCTGCTCCCTGTCACTCAGCCATGACTTGGGAAGGGAGATCAAGGTCTTGCTGAGCCTTCACAGTGTGAGCTCAGCCTGCAAATGCCCAGCTCCTTAGGAATGGAAGACAGTCGTCAGCTCAGCTCAGCTGACTGATTAGCTGGGAATCCTCTAGGGAGCACACTTTGGCTAGAATCCTGTAATTCAGCCATCCAGTTAACCTTTTAAGTGAATAAAAGTCAAATACAGCACCAGGGCCAAAGCTATGAGTTGGTGTGATGACAAGCAATCCTTTAGGAAGACACAGGATTCTTGAGAGGTAAAAATACAGAGCCTGTCTACATTCTGCTCTCCCTCTTGGAGAGCAAGCTCTAAAGTATTTAGTGGTGTGTGTGGTGGTATGTGCCATAGTAAAACTCCGCTAGGGAAGGGACGTAACCTGTTTGGCTTACTGCTCTATCCCTAGTGGTTAGAATAATGCCAGGAACACAGTAAGTGCTCAGTAAACATTCATTGAAAGAATCAATGCATCCACTGTGAATGAGTGAATGAGTGAACAAATCCACAGCATGTGGGTTCCTTTGCCTGCATTTGTGTATATCCTTACACAACACAAATCAAATCTATATGTGGATATCCATTGGTCTTATGTTTTTCACATATGAAATGACTTTAAATCACTGTGTAAGTAGCTGTAAATGAACCCTATAGATTTTGCTAGCTCCTTCTCTTTGCCAGCTCCTTAAATATTAGTGTTCCCCTGAGCTTTATCCTTGGCTTCTTCTCATTTTCTCTCTTTCAGAGAAACCTCATCCATGGCTTCAACTCTCATCTATATAGGCTAATGACTTCCAAAACTCTCTGCAGCCCACAATTCCCTCATGACTTCCAGCTCTGAGGATCTACCAATAGTCTCAATATCTACATTCAGATGCTTCAGAGGTATCTCAGAATCAGTGTGTCACCAACTGTATTTACTATCCACCCCCTTCACATCATCTGTTCCCTCTCATTTATTCTGAATTTTTTTTTTACAAGAACTAAAGAATGAAAATATAGGCCAGGCACAGCAGCTCATGCCTGTAATCCCAGCACTTTGGGAAGCCAAGGCAGGCAGATGACCTGAGGTCTGGAGTTGAAGACCAGCCTGGCCAACATGGTGAAACCCCATCTCTACTAAAAATACAAAAATTAGCTGGGCGCAGTAGCATGTGCCCGTAAGCTCAGCTACTCAGGAGGCTGAGGCAGGAGAATCACTTGAACCCAGGAGGCAGAGGTTGTGGTGAGCGGAGATCACGCCACTGCACTCTAGCCTGGGTGACAGAGTGAGACTCCATCTCAAAAAAAAAAAAGGAATAAAAATATAAAGGCATGTTATCTTTAGTAGCTATCATGTTTATTGTGTTACATGTCACTCTCCATTCTAGAGCAAATTCTGGTCCATAGTCAAGAGCTTCCTGACTGTTGGGCTAGGCTATGCCATTACTGGGTTATAAGTTGTTACCTAAGAAATCAATCCTCTCAGCCCTTGGAGGATCTAGGAAGAGCTTAGGGAATCTAAGTATGAGCCCATGGAGGAACTGGGAATAGTTTAGAGAATCTAAGTATGCCCCAGGTCTAGGCATCCTCATCTGTTTACCCCTGATTTCTATGTATGCCACATCATAAAGCAGATTTGAAAGCATTGATCTTGTGTTTGATCCTCCAACTATCCATGAATTCTCACCTATACATTTCATCATCACAATAGTGAATATTCATACTGGTGACCCTCTTCCACAGCAAGATCCTAACTGCCAAGTGAATCATCCAATAATACTCAATTAAACTCCTGAGTGTTTAGGGAATTGGATTTTGTTATGGAATCAGAATCTAGAATTTGGGGAAATCTTGAGCCACTTCTTTATCTCTAACTATCTCTTATTTACAAGTGAAGACATCAGGGCTTGAGATAAAGTTGCTTGCCTTGGAGGATACAAAGCATTTGTAGCAGAATTAGCCTGAGAAACTGGAAGTAGACTCTCAGCCCAGTGCTCTCATGTATTGTACCTTCCTAACCCACTCACTAGAGCCCTCTTTCACAACTGATCTCTTATTTTAGAGTGAACACACAGTGATTGTCTATTAACCTAAACACTTAGACTAAACATGCTTTGGCCTTTTCATGCTAACTAACAGAGTTTTATTGTTTTTGTTCCTCGATATCTAATTTCCAGGCTCAATCAGTGATGAATTAAGTAATTTTCAAAAATTGTTTATTTTTTTATAAGAGATGATTAAATTCCAGAGTTTGGCCTTGAATATGAAGTGACTGTTTTTATTTTACTCCTGTTAGTATATTTTTCCTTGCCAGAACAATGCATTTTTTTCCTCTGTTTCAACTCTAGAAGTACGAAAAAATCATTTTGAAATAGTTTATTTTACATTTGGGAATGTAAATCGAGATATGATAAATACAAAAATCAAATAAGAAAGGAAAACACCATTGGAAAAGGGACCACACATGGATACCAAAGCCAAGGGTGGAAAGTTCAGGCTCCCGGAGCAAGAAAAAACATCAACCTGAGTAGGGCATTTCTCCACTCCTGAAAGCCTGGGCATTTAGAAGCACATTTAGAAGTTAGACAAGCCAGTTTCTCAGTTGTGACAAATATACTTGGTATTGTTAAGATGTTAACAATGGGGAAACTAGGCAAGGGGCATATGAGACTTCTCTGTACTACCTTTGCAACTCTTCTGCAAATCTAGTATTACTCCAAAATAAAGCTTATTTTTTAAATGTTAAAAAAAAAGAAGTTAGACAAGCAAGTGTTCAGGGCCCAGCACAGTCCACATCCAGACAGTGAGCTTCTCAACACTGTAATATAAATCAACTTAGTGCAAAGTAAACAAGTAAGGAATGCCTTATAGAAGTTGATAATTACATTGCAAACATTTTTGTGTAATACCTAACTTAAATATTGAAAAAGAAGGTAACTGGGGCCGGGCATGGTAATCCCAGCACTTTGGGAGACCGAGGCAGGTGGATCTCTTGAGCTCAGGAGTTGGAGACCAGCCTGGAAAACATGGCAAAACCCCATCTCTACAAATACAAAAAAATTAGGCAGGCATGGTGGCATGCACCTGCAGTCTCAGCTACTCGGGAAGCAGAGGTGGGAGGATCACTTGAGCCTGAGAAGTTGAGGCTGCAGTGAGCCAAGATCGTGCCACTGCCCTCCAGCCTGGGCGACAGAATGAGACCCTGTCTCAGCAAAATTTAAAAAAAAGAAAGAAAGAAACGAAAAATAAGGTAACTGAAGGTATAGCAAACACTAATCTTCAGAATTTTTAGTCAAAAAGGCCTACATAAGTGAAACTAAAGGCAAAAACCACCAAAGTTTATGGCCTCCCTTTCTCTCTCTCTCTTTCCACATATCTCCTTTTATCTCTCTTACTTTCTCTCTTTCATGTCTACAAGATTCTCTTCTTTATTAGCTCTGGTGCCCACAGTGCACCTGCATTTGTTTCTATGACTTTGCACAAGGCAAACTCCATGAAATGCAATCATTTGAGACTTCAGACTTCATGGAAACATGTGCTTTTCTGTCGAGGGCTTAGGCTGCCCAACCTGCAAGCTCTCCTCAGGGAAAGGCTTTGTAGGACAGGCTCCTGCTGGGCTTGTGAGCCTAGCCAGAGATCAGACACAACCTTCAAAAGCCTATCCGCACCTTTTCATAATTGTTTCTGCTTTTCAAAAGAAGAAGACCTTCTATGGCGTCTAGTGCTATCTTTATATGATGACTCATCTGCCTCTTTGGCCTGTACTTTCCTGTTTCAATCAGTCTTGCCTCTCCAACTGTTTCTGCTACTCCTTCATGTGGTGTCTGGTACATTGCCTACTCTCTACCCCACACACCTTCCTGGCACAAATGAAGATGATTTGGGAGCTGTTCCTCTAGCTTCCTGTGAGCTACTCAGATCTTGACTGTTTGGTCTATCTCATGGGCCTCCCACCTCCTAAACTCTGAGCCAGCCTGACCAAAGCAGATAGGCCATGAACTGCCTCAACTCCACCCCTAGGCTAGACCCAGAATTAAACAGGCTTCCCTAGAAGGATCCTTAGAGTGTTGGGAGAAGCCTAGGAGTCCAAGAGCTTTAAGCTGGTGTCCTCATTAACTCCCTTCTCCAGCCTTCATCTTCTTTCATCATGACCTTTTATGTTCTCCAGGCCCCTACTGGGTCAAGAGTTATGACACTTAACCCTAACTTGCCAGCGCTGTCTGTGGGAGCCAAGCCTTTCTCCCACAACCAGCCTGCCACATTGGATCTCATTGAATTGCATAGCTTGCCCATACCAAGGCCAAATTTGCCCTGTAACTTTCAATACTAGATGTTAAGAAAACCAGACATCCCATCAGGAGTTAGTCCTTCTGGCAAGCCAGCCCTGCCCTTCTGATTCCCCAAAACCTCATTTTTCTTCACTTACTCATAATATTGCTAGGATATCCACATAACCAAAAGCCAAACCTAACCACATCACCCAACTGGTTTTCTAGATGTACACATGTGGGACCTCTGTCTCAACCTCCGACTTTCACAGATCATTGGTTAGGCTCACCTTCCTGTAATTGCTTCTGTTTTTCAAAGGGAGAAAGGCATTTGATGGGACAACATGCATTACTTTGACCTACTTGGCTGCCACTAAGAAATATTCCTTCCCCCTATCCCTGACTAAAGCCTTCACCCATGACCTGGTTTCCTCCTTGGAAGGAGGAGTCTTTCCAGGTACCTGCCAGCTTACAGATGCCAGATTTAGCAAGTGAAATACAGAATGCCCATTTACGTTTGAAATTCAGATAAACAGCAGTATAAGTATAGCCCATGTGATACTTGACATTTATACTGCTGTTTATTGGAAATTCACTTGTAACTGGGAATCCTGTATTTTATCTGGTAACCCTTCTCCAGCCTAATGAGTGGATCCAGACAATAGACAACCAAAATAGACTCCTTGGTTCTGGACATAGAGTTTATCTATCTATTTATCTGGATTCAGTGGCCACAGGAACCATGCACAGTTACGCCTTCATCATGTAATTTTGACCCTCAATAATATTATAAATATAGGAAGAGATATTAAGATTTTCTTGGGTATAACACGACATAAAGAGGAGAGAGTTACCACATAAAACCCCAGTTGTCACAATTAAACTTTTTATTTTTCCAGATTTTTACACAATGCTCACTCCTAGAATTGCCTTCTGGAACAGTTTTGGCTCATTTAAAATCTTACTTCTTCTTTGGCTGAGATAAGAATCACTCACATAGGAAAACATTCAGGCATTTCTTCTATGATTTCCCAGCTGCAGATGCTAAATGTTCTACCAGTTCCAGTCAATCTGGCAGAAAAGACCAGGTCTAATGGCATACGAAAAACACTTCAAAATCACACGGGCACCACAGAAGTGGTAACACATAGAGAAGAGTATATTTGCTTAACAAAGAAGAAGAAAGAAGGAAGAAGGAAGAAGAAAAGAAAGAAGAAGAAGAAATGGTCTGAATTCTAAGCATGACCTCTAATGGATATGAAATAGGCTAGAACAACTGGGGCTACAATGAGTGTTTAAGTACTTGGGGAGGTGAATTGTCTCTCTGGAAATAGCACCAGAAAGTCCTTTCAGAAGGAGATCCTTTTTTAACCAAACTGAAAGGAACATGATGGGCATGGGCAGAGGAATGAGCATTTCAGAAGACAAAACACGACACGCACATAAGGCAGGGGCTGGGCTGGGTTGCACTGCAGGGAGTGGACAGCAGGCTGAGCGGCTGGATTGGAATGGAATGCTCACATGTAGTCAGAAGAAGAGCTAATAAGGATGCATCCCTGGGAAGAAGAACGGAGATAAGCAGGGAACGTTGAACGACTGCCCAGCCCTCCTAACCCCTCTTAGGATCTGTCCCTGGGCAGGGAGAAGTAAATGAGTCTGAAGTGAATAATTCAATGTCAAGTCACTTGTATTTCATGCCTCCCAGGTGCCACGGACTGGCCTTCCCTAAGTCCCCAAAACCTTTTTGACTGGACCACTTTTGTACATTTCCAAATTCTCTAATTCTTAGGTATTCTCATCTGGAAAGCGGGCCTATCTCACAGGGTTGATGTGAAGATTAGAATTTGTATAAATAAAATATCCTAGGAGAGCACCTGGAACCGAGAAAGTATTTGACAGCAGACAGCTATTATTATGCCTGTTTTCAAAAGATAGTGTAGATCAGTGGACATAGCACAAACTCAGAGTCCAACTGACTTTGGATGCTGTTGCAGGGCTTATTCTCCACAAAGCAGATGCCCAGATGGGATTTGTGCACAGGGAGATTATTGGCTGGCACAGTAGGATGCAAGTGCTGTGAGGAAGTTGGGGAGAAGCTAAACTTTGATGCAGTCACAACAGGGGCAGCCCATCCCATGGGAACTCTCATGCTCAGCTGACCCTTCTGAAGTATCTTGCTTCATGGCTAGGAGATGGGGCCGTTATTCCTCCTCATCCACCAGTCATCAAGTCTGTGCTGGCCCTGGGAGGTGGCTGCCTTCAGGTGAGGGCAATTCCTAGAGAGGGGCTCACCTGAGAGTGCCAGCCACTGGGTGAGGGAATGAGAACCTCATCCTGGGCACGAACCACAGCATCCTCTACTGGTGTTCAATACATGGTCATAATTATCGGTGTTAATTATCTTTGTTGGATCAGCTAGTAGCTGCTCATCCAAGTCCTTGTCTTGACTTGGTGGGCACAGGTAATATCCAGGTCTTTGACCATTCCACCCACTTGGATGGTTGGAAACAGAGGTTTGCAAATTCTCAAGCAAAGAAGGAATGGGGTGAAATTGGTATTCAAACCTGATTTTAACAGCTGTTCATGGATGATCTTGGAATGGAGGAGAAATTAAAGATAAGAAGACCATCCAAGAGGCAATCAGAGTAGCCCAGGCTTGGAGTGATGAGAGCTCCCAGTCCATGGCAATAGTTGTGGAAATTGTGAAGGTTTGGGATTCCAGAGACAGTAAAGGGAGGGAGTAGAGGGACAGAGAGATTTCGTAATGAACCTAAGGTGGTAAATTAAGGAGGAATAGGAGCACAATATTCTCTAAGGTTGGGAGGATCTCAGAGGTTAACAATTGGAAGTAACTAGATAGCAGTACTCTTCTGTAGAGAAAGGTGACTAATTTGGTTTTTGACATGAAATGTCCCTGAGACAGATGGAGAAATGGCAGTGAATAAACAATCAGGCTGGAAAGTTGTCTAGCTAATTAATTTTTTTTAATTAATAGACTCTTTCTGCAGTATTAGGCTTACAAAAAAACTGAACAGAAAGTACAAAGAGTGTCCATATACCCTCAAGTTTCTCCTATTATTAATATCTTGCATTAGTATGATACATGTGCTACAGTTGATGAGCTAATATTAATATCTTATAGTTTACTAGACCTATTCTTTGTGTTGTACATTCTATGGGCTTTGAAAAATGTAATATGTAAAAATATCCACCATTACAGTATCATACAGAGTAGTTTCACTGCCCTAAAAATCCCCTGTGCTCTGCCTATTCATCCCTTCCTCCTTCCAGGTTCCTGGCAACCATTGATCTTTTTACTGTCTTTCTAGTTTTGCCTTTTCCAGAATATCACATAGTTGGAGTCATACACCATGTCGTTTCTTCAGATCTGCTTGCTAATGAGATTTTTGAAATAGACTTTGATTTGCTTGGAAACTCATTTGATTTTCAACAAGGTAATAATAACAGCTTTTGTTGTACTTGATTTGCCTTTATTCTTAAATAACCTTATTTTAAAGGAGACTTTATATCACTAGCATATATAGAAAAATAGTATTCCCTGACATAATACAGGACAGCTATGAAATATATCATTTAAATAGATAGATAGATTTATATTTAAATTATAAAATGATCATGCATGTGCTATCTAAAAATAACCTTTCTTACCACCTGTTGATGCCCACACTTTAGGAGACACTGACTTAGATATTTCCCAGCCCCCACTTTCAGTTCCATTCCTTTGATCTGCAGCATGAAGGCTGGGAAAAGAGAAAACCAAAGGAAAATAGACTTGCTGCCTCCAAGTGTTTGAAGAGCTCCCAAGAAGAAGGAAGAAGGGAGCATTCAATAAATGCCTGCCATGTGCCAAGTACCATGATAGATGGTTAAAATATATTATTTGGCCCAAACTCCACAATGGCCCAGGTGATGGGGATCCTGATCTTCGTCTAAGAGACCAGAAAGCCAAGATTCTGAGAGATTCTAACATGCTCTGCTACTTAAGTGATGGAGCAGAGTCAAACCCAATATCTCCATCCATTCATCTGGACTGTGTGGCCCATCAGGGTGAAAGAGATTTATTCTTTGTGCTTTAGAAAGCAGGACTAGGACCAAATGTTGCATAAGCATATTTCACTTCAGCTCAGCTCAGAAGTACTTTTCTTGTGTTATCATGGTCTAACAGTGGAAATAGACTGCCTTGGGGAAGTAGTGAGCTTTCTCTGCCCTGAATGTGCAGAAACTATGGCTGGAGACCACCTAAATGGGGAGCCACAGAGGGCTCCCAAATGTGAGATGGGTATGGGATCTCTAAGCTCTTCTGGGCCAAACATTCTGTAACTCCAAGCCTCTGTGCCTCCTTCTACTAACACCTAAACTTCCAAAGAAAAAGCCATTGGCTTGTTTGAACATCAGCAGGGCATTAATACATCTTTGGGTCACCTTAATCTTTCTGCAAACCATATTCCTTCTGCAGCCTTTATTAGGGCACCACATGAAAGACAGAAGGCATCAAAACAACTGTTTCCAGATGAATCTGATGAGTTGAATTATTGGAAAAAACACGTCATTGGAAAGCTGACACACTTCTGGAGACCGGGAAAACGTATTCCATAAGTCTATTAGTATCACCTTGGATAGAGATAAAAGAGCCTCCTTGCAAAAGAAATATGTTGAAACGTGACTTGAGCATCAGCTTGCTGTTTAGCAAAAAGCTCTGAGGTTAATCTTCTCTTTTGTCAGTAGATATTACCACTGACTCTAGGATAATACATGGATAATGTTTTAGCTAATCCTTTAACATCTTTATTTAACTACCCTGTAAGCAATGAACTTCGGCCTCAGAATTCCTGGTAATACTGACATGAAACATAAAGATTTAGAAGACTCTTGTATTACCCCTGTTTTATTGGGTGAAAAAGTTCACAGTTCTATAAAGTATATGTATCTGTCAGTTCAAAAGGCACAGCCAAGCTCTTTAGAGCCTACTCTAGAGCCTACTTTTTAGGTGAGTTGCTCACACACACACACACACACACACACACAAGCACTCACACAAGGACAGGCACATGCCACAAGGATAGCTCAGGAAGTCATCATTCATTTGGAATGTCTTCATTAATAAGTATATATAGATAGATAACAAAAGCCATGATTTTGCTGTCTCCTGCTCTGAAAGAAATGGAAGATCCCAGTCGCTGGACAGCCTAACACCATCTCACTAAGGGCCCTGTTAATCCAACAGAAATGTGTTCAGAGTACCCCGAAGGATTTCCCTGGAGGGAAAAGCTGATGTATGTTTAGCTCTCTGTGCCATAAGTGGAGCCTAAGCTTTCTTAAGGCGACTTTCACAGGGAGAAGGATGCCACCTTTTCTCTCTCCTGTTAGTTGCTGGACTCCCAGCTCTGTTATGTCAGGTGCCTGTGCACCCCTTTAACCAGCACACTCAGGACCAGCCTTGGGGCCCTCATAATCCTTCAACTCAGACTCACTAACCACCCTCCAATGTCGTCTTGAAGTAGTTTTTTAAATAAATACTTGGATTCACTTTATCTACCAAATATCTATAACACAACACCAAAATATAATCAAATGAAAAATGTATACACTTTGTACATCTAATTAATTGATCTGTGAGACTCCAGTAACTCTCTCATCCATGATTCATGAGGGTTTTATGAACCATCAAAATCTTCTCAGTAGTGCATATTAATATTGTATTTCAACAAACTCTCCTGTTTATGTTCAGAAGACATAGAATGTCTCTATGCTTCAGAATAGCCAGACAGATTCCACTTGGTAGAAAAGTGTGAACCCATAATCTTTTAACCAAGGCTACTACCAGGCTACTACCACCACCTTTCCATTTTTTTTTTAAATTAAGAACAAGGTCATTCCCTCTTGTCTGGCAAGGGCAACAATGTCCAAATATGGGCATCCTGGAATAAAGAACCTTTTTTCCACTTGAATTCCTATGGAGATCAACATGGCAATTATAATGCTTGTGTTCATCATGGAAACTGTCTTCAACCAGTTTTGCATGCATGTAGTGCTACAAACAGAATAAACATGCAGTGTAGATTTCAAATTGTGGCCACGTTGGAGAAACAGAATTTATAAACTGTAGCTCCTGCTTTTTCCCTGCTCTTTCTTTTCCAGAAGGTATATCAACTTCATTCTCCCTGCAAGGCCCATGGAGCCAATGGCAGACACCATTGGCTGCAATTTCAAGAGGCTCCAAACATTTCTGAGCTTAAGCAAAGTTGTAGCAGAGTTCAAGTATCCTTATTGCTCCTGCAACACTAATACCAGTTACCCAAGGTGAGGAGAGGAGGGGACAGGAAATAAATATCTGTTGAGGACAGACGGGAAACCAAGCACTGTACTCTGTCATCCAATCCTGAGAGCCATCCAGTGAATTCAAGGGAATCATCATTCCCAAAAGGTGATCAACAAGTGCTACTTCCCTTCCCACCCCGTCTTGCAGGTGAAAAAAACTGATGCTCAACATCATACTAACTTGCGACAGTGTCAGAATCCCAGGCTTCCATCTGCCTATAGAGTTCATTCTTTTCCTGTTACCAAATGCTGACTCCTTTAATTCTTTCTGTGGATTTGGGCTCTGGTTTCTCAGTCTCCATCAGAGCCTTGATAAATTGTGGTGTAGTTTGTGCCTTGCACAAAGAAACCAGACTGCTGGGCAGGAAGGGCTGAAAGTTAGCCTGTGCTCTACCCAAAAAGCCATGTCTCCTTCTGGGGCTGTGCATTACTTTCCAAAGTCTGCTTTAACAAATTACCACAAACTGACCAAAAACAACAGAAATTTATCCTCTCACAGTTCTGGAGGCCAGAAGTCCTAAGGTGTTGGCACGATTGGGTCCTTCTATAGGCTCTGAGGAAGCATTTGTTCCCTGCCTTTCTCCTAGCTTCTGCCAGCTGCCAGCAATACTTGGCATTCCTTGGCTTGTAGTTACGCCACTCCAATCTCTGCTTCCATCATCAAATGGCCTTCTTCTCACTGTTTCTTTTCTTCTTATAAGGACACCTGTCATTGGATTTAGGGCCCATCTGGGTAATCCACGATGATCTCAATCTCAAGATCCTTAATTACATCTGCAAAGATCCTTTTTCCAAATAAGATCATATTCACAGGTAGTAGGGGTTAGGACTTGCACATATCCTTTTGGGGCCAACATTCAAATCGCTACAGGTTGTATACACCTGAAGGAAGAGCAGCTTTTTTTAACTGTGGATGTGCTTTCCTCTTTAGCACAGGGACCTGTGAGCCAATGAAGCCCTGGTCTCCTTGGTGCATTCCCTGATGCCTGTGTCCATCAGTCTGGGCTTCTGACCCATTCTTTCTATTCATGCTACCAAAGCCTTTAACCCATGCCTGGGCCCCTGACAGCCTCCTCAGCTCCTGCTACCCCTCTGAGGAGTAGAGCCTGGTGAAGTCAACACATGGTCAGGGTCTGAAATTAGGTCTGTTCACAGAGTTGTATGAAGGAAGACTGGCCCTGAGGGCACAGGCTTGACTTGGCAAGAGACGGTAAAAGATAGTGTTGATGGAAAGCCATGGCCTGAACAACAGGCAGTGGCCCAGGTGAGCAAGCAGCATCCAGGGGAGTTGTCCAAAGGGGCTCAAAGCTCATAGCAACAAAGATGGAGTGACAGCCATCTTGACAAAGTCACATGGGAGGCAGGAAGAAGCATACAGAAAGAAGATGCAAGTGTCAGGCATCCAAGCACTAGGCTGGGCCTTACAAGGGGATTTGACAAGATAACTACACAGGGTGTCACAGTCAGGTCCCAAAGTTACAGCCAGATCCAGCAATAAAAGGAACATGCTACAGTGCCCCAGGATGTGGGCTGTGGTCTCTTCAATCTCTCCTGCTAATGGCCAGGATCTGTTTGGATTCCCCCAGTATTCCCATTTGAGAGAAGAGTAGTGCAAGGTAGGAGTCAGGCCAGGCCTCTCTGCTCAGCCCCTTGACAGGCTCAAGTACCACTATAGCTGGCCCCATCCCTGCTGACCAACCCTCTGTGAATTGCCCTTGCATTCCAGGTCTACCCTTAGCAGTTGTGGCCCAGTCCTCTGAATTCTCCTGCACAGCCTTCCTGACGTTCACACCATCCCAGATCTTGTCCTGAGTCTAGGTTTCAACTACCCAATGCTGGCAATGAGAGAGGCAAAGGAGAACTTACAAAGTACATGAGCTATCCCTGGAGGATTTCCAGTGTCGCTAAAGCAGGAAGCAAGCAGAACCTCATGGTAATTTTATTTTTGGATTTTGTGCCACCCATAGAAGTGAGTAAGAATAGACATTCAAAGACTTTCTAAGAATGCTCATGTGCAAAAAGGCTTGCCTGGATTGATTTCAGAAAGCAAACCTAAATTCCATTCCAGGAATTGTACAGCCTCGCAAGTTCCTCAGCTTCTAAATAAAAATCCCTGAGAATCTAATAATAAAGTCTTGGCGGTGCACATGGCTTTGCAGTGTTTATATTTAGCAAACATTTTCCACTCTGAAATGATTTCCTGCCAAAAATATTACATTCCAATAGATTTTGCCATATGATGCTTGATGCTTAATTTATTGTTTCCAAAATCATCATTGTCATAGAATTTGGGGTTTATGATGAAAATATGAAGAGTGAATTCAATATTTTGTCTTTAGTCAGCCTCCAGATTAAGGGTATTGATTGAGGTCCTGCTGTCTATAGTAAGTTGAGCCAGACTAAGAGAAAACAGGACTTACTCTTGTAGCATGTGATGGGCTTGTTTAGAATTAGTAAAAGATGTGGCCAGAGACAAAGGAGGCATTGGATGTGATCAGGAAATACCTTCCTGAGGTCTGATCACCTAAACAGTAGGGAGTCATCATCAGCTGTTGTACAAAGGAATCAACAATACTCTTATGATGAAATATGACAATGATGCCCACAGCGATTTAAAGAAGAAAGATAGTGGAGGGAGGGAGAGGAGTGGGACCTTTTGTTCTGTAAATAATGAGCGAGATGTGGTGTCAGTGAAAATGGAGAAGGGGCCATGAAGATCTTATGGGAAAGGCACTGGGCTTGGCCTGGGTTTGAATCTACAAGCTATTCATTTCAATGAGCCTGTTTCCTCATCTGTGAAATGGGAGCTATTGGTATCGGTGCCACTATGCGATTATGAGATCATTTATTGGATGGCACAAAGTAGTCACTAAATAAGTAAATGCTTACAGAATCTAAAGAAAGATCCTGGAGACTGGGGTGAAAATTATCCTTCCTTGCTGACTGTATCAAACAGGATTCTTAGGAGCAAGCAGAGAAACTGAGCATGGAAGGAAAGGAACTGATCGGAAGGCTATTAATAAACTCACACAATTAGTGGGAAAGTTAAAGAAACAGGCTTGGAAACAGGCAGGACCAGAAGACTAAGTAGCATTTAGTCACAGGCAAAATCAAGCCAAAAGTCAATGTGGTGAGATCACTCCTGCTGAGCACAGTGTGGCCATGCCTTGCACTACCTGGCACTGGACACGGACGCTGTCCCTGGAAACCAAGTTGGCTGTTGTCACTGCTCACCTGCCATCAGAATGGATTTCCCACTGTCCTCACTTCTTTGTATCTGAAGTGTATCTTTGTATTTGAAGTGCCTGACTTCAAAGCTGGGGCAGGGTGGGGGCCTCTAAACTTTAGCAAGCAGGTACCAGCGTTTTCCATTTTATAATGGGAGGCGGCTGATGCACTCCACCAAGACTCATAAATGGTGGTGGTAGGGGGGCAGTTCTCTAAACTTGGAAATGGATTCAAATGCTGGCAGCCAGAAAAATGACACATGTCCACTGCCATCACCAAGTGGAAAGAGAGGCCATGCAGAGAGAGGAGGCTAAGGTTATTTATTGTAAAGATTAAAGCCCAAGGTCAGGGAAACTGTGACTCTGTTTTCAAAACTTGGAGAATAATAAGCTGATTCTTAATAACTTACTGAGATATAAATTTTACATACTCTATAAAGCTCACTCACTTAGTGTACTAGTCAATGGTTTTTAGCATATTAAAATAATTGTGCAACCACCACCATAATCTAAATTTAGAATATTTTTATCACCCAAAATACCCTTAGTAGTCACTTCCCACCCCAGCCCACACTCAGCTCTAGGAAACCACTAATCTAACTTCTGCCTCTCTAGATTTACTTATTCTGGACATTTAAAATAAATGGGATCACACAGTATATAGGTTTTGTGACTTGCTTCTTTCATTTAGCGTGTTTGTTAAGGTGCATCCAGGTTGTAGCATGTATAAATATGTCATTCTTTTCATGGCAAAACAATATTTTATTTATGGACATACCAAATTTTCTTTATCTATTTTTCCATTGACAGACATTTGTGTTGTTTCTACTTTTTTGGCAATTATGGATAATGCTGCTATGAACATTTGTGGACAAGTTTTTGTGTGAACGTATGTTTGCATTTCTCCTGGAAATATATCTAGGTAGTAGAATTCCCAGCTCATATTGTAACTCTATGTTTAGCATTTTGTGAAAGAGTCAAACTTTTTTCCAAAGTGGCTGCACCACTTTATATCCCCACCAGTAATGTATGAGTATTTGGGTTTCTCTACATCCTTACCAATACTTGTTATTATTTGTATCTTTCATAATATCCATTGTAGTGGATATGAGTTATAAATGATTTTTTAAGTTTGACAGTTTGCCATGGTAGTGAATATCAAAAAAATAATCCTGAATTCAGCTAGCTACCATCATCATCATTATTATGAGTATTACTGAGGAATCAAGTTGGTGAATTTAAATGAAATCATTTTTATTTTTCTAAAAAACTGCAATACAGCCTTTTTAGTTCATAATTACATCTTGAACATATCTCATAGCTTTCCAGGCATGTTTTTTGAAAAGGTATTAAAATTTCAAACCAGTTAAATGTTTCTATCTCAAATGTGATTGAAATCTCACCTCTTCCCCTCCCCTTCCCTTCTACACGATTTTGATCCCTTGCTGGGGAGACTTGAAGTTAGAGGCAAGCATGGTTCATTCCTTCTTTTCTTCTCTCCTCCCTTAGTGGGACTTGGGGCAGGGCAGAAGGATTGGGGAATTATAGTGACATAATTGCTGTTCTTAATAGTGGATTCAGTTAATTCAATTGACCTATGGAGTAAGAAACTTTTATTATCTCTATTTAACAAATGAGAAACCAGAGGCACAGAGAAGTTAAATAATTCAACTAGGTTAAGTGACTCAACTAAAAGCATACAGTTAGTAAGTGGCAGAGGCTGGATTCAAACCCAAGTAGTCTGACTCCAAATATCTGTGCACTTAACCACTATGCTATCTTTGGAAAAGGACAAATACCACCTTCCTTAACTGGGTAGTTCTGCCTCCCAGTGGTAAGTCATAGGGAGGTGCCTGGATCCAACTGTCATTGGATCTTCTCAAATGTGGGTCACATAGCAATATTTTGTCCCATTCAACATCCTCTGGAAGCCCTTGGAGTGAATGGGTCAAAAGCAAAGACTGAAACACTAAGAACTGAACCACAGGAGATGACACAGGAAGAAGTGGGGGACACAAGTGACACATAGTAGCGATGGTGCCAGGTCATCCAAGAGAAGACAGAATTTCAGCCCACTTGTTTCAAAGTATAAAGTTTTCCTAAAGGCCAAGGAAAGTCCCAGAGAAGGTGGGATAATGACAACAACAAGGAGCCTGAGGCACAAACAATGGCATCCAGTAACACAGGGGTGGAGGTACATTTTGGAAAAGGCGATTAAGTGGAAAGAGTGAGTTATATGTGGAAATTAATATCAAGTAGTTGAAGGAGCATGCTAGGGGCACTTGTTTTCCAAGTCAATGAGGAGGGTATTGTTCACTCATTTGAAGGAAGGGTACCCACAGTCACAGATGACATTCACGGAGCCCTGTCCTGGTGGGCTAAGTTCTTTCCAGACATCTTTTCATGCTCATAAAACCTTCAAAGGTTAAGTTCTAGTTATGATCATCTTTCTTTTCCAGATGTAGTTAGGAAATGCAACCAAGGTCCTGCAGCTGGTGAGTGCTGAGTTCCATCTGATGCCCACACCTACGTTCTCACACATGTTCTCTTGACTCTCAGCATGTGGGACTGGGGGCTAAGGAGAGAGGAATGGTTTAAAGCAGCCCTTTTGGAGACCTGCCAGGGAGAAATGGAGAGAAGATGTGTCAAGCACTGGTGAGAGCCAAGTTGAAGTGAATGGCAGCTCATGGGGAGCTGAGTATTTATTGTTTTATGTTGTTCTCAAATCCTTTGGGGCAGAAGGGCAGCAATGGGGAAGGTAGATGGTGGCAGAGCTGGGTTTGAAGATTATCACGCATGTGAAATGACACCAACAGGTGAAAGGCCTGAGAAGAGGGGAAGGACAGCCTTGAAACAGTCAGCAGGGGCCACCCTCTGGCTCCCTGTAGCCTCACTGACCTCCCTAAAGAAGAGTTATTTAAAATCTGTGAGGGTGGAAACATTTTCCATCAGAAACTCCATTCTGCAGTATCCTCCCTCTAAAACTTTTTCTCCCTACAATGAAGGACCAAGGACTACTTCTTGCTACCATTCCCCATTTAATTGGATCCATGTCAATAATTCACACATTTATACAAGTGAATTTACAGTCTATGGCTCATCTGATTTCAATCATTTACACATCGTGCATAGGGAAGTAATTCAGAACCAGCACTGGCTTAGCTGTGGCTTTACAGGCTAAAAAGGGGGGAAATTTGGAAGAAGTATGAATCTGCTGACTTCATGGTCATAGTTGAGAACTTCTCTGAGCACCAACCCACCTGCCCAGCTGGTAAATATCCGGCCTGAAGAAGGGCATCTTCTGTTCTTTCTTTCAGCCCCTGAGTACCTGCTTTTTCTGCTCTATACTCCATCTCAAGCTCCCAGTGCCAGGAACTCATCTATCTATTCTCTCAGAGATGTCCCCTCACCACTGTCCTAAAACTGCAAGGCTCACAGAGTGAGGTCCAAGATACAAGAACCTGGCCAAGGAGCCTTTCAAAAGTGACCAGTGTGGACTGAAGGCAAGTGGATCCTTCTCCAGGGGTCTGGACTATGAAAGACCTCTTAATTTTTGTATGACCTTCAGTCTAACATAGTTTCAGGAAATAAAATAATACAAATTTTCTTATATCCAAGGACTGCATAAACTAATGTCCTCTGTAGATTAGTTAACATATTCTCAAGTAGGTTAATTTTTTTACCTCAGTACCTGCCCATCATTAACAAATATTAAACTGATATATCTAAAGTTTATATATGTTCATGAAACACAATCACACTGCAGGATCTTTCACACTAACACCATCCCCCTGTCTTTTAGAGAATGGGTTTATTTCTGATTTTCATAAATAAGCAGTTATTCTCGGTGATTCCAAATTAGTCATTAAAGTTGACAAGATGATTTGTCCAATTTCTATTTTTTTGGCATTGAATAAAGAAGCTATTTTGAAAAAAGTACATACTTGTGAAACTTGCCAAAAATTTTGCCATTATAAAATACCACTGTAAGACATTTTCAGGACATAATAGAATTATCATAAAAACATATTGCCAGAAACATACTGGGTATGCAATAAATATATTTTGAATGAATGAGAACCACTCTAGGATCTTATATATAGAAAACTTAGATAGTAAGAAAAATCCTTCTCTTTAGTCACAACAGAAATACATACCAAACTGAAACTACACACTTCAGATAAAGCCTGGAAAATATTTTTATGTTAAGTTATATCATGCTGAATACATTTTACTGGGAATACTGACCTGAATATCAGCAATATTGCAAAAGACAACTCCAAGTTATATATATGTATATTTGAATTTCTGAATTCAACCAAATGGGAAATGTCTTTTAGAAATGGTAAAAAATAGGCCAGGCACAGTGGCTCACGCCTATAATTCCAGCACTTTGAGAGGCCGAGGCGGGCAGATCACTTGAGGTCAGGAGTTCAAGATCAACCTGGCCAACTTGGTGAAACCCCATCTCTACTAAAAATACAAAAATTATCTGGGCCTGTTGGCATGTGCCTGTACTCCCAGCTACATGGGAGGCTAAGGCAGGAAAATCGCTTGAACCTGGGAAGCGGAGGTTGCCGTGAACCAAGATCACAGCACTGCACTCCAGCCTAGGCGACCAAGTGAGACTCTGTCTCAAAAAAAAAAAAGAAAGAAAAGAAAAAGTAAAAAACAAAAGTTACATCATCATGCCCAAGGATTTATTTTCTTTTTTTTTTTTTATTATTATACCTTAAGTTTTAGGGCACATGTGCACAACATGCAGGTACATGTTAGTTACATATGTATACATGTGCTATGTTGGTGTGCTGCACCCATTAACTCCTCATTTAACATTAGGTATATCTCCTAATGCTATCCCTCCCCCCTACCCCCACCCCCACAACAGGCCCCGGTGTGTGATGTTCCCCTTCCTGTGTCCATGTGTTCTCATTGTTCAATTCCCACCTATGAGTGAGAACATGTGGTGTTTGGTTTTTTGTCCTTGCAATAGTTTGCTGAGAATGATGGCTTCCAGCTTCATCCATGTCCCTACAAAGGACACGAACTCATCCTTTTTTATGGCAGCATAGTATTCCATGGTGTATATGTGCCACATTTTCTTAATCCAGTATATCATT
Organism: Homo sapiens; assembly: GCF_000001405.40. Lineage (NCBI taxonomy): Eukaryota > Metazoa > Chordata > Mammalia > Primates > Hominidae > Homo > Homo sapiens. The sequence goes on along the minus strand of NC_000009.12, from coordinate 109,702,353 downwards.
GTTGGACATTTGGGTTGGTTCCAAGTCTTTGCTATTGTGAATAGTGCCACAATAAAACATACGTGTGCATATGTCTTTATAGCAGCATGATTTATAATCCTTTGGGTATATACCCAGTAATGGGATGGCTGGGTCAAATGGTATTTCTAGTTCTAGATCCCTGAGGAATCGCCACACTGACTTTCACAATGGTTGAACTAGTTTACAGTCCCACCAACACTGTAAAAATGTTCCTATTTCTCCACATCCTCTCCAGCACCTGTTGTTTCCTGACTTTTTAATGATTGCCATTCTAACTGGTGTGAGATGGTAGCTCATTGTGGTTTTGATTTGCATTTCTCTGATGGCCAGTGATGATGAGCATTTTTTCGTGTGTCTTTTGGCTGCATAAATGTCTTCTTTTGAGAAGTGTCTGTTCATATCCTTTGCCCACTTTTTGATGGGGTTGTTTTTTTCTTGTAAATTTGTTTGAGTTCATTGTAGATTCTGGATATTAGCCCTTTGTCAGATGAGTAGATTGCAAAAATTTTCTCCCATTCTGTAGGTTGACTGTTCACTCTGATGGTAGTTTCTTTTGCCGTGCAGAAGCTCTTTAGTTTAATTAGATCCCATTTGTCAATTTTGGCTTTTGTTGCCATTGCTTTTGGTGTTTTAGACATGAAGTCCTTGCCCATGCCTATGTGCTGAATGGTATTGCCTAGGTTTTCTTCTAGGATTTTTATGGTTTTAGGTCTACCATTTAAGTCTTCAATCCATCTTGAATTAATTTTTGTATAAGGTGTAAGGAAGGGATCCAGTTTCAGCTTTCTACATATGGCTAGCCAGTTTTCCCAGCATCATTTATTAAATAGGTAATCCTTTCCCCATTTCTTGTTTTTGTCAGGTTTGTCAAAGATCAAATGGTTGCAGATGTGTGGTATTATTTCTGAGGGCTCTGTTCTGTTCCATTGGTCTATATCTCTGTTTTGGTATCAGTACCATGCTGTTTTGGTTACTATAGCCTTGTAGTATAGTTTGAAGTCAGGTAGTGTGATGCCTCCAGCTTTGTTCTTTTGGCTTAGGATTGACTTGGCAATGTGGGCTCTTTTTTGGTTCCATATGAACTTTAAAGTAGTTTTTTCCAATTCTGTGAAGAAAGTCATTGGTAGTTTGATGGGGATGGCATTGAATCTATAAATTACCTTGGCATGCCCAAGGATTTATTTTCTAACCGTGGTATCTTGTAGATTGTTTTGTTGTCTGTATCCATAATATATATACCCCAACCTTACATTATCTCTTAAAATTTAATACTTAATACAAAATATTCTTTAAAATATTCCCTTTTCCAACTACAAAATGTTGCATTTCAGCTTTTATTTCCATGCCTATCATATGCAATATCCCATACTTTGTTATTGTTACGATTCCAGTCATATTATTGACATAGTACATTTTTGCCAGCTACACTCATGTTTGACCTTCCAGTGAAAGGCTAATTTTATTTGGTGTTAAAATGAACACTTTGAAAACATAAGAGAGTGGTGAAAAAGAAAACAGAGAAATAATACATCTGCTTTCCTGGATTAAAAGGATATGAAGCATCCAAAGAGCTCCAGGTGAGACAGACACAGCCCAGCAAAAATTTTCAAATAAATATTTGGGGAGGATGCCAAGAGCTTTTTAGAGTAAGTTTTTAGAAAGAGCCCAAGCTTTCCAGTGAGACAACAAAGTGTAATTGTGAACAAGCAATCTATCCGAGAGGAATTTTGAGATGTCATGGGGCAGTTGTATTCAGAAGGACATAAGAAATCATTAAAGAGTTTGAGCAAAAAATCATTTAAAATATTGGATTGAGTGCTGTATTAGTCTGTTCTCATGCAGCTAACAAAGACATACTCAAGACTGGGTAATTTATAAAGGAAAGATGTTTAACGGACTCACAGTTCCACATGACTGGGGAGGCCTCAAAATCATGGCGGAAGGCGAAGGAGGAGCAAAGTCACGTCTTACATGATAGCAGGCAAGAGAGTATGTGGAGGGGAACTACCCTTTATAAAACCATCAGATCTTGTGAAACTTGTTCAGTATCAGGAGAGCAGCACAGGAAAAACCCACCCCCATGATTCAATTACCTTCCACCACGTCCCTCCCATGACACGTGGGGATTATGGGAGCTACAATTCAAGATGAGATTTGGGTGGGGACACAGCCAAACCACATCAAGTGCAGAATGAATTTGGTGGTATTTATATCTCTTCCTTCCCATTTGGTACAATATTTTAATGTATTATAAGAGTAGGCCAGGCACAGTGGCTCAAGCCTGTAATCTCAGCAATCTGGGAGGCTGAGGTGGGCAGATTACGAGGTCAGGAGATCAAGATCATCCTGGCCAACATGGTGAAACTCTGTCTCTACTAAAAATACAAAAATTAGCCGGGTGTGGCGGCACATGCCTGTAGTCCCAGCTACTCAGTAGGCTGAGGCAGAAGAATTGCTTGAACCCGGGAGGCGGAGGTTGCAGTGAGCCGAGATCATGCCCACTGCACTCCAGCCTGGGCGACAGAGTGAGACTCCATCTCAAAAAAAAAAAAAATAAATAAAGGTAATGGCTGCTGACAGTTGATATTGGAAAATACAGGGGAAAAAAAATGGAAATAAAAATCACTTCTTATTCAATCACCTCTGAATAATCAATCTTAATATTTTGGCTTCCTCTTCTCTGTCTGTCCATTTGGGTTCTTACTGTGTTGTCATGCTTTCTTCACTTAATAATATACTTTAAGTGCTTTCTCATATTTTTACTCTGAAAATATGGATTTTAATGGTGGAATAATGTTCTGGCCTATAATTTTGTCAGCAAATTTAATCATCTAATTTTGGAATAGATTGCTTGCAATTTTTCCTAATTATAAATAATGCTACAATAAACATCCTTGTACAAAAATCTTTATTTACATCTCTGATTATTCCCTCAATATAAAATTCTGAAAAGTGGAATTATGACTCCAATGGCAAGAACTAGTTTCAAGCTTTTGATTTATACTGCCTGATTGTCCACCAGACAGGCATCAGAAAAGAGGTACCAATTCTACTAACAGCTGTGTTGAATCTTTTCAACTACATTCTTGCTTCATAAGGTAATACAGTTACAACATTTTGCCAGTTCAGTGGGTGAAAATGGTATCTTGTGTTTGATTTAATGTGATCATTCTTTGTGAATCATCTGTTTGTGTCTTTGCCCATTTTTCTTTTTGCCCATTTGTCGTTCTGTTATTTTTAAGCACGACTTGCCCATAAAAATGTCCTATGTGCTGCAATCAAGTTGTCATCTTTAGCCTTTCAACTTTATTTCTTCTATTTCTTGTGCACAGAATTTTGAAATGTTATGTAGTCAAATTACTTATATAATTATACATGCATATAGCATTAAATTTCACAGTTTTTCCCCCTCTCCTTTTTGTACATTGAAAAGACATTTACTTACTCTCTGACTCTCAAAAGTAAGTCTCTACCCCTCAAGGCTAGATACTATATTCACTATGGCTTGTCCTTTCCTTTAGCACAGTGCCCGGCACATCACAGGAATCATTAAATGCTTATTGAATGAAAGAACACGTGAACAAATAAATGACCACCACTGCCACAATAGCATTCGTACCAGCCTTCCCACTCTGCATTTCCTGTGCCGTCTCTGAATGGATATACCAATGTGGCGGGAGTGAGAGGCAGGGAGGGGAGATGGTAGGGTAAAGCATTTTGGATGTGTGTTGCCTGCCTCAAAGATTAGCAACCCGGCTGGGTGTGGTGGCTCACGCCTATAATCCCAATACTTTGAGAGACCGAGGCTGGCAGATCACTTGAGGTCAGGGGTTCAAGACCAGCCTGGCCAATATGCCGAAACTCTGTCTCTACTAAAAATACAAAATATTAGCCAGGCGTGGTGGCATGCGCCTATAATCCCAGCTACTCAGGAGGCTGAGGCACAAGAATCGCTTGAACCCGAGAGGCGGAGGTTGCTGCAAGCTGAGATCACGCCATTGCACTCCAGGCTGGGTGACAAAAGCGAAACTCCGTCTCAAAAAAAAAAAAAAAAAAAAAATGTAGCACACATGCAGGTGAAGGGTAAGGCCACTGGGGGCTGTTATATACCCTGGTCTCATGAAATGGACAGTGAGAGATGTATGAAATATATTCAACCATGTCTCAGCTGCAAAAAGGTTTTTTGTATAGTCATGACCTCTGTTCTATGAGGCAGAGACAATGTGTGGTCTCATGTTTCAGGACTGTGCATTGACATCACTTTCTGTGTTGAAGCCCTAAATCCAGTATGTTTGATTCTTAATGTAATCCACAATTCACAGCAGATGTGTGTGTATAATTTGTAACCAGATGCCAAAAGCACTAATAATGGTGCAATGTCTATGTGGCCACAGGTATGAAGGAGGCAGGAAATCTATCATAATTAATGCGGTAAAATGAATGGTAATTAAACTCAGGTTAACAAAAAGCACAATTCATTTAAATGGAGATACATGGCAATTTGTGATCATTTAAAAAGGGCCAGCTGGAAGTTGCAATGCCATTATCTATAAGGGAAGTGTTTACTAAGAAAATTAACAGAATTGCAGAGATAATTCTTAAGATATAGATAATGAGATAGTTTTTTTGCACCCTCTAGGGACTTCAAAAACATACTTTTTCATTTAGAGTACTGACATGCTAATTTTTTTAAATGTAATTTATTCCTAAGGGCAGAAGAAATATTTCTGATAAATGATATTATCCTAAACTGAAGATATTTGATACTACTAATGCTTTGTTTCAAAACACTGAAGCTATTTGAAAATACTAATGCTTTTTTACCACTGTTGAAATAATATAACAGATAATTTATTTACATAGTAGAATATTTAAAAGGTAGAAAAAGTATATAGTGCAAAATTCACTCTATCTTCTTCCTTCTAATTTCATAGACCCCAATTGGCCTCCCCTCTGCAACAAGCAAACACTGTTATGCAGAGATATTCTATACAAAGAGATATTCTATGAATATTCAACTATATTTGTAAATTGCCATTTTAACATAAATGGTAATATATTATTCATATTAATCTATAACTTGCTTTTTTCACTCTATTTTGAGACTTCCATGTCAGTATATAGAGAATAGTTGCTTCTCTCTTCTTAATGTCTAGGTGGTACTCCATTATATGGAATACTGTCATTTATTTAACCAGTACCCTGTTGATGAATGTCTTAGGTGAGATTCTCTAGAAGCACAACCTAAGGGGGAGACTCTCATGCCAGCGATTTATCGAGAAGTGCTTTCAAGAGAATCTTATATAGAAACCAGAGAGAAAAGTTAGGCTGGGGAAGAAGCTAAGGAAAGATGAGGTTTTAGTCAAGTCAAACCTGATCCCATGGGGAGCACTGGAGCATGCATGGCAGCAGGAAAACATTTTGAGTTTTTGTACCACAATATACAATAGATATTGGCTTTGTATATTGCCAATATACAAAGAAATGGTCGTCTGGATAACCTCCCAGCTACTTCCAGGTGAGGAAGTTCCTGGTCAGTTGAGGGTAATTCTCTGGGGAAGGGTGAGCTGTGAGCCGTCAGCAGCCAACACTCACAGTGGCGGGAGACAGATGCACTGGCCCAGGGAAGGGGATGCAGGTGGAACACCACATTGGATATTAGGTCCTTTCCAATTTTGTAAGGACAGGCAATGCTGATATCCTTGTAGATACATGTCTTTGTATATGTGTACCAACACCACTGAGTGATCAATGACTAGAAGCGAAATAACCAGGTCAAAAGCTATAAACTTTAAAATTCTGATAGATATTGCCAAATTGCTCTCCAATTTACATTCTGACCCAAAACATATGAGTTTCTGTCTCCTCGCACCCTTGCTGAAAACATATGCTACTAAATTTTTTAATCTTTGTCAATCTGATAGACAGAAGATGGCATCTTGTTGCAACTTTAATTCACATTTCTCTTACTATGAGAAGTTCTGAATATTTTTCAATATGTTTTAAAGCTATTTTTATTTCCATTTCAATGAACTGATTGTGTCCTTTGCCCACTTTTAAAATTTGGCTACTGGGCTTTTTTTTCTTGCTGAAACATGAGTGCTCTTGATGACATCAATGATGTTAGCCTTTCTTTGTCAAAAATATTCACAGTTTTTTTCAAAGTGACTTTTCTATGTATATGTGATAGTTGTACATATTTTGGGGGTACATTTGATATTTTGATACATTTATGCAATGTGTAATGATCAAATCAGGATAACTGGGAGTCTACTACTTCAAATATTTATCCGATCTTTGTATTGGAAACATTCCAATTCTTCTCTTCCAGTTATTTGGAAATATACAATAAATTATGGTGAACTATAGTCTCCCTAGTGTTTTATCAAACACTAGAACTTATTCCTTCTAACTGTATGTTTGTACCCCTTAACCAACCTCTCTTCATCACCCCCACCCTTGTCAACCTCTGGTAACCACTGTTCTACTCTCTACCTCCATGAGATCTACGGTTTTAGCTCCCACATATGAGTGAGAACTTGCAATATTTGTCTTTCTGTGCCTGGCTTATTTCACTTTAAATAATGACCTCCAGTTCTATGCATGTTGTTGAAAATTACAGTATTTCATTCTTTTTTATATGGAATAACATTCCATTGCGTCCATATAACACATTTTCTTTACTCATTCATTCATTGACGGACATGTGGGAAAACCTGAATAGACATTACTCAAAAGAAGACATACAAATGGCCAACAGGTGTATGAAAAATGTTCAACAACACTAATCATCAGGGAAACGCAAATCAAAACCGTAGTAAGATACCCTCTCACCACAGTTAAAATGACTATTATCAAAAAGACAAAAAATGACAATGCTGATGAGGATGCAGAGAAAGGAGCATGCTTATATGGTGGTGGGAATGTAAAGTAGTACAGCCACCATAGAAAACAGTATGGAGGTTTCTCAAAAAACTAAAAATAGAACTGCCACATGACCCAGCAATCCCACCGCTGGGAATACATCCAAAAGAAACGAAATCAGTTATAGAAGGGACATCTTCATTCCCATGTTTTTTGCAGCTACTATTCACTATAGCCTAAGTCGCTTTTGACTTTGCTTATGGCATTTTATAAGACAATTTAAAACATTTTAATAGTCAAGTGTTATTCTTTTTAATAGCATTTCAATTTTGTGTCATGTTTCCAAAGTCTCCAAGATTATAAAAAATTATTCAGTTATTTTTGTCTTGAAATTTATGGCTTTATTTTTTACATTTAAATATTTGATCTGGCTGGAATTTATTGTGGTATAAGGAGTAAAGTAGGAATCCAACTTTTTAAAATACTTTTTTTTCCAGGTGACATCTCACTTGTCCTAATACCATGCATTAATTAAGTCATCATTTCTTCACTAAAATGAAATGGTGTCTTTGGGATAGCATAAGTTCCTATAAGTATTTGGGTGTATTTCTGGACTCCCTTTCTTTTTCATTGACTTTTTCATTGTCTAAGTCTGATTCTGTACTACAGAGTTTGAATTACAGCAGTTATAAACTTGAACACATGGAGGGCCAGTTACCACTGACTCTTGGTCTTCTTTTTCAGAATCTTCCTTTCTACTCTGGCAGATTTCTTTTTCCTGATACACCAGAGAAACCTTTAGTATTTATTTTGGCATTATTTTAACTTTGTAGATTAATATAATATGAATAGACAGCTGATAATATTGAGTATTCCTTTCCAAGAAATAAGCATTTATTTAAACTTTTCTATCTCTTAATAGTGTTTTGAAGATTTCTTCATGTAGATCTTAAACATTTTTGTTAAGTGTATCACTAGATTTTCTTTAATGTTGCTAATGTAAATGAGATCATTTTACATTACATTTTATAGTGGTTGTTGTTTATATTTCCCCTCTTAATTCTATAAATAAATTTTGACAAATGAAGTGGGTTAGTATTTTCTTGAATTCTGAATTTAAGAAGTAATTGTGTGTGACACATACAAATTATTTTTCTTAATGGCTGATTTTTTAGGTAAATATGTACATGATGTAAGTTTTCACATTTTTTATTCTAACCAAAGAGGGAAAGTTTTAAAGTACTCATCTGAGCCCTATGGTCTAGCCTGTACATAACTTCTAGTATATACACTTTCTTGATGTTTTGAGAAAAGTTCATGAATTCATCCACTCATTTATTTAATCATTCAGGAACTGAGAATACTGGAGTAAACAAAACAGTCAAGCTCCTGCCCTCACAGAGTATACATTCCAATTGTACGGTGGGGAAGGGGGAGATTGGGGGAGCAGAAAACAAGCCAAGTAAAGAAATAAATCTATAATATCATATCATATGGTGGTATAAGTGATGTGGAATGAATAAAGGAAACCTGTTGTGGTAAAGAACACACTACTCAGAACTGGCAGAATGTAGAATGTATATTCATTTCAAGTATACATGAAACATTTACGAAGACACTATAGTCTAGACCATAAAACAAGTATCAATAAGTTTAAGGACTGAAATTTTACCACAATGGAATTGAACTAGAAATCAATGTTAGAAGAATATCTGAAAAAGTCCCAAATATTTAAAAATTAAACAACATATTTCTAAATAATGCATGAATCAAAAAATAATCACAAAGGAATTTGGAAAATATTTAAAACTGAATGAAAATGATAACACAGTGTGTTACAATTATGAGAGGCAGCTAAACTAACGACTAGAGAGAATTTATAGTGTAGAATATCAATATTAGAGAAGATAAGTTTAAAATCAATTATCTAATCTTCCACCTTACGGGACCAGAATTAAAAAGTAAGTTAAATCTAATGTAAGTGGAAGAAAGGAAGTAATAAAGATAAGATCAGAAATTGGAAAAATAAAAAACCAAGAAAAAATAAAGCAAATCAATTACAGTTCTTTGAAAAAGTCAGCAAAATTGATAAAACACTAGGTAGACTGATCAGAAAAGAGCAGACAAATTACCAATATTAGCAGTGAAAGAAAGAAAACTGCTCAGAGATCCTACAGACAGAATAATGAGAGAATTGCAAGAAAACTTTGTGACAACAAATTTGACAAAGATTAAATTGGCAATTTTTTAAAGATATAAACCACCAAAACTCACTCAAGAAATAAATAAATAAATAACCTATAGGCCTATATCTATTAAATAAATTGAGTTCAGCATTGGAAACATTCTCACAAAGAAATATCAAGCCCCAAATGTTTCTCTAGGTAATTTCTACTAAGCATTTACAGGAGTGCAATGCCAATTCTACACAAATCTTCCAGAAAACAGAAAGAAAGGGAACACTTTCAAGTTTATTTTATAAGGCCACCATTAAATGGTTAGCAAAAGAAAGAAGAAAAAGAAAGGAAGGAAAGGAAGGAGAGAAAAGAGAGATGGAGGTGGGGGGAAGGGAAAGAAATCACAGATCAATATTCCTTGTGCACATAGATGCAAAACTTTTAAATTTTTTTAAAAATCAAATAAACCAATATAGAAAAAGTATAATACATCATGACCAAGGGAGGTTCATCCCCAAAGGCAAGGTTCATTTAACATTTTCAAATTAATTTACTAATGTAATTCACCATATTAACATATTTTAAAAGGAAAACCATATAGTAATACCAACAGGTGCAGAAAAACCATTTGACAAAATTAAATATCCATTTATTAAAATAACTCTCAGCAAACTAAGAGTTGAAGGAAACTACAATTTCATAAAGGGCATGTATAAAAAACCTATAGCTACATGATACCTAATGGTGAAAAACTAAATGCTTTCTCCTAAGATCAGGAATGAGGCAAATATGCTTGCTCTCACCACTGCCATTCACCATTTTAATGGAAGTTTAATAATAATACAAAGTAAAGAAGTAAAAGATAGATATAAGAAAAGAATAATTAAGACTATATTTTTCAATGATGACATGATTGTATAGAAAATCCTATGGAATGTAAAAAAAACCCAAACCTTATTAGAACTAATTAATGAGTTTAGCAAGGTCTCAAGATACAAAGTCAAAATGCAAAACTCAATTGTATATCTAGGTAGTACCAACTATGATACTATATGTAAATAATTGGAAATTGAAATTTACAATAAAATTTTAAAACTATGAAATGGTGATTTTTGCACAACTTTATGAATATAGTAAAAACCATTGACTTACATACTTTACAGGGATAAATTTTATCATGTGTGAATTATATCTCAATTTAAAAATTTTTTAAAAATTTAAAAAAATTTAAATACTTAGAGATAAATTTAACTAAATTATATCAAACCTGCACATTAAAATGATTAAAAGCATTACTGAAGCAAACTAATGAATACTGAGATGGAGATATATATGTATATATATATATGTGTATATATATATATGTGTATATATATATATGTGTGTGTGTATATATATATATATATATATGTGTGTGTGTGTGTATATATATATATATATATATATATATATATATATCGTCTTTCTGGATTGGAAAATTGATATTAAGATGTTAATTCTCCCCTAGAAATGCCACTTCCCGCTATGGGCAGTATTTGAATATAAGCATGGGTGGTGTGGGGGCAGGCTTACCATAATATGAGAGGTTACTTCCAACATCGAAGAGTCTTGTGAGAAGGAGGGGTTGGGGGAAACTAAATTTAGTCTTTTTGGTTCCTAACTTCCAAAAGACTGAATGAAGACCATAGACTAGAAATTATGGGGAGAGAAAGGTCAAATTTGATATAAGAGTTTTCTAATTGTTAGCAGCATCTACAAAGAACACCATTGTCCTTAGCATTTGGGAGCATCCCTTTCCTACCTGTTCAAATACAGGTAGGAAGATCACAATTTGAAATGCTAGAAAGAGCATTCTTAAATTTGCTGGGAAATTAGACTGTCTTTCTAAGTAAGGTCCCCTCTATCTCTCAAAGATCCAAGAGGCTATGTTGTAAATAAACATAGGTAGAATATTCAAAGAGGAAAGAAAAAGACAGGAAGGAAATTTTCTACTTTACTGTTAAATCAGATACTGATTCTCACTCCATCCCAGCTATTGTGCTGACAGATTACAGTTCACTGCAGGATATATGAAGCTGTGTGTGCATGTGTGTGTGTGTGTGTGTGTGTGTGTGTGTAAAATTCAAAGTAATGCAACATTGGTACCTCTCAGAGATCGAAGCACTTTTGAAAGAGAACATTTGCAAATCTTATACTGCGATTATGTTTTAGCCTCCTCTGATTTAGTGCCAATAGCAAATTCTTCCACTGCCCCTTCAACTTCCCCCCTTCTGTTTCTTTCAAGATTTTCCAGGCTTCTTTACAGGGCACTAAAAATCCATTTTTACAGCTTTTGTTCTGAAACATATACATCCATTCCTCATGCTGAGAAGTGGCCAGTGTGCATATGCTGAAGTTAGGAGACATATCACAGACAAGCAGAATTGCTGTCACAGAACAAAAAACATGTAAAATTGAGATCTTGTTTCATCTTTAAAGGTATAGGATGTGATCCGAACTTAATAACCAGTTCCCAAGGGTACTGGGTGCACATAAAGGGAGAGAGTCTTTATAATTTACATACTTGTAAGCTATACTAATTCAGCTATACTTAGTTCTTCAAAACATTTAATCCCAGGTCTCCATGTACCCTAGGTTAATGTTATCTTTGAATTCAGTTTGAAGAGGGAAAAATCATAAATGTGTATCCAAGATCAATTACAATTGCATATCTATTACAAATTATGAGCATTAGGCAATCTTCCTGATTGCATAGTATTAAGCTATAACAACTATAGGAAAATAGAAGACCATTTCAAAATTATAAAGAGTTTTAAAGCCAACTATATTTTTTGGGATTGAGAGACATAAATTTGGAGCAGAGAACAGATGGGCCTTTGGAGGAAGGCAAGAAAGAGACGGAGAGAGACAGAAAAAGAGAGAATTCTCAACCTCCCTTTTTAGCCAATATCCTAAAAAGAAAAAGATTTATTCCTCTAACTTCATAATTATCAAGATATATTTACCTACAGCTGATTTCTTTCAAGATCTATACCAACTATTAGAAATTTTAAAAGTACATATTTCTAGATTGTGAACTAAACTACAAGCATTATCTTGTATATAAACCAAGGCAAGATGCTGTGCTGGTGAGCAGTGGCTGGTATGGGGAACAGCCTCCTGAGGATGGGAATGGGACAGCCCTGCTGACCCACTGATCCCCTCCGGCAGGGGGAAAACCACTCCATGGATAAGCACAGGTTTAGGGGTTAGTCCTGATTGTTTAAGAGGAAAAAAAAAAAAAACTCTTCCCCATTCTTGATGTCTCTTTCTGTATGGAAGACTCTCTATCTCCATGACATTCCTGGCCTCATTCCACTTCTAGCTTACTCCTCCCCTGGGAGTCATTCAGTTGGGTGGTGAACTTGGTGACATAAATTTAACATGCATAATCCTGCCTCTTCCTCTCGGAAGTTGGCCAGATCATAGAGAACGTGAAGTTTACCCAGCTCCTCCAGAGACAGGCTCTGTCCCCACAGCAGGGTCCAATGTGGCCTGAGACTGGAAAGGTAGGTCCTCCCCAGGCTGGGATTTACAGCCTCATGTGAGTCTCACACTGAGCTCATCTTAGCCTTTATTAACCATGAAGATGATACTTTCATTTTCCATCTATTGATTCTTTTGTCCTATTTCTCAATGTGTTCAGAACTCAGGCAAGTAATGGAGTGCTATTTATTGTGTTCTCCTAAAAATATATATCACACCCATCTCACGTTGGGATCTCTACAAGGCTTTAAAGAAGGTATTGTTTTTGGCCAGGAGCAGTGGCTCACGCCTGTAATCCCAGCACTTTGGGTGGCCGAGGCGGGTGGATCACCTGAGGTCAGGAGTTTGAGACCAGCCTGATCAACTTGGTGAAACCCAGTCTCTACCAGAAATACAAAAATTAGCTGGGCATGGTGGGCGCCTGTAATCCCATCTACTCAGGAGGCTGAGGCAGGAGAATCGCTTGAACCCAGCAGGCGGAGGTTGCAGTGAGCTGAGATGGCACCATTGCACTCCAGCCTGGGTGACAGAGCCAGACTCCATCTAAAAAAAAAAAAAAAAAAAAAGAAAAGAAAAAAGAAGGTATTGTTCCATTTTACAGATGAAAAAATTGAAGATCAGAAGTTATTAAAAGACCCAGAGTCAACCACTGAACTCGCTTAGTTCTTCTTATTACCACTAGCCCTCTTATGGGAATGTGATCCTTCAGAGCCTACCTCCACCCTGAAGAAAAAACAGTAATCCTCCTACTGACTGATGGTGGCGAAGTATGGAAGAACTGCAGGATCTTTCCCAGATGACGATAACAACTGGAGTCTCAAACTCACATAATCGATTATTGCAGAAAAATACATTTGGCATCAAAAAGATTACAACGGAATTTGCCTCTCCTTTGAGAGTTTCAACCTTCTATTATCTTCTCTACAGGGCCTAATTTCTTGGCAGGCTGATGAATTGGACCATTATGTACTTTTTAGAAGCAAGCATTTATTTGCCTTTCATTCAACCTATAATTATTTGTTAGCATCTACTTTCCATAAAGTATATCCCTACTCATACTGCAAGCTTAATCTCTCTGCCCCTTTTCAGGGAGGTCAAAATTAAATATCTTCTTAAAACTGGAGGTCTGATGGCCTCATCGTAACTCAAGTGGGGCTTAAATGTCTGTTCTTGGATTGTATTTGCAGCCAAGCAGACATCCAACCTGGTGTTTCCAAATATGGGCCTGAGCAGCAATTTCAAACCCTTTGCAGGGCTATTCTGAGGGATCAGGCTGCAGTGCTGGCCCTTGCACTAAAGTCCTTGACAATAACCTCCTAAGACACTCAAGATAGAGCAAGGCTCTGAATGCCACCCTATGGGCGCTCCATCATCTAGTTCAATGCTTCTCAAAGTTTGGTTCACAGACCAGTATGGGTTTACAAATGATTTATTGTTCATTTGCAACAAGATACATACAGAAATCAAGAACACAGGCATACCTTATTGTATTGTGCTTCCCAAATATTACATTTTTTACAAATTGAAAGTTTGCAGCAACCCTGTGATGAATAAATCTATCAGCACCATTCTTCCAAGAGCTTGTGCACACTTCGTGTCTCTATGTCGCATTTTGGTCATTCTTGCAATATTTCAACTTTTTCATCATTATCATATCTGTTATGGTGATCTGTGATCCGTGATCTTTGATGTTACCATCGTAATTGTTTCGGGGTGCTACAAACCACTCACATGTAAGATGGTGAACTTAATGAATGCTGTGTGTTGTCTGATTGCTCCACTGATCAACCATTCCTTTGTCTCTCTCCCTCTCCTTAAGCCTCTCTATTTCCTGAGACACAGCAGTTTTGAAAACAGGCCAACTAATAACCCTACAATGGTCTCTAGGTGTTCAAGTGAAAGGAAGAGTCACAACATCCCTCATTTTGAATCAAAAGCTAGAAATAACTAAGCTTAGTGAGAAAGGCATGTTGAAAGCCAAGACAGGCTGAAAACTAGGCCTCTTGTGCCAAACAGTTAGCCAAGTTGTGAATGCAAAGGAAACGCTCTTGAAGGAAATTAAAAGTGCTACTCCAGTGAATGCATGAATAAGAAAGTGAAGCAGTCTTATTGCTGATATCAAGAAAGATTTAGTGGTCAAACCAGCCACAACATTCCCTTTAGCCAAAGCCTAATCCAGATCAAGGCTCTAACTGTCTTCAATTCTATGAAGGCCGAGAAAGGTGAGGAAGCTGCAGGAAAAAGGTTGGAAGCCAGCAGAGGTTCGTTCATGAGGTTTGAGGAAAGAAGCTCTCTGCATAACATAAAAGTGCAAGACAAAGTAGCAAGTGCTCTTGTAGAAGCTTCAGCAAATAATCCAGAAGATCTAACTAAGATAAGGAATGAAGGTGGCTTCACTAAACAACAGATTTTCACTATAAGGACAAAACAGCCTTCTATTAGAAGAAGAGGTTATCTAGCACTTTCACAGCTAGAGAGGAGAAGTCAATGCATGACTTCAACATTTCAAAGGACAGGCTGACTCTCTTTTTGGGGGCTAATATAGCTGGTGACTTTAAATTGAGGCTAATGCTCATTGACTATCCCCCAAATCCTAGAGCTCTTAAGAATTATGCGAATCTACTCTGCCTGTGTTCTATCGGCACTATTCACAATAGCAAAGACTTGGAACCAGCCTAAATGACCAACAATGATATACTGGATTAAGAAAATGTGGCACATATACACCATGGAATACTATGCAGCCATAAAAAATGATGAGTTCATGTCCTTTGTAGGGACATGGATGAAGCTGGAAACTATCATTCTCAGCAAACTATCACAAGGACAAAAAACCAAACACTGCATATTCTCACTCATAGGTGGGAATTGAACAATGAGAACACATGGACACAGGAAGGGGAACATCACACACCGGGGCCTGTTGTGGGGTGGAGGGAGGGGGGAGGGATAGCACTAGGAGATATACCTAATGTTAAATGAGGAGTTAGTGGGTGCAGCACACCAACATGGCACATGTATACATATGTAACAAACCTGCATGTTGTGTACATGTACCCTAAAACTTAAAGTATAATAAAAAAAATAAATTGCAAAGGTTAATGCTCTAAAAAATAAAAGTAAAAAAATAAAATAAATAAATAAATAAATAAATGGAACAACAAAGCCTGGATGGCAGCACATCTGCTGTTTACAGCATGGTTTACTGAATATTTTAAGCCCATTTTTAAGATCTACTGCTCAGAATGAAGACACCTGTCAAAATATTACTGTTCCTTGACAATGCACCTGGTCACCCAAGACTTTGATGGAGATGTACAAGGAGATTGATGTTGTTTTCATGCCTGCTAACACAATGTGCATTCTGCAGCCCATGGATCAAGGAGTAATTTCAACTTTCAAGTCTTATTGTTTAAGAAATACGTTTTATAAGGCTATAACTGTCACAGATAATGATTCCTTTGATTAATCTGGTCAAAGTAAATTGAAAACCTTCTGGAAAGGATTACCCATTCTAGATGCCATTAAGAACATTCATGATATCAACGTTAATGGGAGTTTGGAAGAGGTTGATTCCAACCCTCGTAAATGACTTTGAGAAGTTCAAGACTTTAGTGGAGGAAGTAACTGCAGATGTGGTTGAAATAGCAAGAGAACTCAAATTAGAAGTGAAGTCTGAAGATGTAACTAAATTGCTGCAATCTCATTATCAAACTTGAATGGACAGAGAGTTGCTTCTTACAAATAAGCAAAGAAAATGGTTCCTTGGAATCTACTCCTGGTGAAGATGCTGTGAGCATTGTTGAAATCACAGAAAGGATTTAGAATATTACATAAACTTAGTTTACAAGGCAGGGTTTGAGAAGATGGACACCAATTTTGAAAAAAAAATTACTATGTGTAAAATACTATCGAACAGCATTGCATGCTACAGAGAAATCTTTCATGAAAGGAAAAGTCCATCAATGCAGCAAACATCATTGTTGTCTTATTTTAAGAAATTGCTACAGCCACCCCAACCTTTGGCAACCACCATCCTGATCAGTCAGTAGCCATCAGCATCAAGGCAAGACCCTACCACCAAAAAAAAAATATAATTCACTGAGGGTTCAAGTAATTGTCCACATTTTTTAGCAATAAAGTATTTTTTAAATTAAGGTATATATATGTGTGTAAATATATATATGACAGAATTCTATTGCACACTTAAAAGACTATAGTCTTTAGAGTATAGTGTAGTTACAGTATAGTATACTATAACTACTTTAGTATAGTATAGTGTAAACATAAATTTTACATGCACTGGGAAACCAAAAAAAACTTGTGTGACTTGCTTTATTGCAATAGTCACTTTATCGTGGTGGTCTGGAACTGAACTCACAATATCTCTGACATATAACTGTGTATATTTAGAAAGTTTTACAGCAAGTAAAAAATCGGCTTTTTCAAGGTATAATTTGCATAAAATGAAATTCATATATTTTAAGTGTCCAGTTCAATGACATACACGGTATGTGTATAAACATACACAGTCATGGGATTTCCACTATGGTCAAGATACAGAACATTTCTATCACCACAAAATACTCCCTTCTGTCCCTTTGCACTCCATTCCTATGACCACCCCTTAGACTCAGGTAATCACTAATCTGCTTTTTATCACTATAATTTTGTATCTTCTAGAATTGCACATAAATGGATCATATAGACTGTAATCTTTGAGATCTGGTTTCTCTACTTAGTATAATCCTTTAAGATTCATTCATGTTTTGTGTGTATCAGTAATTTATTTATTTTTATGGTTCAGTAACATTTTATTGTACGGATGTGCCACAGTTTTCTTATCTACTCACCTGCTGATGGACATTTCGATCATTTCCAGTTTAGGATTCTTAAGAATGAAGCTGCCATGGACATTCATGTGCAACTCTTTGTATGCTTATATGTTTTCACTTCTCTTAGGTAAATACCTAGAATGGAATTGCTAGTTCATATAGTAAGTATATGTTTAACCTCTTTTCAGCAATTTGACAAAATGATTTATATCTGTTTAATGTAATAATCAAAAAGAGGTTTTATTTTGTGTGTGTTTTAAATTTTGTTTTTTAAGTAATTCATTTATGAGGAGTACTTGTCGGGTACTTGGTAGAATTTGTGTAGTCAACTTTTTATTGTATTTTACTAACATATTGGCTGTGATGGATTAGAAATTTTCTTGAAGTTGGTAATTCACCTTGGATAGAAAAATTCTGCTCTAGGTGACAGCTCCTATTTCCTTGCCTGCCCCCTGCAGTTTCTCAGATTAGAAACTCCAATGAGGTGTGTTACCTGAACCATAGCTGAGCCCTTCTCCCTGTGGTCACTGAGCCTGTTCTATTGAAAACACTCTGATTCAGAGGGGTCTAGAGTGGGGCCCGGGCATTAGCGCATTAGAAACTCCACAGGTGGTTCCAACGCATAGCCAGAGATGAGCACCACTGCCCTAGATGCTGCAGGAAGAGAGTTTCTCAAGGAGGGTTCATCAGGGCCAAGGGTGTGTTGGGGCCATGAGAACCCACTGATAGAAAGGAGGGCAGAGCCCATGTATCAGAAAGGACTACCTTCCTACACAGAGTTTGCCACACCACAAGCAACAGCACATATGCCATTCATCAGGCTAGGAAATGCTTATGAATCCCCTTTCTACAAGCAAAGAAGCAAGCAAAAGAGGCTGGCGACATTATAATAATATCAGCTCACATTGTTAAACATTTGGTGTGTTCCAGGACCCATGCTAAGCATTAATATACACTGTCTTATTATGAGATATACATTATCTCATTATCTCATTTTTTTCAACTGTAAAATGGGGATCATTATCAGTTATAATATAACCAATATACACTATATAATGTATATTATACATTATCATGTATAATTAATGCACATTATCATAACCAATAATGATCCCCATTTTATAGTTGAAAAACCTGAGTCACAGAGCAGTAATCTAACCTACCAGCATCATAGCTCTAGTCATTGTGGGAGCAAGAACACGAACATGAGTCAGCTCCCCTCAATGCTCACACACGTGGCCTCTACAGTGCCCAGTCCTCAGTGTGGCCCAAGGAAAATGGCTTATGAAGCATATTTGATTCCTAGGGCTGCTGTAACTAATCACCACACACTGGATGACTTAAAACAGCAAAGATGTATTCTCTACAGTGCTGAAAGCCGAAGTCTGAAATCTGGGTGTCAGCAGGTTTGGTCCTTTTGGAGGTTATGAGGAAGAATCTATTCCTGCCTTCTCTCCCTGCTTCTGGTGGAGGTTAGCAATCCTTTCTGTCCCTTGGCTTGTAGCAGGAGAACTCCAATCTCTGCCTCCATTTCCACATGACCTTCTCTCATGTGTCTCAAATCTCCCTCTGCACTTCTCTTATAAGGATATCTGACATTGGATTAAATCAAGAATGATCTCATCTCAAGATCTGTATTAATCCATTCTTGCTATGTTATACAGAAATACCTGAAATTGGGTAATTTATAAAGAAAAGAGGTTTAATTGGCTCACCATTCTGCAGGCTGTACAGAAAGCATAGTGGCATCTGCTCGGCTTCTGGGGAGGCCTCAGGAAACTTACAATCATGGTGGAAGGCAAAGAAAGAGCAGGCACTTCACATGGTGAAAGCAGGAGCAAGCGGGGAGGGGAGGTGCCACACTTTTAAACAACCAGATCTCGAAAGAACTCACTCACTAACATAAGAACAGCACCAAGGACATGGTGCTAAACTATTCATGAGAAATCCACCCTCGTGGTCCAATCACCTCCTACCAGGTCCTACCTCCAACATTGGGGATTACAATAATTACCTCTGCGAAGACTCTTTTTCCAAATAATGTCATGTTCACAGGTTTCAGGGATTAGGACATAAGTATGTTTTTTGGAGGGCCACTATTCAACCCACTGCAAGAAGGATATTCAGAAATAAAGGCAAGAAGTCAAAGGAGAGGAAAGGATGCTTCGCCAACGACGTTATCTCTCCACTTGGTGCAAAATACAAAATGGCACTAGGCCAGAAGATTCTGGAAACCTGACAGAGAAAAATGTTATTGTGCAACATAAGGTACTCCAAAAAAATAAAAGGTCAAGTGCCCTAAAAACTACTCAGTGTGGAACAAATGTGTGGGCCTGAGTCCCATCCCAGGTCTAGTAGTAAGTCGTCAAATGGCCTTGGTTAAGTCCTTTCTCTCTGGGCCTCAGAATCTTAACTGTAAAATAAGACAATTTGATGAGAGAGCCTGTAAGCCCTTTCTACTCAAATATCCCATGACTTTACATATGCAAAACCCAAATATGTACATAAACAGATGATTCTGAGAGAAACATTTTCAGTAGAAGATGCAACTGTATGATTACCTAGTGCATTATGTACAAGGCAATATTTTTCCTTGAGTGAATGAAGCAAAGTGATCCAGAAACACCAAAACAGAATATATTCTGAGAAGCAGTTCCATTTATACCATTCTTATGGCTAACATTCTGGTCATTAGAGTTTACAAATTATGTTTTGAGCTACATTAAGCTGCCAGCCTTCATTATCAATCCATGCACTTCTCATTAGGATAAACAGAGGCATGGCATGGATGGTGGCTCCTTAATTGGTCTTGACTGGTCCAAGAGAATAAAGTTGGATCAAATTACTACATGTTATTAATTCTCTTAAACTTTTGATTTGGAAAAATTACCAGGAACCACTACTATGATGCTTAACCACTGAATCCAACAGCAAAGCAGGGCTTCAGGTTAGCATTATTGGGTTGGTAACAGAAGGCATTTAAATGCTTCTGTTCTTGTGAGAAACCCAGTCACCTGAATGCCTTGAGCAACACTTACATTAGGGATGGGGAGAGGGGTGCTGATTAAACTTAATCTGAAAACATCAAAATTCATAATGGTCTTCTCAGAGGCTCCTACAAAATCATTATCATCTAGTGTACAGTGATTTGGAATGAGATATACAATTGGTATGTGGTTTGAAGGAAACAGTGATATTTTTGAACTACCCATATAATAAGTCTAAAATACTTCGCTCTGCAGTTCAAATTTCAGCCTATCCATTCAGCTTTCTCTGAAAAACCCATTGTAAAAATGAAAACTCCATCCTGCCCTAGTGTCTTTTGTCATGCTGATCCCCCAGCCTGCCCTTGTTTACCTTGTCTCATAATTAGGCATATCCATGTCTTTCCACCCTACTGGATTGTATGTTATCTGCAGGCAGGAATCCTTTTCATCTCTACAACCCCACTGTGACATTGTGCTTAGTGCAATGCCTGCCCTGGCTTACCACACATAAACCCTCAACAACATTTGAATTGCATCGTTGAGTTGGAATAATGTATACCTCTAAGCTTATTGTGAGTATTAAATGACATTATATCTCTGACTTATAATAAATAACCAATTACAGCTATTGAACAGAATTCTACCAGAAATTCATGAGAGCTCTCTCTTTCCTATCTAACAGGATGTTAAAAAGCTGTACAAATGATGTGTGGGCAGTTAATGTGTCCTCAATGAGCTCATAGACCAGTGGAAGAAAAAGACAAGTAGATGGAGAATTACAATGCAAAACAATGTTTTTGTTAATTTCTTCAAAAGATATTTATTGAGAGAAAACTATGTAAAAAGCTGTGCTAATCACTAAACTGGAACACATTTAATGTTATTTGTTTGAAATATAATTAACTGTCAGATAACTTTACATTGAAAAATAAGACTTTCCATTTTCCTTATACTTACTTTTTCTTCTGTTTTCCTTATTGTCTAACTCTGGGATCTTTACCTGGGATGGAATCCAGGGGAATCTATGAACTTGGATAGTAAAAAATTATATATTTACTTTCATTAATCTCGAATGGAATTTTAGCATTTCTCTCAGTTGCAATTGTAGATAACAAACCTCAGGAGGATTAGCAGTACCTGTGACCTTGTCACCAACGGAAACCACAGACACTTTCATATTATATTATGCTTTTTGTAGATATGTTAAAATAACTATTATGCACACCACAGCTTTTAAATTAGTTATTCTATTTGCTGTTTGGCTTAGTATTTAGTTAATGAATAAAAAATACATGCCTTACAATAGCACAGATTTGTTTTTAAAATATTTTAATGATTTTCAATATAATTCCTTCTTTAAAAAAATTGTAATCCTAGACATTTTATAGGATTCAAGGAGTCCATAGGCTCCACCAAACTGCCAAAGAGATCCATGGCACAGAAAAAGTTTATGACCTCTTATGCCCTGAGGGTAGTATTCTCAATTCTTAACACACATTTGAGACCTTTCTTTGAGTTAATGTCCAAAGACAGAGCTGAGCTTTGGGTTACCTGCTGTGGAACAGCCATGTGTTGGGAGCAGGTGAGACATCACTCATCTATACACCTCGTGTGACTGTTCTGCTCTGACCACCCATGAGATAAAATGGACCCATCTGTACGTATCTCTGGGCCTGCCTGCCTGTGTGCCCGGGCTTCGTTCAGAGAAAGGAGTTTAAACATAATCTGCATCATTTGAATCAAAACCAAACCATATATATCCTAGGTGGGAAGAAATTAACTGGACAGCCCCAGATGTAGCCAGAGGCACCTGGATATCTTGGTGCACCACAAAGCAAATGTGAGTCATTGATCAAAAGTGGTTAGTTCCCAGAATAAATGTGAACCAAATATAAAGTAACATTAGCACATATGAGTTGAAAAACTCTCTCCTTTTGCATGAAACTAGAGAGGTAGGATTATTATTCCATTTTACAGATGAACAATTCAGAATGATCAAGGTAATTTACCAAGTCACACAGCTAATAAATGAAGCATCTTGTCAAACTAAAGGATACTATCTATATTATCTTACTTCCAGCTCCAGTAACCATATTTCTTATAACAAAGAGCATATACTTGCATAAGACCAATAAGATAGTCTAATAATCAACCAGAGAAGTTTCTTTACCCTAGGGGAGAAGAGGAGAGTTTTGGTTTTTTTGTTTTTGTTTTTTAGCGCAGGTCCAATTGTGATGGAGAGCTCATACCCCTGAGCTCACATACCTGGGGCTAGACTAAGCCAGATGACTTTTGAGCTTTAGAATTCCATGCTTTGAGTAGCTCTGCATCTCCCATTGGGGTAAGAAAAACCCAA
Organism: Homo sapiens; assembly: GCF_000001405.40. Taxonomy (NCBI): domain Eukaryota; kingdom Metazoa; phylum Chordata; class Mammalia; order Primates; family Hominidae; genus Homo; species Homo sapiens. The sequence goes on along the minus strand of NC_000009.12, from coordinate 109,679,588 downwards.
TATTATTAGTCTAGATCATACTCAAGAGGCATCTGAAGCCCAGAAGTTCAATTACTTTCTAAACATCATATTATAAGTCAGAGTTTTCGATGGCAAAACTCAGTGATTGGGATCTAAGGTATACATGGGTTCTCTTCTTAAAAGGGAAGTGGCAATTTACTCCCACCTGGTGAAAGACAAGGTCTATATCCATGGAACAGAAGAGAACAAAGTCATCTGGCTAGGGAAGGAACCAGATCCAAGTTCTTCTGATGGCTTCTTGCTCTACACATTGACTGCTCTTGTTCTCATACCACTTGTCTCTTTGTAAATCTTTGCTCTTCTCACTTCTGCAACAGCTATTTCTGAGAATACCTTCCCTCTAATCTGGTACAGCTCCAAAATAAAAACACTTTCATTTAAGTTGGTGTTCTCGGCAGGAAGCACAGCCACAGCCTGGCAATACATAATCTGGAAAACTCATGAGAAGCAGCATAAGCAGAAAGCTAATGTAGTTTCAGACACATAAAGACCTTGTTCCCAGTAACCAGAGGCAAAGCTTTTGGTGCATGAAGATTTCTAAAATAATTATTCAAAGACAAGGGTCTACCAGGGCATATCTAAGCCCTAAACGTGAGTTTGCCTTTGCCCTATTGCATTTTCCAGAGCTCTCACCTCAAAGGAATATGAAAGCCTTTGCACGTTGTATCTCACACTTAGATAAAATATTCCAAAGCAAACATGTTATTATCTGCTGAAAAAACATATTGATTTTCAGCCACCTATGACTTATCATCCATTACACTTATCAAGCCCAAACCATCAGGAGTGTAATTAAATTTTGGCTTACCTCCGGCCAGAAAAAAAGAAAAGAAAACAACACTATAACATTGGGACTAACAATGATTTCCTCTTCCCAGAATTTTAATTTCCTCTGTCTGTACCTTGTCTCTGCTGGGCACTAGCAAAGGCTCATTGATCACCTCTCCTAGATAAGGATGCACCCCCCAAAACAGCATCTATCTGAAAATCTTAACGATTATAAATGAAACCCAACGCTGTTATCTCCTAGTAACAAGTGCTTTGCTTCGCTCACCTTGAATATAAAGCATGGTAAACAATGAGAAAGGCAATTGAAATTGAGACAATTTTTAAATCCATTCTAAAGTGAAATGGGAATCATCTTCATCTCAGGAGTTTTAAAGAAAATGAAAATTAAGAGTGGAACACTGGACAGATGTTGTTTGAGGAACAATTCAGTGTAAGTAATAAGACCCATTAAAATGATCAAAATCTTTTAAGTATTTAGTACCTATTACATGGCCCTTGCTGACACTTCATTCTACAAAAAGTGATGTGGACAGTCATGTTGCCGTCCACTTTCAGTGAGGGGTATTGTAAGAAAATCCCTATAAAACCTGCTTGTGTATTTATTGTGGAAATGCAGAACATCCATGAAAGAACCCTTCTCTCAAGCCTCACTACTAAGAAAAGCTGTGTGGCCTCCTTAATGACTAGTTTGTTTTCGTCATTTAGACATTCTGAATCTTGTAACCAATTGTTTTCCCCCCTCCTTGCTCAGGCCACTAACAAGCTTAGAGGCAATTTGCAGGCTCCCTGTAACAGCTGAACAGAACAGTGTACTATGAGTTTATCGGGTACTAATTTTGCCCAGCTTTAATTAATATTCCCAAACTTAATTTCCCATTTGTCTTGATTTTATCACCTATTTCTTTTCACCCATTTGTATTGCATATTTTAATCATCTCAAAGTCTTTTCAGAATGAAACAATTCCTTCTAGGTTGTTCCGCTACTGTGATGGATGTTGATGATTTCAGGCTGAAGTTAGGGGCTTGAGGCAGAAGAAACCTCTGTCTTAAAATGCAGGACCAAGTCAACCCCATTCTTGGTATGGCAAAAATTCTTTTTTTTTTTTTTTTTGAGACAGAGTCCCACTCTGTTACCCAGGCTGGAGTGCAGTGGCACGATCTCTGCTCACTGCAACCTCTGCCTCCTGGGTTCAAGTGATTCTCCTGCCTCAGCTTCCAGAGTAGCTTGGATTACAGGTGCCCGCCACTGCGCCTAGCTGAGTTTTGTATTTTTAGTAGAGACGGGGTTTCACCATGTTGGCCAGGCTGGTCTTCAACTCCTGAGCTCAGGTGATCCACCAGCCTCGGCCTCCCAAAGTGCTGGGATTACAGGCATGAGCCACCGCGCCCAACCTGGTATGGCAAAAATTCTATAGCCAAGTCAAACTTTACGTTAAAGCCCTCTATGAGCCCTAGCACCAACCTAATTTCACTTGAGAACTCAAGGATCCAAAAATCTCTAAGTTGGGTCCTGTGAATCACAGAGTAAGTTGTCTCTTTGTCAATAAATGTACCTGTTCCTCTCTAGGTTCAGAGAATGAACATGCTGTTTATTCTCTCTCCTGTCAATCTCTTTGCTTCCTTCCCTCAAAAATATAAATGTATTCAAGTCTTTCTCACAAACAATAAAAACCTCCCTTGATCCTGCATAACCTTCTAGCTACTGCCCCTTATTTTACTTTAAAAGTGAAATTTCTAGAAAGACTTTTGTGACCCTTATTTCGGCCCTCTCATGCACTCAACTCATGGGAATCTCTCCTACCTCCACCATTCCTCTGAAATGTTTTTGCCAAAGATAATCAATGACTAAATAACACTCAATTACAGTAAGCACTTCCCAGCATTCATCTTACTTACTCTTATTTAATACTTGCTTAATGCATACACACAACTTACATACCTACTTAATCTGAAGCATTTCACACTGTGATCTATTCCTTCTTTCTTGAAACACTTTTCTCCCTTGGATTCTGAGAGATCACTCTCTCTTTGACTTGTTTCCATCTCTCTTTCTGTCCCTCCTTAACTCAGCCTGCTCCTTTTCCTTTGCCTAAATTTAAAGTTGGTGCATCTTGGGGATTTATGCAAGCCCTTTTCTCTTTTCTCATCTATATCCATGGTTTCAACTATGACATGTTTTCCAAATCCATATCACTTCCACCTTAAAGTCTATTCAACTGGCCAAGTTCCTACCAATAATTTCACCTGATTCTATATGAAAAGTCTCAACGATGATAAAATGTGAAGTGCCTCAAGTCTCAATGATTGCAGTAAAACACAGTATATACAAAACTGAAGTAATCATATTTCATCCAAATTTGCTCTTCCATCCCATGTTCCCTATCTTCATTAAGGTGCCTCCATCTACGCTACTCTCTTTTCCTCGTCCTGGACTACTTTTCTCATTAGCTACACTCCAAGATTACAGTGGACAAACAATAATTCCTCCCTATTTTCTTCTAGTATAATACAAGATCATAGAATACATGCCTTGAAATGAATAGAGATAAAGCTGCCCAATTTTTTGAATAATACAGATGAAGGAGCAGAGCGTGAGGAAGTGAGGAACTCTTGCTCTACCTCTTTAAGGAATGTGAAGCTGTTCTCTTTTCCTGAAGCAGAGCATGGTTAAGACCCTGACTACTTTTCTCTACCCAACTCCATTGACTATAATTAGTGAAAATTCCTTCTAGAAGGTAACAATAGGTCATTTGTCTCAATTTGGGATGTTGAAAATTTTTGTTTTTGGTATCTTTCGATATTTTATTAAGAAATTTAGCATTCTTTAAGAGCTCTTAGGATACCATTTAATGTGGCAGTTTTCCATCATCATTTGAAAAATTTCTATAAATGTGGTAAAGGTAAACAGTCATCAAAGGGGGACAAGGCATAGGTAAGTGTTGACTAGCACAACTGGAGAAGAGGTACGCAAAATGCCCACTTGTGTCCAGGCATAATTGGAGACAGTATGGACTAAGAAAAGTCTGATGGGAAAATGTTCCTGTCAAAAATGTATGAACATCTTTGTAAGAACAAATGTTATAATTAAAACAATGATGATAGGGATGCTAAAGTAGAAATACACCTAGTTGACTGCAATGTTACAGCTGAATAACTCTGTGCCTAAATAATAGGCAGGATTCTGCTAACATAATGAGGAGACATTTTGTTAATATGTAGTAAAAAGAAAAAGAGATGATTAAAAAACTAAATACGTATGCCAACCATGGCCAAACAAGTATGGAGGCAACTTTTGCCTACTCAGAACTTTTCCAATTATTATATTAGATTGGCATTTAGCCTACCAATATATAGCTTATCAATAATCACCAAAATTGGTAATTAACAGCCAGAAAGATATACACATATTTTCAGAAGAAAATTTAAGTATCTTAGTGTCTTTTAATAGATAATGGGCTTAAGATGTTTGAAAATATTACAAATAAAACATAAAGCAATTGAAAGAGCAGTGGGCTTGCATTCACCCACCAAATTTGAACATGATAAGTTTTCTATTTGGGTCAGAAAATACAGACGCTCCTTTACTTACATCAGAGTTCCATCCCAATAAACCCATCATAAGTGAAAATATTGTAAGTCAAAAATGCACTTAATACACCTAACCTCTCAAGCATCATAGCTTAGGCTAGCTTACTTCAAATATGCTCAGAATACTTACATTAGCCTACATTTGGGCAAAATCATCTAACACAAAGAATATTTTATAACAAAATGTTGAGTATCTCATGTAATTTATTGAGTATTATACTGAAAGTGAAAAACAGAGTGGTTATATGTGTACTTGTAGTATGATATCTACTGAAAGAGTATTGCTTTTGAACCATCATAAAGTAAAAAAAATTATAAGTCAAACCATCATCAGTCAGGGACTATCTATATTTGATTTTTAAGATGCGGGATCTCCTCTATTCAGGTAATATTTATTTTATTCATATTCTTATAAATGTTTCTTAAAAACATATGTGATTAAAACAAATAAACAAGCCAAGCCTAGGGCCTAAATGGAATAGAAAGTAGCCTATGTGGCAAGACTCCCCCATAATATAATTACATATGTTCTTGCCAATTACCTATATAAAGGGACTTGTTGAACACCTTGGACTTCCCATTAAACCCCCAAAAGGTCCACACATTAGAAGAAAGTATACCCTAAGCCTAAGAGCAACATCAGTTTAGGACAGTCTAACAAAGCCCAAAATCAACCCTCCACAAAGTTAAGGGAGGCCACCAGTAACTTAACTGCCTGAAAGTTCAACAGTCTTCAGAGGAAGATAAATCCCAGGTCTCCTCAATATATTATTTTTAATGTACGGCATATAATTAAAAATCACTAAACATATAAAGAAGGAAAATGTGACCTGTAGCCACAAAGAAAAAAATAGTAAACTGAAACAGACTTACAGATGACTCAGATATTGAAATTAGCAAATAAGGACTTTAGAATACCTATATTAAGTATGTCAAGGAATCTATAGGCATATATGGATATGATGAATAAAAAGATAAGAAAACTTAGGAAAGATATGAAATCTAACAAAAAAACAAAAAAGAAATCCTAGAACAGAAAGCTAAAGTATCTGGAACCAAAAATTCATTGAATGAAATTAACAGCAGACTGGACAGTACAGAAGAAAAACACCACTGAACTCAAACACAGGTCAAAAGAAATTATCAAAATGAAAGACCCATTGGTATTCTGTCTTCAAGAGACTCACCTCACATGAAATGACAAACATAGACTCAAAATAAAGGTATGGAGAAAAATCTACCAAGTGAATGAAAAACAGAAAAAAGCAGGGGTTGCAATCCTAGTTCCTGACAAAACAGACTTTAAACCAACAAAGGTCAAAAAAGACAAAGAAGGGCATTACATAATGGTAAAGGGTTCAATTCAACAAGATAATGTAACTATTTTAAATATATATTCACCCAACACAAGAGCACTCAGATTTATGAAGCAAGTTCTTAGAGCCCTACAAAGAGACTTAGGTCCCCACACAATAATAGTAGGAGACTATTAACACCCCACTGACAATATTAGACTGATCATCAAGACAGAAAATTAACAAAAATACTCAGGATCCAAACTCAGCACTCGATTAAATGGAAATGACAGACATCTACAGAACTCTTCAACCAAAAACAACAGAATATATATTCCTCTCATTGCCACGTGGCACATACTCTAAAATCAGTCACATAAAAAGTAAAACACTCCTCAGCAAATGCAATACAACTGAAATCGTAACAGTCTCTCAGACTACAGAGCAATCAAATTTGAAATCAAAACCAAGAAATTTACTCAAAACCATACAATTACATGGAAATTGAATCACCTCCTCCTGAATGACTTTTGGGTAAATAATGAAATTAAGGCAGTAGTCAAGATCTCTGAAACTAACGGGAACAAAGATACAACATGCCAGAATCTCTGGGACACAGCTAAGTCATTGTTAAGAGGAAATTTATAGCATTAAATGCCCACATCAAAAATTTAGAGAGATCCCAAGTTAACAACCTAATATCACAACTAAAAGAACTAGAGAAGTAAGAGCAAACGAATCCCAAATCTAGCAGAAGACAAGAAATAACAAAAATCAGAGCTGAACTGAAAGAGATTGAGACACACACACACGTACACAAAAAGCATTCAAAAGATCAACAAATCCAGGAGTTGGTTTTTTGAAAAACTTAATAGATAGACTGCTAGCTAGACTAATAAAGAAGAGAGAAAAGATTTAATAAACACAATCAGAAACACCAAGGAGGATATCATCACTGACCTCACAGAAATACAAACCACCAAGAGAATATTATGAACACCTCTATGCACCTATACTAGAAAATGTAGAAGAAATGGATAAATTCCTGGACACATATACCCTCCTAAGACTGATCCGGGAAGAAATGGAATCCCTGAACAGACTAATAATGAGCTCTGAAATTGAGGCAGTAATAAACAGCCTACCAACCAAAAAAGCCCAGGACCAGAAGGATTCATAGCCAAATTCTACCAGATGTACAAAGAATAGCTGGTACCACTTCTACTAAAACTATTCCCAAAAAATGAGCAGGAGAGACTTCTCCCTAACTCTTTCTATGAGGCCAGCATCATCCTGATACCAAAATTTGACAGAGATACAACAACAAAAAAAGAAAACTTTAAGCCAATATTCTTGATGAAAATCAATGCAAAAATCCTCAACACGATACTGGCAATCCAAATCCAGCAGCACATCAAAAAGCTTATCCATCATAATCAAGTAGGATTTATCCCTAGGATGCAAGGTTGGTTCAACATATGCAAATTAATAAATGTGATTCATCACAGAAACAGAATTAAAGACAAAAACCGCATTATTATCTCAATAGATACAGAAAGGCTTTTGATAAAATTCAACATTGATCCACGTTAAAAACTCTCAGTAAAATAGGTATTGAAGGAACACAACTCAAAATCATAAGAGCCATCTATGACAAACCCACAGCCAATATCATACTGAATGGGCAAAAGCTGGAAGCATTCCCCTTGAAAACCGGCACAAGACAAGGATGCCCTCTTTCACCGTTCCTGTTTAATGTAGTAGTGGAAGTCCCTGCAGGGTAATCAGGCAAGAGAAAGAAATAAAGAGCATCCATATAGGAAGACAGGAAGTTGAACTATCCCTGTTTGCAGACAACATGATCCTATAGCTAGAAAACCACATAGTCTCAGCCAAAAAGCTTCTGAAGCTGATGCTGATAAACAACTTCAGCAAAATCTCAAGATACAAAATCAATGTGCAAAAATCACTAGCAGTTTTATACACCAACAACAGTCAAGCTGAGAGCCAAATCAGAAATGCACTCCCATTCACAATTGCCACAAAAATAATAAAATTCCTAGGAATACAGCTAACTGTGTTAAAGGTGAAAAATCTCTACAAGGAGAACTACAAAACACTGCTCAAAGAAATCAGAGATGATGCAAACATGTGGAAAAATATTCCATGCTCATGGATAAGAAGAATCAATATCATTAAAATAGCCACACTGTCCAAAACAATTTACCGATTCAATGTTATTCCTATTAAACTATCATTGATATTCTCCACAGAACTAGAAAAAAAACTATTTTAAAATTCATATGGAACCAAAAATGCCAAGGCAATCATAAGCAAAAAGAACAAAGCTGTAGGCATCACACTACCTGACTTCGAACTATGCTACAGGGCTACAGTAACCAAAACAACATGGTACTGGTACAAAAACAGACACATAGACCAATGGAATAGAATACAGAACCCAAGAATAAGACTGTACACCTACAACTATCCGTTCTTCAACAAACCTGACAAAACAAGCAATAAGGAAAGAAATCTCTATTCAATAAATGGTGCTAGGATAACTGGCCAGCCATATGCAGAAGATTAAAACTTGATCCCTTTCTTATACTATATACAGAAATTAACTCAAGATGGATTAAAGACAAATGTAAAACCCAAAGCTATAAAAACTCTAGAAGACAACCTGGCAATATGTTCAGGACATAGGCACAGGCAAAGATTTTATGATGAAGACAACAAAAGCAAAAAAATGACATGTGGGATCTAATTAAACCTAAAGAGCTTCTGCATAGCAAAGGAAACTATCAACAAAGTAAACAGACAACCTAAAGAATCAGAGAAATTTCTGCATACTATGCATCTGACAAAGGTCTAATATCCAGCATAAATAAGGAACTTAAACAAATTTGCAAGAAAAGAAACCAAACAACCCCATTAAGAAGTGGGCAAAGGACATGAACAGACATTTTTCAAAAGAAGACATACATGTGGCCAACAATTATATGAAAAAGGCTCAACATCACTGATTATTAGAGAAGTGCAAATCAAAAACATAATGAGATACCATCTCACACCATTCAGAATGGCTATTATTAAATAGTCAAAAAATAAAAGATGCTGGTGAGGTTGTGGAGAAAAAGGAATCCTTATACATTGTTGGTGGAAGTGTAAATTAGTTCAACCATCGTGGAAGACAGTGTGGCAATTCCTCAAAGACCTAAAGACAGAAACACCATTTGACCCAGCAGTCCCATTACTGAATATATGCCCAAAGGAATAGAAATCATTCTATTATAAAAACATAAGCATGCATATGTTCATTTCAGCACTATTCACAATAGCAAAGAAATGGAATCAACCTAAATATCCATCAATGGTAGACTGGATAAAGAAAATGTGTTACAGATACACCATGGGATATTATGTAGCCACACAAAAGAACAAGATCATGTCATTTGCAGGGACATGGATGGAGCTGAAGGCCATTATCCATAGCAAATTAACACAGGAACAGACAACCAAATACCTCATGTTCTCATTTATAAGTGGGAGCTAAATGATGAGAACACATGGACACATAGAGGGGAACAACACGCACTGGGGCCTATTGGATAGTAGAGGGTAAGAGGAGGGAGAGGATCAGGAAAAACAACTAATGGGTACTAGACATAATACCTGGGTGATGAAATAATCTGTACAACAAACTCCCATGACACAAGTCTACCTATGTAACAAACTGGCATATGTACCCCTGAAATCAAAAGTTTTTTTAAAAAAATAAAATATTTCAAGCTAAATGACAGCTAAAATAAAACAAATCAAAATTTGTGGCATGCATCTAATGTACTTAAAAGGAAATGTATAACTTGAAATATTAATATTAGAAAAGGAAAAAGATGTTTGAATGGCCTAAGTTTTTAAGATGCTAGCTAAAGAAAAAATTAAACCCAAAATACATAGAAGAAAAATAAAAAAAAGAATGAAAATGAAAGATAAACAATAAAAAAGTCAATAAAAACAAAAGTTGGTACTTTGGAATAGTTAATAAATCTCTTAAAATTAATAGAAAAGAAACAAAACAAATATCAGGAATGAAAGGGGGCATCAGTATAGATTCCTATGCACATTAAAAAGATTAAGAGGACATTATGAAAAACTTTATGTCAATAAATTTTAAAAAGTAGATGATATTACCAAAAATTTCCTGAAAAATGCGACTTATTGAAAGAATACAAAAAGAAATATAAATATCTGAGTAGTTCTATATCTATTAAATAAATTGAATTTGTAATTAGAAACCTTTCAACCAAGAAAAATTCAATCCAGATCATTTCACTAGTGATTTCTATCAAACATTTAAGGAAGAAACAATAGCACTTCAACCTAAACTCTTTCAGAAAATAAAAGAGGAAGACACCCCATTCCAGCTAGTTTTATGATGCCAACATAACTCTGAACCAAAATTTGATAGAGGCATTATAAGAAAAAAAATTACAACAATATTTGTTCACGAACATAGATAAAGAAGCCTGACAGAATATTAGCAAAGGGAATCCATGTGATTGTCTCATTAGATCTAGAAAAAAGTATATGACAAATGTAACATGTATTCATTGAAAAAAAAAGGAAAAACAAAAAAAACACTTTCAGGAAACTAGGAATAAATGAGAACATTCTGAAGATGATACAGAGTACCTATGAAAAACCTACAACTAAAATCCTACTTAATAGTGAAAAGGGCAGTTCTTTTACCCTCCACAAATGTAGACCTGTGTTTAAGCTTACCTCTACGTCCCTAAAGTATAGGTGAGTTTTCTTCATCGATTGCAAGCCAAATCTTCCATTCCAGTGCTAAGCAGACTTGAGGCAATGATATTACCCATGATCTCTGGTTTATACTTTTCCACCCCATAGAATTTTAGGAATGAAAATCAGTGATGACCTAAGCTTTGAGAGTATCAAGATAGGTCCCAGCTGTTGATGATCACATGGAATCTGCACCTTAGTGCTACCTGGAAAGTCAAGGTCTAGGGACAGGTCTTAAGACACAATCAGAAAATGGTGCAGACCTTGTCTAACCAAGGTGGAGGCACCAATGGAAAGAGAGCAGACAAATAACATCGTATACCCTCCAACCTGAAATCACAACACTCTCTGGAAGCCCTCATATAACTAAAACTGCCTTCCCTAATCATATACCTTCTTGATAGTGTTGGTTGGCTAATCAGTTTGCCCACAGACCAAATAAAAAAAAGACAGAGACAGACAGACTCTATGTGCCCCAGACAATGGATTTTCCTTTTATGTATCCTGCACTCTGCTTTGCCTTTGCCCAGACACACAATCTATACATAATTAATCTCCCAATACATATGATTAAGCTTCAGCTGTGCTCTGACTAAAAGTCTGAGTTATGCTTTGACAGGCTTCTAACAGAGAGCATGATATTTTCCAGTGGGATAAAACAAGAATGTGTTTTGTTCCTTTCTCTTTGGGATGAGCTAATTGTAAGCCCTCCTGCTAGAAAGAAACAGCAAATTAAGTTTTCCTCTATATGCAAATGACAGTTTTATAAACAGATTAGTAGTGAGTTTCCATCTTTTCTCTCTAGTTGTTGGCAGAGGGATATGTAGCTCAATTACTTTAAAACCAAAGCCGGCCGGGCGCGGTGGCTCACGCCTGTAATCCCAGCACTTTGGGAGGCCGAGGCGGGCGGATCACGAGGTCAGGAGATCGAGACCATCCCGGCTAAAACGGTGAAACCCCGTCTCTACTAAAAATACAAAAAATTAGCCGGGCGTAGTGGCGGGCGCCTGTAGTCCCAGCTACTTGGGAGGCTGAGGCAGGAGAATGGCGTGAATCCGGGAGGCAGAGCTTGCAGTGAGCCGAGATCCCGCCACTGCACTCCAGCCTGGGCGACAGAGCGAGACTCCGTCTCAAAAAAAAAAAAAAAAAAAAAAAAAACCAAAGCCATCATTTTCAAAGGTATTCCCAATAATTCCATGCATATTACCTCATTTGTTTATATTTTACAACTAACCTATCCTGAGCTATAGGCTTCTGGTTATATTTACCTTATTGTTGTTGTTGCTATTTGTGTGAGACAGGGTCTCACTCCAATGCCCAGGCTGGAGTGCAGTGGCAACATCTTGGCTCACTGCAACCTCTGCCTCCCAGTGTCAAGTGATTCTCTCACCTCAGCCTCCTGAGTAACTGGGATTACAGGTGTGTGCCACCATGCCCAGCTTATTTTTGTATTTTTTTTAGTAGAGATGGGGTTTCACCATGTTGGCCAGGCTGGTCTCGAACTCCTGACCTCAAGTGATACACCTGCCTTGACCTCCCAAAGTGCTGGGATTACAGGCGTGAGCCACCACGCCCAGCTGGGTTACATTCGTTTAAAAGGTCTTGCTTGTTTGTTTCCTTCGTTTTGCTTTTAGAATAAAATTATTGAACCATGACCTCTGGTGTAGATCTTCGGGCCTAGGTCTGTCCTGTCTTTCTGTATTAGAAAAAAATCCAAAAGTAATTTTTGAAAAACATCTTGGCCTAGCCTACAGCTAGGTACTCGTTCAGGTCATCTCTGGGTGTCAGTAGGGTGGTGTCTGTGTCTTCCTTTAGGGGATAGCTGTTCTTTTTATCTATCTGTCATCATTCTCTTTTCTTCCAGCAACATAGCTTACATTTTCCTTGTTCTCCTATTTCTCTCTCTCCTCCACTCTCCCTCTGATTCCAGAGGAGGGCCTATGAATCTTCAATTGAGTGGCTCAGAATACGAGCATGGTTGGAGGTTGTTCATTCCAGCTGTGGGTCCTTGAAGAACTGTCCACTGAATCCTGGTACTTAGATGCCTGCAGTTGCCTTCGCTTCTGTCTTTTCCAAAGACTGATGTTCACCACTTCCTTCTGTTAGGAAGGGGGCTGTTAGGTCCCCAACATCCTTTCTAAACATTTATTTTCTGCACAAGTTATGCAGAGCTGGTTTCTGTTGCTTGCTTCTGTCGCCTGCACACACAGAACACATCTAACTGCTTTGTTCCTGTTGTGCTTCTTTGGTGGGCTGGCTCTTATGCCTGATTCTTCTCTGGGTCACCACCTTTGTCCAGCTTTTGCTATGTTTTTTTCCTCTGGTAATCCAGCTTGGTTATTCATTGGGAGCCTTCTGCTGACTCCCAAGGCTTCTGCTAACAAGGGTGCCAGACCCATAAGGAGCAGACACCTGTAATGGCAAATCCAAATTGCAAGTGGGAGCCTGGACATTTAGAACCAAGAGCAACGGCATAAAGCATGGAGTCAGCCCACCAGAACTGAGAGTGGGAGAGAAGTGAAATTTTCTACAATCAACAAATGTGAAATAAGCTTAACTGGTTGTGATATCATCTCTGGTTTCTGTGTAAAATAACAGTATAAGAGCATTTTCATTCATTCACCTGGGCCTATACCCTTCCTATACCCTTCCATTTAATGAAAAATACAGAAAGCATTTAAGAGTTGTTTTTCCAAATTGAGATTCATCAAAAAGAGGCACAAAAGACCTCCAACTGCATTTAAAAAGATACTTTGTGAGGGCTTTCCAAGATGGCCGAATAGGAACAGCTCCGATCTGCAGCTCCTAGCATGATCAATGCAGAAGATGGGTGATTTCTGCATTTCCAACTGAGGTACCTGGTTCATCTCACTGGGGCTGGTTGGAGAGTGGATGCAGCCCACAGAGGGTGAGCCGAAGCAGGGCAGGGCATCACCTCACCAGGGAAGCTCAAGGAGTCAGGGGATTTCCCTTTCCTAGCCAAGGGAAGCCATGACAGACTACCTGGAAAAACAGGACACTCCCGCCCAAATACTGTGCTGTTCCCAAGGTCTTAGCAACCGGCAGACAAGGTGATTCTCTCCCGTACCTGGCTGTGCACCTCCCACACCCATGGAGCCTTGCTCACTGCTAGCGCAGCAGTCTGAGATGATCTGTGAGACAGCAGCCTGGCTGGGGGAGGGGCATCCGCCATTGCTGAGGCTTGAGTAGGTAAACAAAGCAGCAGGGAAGCTCGAACTGGGTGGAGCCCACTGCAGCTCAACAAGGCCTACTGTCTCTAGACTCCACCTCTGTGGGCAGGGCATAGCTGAACAAAAGGCAGCAGACAACTTCTGCAGATTTAAACGTCCCAGTCTGACAGCTCTGAAGAGAGCAGTGGTTCTCCCAGCACAGCATTTGAGCTCCAACAACGGACAGACTGCCTCCTCAAGTGGGTCCCTGACCGCCACGTAGCCTAACTGGGAGACACCTCCCAGTAGGGGTAAACAGACACCTCATATAGGCGGCTGCCCCTCTGGGACAAAGCTTCCAGAGGAAGGATCAGGCAGCAATATTTGCTGTTCTGCAGCCTCCGCTGGCGATACCCAGGCAAACAGTGTCCGGAGTGCAACTCTAGCAAACTCCAACAGACCTGCATCTAAAGGACCTGACTGTTAGAAGGAAAACTAACAAACAGAAAGGAATAGCATCAACATCAACAAAAAGGTCATCTACACCAAAACCCCATCTGTAGGTCACCAATATCAAAGACCAAAGGTAGATAAAACCAACAAGATGGGTAGAAACCAGAGGAGAAAAGCTGAAAATTCTAAAAATCAGAACGCCTCTTCTCCTCCAAAGGAGCGCGGGTACTTGCCAGCAATGGAACAAAGATGGACGGAGAATGACTTTGACGAGTTGACAGAAGGAGGCTTCAGAAGGTCGGTAATAACAAACTTCTCAGAGCTAAAGGAGGAGGTTCGAACCCATCGCAAGGAAGCCAAAAACTTTGAAAAAAGATTAGATGAACGACTAACTAGAACAAACACTGTAGAGAAGAACTTAAATGACCTGATGGAGCTGAAAACCTTGGCACGAGAACTTTGTGACACATGCACAAGCTTCAATAGCCGATTCAATCAAGTGGAAGAAAGGGTATCAGTGACTGAAGATCAAATTAATGAAATGAAGTGATAAAGTTAGAGAAAAAAGAGCAAAAAGGAACAAACAAAGCTTCCAAGAAATATGGGACTATGTGAAAAGACCAAACTACATTTGATTGGTGTACCAGAAAGTGATGGGGAGAATGGAACCAAGTTGTAAAACACTCTTCAGGGTATTATCCAGGAGAACTTCCCCAACATAGCAAGGCAGGCCAACACTCAAATTCAGGAAATACAGAGAACACCACAAAGATACTCCTCAAGAAGAGCAACCCCAACACACATAATTGTCAGATTCACCAAGGTTGAAATGAAGGAAAAAGTGTTAAGGGCAGCCAGAGAGAAAGGTTGAGTTACCCACAAAGGGAAGCCCATCAGACTAACAGCAGATCTCTTAGCAGAAACTCTACAAGCCAGAAGAGAGTGGGGACCAATATTCAACATTCTTAAAGAAAAGAATTTTCAACCCAGAATTTCATATCCAGTCAAACCAAGCTTCAAAAGTGAATGAGAAATAAAATCCTTTACAGAGAAGCAAATGCTGAGAGATTTTGTCACCACCAGGCCTGCCTTACAAGAGCTCCTGAAGGAGGCACTAAACATGGAAAGAAACAACCGGTACCAGCCACCGCAAAAACAGGCAAAACTGTAAAGACCATCAATGCTATGAAGAAACTGCATCAATTAATGGGCAAAATAACCAGCAAATATCATAATGACAGAATCAAATACACACATAACAATATTAACATTAAATGTAAATGGGCTAAATGCCCCAATTAAAAGACACAGACTGGCAAATTGGAGAAAGAGTCAAGACCCATCAGTGTGTTGTATTCAGGACACCCATCTCACGTGCAAAGACACACACAGGCTCAAAATAAACGGATGGAGGAAGATCTACCAAGCAAATGAAAAACAAAAAAAAGGCAGGGGTTGCAATCCTAGTCTCTGATAAAACAGACTTTAAACCAACAAAGATCAAAAGAGACAAAGAAGGCCATTACATAATGGTAAAGGGATCAATTCAACAAGAAGACCTAACTATCCTAAATAGATATGCACCCAATACAGCAGCACCCAGAGTCATAAAGCAAGTCCTTAGAGACCTACAAAGAGACTTAGACTCCCACACAATAATAATGGGAGACTATAACACCCCACTGTCAATATCAGACAGATCAATGAGATGGAAGGTTAACAAGGATATCCAGGACCTGAACTCAGCTCTGCAACAAGCAGACCTAATAGACATCTACAGAACTCTCCACCCCAAATCAACAGAATATACATTCTTCTTAGCACCACATCACACTTATTATAAAATTGACCACATAATTAGAAGTAAAGCCCTCCTCAGCAAATGTAAAAGAACAGAAATCACAACAAACTGTCTGTCAGACCACAGTGCAATCAAATTAGAACTCAGGATTAAGAAACTCACTCAAAACCACACAACTACATGGAAACTGAACAACTTGCTCCTGAATGACTACTGGGTAAATAAGAAAGTGAAGGCAGAAATAAAGAAGTTCTTTGAAACCAATGAGAACAAAGACACAGTGTACCAGAATCTCTGGGACACATTTAAAGCAGTGTGTAGAGGGAAATTTATAGCACTAAATGCCCACAAGAGAAAGCAGGAAAGATCTAAAATCAACACCCTAACATCACAATTAAAAGAACTAGAGAAGCAAGCAAACACATTCAAAAGCTAGCAGAAGGCAAGAAATAACTAAGATCAGAGCAGAACTGAAAGAGATAGAGACACAAAAAACCTTTCAAAAAATCAATGAATCCGGAAGCTTGTTTTTGAAAAGATCAACAAAATTGGTAGACCGCTAGCCAAACTAATAAAGAAGAAAGGAGAGAAGAATCAAATACAAGGAGAGAAGAATCAAATAGATGCAATAAAAAAATGATAAAGGGGATATCAGCACCAATCCCACAAAAATACAAGCTATCATCAGAGAATACTATAAACACCTCTACGCAAATAAACTTGAAAATCTAGAAGAAATGGATAAATTCCTGGACAATACACCCTCCCAAGACTAAACCAGGAAGAAGCTGAATCTTTGAATAGACCAATAACAGGCTCTGAAATTGAGGCAATAATTAATAGCCTACCAACCAAAAAAAGTCCAGGACCAGACAGATTCACAGCTGAATTCTACCAGAGATACAAAGAGGAGCTGGTACCATTCCTTCTGAAACTATTCCAATCAATAGAAAAAGAGGGACTCCTCCCTAACTCATTTTATGAGGCCAACATCATCCTGATATCAAAACCTGGCAGAGACACAACAAAAAAAAGAGAATTTTAGACCAATATCCCTGATGAACATCGATGCAAAAATCCTCAATAAAATACTGGCAAACCAAATCCAGCAGCACATCAAAAAGCTTATCCACCATGATCAAGTTGGCTTCATCCCTGGGATGCAAAGCTGGTTCAATATACACAAATCAATAAACGTAATCCATCACATAAACAGAACCAAAGACAAAAACCACATGATTATCTCAATAGATGCAGAAAAGGCCTTTGACAAAATTCAACAGCGCTTCAGGCTAAAAACTCTCAAAAAACAAGGTACTGATGGAACATATTTCAAAATAATAAGAGCTATTTGTGACAAATCCACAGCCAATATCATATTGAATGGGCAAAAACTGGAAGCATTCCCTTTGAAAACTGGCACAAGACAGGGATGCCCTCTCTCACCACTCCTATTCAACATAGTGTTGGAAGTTCTGGCCAGGGCAATCAGGCAGGAGAAAGAAATAAAGGGTATTCAATTAGGAAAAGAGGAAGTCAAATTGTCCCTGTTTGCAGAT
This sequence comes from Homo sapiens, assembly GCF_000001405.40. Classification (NCBI taxonomy): domain Eukaryota; kingdom Metazoa; phylum Chordata; class Mammalia; order Primates; family Hominidae; genus Homo; species Homo sapiens. The sequence continues at coordinate 109,662,103 of NC_000009.12, read as the reverse complement.
GACATGATTGTATATTTAGAAAACCCCATCATCTCAGCCCAAAATCTCCTTAAGCTGATAAGCAACTTCAGCAAAGTCTCAGGATACAAAATCAATGTGCAAAAATCACAAGCATTCTTATACACCATTAACAGACAAACAGAGAGCCAAATCATGAGTGAACTCCCATTCACAATTGCTTCAAAGAGAATAAAATACCTAGGAATCCAACTTACAAGGGATGTGAAGGACCTCTTCAAGGAGAATTACAAACCACTGCTCAACAAAATAAAACAGGACACAAACAAATGGAAGAATATTCCATGCTCATGGACAGGAAAAATCAATATCTTGAAAATCGCCTTGCTGCCCAAAGTAATTTATAGATTCAAAATGCCATCCCCATCAAGCTACCAATGACTTTCTTCACAGAATTGGGAAAAACTACTTTAAAGTTCATATGGAACCAAAAAAGAGCCCACATTGCCAAGACAATCCTAAGCAAAAAGCACAAAGCTGGAGGCATCACGCTACCTGACTTCAAACTATACTACAAGGCTGCAGTAACCAAAACAGCATGGTACTGGTACCAAAACAGATATAAAGACCAATGTAAAAGAACAGAGGCCTCAGAAATAACACCACACATCTACAACCATCTGATCTTTGACAAACCTGACAAAAACAAGCAATGGGGAAAGGATTCCCTATTAAATAAATGGTGCTGGGAAAACTGGCTAGTCAAATGTATAAAGCTGAAACTGGATCCCTTCCTTACACCTTACACAAAAATTAATTCAAGATGGATTAAAGACTTAAATGGTAGACCTAAAACCATGAAAACCCTAGAAGAAAACCTAGGCAATACCATTCAGGACATAGGCATGGGCAAGGACTTCATGTCTAAAGCACCAAAAACAATGGCAACAAAAGCCAAAACAGACAAATGGGATCTAATTAAACTAAAGAGCTTCTGCATGGCAAAAGAAACAACCATCAGAATGAACAGGCAACCTACAGAATGGGAGAAAATTTTTGCAATCTACCCATCTGACAAAGGGCTAATATCCAGAATCTACAAAGAACTCAAACAAGTTTACAAGAAAAAAACAACCCTATCAAAAAGTGGGCAAGGTATATGAATAGACACTTCTCAAAGGAAGACATCTATGCAGCCAACAGACCCATGAAAAAATGCTCATCATCACTGGTCATCAGAGAAATGCAAATCAAAACCACAATGAGATACCATCTCATGCCAGTTAGAATGGCAATCATTAAAAAGTCAGGAAACAACAGATGCTGGAGAGGATATGGAGAAATAGGAATGCTTTTACACTGTTGATGGCAGTGTAAATTATTTCAACCATTGTGGAAGACAGTGTGGGGTTTCCTCAAGGATCTAGAACTAGAATTACCATTTGACAAGGATCATAAATCATGCTACTATAAAGACACATGCACACGTATATTTATTGCGGCACTATTCACAATAGAAAAGACTTGGAAACAACCCAAATGTCCATCAATGATAGACTGGATTAAGAAAATGTGGCACATATACACCATGGAATACTATGCAGCCATAAAAAAGGATGAGTTCATGTCCTTTGCAGGAAAATGGATGAAGCTGGAAAGCATCATTCTCAGCAAACTATCACAAGGACAGAAAACCAAACACAGCATGTTCTCACTCACAGGTGGGAACTGAACAATGAGATTACTTGGACACTGGGTGGGGAATATCACACACCAGGGCCTGTCGGGAGTTGGGGGGGTTGGGGAGGGATAGCATTAGGAGAAATACCTAATGTAAATGATGAGTTGATGGGTGCAGCAAACCAACATGGCACATGTATACCTATGTATCAAACCTGCACGTTGTGCACATGTACCCTAGAACTTAAAGTATAATAATAATTTTAAAAAAGATACTTTGCTAGGGTTTGTATCTCAAGAAGCCACACATTTTTCTGAAAGAGTTGTTTTTGGGTCAGGTGCAGTAGCTTATACCTATAATCCCAGCATTTTGGAAGGCCAACATGGGAGGACTCCTTGAGCCCAGGAGTTTGAGACCAGCCTGGGCAACATGGCGAGACCACCATCTCTACAAAAAATTAGCTGAGTGCAGTAGTGCATGCCTGTAGTTCCAGCTACTTGGGATACTGAGGGAGGGGAATCACTTGAGCCTGAGAGGTAAAGGGTGAAGTAAACCATGATCACACCACTGCACTCCAGCCTGGGCAACTGAGCAAGACTCTGTCTCAAAAAAATAAATAAAAAGTTTTTTCGAAGTGCACTTATTGTATTTGTATTAATGCACAGTTGTATGCTTTGTGTAAGCATTTTATCTGAATTTTCTATAAAAAGTTTTTTAGTGGAGCAATATGAATTTTAGTTAGAAAACAATCTAATTTATAATTATGGATACATCATTTTACTTAGAGCTGACTCACATCTTTGCAAAGTGTTAAATGTTTATAAAATTCTACTATACATTGAAATATTACTCAGCAATAAAAGACCTGGAATACTGATAATATACTATGGTGTAGAAGGACCTTGAAAACATTATGCTAAGTGGAAGAAGCCAGTCACAAAGGACCACGTATTGTGTTATTCCATTTATACGAAATGTCCAGAATTTAAAAATCTATATAGATAGAAAGTAGATTAGTGACTGCCTAAGGCTGGAAAGATAGGGTATTGGGAGGGGGTGGGTAAGGGAGTAGGGGGGATTCTTGGGCTTAAAAAAGTGTTCTAAAATTGATTTTGATGAAGGATGCCTGGGCAACATGGCTTTGTGGATGGACTTTATGGGCAACTTTGTGGATACACCACTAAAAGCCATTGAACAGTACACTTTATAAATGGATTCATTGTGTGGTATTTAAATCATCTCTCAAAAAAGCTGTTTAAAAATTCTGCTTAGTTTGGTTTAACCTATTCTCTGAAGCAATCCCTCCTTCACACACAAAAAAATCCCATTACATAGCATTTTTACCATTTTTAGGATATGAAATATGTATTTGGAGGTGGACATAATGATGAAAGATTGAGCATTAATATCTTTTCCATTCATAGTTCATGTTTGCTTGGAAGATATTTGCTTTATTTACTCTCAAAGGCAACCTTCTGTAGAGATACATGGAGTTAAACAATCTGTAAATGTACTAAACTTTATTTTTTCACATAAAGGTCCTGCAAGTTTGTGCTATATTTATTTATAAGTACTTTTCGGATTTTGTTATTACTGAAATTGTATTTTTTCTTAAAAATTAGATTTTCTACTTATTATGGGACTGTTGAAATGAAATTGATTTTTTATATTCATCATGTATCTAGCAACCATATTAAAGTCTCACACGAACTGATGGTTTTTCAAGGGGAAATCCCTTTCACTTGGCTCTAATTCTCCCTCTTGCTTGCTGCCATGTAAGATGTGCCTTTTGCCCTCCACCATGATTGTGAGGCCTCCTCAGCCGTGTGCAATTGTGAGTCCATTAAACCTCTTTTACTTTATAAATTACCCAGTCTCAGGTATGTCTTTATCAGCAGTATGTAAGTGAACTAATAAAATAACTTTCTTCTATTTCTAGTTTGCTAAGAGTTTTTTATTATGTACGGACACTCATGTGCTAAACTCATTATTCCTAAATTCCCTTGAGACATGAACATATTATTTATTTATCTTTATATCTTTATAAGATTTTTGGAGAGGTCAGAAGGGATATTTATAAAATTGGCTATATTGATACAGGGAATGAAAACCTGATTACAGAATACTAGAAACTTCTGCCTATCAACTTGAATCTTGTCTCTGTCTATACTACCTACACTCAATACCAAAGTGATATCATTCATCCCATGGCCTTAAACACCATCCATGGACTAACGATTCCCCAGTTGAACTCCTGAACCTCCCTGAACACAAGACTCATACAGCCAACCACCCTCTCAGCATTTCCATCTGAATGTCTAATAAGCATTTCAAACTTAACACGCTCCCAAACCAAATCTTACTTTCCCACCCCCAAACAAGGGTTCCCTATTTGAGCAAATTGCACATCATTTACCTACTGCTCAAGCCAAAATACTTTGGCCTCCTCTGTGAGTCCTCTCTTTTTGCCACAATATACATACAACCTGACACACACACACACACACACACACACACACACACACAAACACACACAAATCTGTGAGCTCAATCTCCAAAACTTACACCAAGTCTGACCCTTTCTCATCTCCCCAGGGATGACATGCCACTCCCTAGCTCCCAGCCATCCTCACTTCTTGCCTGACATCCTGAGACCCAAAGAAAAACTGCTATGAGCAGGGAGAGCTTAGGTTCTAGCACTCAGTTACCTAGCCTTCTGCTCATCAGCAAACACCCAACTATCATTGCCTCTACCTGAGCTTCTCTGAGGATTCAAACCCCCAAACCCTATCATTTAACTATACCAACTCGCTCCCTCAAGGCAATCAACCTGTCTTTCCGTTTCTGTTTCCTAGAAATGTGTTTACACAGTATGGGTATGTTCTTTCTGTCTCTGTCTGTCTGTCTCTCTCTCTCTGTCATCCTCTCTTCCGCTGTATTTCTCTCCCTCTGTCTCCCCTGCTCCCAAGACCCTCCATTGATTTTACACACACACACACACACACACACACAAATACCATATTGCTTTTGTTCTCAGAAAACATAAAGCCACCACACTAAACAACTGGCTGATTCCTCCCAAGCAAAGCTTCCTTCTTAGCCCCCAGATGTGCTGGTTTGAAAAGTGTGAACATTCTCCCTCCTCAAAAAACCAATCAGTCATGATATTTCATGGTCCAGATGAAAGGCCATCAGGCTGGTGCCTGAAGAAGCAAAATATCATAAATTGCAAATGACAAATGGTTGCTTTGCTCCTGAATCTGAAACAATCTCACAGTGGTTGAGAATTTTTTTCTTACAAAATGTTTGGCTAGGACCACAGAGATTCTGACCCTGGGGCATCTCTGACCTTTAATATGATACACTGACATCTCTTTTACAGAGAATACATTTTTCAGTGTCAAAGCTTTTAGCCACAAGGCAATGTAACTTCATTTGAGAAATAAGTGTTGACTGTAGCCAAGGTGAACATCATACAGCTTCAATATAGTTGGGAGGGACCTCTTAGCTCCTAAACTCAAATGATTGACAATATTGCTACAATATAATGGTGAGACCAGAGGCTTGAGGAGGCTAAGATGAAAGGAAAGGAAGAATCCTCCTCATCAATATCACAGTGTGTTTGTCTATTATGCCATCATTAGCAGTACCAATTTTGAATTCTCTCCTCAGAGACTGTTGTGAAATCCGACCACTTCTCACCATCCGGACTGGCACAGCCATCAATCACACCCTTCAGTTCTCACCTGCAACAGGTCTCCAGCCTCCTCTCATCCCCTAATTCCTCTTTGCCCTCTACAGCCCGTTCTTCACACAACAACCATAACCATCTTGTTAAACTACATATCAGATTGTGTAACTCCTCTGCTTAAAATCCCCCAATAGTTTCCTTTCATCATCTAAACAAAAGCCAGACTCTTGCTACAGCACTCAGAGACAGATCACTGTGGACCCACTGAAGCTTAAGAGCCACGGCCCCTCACTTGGAGCCCCTGAAAACTCTGGAAGGGACCTAGTAATGTGTTTTCAAGGGATGGGCATGTTTTTGTAAAGTTTGCAAAAGGAAGATATGTTTTTATTCTTCCTCTGCAAGGGCCTTCAAAGTTGCATAAACTTTGAGCCTTGTGACACCTGGACCTAAGTGGCCTAGAAGGTCTGGCTGACCTAGCCTCTGACCTCTTCTCCCCCAGCATCTCCCCCAGTCACCACCCTCGAGCCCCTTCCACCACCATGGCGCCCTTTCTAGCTCAGGCTTCGCACTGGCCATTCCTTTTGCCTGGAGCTCTCCTTCCTCCTATGTTACATGAGGTTGCCCATACCCACTTTTTGCCCCAACGTCAGATACTCTAACCCATTTTTAAATTTTCTTTTTCTGGTAGGATTTTATTGGTATCTAGAATTGCTTATTTATCATTCTTGTGTTTATACAAGGGCTGGGATGCTGTCCATTTCCTCAATAGCCTCAACTTCTAGAAAATACTGTACTGGCTCATAATAGGCTTTCAATAAATATCTATTAACCCTTATGCCCAAAAGAATATAAAGCTCAAACACATACTTGTACACCAGTGTTCATGGCAGCACTATTCATGATACCCAAAAGGGGGAAACAACCCAAATGTCCATCAATAGATGAATGAATAATAAAACGTGGTATAGCCATACAATGGAATATTATTCAGCCTTAAAAAGGAATAAAATTTTGACACAGGCTACAACAGGGATAAACCTTCAAAGCATTACACAAAGTGAAATTATCCAGACACAAAAGAATAAATAGTGTTTGATTCTACATATATGGGGCACCTAGAGTAGGCAGTTTCACAGAAACCAAAAGTAGAATGGGGGGTAGGGGGTGGGGAGAATAGGGAGATGATGTTTTATGGGTAGAGAGTTTCAGTCTGGGATGATGAAAAAGTTCTGGAAATGGTGATGATTGCACAACATGGTTAATGTACTTAATGCCACTGAATTATGCACTTATAAATGGTTACAATGGTAAATTTTATGCTATGTATATTTTACCACACACACAAAATACATATATATAGAGAGAAAGAGACCCTTTATCCATATTTTGTAAGATGGACTATATAAATCTCTGTTCCTTGTCACCCAGAGGGCCTATGGCTGCCCTTGAGCAATCTTTTTTTTTTTTTTTTTTTTGAGACCGAGTCTCGCTCTGTCGCCCAGCCTGGAGTGCAGTGGCCGATCTCGGCTCACGCGGTGCAAGCTCCACCTCCCAGGTTCATGCCATTCTCCTGCCTCAGCCTCCCGAGTAGCTGGGACTACAGGCGCCCGCCACCACACCCGGCTAATTTTTTTGTACTTTTAGTAGAGACATGGTGAAACCCTGAGACCATCAGCCAGGATGGTCTCAATCTCCTGACCTCGTGATCCACCTGCCTCGGCCTCCCAAAGTGCTGGGATTACAGGCGTGAGCCACCGCGCCCGGCCCCTGCCCTTGACCAATCTTAGGAAGCAGGAAAATGTGGGGAGAGAGTAACAAGTGCCAAAGCTTTTCCAGAAAATTGGGGATTTTGATCTTAGGAATCCTTTTCTAATTCCCAAGAGACGGTTGAATGGGGAAAGAAAAGAAAAACTACCAAAATAAGACACAGATAGGCACATCTGAAAGATGGCATTTTAGAAGGAGGCTTTAAAAAGCATGAAGTTTAATACATATACACACACACACACACACACACACACACCATACACATACATACAGGCACCTCTAATTTGTGTTATTCCAGGGTAGAACACTCCTCCTCTACTTGCACTGAAGTCATAGACACACCATCCTGATATAACAAAATGCTTTTAATTTCAAGATCTAAAGTAAAACTAACAGGAAAGCAAATTGTACAGCTGATGAAGGCTGGGAGTGAACATATTGAGTCCTTCAGAACTGTGCTTTAGCTCACCCAAATGTAATTAGGTTTGAAGAGCCATCATTTTACCAAGCAATCAAGAATCCATAACTGAACCTTGTTCTGTGCAGTCTAATTAACAAATATGCATTGTCTTTATAAAGCTTAGCTCCCATTACAATGAAAGAGTTTTGGAGATAATTCTCATCTCACATAAATGAAAACACAACTTACTAACATGTTTGAATTATCTTTTACAAAACAAGTTGCTTTTCCCTTGCTTTTAATAGTAAGGATCCCAGAGTTTATTGATCTTGTTCAGAAAATGGAATACCACGAGCTTCTTGGGCCTAACACATCATATTCATATTATATCCATATAATCATAACTAGAGATTTATACCAAGATATTATGGCTTACAGCCACATGAGGCCATAAACAATTAGATTCACTACTTTTAAAATATTAAAGGACTGACCAAAGAAGAATATTTTTAGGATATAAATTATTTATGACCACAAAATTTTCAAATCATATTTTAAAAGATAAGATTGCATTTATCTATCTCATATACACTTATTGGCTAACCCCTACCCCATTCTGATTTCCCAAAAAATAGAGACTTTGCCTATCCACATGTAACTGCTAAGTTGTGCCAATTAAAATGAAGAGCCAGGTTTTGCTCTGTGTGTTTACTTGTTCCACACACAGATTGTTGAACTCCAATTCATCATCAGACTCGCCTACTATGAGATTGTCTTAGGATGGGAAATGTAAAAGGATGAGGAACCCCACACCCACATCTTGTGTTATATAAAGCCCTGTGCTCTATATTTGCACTGAGAATGTTGCTACTCAGAGTGTGGTCTGCAGACCAGCAGCATCAGCATCACCTCCTGGGAAGCTTGTTGGGAACACAGGAACCCCCCAACTACACCCCCTATCTACAGAATCAGGATCTGCTTTTCAACATGACCCCAAATGATTCATATGCACATTGCAGTGGGAAAGATGCTGTCTTAGGAAATGAGACCTTATTATTAATGTCTTTGATTTTAAATGCTGCACCTCCCGCTCAGAAGCAAAGAAGTAAGAAAAGTATTGAAAGGATGGAGGACTTCAAAAGTGTTTCTGGACCAACTTATTTAACGTTTCTCTGGATGGCTCATAGGTGCAGTGGGACAACTTTTAATGCCTTTCAGAGGTTCAGAGGCTTTCGATGTGATCTCAGCAAACGTGACTAAAACCAAGTATCTACAAAGGGTTTAGCAGTGCCCACCAAATCTTCATATCGTTTTGTTTGTTCTGTTTTGGTTTTTGTGTTGTTTCCTTTTTGTTCTTTGTTTTTTGTTTCATTTTGTTTGTGATCCCACTTTGCACCATCATCTGAAAGCTGAGTTTCTGATTCCTCAAGGGGGCAGGCATTCTCCACAATGCTGCCTCACCCATGATCACGGAGGCAGCATTAGTCATAGTGCAAACTAAAAGAGTTGAAGGTTAAGTCGGTTATTCAAACTAGTTTTAATACAGGATTTGGGTTGCTAATTTTTTAAGTAAATGACTTAACCAGTTGTAAGATGACTAGTCCAAACATTAAAGATTTTTTTATGCTAAATTAATTTCAAGGGCTATGAAATAGGCTTGGATTTTGACCTCATCTTAGAATCCCTGGACTCCTAAAATTCATTTAGGCTCCTGCCCCAAGGCTATGTGCCTCTGACAGATAGTATTCCATCAAACCTTTCCTTTGAATAAACACTTGCCATGTTTTATTATAATTACCTGACCAACTATGTTTCTCATTAGATTGTGACCCCTATGAAGGCAAAGACAATGTCTTACTCCTATTTGTACCACAGATACCCATAAAAGTGTCTGGCACATACCAGGTACTTAATAATTATGAGTTGAATGAATTAATAAATAAACATGATTGACAGAGAAATTGAAGTATTAAAAGTAGGGCAAGCAGTCTAAACAACAACTGACTTTTCAAGTATGAGATATGTATTAGTCTGTTTTTGCATTGCTATAAAGAAATACTGGAGACTAGGTAATTTATAAGGAAAACAGATTTATTTGGCTCACAGTTCTGCAGACTGTTCAAGAAGCATAACACCAGCATCTGCTTCTGGTGAGGCCTCAGGAAGCTTCCACTCACGGCAGAAGGTGAAGGGGAGCAGGAGTGTCACATGGCAAGAGAGAGGGGAGGAGGTGCCAGGCTCTGTTAAACAGTCAGCTCTTGCATGAGCTAATTTATTACTTCAGGGAAGGTACCAAGCCATTCATGAGGGATCCACCCTCATGACTCAAACACTTCTCACTAGGCCCCACTGCCAACACTGGGGATCACATTTCAACATGAGATCTGGGTGGGAGGACAAATATCCAAACTATATCAAAATACTATATAAAAGTCAGTGGATTGTGATATATTTAATTTATAACCCATTTATTCAGAACTTGTGAAACACACATTTTCATTACACTATATTTTATGCTTTTGTACTATCTGTGAAAAAGATTACACATGATGGTATAGACTTAATTGACTTGGCAGTAATTTAGGTAGCATCCATTTATGTACTATTAATAGGTTAAATTATCACATTTTTAAATAGCACATCAAATACTATAAAGACCTATTTACAAAAACAGAATTTCGACCAGGAATGTTCCTTCCTATAATGAAGAGAAATGAGATTTCATTTCTTTAAATAAAATAAAATTTTGATTAAGCCTACTCATAACTGAGATTGGTCTTCCCTCTAAGGCATCAAATTTGGGGAATTTTTATTATAAGTTATATATAAGAAAATGACATCTTTCAGTGGGAAGTAAATGAGCACTTTGATATCTGTGGAATAGGAGTGTCTCCTTCTTAAATATTTGAGTGTGCACATAACAACACTCAATATCTCTTCCCTATATTGGAACCTTGAGGTCCAATGACCAGAATGTATGAACAAACAGAAATCACCAGATTCCATCCCGGCAATAAGAAGGGTTCTCATAAGACTTTCAGTGCTTCTATCCTCACATGCTGTGTGAGCTAGGATCCCAGCTGGAAGCAGATGGCATACTCCAACTGGATAATTGAAATAATCTTAATAAAGAGACTGCTTTACAAAGGCAAAGGCAGAGCTGACAGTAACCCACAGCAATGGTGAAGCACCCAGGGGCTAACAAAGTGATAAGGGAGCCATCGCCACATCAAGTCCCAGAGGAGCAAAGGAAGGAAGTGGCTACCAGCAGTGGGAGAGAGCTGTAGCTGTAGCAGTAGGAAGGGCTGCTGTGGCCTTCAGAAGAGGAAAGATGCCCTGGCCAACCCACTGCCCTGTAGGAAGAGAAACCATAGATTAAACCGTACACTGACCTCAATTTTCTCTCATCCATGGTTCTCCTGCTGGTGCCTTCCATTGAGCCAACTCAACAGGAAGTCAAAGAGTAAGAGAGGCAAGCTGAGGGAGTCCATAGAGGTCAGCCTCACAGGGCACAAAGCACAGCCTCATGAGGCACATAGGCAGGGAAGGGTAGAAAATGGATTTGAAGGATGAGATGGAGAACATCACCAGATACACCCTTTCCAAAATACTTCTACTGCAAAGTATTTATAATCTCATTCATGAACTCTTTTTTTGCCATACACATTCCTAAGAATTGAGAGAGAATAAAGATATATAATAACAACAGATTTGTTAATAACAATGACATTTGGTAGTTACTAATATTATTTTCGTAGAAACACAAGATTCATTGATTCATTAACTCAAAGATATGGTAAAGTCTTCTCTGTGCTTCCCTCAAAGCCGCTGAAATGAACTAAAAGAAGGAAAAATTGGAAGGAAAATTGTGTCTACTGTGAGGCTAGGTATGGTGGCTCACCTCTATAATCCCAGCACTTTGGGATGCTGAAGTGGGAGGATTGCTTAAGGCCAGGAATTTGAGACCAACTTGGACAACTTAGTGAGAGCCTATCTCTAATAAAAATGAAAATAATTTAAAAATTAGCCAGGCATGATGGTGTATGCCTATAGTCCCATCTACTTTGGGCCCTGCGGCAAGAAGATCTCTTGAGCCCAGGAATTCAAGGCTGCAGTGAGCTCTGATTGTGCTACTATGCTCCAGCCTAGGTGACAGAGCAAGTCTTCATCTCTAAAAAACAAATAAATAAATGAATAAATTGATCTACTATGAAACTAGCAAAGAGCTACAATTCTCAAATCACAAGCTATAAGAATTATCTGCCAAACAGAGTATAATTTTTATTAAATCAGTGGACAACCCTAAAAGGTGATATAGTCCTCTACAGATCTTAACTGGCTTTCAAATTTCTCTCTAAGTAAGGAGAGAGTACACAAAGGCCCAATGTTTGGTGGTGAGAACTGGCAAAACGTGGGGGACATCTGTGTGAAGGGGCTGGTTCCCTACCAGAGTGAACTGATGGAGAAAGTGACACCGATGGCACTACTGTGTGAATCCTTAATGTTTATTATCTGCAAAACCCGAAAACTGAAAACCTTAACATGGAGGAATCATCTCAAGGCAAGAGATGTAGGAAAATAGAAGGAAAAGAGCAATTACCTTTGTAGTCGATTTGCCCTGCCACTCTCTTCATAAATGCTAAACCAAGTCATCAAGTAGTGGTAAAGCACCAAAAATCTGTCTACCCTCCCGCAACTCACACACACTCAGTAAGCTGGGATATGTGATCTGTCTGAATGATCTGCTCACTCTCTACACAACTTTTTTGAACAGAAGATATTGCAGAGTTGTAAGAATTTTTTATGAGACAAAATATCCAATCCAAAGCTAATGTCTCCCCCAAATCACTGTCTCCATCCCCTCTACCTATTCTTGGGCAAATAGTAGGTTTGGATAGAATTACCTCTATTTGGAAATGGATAATAAATGCAAAGCCATTAACATGCATAGATTCTATATGCAGAGTTATTATTTTTATAAAAATGAGTTACCAGCAAATGGCAGATAAATACATTTCAGAAAAATAGCCCAAAAAATACAGATAATTTTCTGATAAACTACTCTCCATACATTCAAAAAAATTGGATACATGAACTCTTTATTTTAAAAAGTGCAAAATGTGCTAGCCAAGCCAGAAAATAAATTGAAGATAACCATAAAACCATTTCAGAAGTGAGCCCTACTTAGAAACTGCTGCTTAAAAAGAGAGTCAACTATCTACATGACAGACTTTTAAATGTAAGGAAACTCATAGGAACATCAGGAAAAAAATGAGAAAAATTCAGAATTAATAGTTATGGAGAGCAATGGGTAATAGATGTCCCTGTGGTAGATAACAGAACAAATAGATTCTTCAATTGAAAGCCACAGGGAAAATATCTTTACAAAAAAATAAAGGAAAATATGACTCTTCAGAACAAAGGAACTACCATTTTCCAGAAAAAAAAAACAACAACACAATGACTTACAGTAAGAAATATCAAAGAGAAGTTACCAAACTTTCAGTGTTTAAAAATAACTTGATCAGCATCAAAGCCAAAAAAAAAAATTGCAGGAGTGGGAGGGATGGGAGTAGGCAAGCCATCTACAAAGAAGAAATAGTCTAGCCTCAGACCTTCCCAGAGCAAGGGTCAATGCCAGAACACAATGGAATGACATCTTGGAGAATTATGAGGGGCTAAAAACATGATTCTATAATTTTATACACATTCAACTTGTTTGTTCATAGAAACAACCAACAGGCATTTAGAATTTAATACACTTTGGCCCTGTTTGAAAACAAACCCTTTTAACTAAACACTAAATCAACCTATAAGATGCTCAAAAAAGAGGATGTCATTGATGAAAGGGCTGGTGGTGTTCTGACTGCATTTAGATCCAAGACTAACACTGAGCCCACAAAGCATGGCCCTGCCTCAGGACCTTTGCAACTGCTCTTCCTTCTTCTGTATGTCTCATCCCCTCACCTTGTTCAAGTCTCTATCCAAACTTACCAAGTCAGAAACCTGTTCCCTGATGACACTATCAAAAATAACCCTCCCATCACTCTCCAGTCTCCTAATGTGCTTAATTTTTTTAACATTTATTGCTTCCTGACAAAGTATATATGTAATATATGTATTGTCTGTCTCCTCTAACACAATATAAGCTCCTTTGCCTCTTTGACAATTTACTGCTGTATTCTCAGTGCTTGGAGCAGTGCCTAGGATGAAAAGGGCACTCAAAAAGAATCCGTCGATTGAATGAATTAAGAGAATTATGTTCAAATTTGCAAATGCTAAAAACTTTGAAAACATAAAACTAACACTAAGTATTAGTCCATTTTCACACTATTATAAAGATACTACCTGAGACTAGATAATTTGTAAACAAAGAGGTTTTATTGACTCACAGTTCTGCATGGCTGGAGAGGCCTCAGGAAACTTACAATCATGGTGGAAGGGGAAGCAGGCACGTCTTACATGGCAGCAGGACAGAGAGAAAGAGCAGGGGAAACTGCCACTTTTAAACTATCAGATCTTGTGAGAATTCACTCACTATCATGAGAACAGCATGGGGGAAACCATCCCCATAATCCAGTCACCTCCTACCAGGTCCCTTCCTGAACACATGGGGACTACAGTTTGAGATGATATTTGGGTGGGGACACAGAGCCAAACTATATCACACTATAACTGCAACAAATGGTAAAAGGGGGGCTAAGTGACATGTGCTCATTTCCTCAACTTTAAGGTAAGAAATCTATCAATAAAGTCTAAATTTGATGAACTGTAAAACAATCACTTGATCACTTTTAAAAGTCAATGAGATATTTTAAGCTTTGTCTTTGTAAGTGATTTTCACTGTCTTCTGAACATTTGCACCTTGTGGCTTACTAGGGCTCTCTGAGAAAGTGACAAGTAGACAGAGCAAGAGCACAGACCACGACCACTGACAGTGATGATGTACATCAAGTTAGACTAGTCAAACATAAATATTCAAATATGAATATATAATGTGGCTAGGGTTGTCAAGGATTTGGGGAAACAGGGGCTCTCAAACATGATGAATGGCAATGTAAAGGGATACAATACTTCCGGAGGCACCTGGGCAATATCTAACAAAATTCACAATGTGCATATTCACTCACCCAGCAATTTCATTTCTAGAAAATTGTATGCAGACTTATTTGCAGTGTGGACAAGGATGTTCATTGTAGCATTGAAAATAGTAGCAAAAAGTGGAAACAAGTCTAACTCTTCATCATGAAGAACTGGTTAATGATATTCCAAAAGTAAATACTAAGCAGTTTTATAAAAGTGAATGAAGTAGATGTGTATATATTGATATTCAAAGCATGTGCTTTACCACTGAGCTACACAGGCTGACATACATTGATAAGAAAAAGTATGTAGAATATAATATGAAGTGGAAAAAGCAAGCTGCAGAACAACATATGTGGTATGATTTCATTTATGTAAAAGAAATATTTAAACCTATATATATATATAAGTGTTTCCAACTCTATGATGTTTGCATGGAAAATATCTGGAAAGAGGTTTCCCAAGCGTTCATGGTAATCACCTCTAGGAACTGAGATATGAGTGAGAGAATGGAAAATGGGGATATTTACTTCATAAACTTCCGTAATATTTGAATTGTTTTAAAAAGCATACATTACTTTCATCATAGAAATTAACTTCTAAAAGTCTTACACATTTCTAAACACATTTGTTTAATGCCCACCATATGCTGAGCACACGAAATGCCACATTTTGTGTCATCAGAAGACTGATTCAGCAAGAAAAATAGTTCAAACTCACAAAGTATCCATAGTCACACATAGACTAAGCCGTAAGCTCCTTGAAGACAGGGTAAGGGATGTTTTTAATCACCATTTATCGCAAGTACCTATCACAGTGCTTCATACATAGAAAGTATTCAATAAATATTTGCTAACTAAATGAGTTACTGGATGAATGAATGAAGGCATATGTTAAGAACCTTAAGTTATCTGTAACTTAATGTCCCTACTGCACTTATTCTTTCATGAACCTAGATTTATTCATTTGCAGAATCAAACTTCAGATGTTTCATGATCACCACTGGATGCTATAAGCCTAAGTCCATGTGATAACAGGCATCTGACTGGTGATGGGGAATGCCACTTCTGGTCCAAGGCTGCCACCCACATTGTCAGAGCCCCAGGGCTTACAGGGATCGCAACAACTTAGAGTTCTCGTGTTATGTTCTTTGTGCCTTTTGGATCCCATACTGTTTTGAAGACCATTCCAGAGAAGTGTGAGGCAAAATCTATAGGTGTGGCATCAAATTAATAACTGCAGGTGTTAAAGTGCATTCCTACAAACACATGGATCTCATACCCAACCCACCCAGGAGGGCAGCAAGTACCTGCCATTGCCTGATGTTTCATGTACCACACAAGAACACTGACATGGTACAGAACATGACACCAACCCTACCTTCTGGTTTTCCAGTAGGTCTTCTCTGTTCTACACATCCAGTACAGAGCATGTCACTAAGAAAAATTTTAACTTCAATCAGTTAGTACCCTCTTTTCTTGTTTATTACCTAGATTTTTCTTTCTTTCTTTTATTTCTTTTTCTGCTTGCTTTGGATTTAGTTTGCTCTTCTAGCCTCTTAAGGTGGAAATTAGACTTTTCTTCTTTTCCAAGATAGACCTTTTGTAAATTTTATTTTATTTTAGATTCAGGTGAGTACATGCGCAAGTTTGTTACATGGGTATATTGTATACTGGTGGGGACTGGGCTTCTAATGTACCCATTACCCAAATAGTGAACACTGTACTCAATAGGTAATTTTTCAACCCTTGTGCCTTCCCACCCTTCCCTGTTTTGAGGTTCCCAGTATCTATTATTTTCATCTTTATGTCCATGTGTACACATCATTTAGCTCTCACTTATAAATGAGAACATGCAATATTTGGTTTTCTGTTTCTGAGTTAGCTCATTTAGGATAATGGCATCCAGCTCCATCCACATTGCTGTAAAGGACATGATTTTATTCTCTTTTATGGCTGGGGTTTTTTTTTTTTTCTTAAACTAAGAAGCTCTTATTTTACTAAAACCAACAATACTTGTGAAAAAAATGACTATGTATCCTCATTTTCACTAGGTTTCATTTTAAATTGGAAACCTTGGTGATATGGTTTCTCTCTGTGTCCCCACCCAAATCTCGTCTTGTAGCTCCCACAATTCCCATGTGTTGGAAAGCACCTGGTGGGAGATGATTGAATCATGGGGGCAGGCCTTTCCCTTGCTGGTCTCATGATAGTGAATGGGTCTCATGAGATCTGGTGGTTTTTAAAATTGAAGTTTCTCTGCACAAGCTTTCTTTTTGCCTGCTGCCCTCCACATAAGATGTGACTTGCTCCTCCTTGCCTTCTGCCATGATTGTGAGGCTTCCCCAGCCACATGGAACTGTGAGTTCACCATTAAACCTCTTTCCTTTGTAAATTGCCCAGTCTCAGGTATGTCTTAATCAGCAGCATGAAAACAGACTAATACAGTACATTGGTACCAGTAGAGTTGGGTGTTGCTGAAAAAATAGTCAAAACTGTGAAGCCAACTTTGGAATTGGGTAACAGGCAGAGGTTGAAACAGTTTGGAGGGCTCAGAAGAAGACAGGAAAATGTGGGAAAGTTCGGAACTCCCTAGAGACTTGCTGAATGGCCTTGACCAAAATGCTGATAACGATATGGACAATGAAATCCAGGCTGAGGAGGTCTCAGATGGAAATGAAAATTTTGTTGGGAACTGGAGCAAAGGTGACTCTTGTTATGTTTTAGCAAAGAAACTGGCAGCATTTTTCCCTTGCCCTAGAGATTTGTGGAACTTTGAACTTGAGAGAGATGATTTAGGGCATCTGGTGGAAGAAATTCCTAAGCAGCAAAGCATTCAAGAGGTGACTTGGGTGCTGTTAAAGGCATTCGGTTTTATAAGGGAAGCAGAGCATAAAAGTTGAGAAAATTTGCAGCCTGACAATGTGATAGAAAAGAAAAACCCCTTTTCTGAGGAGAAATTCAATCAGTATACACACATATTTACTGATTTAACATCTATCTCTCATCAGACAAAGAGAATCATGACTGTTTTGTTGACCAGTGCTAATCTCAACAAACGTTTGTTGGTTAAATTAAAACATAAAAGAAGTGAATTTAATTCCCTCTTTTAATAAATGTTTATAAATATAAGTTGGTTACAGTAAGTAAGGGGAATGGAGTCCCTATTTCACTCATATTCAAAGTGGGCTTTTCTACCGGAGATGAAATCTGGGGAGTGTTTAGATTGAAGGGTAGGGGCAGTATTTGGCACAAGGGAAATGTTGTGAGACCCAAGGAGGGACAGGAAAAGATGATATTCTAAAAGGGAAAAAAGAAAGAAAAAGCTCACTATATTAAGTGATGTAGATTGGATGTCCCCCTCCAGGTATCATGTTGAGATGTAATCCCCAGTGTTGTACATGGGGCCTGGTGGGAAGTGTTTTGGTCCTGGGGGTGAATCCTGGGGATGGGGCCTTGGTGTTCACTCGCAATAGTGAGTGAGTTCCCCTGAGATCTGGTTGTTTAAAGTCTGTGACACCCCCGCCACCCCTTGCTCTTGCTCCTGCTCCCACCATACAACTTGCCAGCCTTCTGCTTCACCTTTCTCCATGACTGAAAGCTTCCTGAGGCCTCACCGGAAGCTGAGCTGACTCCTGTACCACACTTCTATACAGCCTGCAGAATCATCAGCCAATTAAAGCTCTTTTCTTCATAAATTACCCTGTCTCAGGTATTTCTTTATAACAATGCAGGAACAGCCTAATACATTAAGGAAGCAAACGAAGTAGGGCAGAAAACAGAGTTGGAAATTGGGAAGGTTAACCAGGAAGTGAGAACTTTGGAATGTTGCTTGGGAATGGGAAAGCTGAGGCCAAGTTGATTAGGGAGAAGGAGGCTAATTGAGGCAGTAATTTGGATCCTGTGGAGCAAGAAGAATGTGATGAGGAAGGTCTTTGTTCACAAGGAGTTCCAGGTGTGAGCTTAGCACACCTGGAGGAAACCTTAGCCAGGAGACTCAGAGGGAATGTGGGAAAAAGCTGAGGACCTTTGTAAACTTACCAATCCTGTGTGCTGTTCCAGTTATTGAGCACCCAAGTGCTAAGTCTGGGAGAAACATATCAAATATTAGATTATCCATGTGAGAGCATAAAGATGAAAGTTGCTGCCCTGGCAAATGACCAGGCTCTCCTTTAGCGCTACCCAGTGAGAGGACTAGATCTATGTTCAGTCTCTTGTAAAGGACAGTCTCCATGTCTAAGAAAATGACAGTGAGGAACAAGAATGAAGTGTGCATCAGGCCGAGTCTGTTCCGTATATCCAAGCCTGCTGTGGCTTCTTGCTAGTTCTCACATCAACAGTGGTATCTTGGGAATTATGTTACTCTCAATTGCCCTTCAGGCATTGTCTTTCCCTTTCTTTCCTTCCTTCCCTCCCTCACTCCCTCCCTCCCCCTCTTTCTTTCTTTCTTTCTCTTTCTTTCTTTCTCTTTTTCTTCTTCCTTCCTTCCTTCCTTTCTTTCTTTTTTTGAGATGAGGTTTTGCTCTGTCACCCAGTGCAGTGGTGCAATTATAGCTCAGCGCATTCTCAAACTCCTGGGCTCATCAAGACTTCCTACCACCTCTGTCCTCAAAGCACTGAGATTGCAGTCATGAACCACCACACCATGTATTTCTTTATAAATTAAAAAAAAAAAAAAAAGACTGGGCATGGTGGCTCACACCTATAATCCCAGCAAGACCGGGGCAGGAGGATTGCTTGAGCCCAGGAGTTCAAGACTAGCCTGAGCAACATAGGACAATCCCGTCTGTATGAAAAATTAAAAATTAGCTGGGCATGGTTGTGCATGCCTGTAGTCCCATCAGAAGGCTGAGGTGGGAGGATTGTTTGAGCCCAGGAGGTCAATACTGCAGTGAGCCATGATAGCGCCATTGCACTCCAGCCTGGGTGACAGAGTGAGACCCTGTCTAAAATGAAGAATAGCTTGGTGCCAATCCGAAACCCCAATAAATGCTGTAGACTGTAGTATTAGGTTGGTGCAACAGTAATTTGCGGTTTTTGCCGTTGAAAGTAATGGCAAAAACTGCAATTACTGTTGCACCAACCTAATAATAATAGATAATATTCATAGATAATAGATGATATTTATTGAGCTTATTTTATGCCAGGCTCTGTTCTAAGAACCTTATATGTGTATGTATCAATTTACATCATTAACTTCCTTAATGTTCACAAAAAGTACATGAAATAGTTACTATTATTATTCCCATTTTCCAGATGGGGAAAATGAGGCCCAGGGAGATTAACATCATTCAGCAAAGTGTCAGAAGCCTCAAACCAGCCAATCTGACTCTAGAGCCCAGCTCTTAAACATGACACTAGTTCCTTAAATTTGTACATATCTTACAATTTACAAAGCCCTTTGGAAGAGATACAGATATTACATGATCCTCTCAATAATGCTTCAAAGTGAGTAAGGAACATCTTTGTTTCCATTGCAGAGATAGGGAAACTGAGGCTCAGAGACATTCAATTGCTGGAGTAGGAAATCAATAACAGCAGTATCAGGCTAGGTGGGGCCTGAAATCCATGACTGTGACTCCTACAATGCTACACCATCTCTCACTTCTGCTTTAGCAGCCTTTCTGAGGATTAAATTGCATCTACACAATCAGATACGCAGAGGGATAAAGGCTGCATCTAAGGTTTCTTGGGTTTGGTACGAAGGTCCTGATGTCTGAAAACATGACTTTATCTCTAACTTGAAATATGATTTCAGACGGCCTCAATGTCAAGGAGTAGTGTGGGAAGAGAACGGAAGAGGAGAAGCTGACCAAGTGAGCGGGATCTAATAGCTGGCTCCAAAAATGACCCTTCCTTGGAGTGGCTGGCTGTCGCCTGTCAGAGTGGTCCTGCTGTGGCAGCAGCTCGAGAGAGTGTCCAAAAAGCAATGTAGGGATGCAAACACAGAGAAGAGAGGAATCCTAGACCAGACCCACAACCGGAGCCCTTTATTTAATGTCTTTTCTGGTTAATGCCTCTCTTGTCTTCCCCACCCATCCATGCCGTATTCACGGTGCCAAACGTTGTAATTCCACTCCGGGCTGCCGCCAATATGTTTGTCTTATTTCTCCAATACCCCAGGAACAAATCAATTCTTTTGGGTCTTCTGATGGTTTCTAGTAGCCAGGACATTGCAGCCCTGGCTCATATTACCCACTAACTCATCCTTCCATTACACGCTTCACACTGAACCGCGTTTGCTTCCGATCCGCAGTGACCCCCTCCCTCTTTTTTTAACTGCAGTCCAATAATGCTGACATGGTTAGGAATCGGAAGTCATGGCTATTGCGGCCAACTCCCCGATAAGCGGAAGCTTGGGGCAGAGATAGGAAAGCCTAGAATATGCCTCCGTCCTTAGCAACATCATCTACTCCCCTCACTCGCCCCCCAGGCCCTGCTAGCCAAGGGGCAGCCGCAAAAACCACGCCACCCGGGGCTCCCACCCCTTGCCTCCTGCCGCCGCGGCGGCTGCTATAGAAACACCAGGCGTACACACGGGGCTGAAATTAAACACCCATCCTGGACGCGGACCCGAGCGGGATCTGCCTGCCGCCGCGGTCACCATGGCAACATGCCGAGAGGAGAGCAGCTGGCGGCGCGGCTCGGGGATACTCACTCCATCGCGGGGCTCCGCGGCCGGGTGCGCTGCTGCGGGGCTCACCGGCGCTGCTCGCCTCTCCCGGAGCCGAGTGCACTGGCCGCGCCGCGCGCGAGGTGGAGCTGGGAGCCGTCTCCCCTCCCCACCCGCACCCCCTCCTCCCCTGGAGGGTTGAAAGTGAATGCTCAGGCTCTCTCAGCTCCCAGCCTGCGAATAAAACGGGAAGCAATTGGATAATGTTGTTCGCTGGGCGCTAGACAAGACACCCCACTTCAGGGTTTCGGGGAGGGAGCGCGCTGGCAGCTGGCGTCGGGTGAGGTGCCCACCAGCGCGCAGTGCCGTGCGCCCTAGGCGCCAGGTGCGCCGGCGGCTCCCCTGGGACTGGCGGCGCGGCGCGGAGCCTGGGGAGAAGGGTGGGTGGGGGAGCAGGGCGGCTGCGGCTGGTGGCACAGCCCAGAGGGCATAGGCAAACGGTTGAGTCATTGGCAAGGTGGCAGCTCTCGCCGCTTAGAAGTTGCAAGAAGCGTCTGGCCTCTGCAAGCAGCAAGGACTGCCCCCAGTGGGCTGGGCATGGGTTCAGAAACGCCATTGTGCCGGCCGGGCGAGATCCCTCTGAGTTTCCCAAGCAAAACTCCAGCTATCTTGAAGCGCCTTAATGCGGCGTTTCACCACCTTGGCGACCCCATGCCCCTTTCCGTTTCACTCCAAATTCTGCGTGTTCCCGCCTGCCAGGAAGACATTGTCCAGGGTCAGTTTCCCTAGTCTGCTATTTGAAAACAATAGCTATATTGACTATGGTTTCCCAAATTACCACGGCCCCGGCCCCGCGGTAATAAGCCACCTGGAGTACGCACACCCTGCCTCCACCCCCTCTGAGAATCCTCTACTCCTAACGGTTTCCAGAGCAGGGACCTGGTTGTCATCCAGGTGTCCTGCACCTGCTACAATACAGAGTAGATGGGACAGCTTCAGGCTTTTCTTCTATCTTGCAGCCGGGTCCCTCTGTGAGTCGGTGTCTGCCAGGTGCTGAAAACGCAGCACCAAGCATAAGCATAGCCATCACAGTCCCTGCCCTGCAGGAGCTCACGGGTTAAAGTAGAAAGGCAAAGCACAGATAAAGACAAAAATAAACATATCGTCACAGGCTGAAAATATTGCTATAAAAATTAAGTAATTAGATGCTGTGATGAATGTTCTAGAATTAATTTTTGGTGATGATTGTGCAACTGAACATACTGAAAGCTATTGAATTATACACTCTGGGTGAATTTTGTGGTCTATGAATTATGTCTTAATAAAGACGTGTTTTTTTAAAAAAATGCTTTGATGGAGAATAAAAGGGAAGTGGATGTGCCTAGGTAGGTGTTCAGGGAAAGCCTTCCTGAGGGACTGGGGTTGAAAGGGGAGAGGGCTCAGATATGCAAGCCACAGGGCTAGGGCTTTCCTGCCAGTCAACTCTGTATGGTGGCTCTAGATGGGAGACTGCTCCATATGTCAAGGGGCTGGGAAGAGAACCGTGCAAAATGTTCTCAGTGGATTCACTGCTCCTCGTTTTCCTCAGGAGAGTGAGATGCAAAGTCAAACCCAGTGAAGATTCAAAGAGCTGTTTTGTGGAAGGAAATTCTGTATCAACTCCAGGTTTCCCTTCACAGAGAAATTCTATGTGAATTCGGAGATCATAAAACCCTCCCCCAGTCCATGTCCCTTTCCAGTTGCATATAGGATTAAGTTCATGTGTGAATAATTAAGAGGCTTAAACAGGAAAAAGATGTGCTTTTGTGTCTTAAAAGTTCAGAGATAAGCTGTCCTGGGCCAGTTTATCAGCTCAACTCCTGAAAGAGCAAAGAGATCCAGGCTCCTACAAAACATTGCTCTATCATATGTGGTCTCCCTTCCTAAAATTGTTTCATGGTCCAAGTTGGCTGCTCTGGCTCTAGCCCTTATGTCTGCATTCCAGCCAACATAAATGTGGAAAGAGGAAAGAAAAGTAGGTAAAGGAAGCACGCCTGATGCCTCTTAAGAAAGGCTCCCAGAAGCTGCCTCAGGACACTTAGATCTCCTTGGCCAGAATTCAGTCACATGGCTACATTCAGTTTCCAGGGAGAGTAGACAAAGAAGTCTTTACTCTGCATAGTCATGAGCCTATCCAAAAGTTGAGACCTCCATTCCCATGTAAGAAGGGGAAAATTGGTATGGGGGACAGACAACCAGTAATCTTTGCCATTCTCCTCAATGCTTAGCGTTCTGGCTTCTGCCTCCCCCATGCCGCTGCCACTGCTCCCTGTAAAGTCCCCAATGCCAAATGGATATGTCTCAGTCCTCTTCTTATGTCATTTTAAAGCTGTGTTGAACATTTTAACAGCTCCCTTTTGTTTTTGATTTTTTTACTTGAAGTCAGGTTTATTCAGGTATAATTTATAGGCAGTGGAATTCACCCTTTGTAGGTGTACAGGCCTATGAGTTTAGATACATTATGCAATCATGTAACTACCACCATAGTCAATATATTACATGACCATCACCCCCAAACAGTTCTTTTAAGTCCCTTCATAGTCAATCCACTCCTCCTAACTCCAGCCTCTGGCAACCACTGGTCTCATCTCTGTTCTCATGATTTTGCTTCTTCTAGAATATCATATAAATGGAATCAGACAGTATGTAGCCTTTCATGTTCAATTTCTTTCACATTGCAAATGCTTTTGAGATCCATCCATGTTGTGTATATAGGTAGGTAGGTCCTTTTCATTGATAAGTACAGCTTTCAATTGTACAGATGCACCACAATGTGTCTATCCATTCACCACTTGAGGAATATTTGTTGTTTTCAGTTTATGGCAATTATGAAATAAAACTGCTATAAACATTCATGTACAGGTCTTTATGTGAATAAATGTATTCTTTTTGGGGTAAATATTTAGAGTCATCCCTTCCATCTTGAAACAGTCTTCTGTGACAACACAGTACCACACCTCTCTAGCTACCCCTTCTATTTGTCTCTTAAATCTTGGTGTTCTGGAGGATTCTTGCCTAAATTCTCTTCACTTCTCACTCTACATACCCTCCTCGAGCAATTTCATCTACTTTTATGGCTTAACTTAACCACCAATATGATGCTGACTTCCAAAACTAAGTTTGTCGTCCAGATCATGCTCTTAAACTTCAAAACCGATTCCCAAAGGTCATTGTAACATCTTCACAAACACCTCAAACCCAGTATGTCCCAGAAGCACTTGTCATTTTCACCTATAAATCTCTCCCTAATAACCTGCCCCCTATCCTAATACCAGAAAGGATGTAAGGCCTCACCCAAAAATCTGGGTGTCTGTCTTGATTTCTAACCATCCTGACCTCCCATATCCAGTCAATGAACAAGATTTATCCAGGCTATCCTCTAAATAGTCATCAAGGCCATTCACTTCTCTCCAACCCCATTGCTATTGTTAAAAAAGCCTCTCTCGGCCTCCTTGCCCCCAGTCACATCCAAAGCAACCCACTCAACCCTACAGCCAGAGCAAACTTCCAAAGACACTAATCTGATCATATCATCCCCCTGCCTGAAACCTTTCAAGGGCATTTCTTAACTTTAATATAAAGGTTAAATTGAGTTTTAGGTACATCCTAAGTTTTTTAAAGTTAGTAGACTGACTATTACAATTTTCAAATGCAATAGGAAAATAAGAAAAATTCATTTTATAGGGCTGGGTTATGCCTTATTAAGAGTCACAAATATATTTTCTGCTATATTAACTGTAGAAAAAAAATAACAGACTGTAGAGTCAAACAGACTTTTATTAAAATTCCAGCTTTACATTTACTAGCTTTGTGAACTTGGATCTATTACTTAACCTAAGTCTCAGGTTTCTTTACCTATAAAATGAGGGCAATAATACCTATCTTTAAATGTTGTTTTGAAAATTAAACACAAAGTGTATTAAATGCCTAGAACAGAGTCTGGTACTTAGTAGATACTCAATAAACAATAATCTAATTAGCTAATCCTCATCATCATCCTCATTACATTGCAATTTTCCCTGAAATTTCAAACATTTTAATAGCTATATCTTTATTTATCTTCATGATATCCCTTTGAAGAAAGGAAACCAGTACAGATAACAGACACTGAGAAGACCAATTTGTTTATTTTCGTTAATGAAGTAAGAATGTTAGCCCAGGTAATCTATTTATTTACTTAAAATAATATAGATTCTACTGGTAAATATAGCATAGCTATCTACATCCATTAGTCTATTTGTGAACTATATGTTATCACTAACGGTGTTAGTCCATTTACATTGCTATAAAGGAATACCTGAGACTGGGTAATTTATCAATAAAAGAGGCTTATTTTGGGTCACAGTTCTACAGACTGTACAGGAAGCATGATGCTGGCCTCTGCTCCTAGTGAGGTCTTAGGAAGCTTACACTTGTGGTAGAAAGCAAACGGGGAGCCAGTATATCACATGGCAAGAGTGGGAGCAAGAGAGAGGGAACAAGAGAGAGTAGCGGTCCCAGACTCTTAAACCACCAGATATCGCATGAACTAACAGAGCAAGAACTCACTCATCACCAAGGAAATGGCTCTAAGCCATTCGTGAGGGATCCACCTCCATGATCCAATACCTCCCACTAGGCCCCACCTCCAACACTAGGGATCACATGTTAACATGAGATTTGGAGGAGACACACACTCAGACCATATCAGCTACAAAGTAGCAGAGTATGACTATGCAGATACATGGGTACACATTCTCTAATAGTTAATTCATTAGCTAGTTAATTAGTGAAATCATAGTTAATTCATTAAGCTGAGTTCACTGAGGATCCTTTGCACACCAAGTACATATTAATGCCTCTCTAACCTGGAAGTCAGTAAATTAACAGCTCTTCCTATCTGAAATGTAGTTTAGAATTGGGAAATAAGCAAAACAATGATATCATAAAGTCCATGCTAGAAGCACTTATTCTTACTTTCTTGAGGTCATAAACTTCTGATGAAAAACACACAGGTGGCACAAACCCACATTTTGCTGAAAATATCAGGGCATTTGCTGATGCTCTGAAGCTCATCCCTTGTCCATGGACCTTGGGCTAAGTTCTTCTAGTCTGAAATTTGCAATTTCCTTGCTTATATGTTGTTTTATATTCATCCTGCAATTATCCTATAGGACAGTTATTTATTATCATCATTTTATAGATGAAAAAACTTAAGTTTAGAGTAGTTAAAAACTTATCCAAGTCATAGCAGTAAGAGTCAAATTTATCAACAGAACCGAAGTCTTCAACCTCCTGATCTATCAAAGAATGATTCACCTTGGACAGCAAAACCTAATGGGATTTCACATAGGCAAAATGCATGAGCTTTACAACAGAAATACTTTCTTAAAATTTTTTTAATAGTTTTGAGGGTACAGGTGGTTTTTGGTTACGTGGATCAATTCTTTAGTGGTGATTTCTGAGATTTTAGTGCACCTGTCACCCAAGCAGTGTACACTACACCCAATATGTAGTCTTCTATCCCTCACCTCCCTCCCAACCTTCCCCCTCAAGTTCCCAGAGTCCATTATATCATTCTTATGCCTTTGCATCCTGATAGCTGAGCTTCCACTTACAAGCAAGAACATACAATATTTGGTTTTCCATTCCTGAGTTACTTCACTTAGAATAATGGCCTCCAGCTCCATCCAAGTTGCTGCAAAAGACATTATTTTGTCAGTTTTTGTGGTTGAGTAGTATTTCATGGTGTATATATACACCGTATTTTCTTTGGTTGATGGGCACTTAGGTTAGTTCTTTATCTTTGCAATTGTGAATTGTGCTGCTATAAACATGTGTGTGCATGTGTCTTTTTCATATAATGATTTATTTTCCTTCAAATAATTATCAAGTAGTGGCATTGCTGGATGGAATGGAAGTTCTATTTTTAGTTCTTTAAAGAACATCCATACTAGAACAGAAATTCCTAAACTGGGGGCCATGTATGGGTGTCAGGGATTTGGCTGAGACTATAGATAGAATTATGGCTTGGGAGGAGGTAGGGGATAGAGAAGAGGGGTCCACACTTCTCACCAGGATCTCAGTGTTCCCTGATTCAAAACAAACAAACACAACTCTATATATGACTAGATATAACACTTAGTATGTTTGGTTAAATGGTTTTCTGGTTTACTAAAAATAGAAACACACATGAGAAGGGGTTGGAGAAAAACAGGAAAAGTGGTACTTTAGGCAGTAACCACTACAAGGAAGAAAACTGTGAAAATGCACACAAGGCAACAACAGCCACCAAAACATCAGTTCGGGACCACACTTCAACATGTGTGAAGGTTGTTTAAAAGGGGAATACACAGGCTTACATATCTCAGTAGTTCCCGAGAACATTAAGCAGTAACAATGTTCAGCACCCGTGTTTAACTAAACAGGCTGTCACAATTTTCCATTCAGAGTAGGCTCTTCATGTTTCCAATTTGGCTAGGCTAAAATTTAGTTGTTTGGAAAATGTATTCATTTCCATATTCAGGTGGCATTGTTGTTCCTTGTCAGTGTTGGATGGATGGACATATCACCATAATTTAAAATGTCTATCTGAGTATGATGGGAATAAGAACGAGCACAATCACTGTCAAGCTCAATGCAGCTTTCCAATGTATTAACAAACCAAAAGCAAACCACTAGATTGATAATCAAAATGTAAAAACAAGTAGTCTTCTCATCTACTTGGTATTAGTGGATTTCAGTTGTATTCCTACAGTAGGAAGTATTATATCCTATGGAGCTTCCTGTACTTTTTTACTTTTTATACCATGCACTGTTTTGCCTTTTTATATTACCATGTACATAATGCTACTGTTAGAGACGTGTAGAAAAGAAACATCTCTAACTGAAGTTAGGTATTTGTTCATCTAGCGCTGTATGGTGGAGGGGGGGTCAGAGGGTGTAATTCAATAATTTATGGTTCTGGGCACAGTGGCTCATGCCTATAATCCCAGTACTTTGGGAGGCTGAATCAGGAGGACTGTTTGAGTCCAGGAGTTTGAGACTGAAATGAGCTATGATAGAGCCATTACACTCCAGCCTGGACGACAGAGCAAGACCCTGTTACAATAAATAAACAAATTTATAATACTTTATAATATAAACATATTAACATACCAAAAGCAAACCATCAGATTGATAATTAAAATATAAAAACAGGCAGTCTTCTCATCTACCTGACATTACTAGAGTACTTGACATGACTGTGGTCCAGCCTGGACAACAGAGCAAGACCCTGTCTCAATAAGTAAATAAATAATGGATGGAGTTTCGTTCATCTGTAGACTTCCCACTTGGTTATAGGGCTGGAGTTAATATCATGGAGTCACTGTTAGCCTTCATGTCTTAGTCTTCTACCACTAATAAGTTCTCTCTGAAATACATCACTCAAATGGTCTCTTGCAATTCTGCATACGTTGGGTAAAAGTGGGCTATAGATTGTGACAGGATGTTGGGAAAATGCAAATCAGTCTTTTCTTTGGTTAAACATGGGCAAAATTGATCTCTCCCCTTCACAGTCTTTCTATTGATTTCTATATATATTTATGGGTATGCTCACTTCAGACACTGAAAGCATTGGCTTCTGACTCTGGATAATTCTTGGAATCATAGTCTATTGAGGATGGAGGGATCCTGGGGGTGACTTAGTCCCACAGCCAACACAAACTTCTGCACTTGACCTGGGATCATCCTCTTTGTTGCAGCATACTTATTGTTTTTTCTAGCTCAGAAAGCTGAAAAGACCTATTTGTTTTTTGTTTTGAGAATCCACTCACATATCCACAAAATGACGTATGTGTTCAGAACAGCTCATGATTATGTGTGTACAGATGTAGCAAGAACATTTATTTCACCACTGCCAAGTCTGACCTATGATGGAAGAAGAACAATGACCTCTCAGAGATAACCCAGTGACACCATGGACTCATCAAGGGGACTTTGCCGAGGAAAATAGCTGCCCCTTAACCACACATTAGAGAGAGGCAAGGGCAATGTCATCTGGATATGCTGCACATTGGTTAAGCTGAGAGCCAGAAGACATCAGTGATGTTTAATTGATATAAGGCCATTAATACTTAACTCAGTATAATCCTATCAGCTCCACCATCCTGCATGAAGATGGAGAAGCTATTTGGTTACTTTGTGGTATCTTTGAAGGGAGGCTTATGTATATCATCATTAAATACTTTCATCTAATACAATATTAAATGTCAATTTTTTTTGAGATGTAGTCTTGCTCTGTTGCCCAGGCTGAATTGCAGTGACACGATCTCGGCTCACTGCAACCTCCACCTCCTGGGTACAAGTGATTCTCCTGCCTCAGCCTCCTGAGTAGCTGGGATTACAGGCGCTGCCACCACGCCTGGCTGATTTTTGTATTTTTAGTAGAGACAGGGTTTTGCCATGTTGGTCAGGCTGGTCTTGAACTCCAGACCTTGTGATCCGCCCACCTCCGCCTCCCAAAGTGCTGGGATTACAGGCATGAGCCACTGTGCACAGGATAAATGTCAATATTAAAAGCAACTGTGGCAGAGATTATCGGGGGAAATTCAGCCAGATATTGGGGAAAATTTACCCCCGATATTTCACGTAGGTTCTTTTCTATTTTCCCTAAGCATCAGCCAGTTTGAGGAATAAAGGGACAGAGTACAAAAGAGAGAAATTTTAAAGCTGGGCATCCCGGGGAGACATCATATGTCAGTAGGTTCCATGATGCCCCATGAGCCGCAAAACCAGCAAGTTTTTATTAGGGATTTTCAAAAGGGGAGGGAGTGTACGAATAGGGTGTGGGTCACAGAGATCATGTACTTCACGTGCCTTCACAAGGCAAATGGAGGCAGGGCGAGATCACAGGACCACAGGACCAGGGTGAAATTAAAATTGCTAATGAAGTTTCGGGCACCATTGTCATTGATAACATCTTATCAGGAGACAGGGTTTGAGAGCAACTGGTCTGACCAAAATTTATTAGGTGGGAATTTCCTCATCCTAATAAGCCTGGGAGCACTATGGGAGGCTGGGGCTTATTTCATCCCTACAGTCTCAACCGTAGAAGATGGTCACACCCAAGGGGGCCATTTTAGAGGCCCACCCTTAGAGGTGCATTCTCTTTCTCAGGGATGTTCCTTGCAGAGAAAAAGAATTCAGCGATATTTCTCCCATTTGCTTTTGAAAGAAGAGAAATATGGCTCTGTTCCGCCCAGCTCACTGGCGGTCAGAATTTAAGGTTATCTCTTTTGTTCCCTGAACATTGCTGTTATCCTGTTCTTTTTTCAAGGTGCCCAGATTTCATATTGTTCAAACACACATGCTCTACAATTTGTGCAGTTAACGCAATCATCACAGGGTCCTGAGGTGACATACATCCTCCTCAGCTTACAAGATGACAGGATTAAGAGATTAAAGTAAAGACAGGCATAGGAAATCACAAGGGTATTGACTGGGGAAGTGATAAGTGTCCCTGAAATCTTCACAACTTATGTTTAGAGATTGCAGTAAAGACAGGCATCAGAAATTATAAAAATATTAATTTGGGGAACTAATAAATATCCATGAAATCTTCACAATCCACGTTCTTCTGCCATGGCTTCAGCTGGTCCCTCCATTCGGGGTCCCTGACTTCCCACAACAGAGATGGACCTCAAATTTTTTTTGGAAACTCTTTTGAGGAGGATCATATGAAACTTAAAACTCATTTCTCCCTTCTGAGAGTGGAAAATTGGGGTTTATTCCTGAGGCAGAATGTTATCTAGCCCTTGGAAAAATGTGAGTGGAACATCTTCTACAAATATAGTCAAGGACTCATTTGAATGTAAGCCCTGAGGGGTTGAGGATTTATTTTTCAATTTTATTTATTCATATGTTCCCTGCAATAGTACCTATCACATAGTAGGATCTCAATAAATATTTGTTGAATAAAATAATGAAAAAATTCCTCCTGAGCAAGACCCCAAGAAGTTGTACTTTCTTAGATGCACCTTTAATCAAATCGAAGTCATTACAGTTGATGGCTCCCATAGAAATGTTTTTTTCTCTAAGCATGCACTGACTGCCTTATGCCTGTATAGTGTTATCTGTTTTGTGTGTGTATGTTGCTAGCTAAGGGATCAAGAACATGACCCATGTGAACACACACACACTCACACACACACACACATGCACGATATGCAGGAAAACATGCAAATCTGTCTTCTCTTCATTTGATGTTGGAGAAAATTATGAAAAGGAACTTAACTACATTTGAGGCAGTACAACATGGTCTAGATTGTTAATGTTCCACCCATAGTATTAAGACTCAATTAACCTAGACTTTGGGAATATGTTTGGGAACAAGTATTATGTATAATGTATAATCCATAGGATCAGATCATATCCCTATAGATAGGGCAGGGTTTCCAGTGAAGGGAATAGATAGTATCGCTCTCATTCTGGGAAAGGGTCAGTTTCAGGATAGGAAAACTGCCAAGAGGGTTTTTAGCACCGAGTTAAAGGAAAAATGGTGTCAGGTCCTATAGTAGAATATGGGACTGCAATGGTGCATAAGACATGCCCCTAAGGAACTCAGGGTTGAGTGGGGGAAATACATATATTTATATATCTATAAATATAAGTATATTTTTATATATCTATAAATATAAATGTATATTTTAAATAAATCTAATCAAAATCATCTGATTACATATATGATTAAAATTGCAGTTCAAGGTTGTTAGTGATGACAGAGATGACGATGAGTAGATAAATAGGTAAAACTTACTGGAGTGGCTGATACTTAGACTATGTCTTTAATACTTGATCAGGAAAGACAGAGAGAGAGAGAGAGAGAGTGTGTGTGTGTGTGTGTGTGTGTGTGCATCTGTGTGCCTGTGTGTCCAAGAATTTAGAAAAATGTCATGAGAACGTTTTCCAGGTAGAGAGACCAGCAAAATCAAAGACCAAGGAACAAGAATCAGTA
The DNA here is from genome assembly GCF_000001405.40 of Homo sapiens. Classification (NCBI taxonomy): domain Eukaryota; kingdom Metazoa; phylum Chordata; class Mammalia; order Primates; family Hominidae; genus Homo; species Homo sapiens. The sequence goes on along the minus strand of NC_000009.12, from coordinate 109,629,897 downwards.
GGATGAAGTCTACATATTTCTGGCAATTGCTTGAATGTGAGGCACAGAGAAGGACCACACTATTGCTCAATTCCAGTGGTACCATTAACTTAAAATACAGGGTGATGGTGCCCCCTGGGGTTGTGCAATGCAGTGGTCCTGAAGGAAGTGGTTAAAGATGAGGCTGAAGCTAAGGCTGGAAATGAGACTAAGTGGATTTGAATGCAGAAGCTTAACTGAGCTCACCTCCAAATGACAAGCAGACCATCATAACTGGAGACAGTCATAGTCTTCCTTAGTTTATAATTTTTATTTCCTTGAAATTTTTGAGACACATTCAGAACAAATAGAACCATGTTTCATGATTGACATAGCTGGTTTTATCTATAATCATAATTTATATTCTATCTCATTTCAAGTAGTTTAGATTTTCTCCCCACTGGGAAACTGGGACAGTATATTGTGACGTGGAGGAAAGTATCATCTGGAGGTTGCACCTCGTATCTCCCACTCAGTCTTATGCTATGGCTTCTGTGTCATGTCCACAAGGTACTGGCATGCAGTGTAGATGGTGGATTTTAGTTTACACAAGACTGGAGGCAGGAAAGCTAGTGAGAAGGCTGCTGCAATAGTTTAGACAAGCAATGATGAGATCCTAAATTAGGGCAGTGAAAGTTGGCATGGAAAGGAAAGAGAATCAAGAAATATGCCAGGACTCAGAATGTGTGGGTAAGAGAAAGGCATTGAGCCTGATTCTCACGGCTTGAATGACTCAGTTTGAAAGTCGATAGCACCAACTGAGCTCCGCAGAGCATCAAGAGAGGCCCACAGGTGCCATTAGAGGATCCTGACCTCAGCAAATGAACAGCAGCTTATCATCACTTTCCTCTGGACTAGGACCACCTTGTATTCTGTGTGTGACCTATGACATATCTCACGCTTTTTGCATTAGAGCTGTGCAAAGAAGTCTGGAATGTTTGAGGTATTGATTGAACTTGATTTTCTGCAATACACTCTCCTGGAGAGCTGTGAAATTATAGTATCAGAGGGCTTGGGGGAAAATAAGTAATGCAACTGGTTATTCACAAGTAGCATTTTCTGTTATATGTTAATCTAGAGAACTAAGTAAGTCACTCCCAATAAGAAATAACTTGGCTTTCAGGTAGTAAACTTTCTATCATTAGAAAGATCAGCAAATTGGGCTAGGCATTTTTTAGCTACTGGTTGCCACTTCTTCCTGTTATACCTCCATTCTCAGATAAAACTTTTAAATGTCTTCCTTTTAACCAAGTGAATTATACCAACTTTTCCCTCCCACTTCCTTTTCCAGTTGCCCACCTTCATTAACACCCCAAGAACTCTTCTTTCTGCCTATATCATCCTCATATCACTGACTTAAATGGCGGTGTGAATGCCTTATGCAAACCTTCCTTCAAAGTTCCTTGACCTCTTCAACGTCAAAAACTTTACCTCCATTTTACTCCAGCCAACTACTCCCAACAGGTTTCATGTTCGCATGCCAAATGCAAACATGACCTACAAACTTACTGCAACATGAAAATAGCAGGGGTACTCCTGGGTTGAGGATCAAATCCTGGGAAAGGGACAGTGCAGTACCACTCCCACACTCTACTTGCTGTCTCCCTCACAGCCACGCCTGATGTGTTAGCTATCCCTGGGGACACAGGTTTGTGGAGCAGAAGTGGATGGAAGGTATGGAACAAGGGCAGCTTCTCTCCTTGCTTCCCTGACCCCATATTCTTGGTCCCTGAACTGTAAGACTGTTTTGTGAAAATGGAACTACACCCTGGCCTCTTTCCAATGAGTGAGAGAGGATGCTGACACCCCCCACCTCCAATATTTGCCCAATGACACTGACACAGATCTGGGCAGTGAACCTGAGTCAGTGAGAACGTCCAAGTCAGGATCAGGCTAAGGTTCTGTAGCCTGCAGGCAGGGGAATGTCCTGCTTAAACATTTTGAAATAGGGTAATTTTGTTCTGGAGTCTTCCCCATCCCTTTTTCATCCTCTGAGTTATTTTCTCTTACCTTACCCCAACCCGGCCAGGATAATTTGGGGTGAGTTTTGAGAGTTCAGCAAACAGAAGTCAGGCATTTTAAAAAGTAAAGTGGGCCAGGTAGAGGGACCATAGGAAATGATGGGGGTGGTGACAAGGAGACTATACACCATATACAGGGTTAACCTCTACTCAGGCCAGTCAACCATCACCATGCAGGAGTATAGACAGATCTGCTGTGTCCAGATCTCCTGAATTTTCTCTAGGAAAACAAGAAAAATCTTTATCTTTGTACAAAATCTCCCCCTAGAAAATGACAAGTAAAAGTTTTAAAGTAATCTGGTGGATCCTGTGGCCATTTTGGTTTAAGGGGTCAGCTCTGGTTTAAGGGATCAGCTGCGATGGGTTTGAATTTCACAGACCACATCAATTTTCATAGCTTTCCTGCAGAATCACACAGTTTACATACACTCCATGGCTACTTAGTGATGGATTAGAAGAGGTAGGTGCTGGGCTTCTTTAAAAGGTGTCAGTTGTTAGGAAGTAAAAGCATTCAGGGCACACACAAGGTTGCTTGTCGGAGTCAAGGGTTTCAGGACATGCCACTTTCTGGGCTCTGAGCCGATCAGTGGAGAGGAGGGGAATGAGGTGCCTCTCACAGACTCAGGGTGGCAGCAGTCCTTGGCCATGAGATGACTGCCCTGAAGGCTGCTCTGTCGATTGTAGGCGTGATGTGTGAGATGGTGCTCAGAAGCCCCTTTGTCCCAATGGTTAGACCCTCTGCCCAGTGTGGCAATTCTGCTTCCTGAGCCATCCTTGAGGCCTCTCCAAACTATTCCCCTATTCTCTGGGCCCCCTGCCTTGACATGTGGTTCTATTTAACATTACAGATTTTTTTTTCCTAGGCATTCCTTAACTTAAGATAAAACCCTTCTCTGCCAACAACTTAAAAAGATGAACTTGAACTAAATGTGTTTGTCCTGCTTCCCTTTTAATTTTTCATATTCATAAGCATCATTTCCACTGCACTCCTAAACCAAAACATTAAAAAGTATTTGAGAAGTTAAAACAAAAATAGTGGGCAGGAGACAGTCTGGCTCTGAAACATGAAATTTATCTCAAGAACTCCAGAACCTTTCTCAGCCTCACAGTACTTCCTTGGAAATTAATATTTCCATGGAGGGCAATTAAGGACCAAGAATATTTTAAAGCTCTCCTTTTTCATCAGATGAATCTCTGATGTTCTGATGTCAAACACTGTGACTGGTCTCAAGAAAAATAATTTGGTCCAGGAAAGGCTCTCAAATAATATCACTTTTTAAAATGAATATTAAATTACAGTATAAAGGAGCAAGGTTGACCAGATCAAATTTAACACTGTACAAATCACAGGACTCTCCCATCTAAATTAAATGCTAGCTAGCCTTTTTAGAATAGTTCTGGGCTTTGACTCTCTGTGCTACAAGGCAAAAACATTCTAGAATATGTTCTGCTCTGTGCCTTTCATTCCCTTGTGAAAAAGAGAGTGGTCCCTGCCCCAGTCAGCACTTCCAGAGCCAAGTCAGGGACTGAAACAAAAGCAGTCTGCCACGTCTAAGCAGAGGTGAGGGAGGACACAAGAATTAGCAAGAGCCTGAGGTCACAGCCAGCAAACTTGAGCCGGTACAAGGTGAGAATCCCAAGAAACCCAAAAAATATGATGAATCTCACTAGTTGCATAATTGAAGTCCAATGAGGTAGAGTTTGTGAAGGGAAGAGTCAAGGAAGTCCAATAGGTCCTCCTGTAAGCATTTATAGGGTGAGAACACAGGAGTTTTCATGGATCAGTTGTATTGTTATAATTACAGCTAAATGTAATGAATAAGCTTTTCTAGAAATCCAGATAGTTTTGATTTTAACATACCTGTAGCTCATTCTGCCTTGACAGAATCCTGGAGTCCATATGAACCATGATTAGATGTTCATGTATCACTCATTTGGAGCATTTTCTCTCATTGAAGCTTTTATCTTAATAACTGAGATTTTCTTTAGATGTTGAAGTATCTTTAATAGGTTATTACCCTTTTTAAAAAAAATTTTACACCATGTCAAAGTCACAACCAATCCTGAAGACATATTCACTATTGGTATAAATGTTAACTCTTGAACCTCTAGTAATGTGGCTATCTGAATGGAATAAGCTGTAAGTAAAATATGTTTATGTATATATGTATGTATAATAAAGTATTTTAAATTTATAGTATCTCAGAACAAAGTATACCTTATTTTTCATATGTTAAGCATTATCCAACAATATCATATTAGGATTATCATCAAGGTTGAACATCCATCTAGTCAAAATGAAGATAGTGGCACAGATGGGAGATTTGTTACTGGCAGGAAGATTGAGCAAATAAGTGAATACATTATGGATAAGGGAGCTGGGTTTCTCAGTGTCAGAGAAGGGAGTTATATAGACAGAAAGGGAAAAACTAGAATGAAACCTGTGGGGTTGGATTGGAATTAGTGGTATTGGTGTTAATACACGGTGATAGATAGATGACAGATAGATAGATAGACAGATAGATAGATAGAAACAAATGTATGCATATCTGTATGTACATGTAATATGTACATACAAACATATATTCCCTAGTTCTGTCCACTAAGAGAGGGTCTGGGAGCAGTAATATCCCAATAAAAATGAGGATACTTGGCCCACAAATCTGGGTTTCCAGATATGATTCTCCACAAAAAGGAACCAAAGCTCCTTGGAGAAATGACTCATTCCAGAGCTAGGACTGGAAAAGTGCAAGATGAGCCTAAAACGGCTTGTGCCAGAAAGCAAAGAAGTACTCAAAGGATGATGGAACATTTCAAAAGAACATAGGGACCCACTTGAATTGATCTTCTCTCAAGGGTCAAATTAGGGGCAATAGAAAAAAAATGACAGAAGCAGATTATGAACCATTGAATAAAATACAAATCCATGAGTCAATAGAATGGAAGGAGGGAGGGAGGGAAGGAAGGGAAGGGAAGGAGGGAGGGAAAAAGGCTTAGTTGTATGACAAATGGGTTATGGAGAAGGGTACTGATATGATTTGGCTCTGTGTCCCCACCCAAATCTCACCTTGAATTGTAATAATCCTCTCATGTCATGGGAGGGACCCAGTGGGAGGTAACTGAATCATGGGGGCAGGTTTTTCCCCATACTGTTCTCTTGATAGTGAATAAGTCTCATGAGATCTGATGGTTTTATAAAGGGCAGTTCCCCTGCACATGCCCTCTTGCATGTCACCATGTAAGATGTGCCTTTGCTCCTCCTTTGCTTTCCACCATGACTGGTGAGGCCTCCCTTGCCATGTGGAACTGTGAGTCCATTAACCTCTTTTTCTTTATAAATTACCCAGTCTCAGGTATGTCTTTATTAGCAGCCTAGGAATAGACTAATACAGGTACCTTTCCAGTGGAGAAGGCAGGCAGATGCCACCTTTACCTCGTGACCAAAGTGAACATCACCAGTGATAGGACAAATTGACATTATGTACCATCCGAGGGAGTGCAGTGAGAAGAACACATCATCACTTCTATGATATTCCTGCCAAAGGCTCAGAACCTGTGTTAGTCACTAGGGAACATTGGACGAAGTCAAACTGAAGGACATTCTATAAAATAACTGACCTATAATTGTCAAGGTCATGAAAATCAAGCAAAGAGTGAAGAACTGTTCCAGACTGAAGGAGATAAGAGAGAAATGACAACTAAATGTGACTTGTAATTCTGAACTGGATCCTTTTGCTATCAAGGATATTATTAGGAAATTTGAATGCCATTCAGTGATTGTATGGTAATAGTTTTATGGTAATAATATATCAAGTTTAATTTCCCAATTTTAACAGTTGTATTGTGGTTTTATGCAAGAATAGCTTTGTTTGTAGAAAATAGTGTACATAATAATCAGAGTGATAGGGTATTGGGTAATGGGATAGCCATTATTCTCAAATGGCTCATAAAATAAAAGGTAAAGGTCTTTGTAGTATTTCCAACTTTTCTATAAGTTTGTAATTGTCTAATCTGTATAATATATCAGACCGTGTATATTTGTCATATTAATAAACTGTAACAATTTCCTTGATAAAGACAAAACATATTATCTTTGTATACATATATTTATTTTTTAAATTGTTACACTGTATAATCTCAGCATTTTTATTAATTGCTATTTTTAACCAAAGAAACCAACATTTTCTCCACAGAAAGCCTGAAAGCAGAAAACCAAGGACTATATAGCTATTTTTGTTCACAGTAACATTATTTCTTTTTATAAAGCAATTACCTTTTATAATTGAATTTAGTTGAACACATAATTTTGTAATTTTATGATTTTAAACAAAGTGATGTTAGTTTACCTGGCATCTAACAGAGTGATGCTAGTTTATCTATGAATAGAAAGAACTTAGGAAAATAAAATTTATTAGGCTTTTCATGAAAAAATATATTCAAGGCTGTCATGGAGGGAAGAGGTAAAGTTGTCCTTAAACAAATTAATTAAATCAGTCCAATTATCACAGTCATCTTGATTATGAATATTTTAAAAGCTCTTTTCTATACCTTTAAATTGTCATATATTAAATCACCTGACATGTTTAAAAAGAAATATTTGTATTTTATATTCTAACTTAGTAACCAGGTCATTAATGAAACTTACAGTGTAACTTTTTCCCCCCAGAGTTACAGTTTTAGCAAGAAAAAGATTTTATAGTCAACATACGTAAATCTATTTAGAATTTTAAATTTATCTTACCTTACATTTTTATAACCACTTAATATTTTGATATTTTTAATAAAAACTAACTGGAAAAGGTACTTGCTCCATTAGATATTAGAAGCTCTTACAATCTGTTACTAATAACTGTCTCTAGAGGCAGAAAGTATATCTGTTTATTTGCTCAAAAACTATTTTATATTTATAAACAGGGAATTTTTATCAACTCTTATACGAGTCAGAGAAGCTAATTATGAGAAGCAGCAGAATTTTTTTAAACGTTTATATTAAGTTTAGGGGTACATGTGCAGGTTTGTTATATAAACTCATGTCACAGGGGTTTGTTGTATGGATTATTTCATCACTCAGGTATTAAGCCCAACACCCATTAGTTATTTTTCCTGATCATCTTTTTCCTCCCATCCTCCGCCTTCTGATAGGCCCCACTGTGTGTTGTTCCCCTCTATGTGTCCATGTGTTCTCATTGTTTAGCTCCCACTCGTAAGTGAGAACATGTGGTATTTGGTTTTCTGTTCCTGCTTTAGTTTACTGAGGATAATGGCCTCCAGCTCCATCCATGTTCCTGCTAAGGACATGATCTCATTCTTTTTTATGGCTGCATAGTATTCCATGGTGTATATGTACCACATTTTCTTTACCCAGTCTATCATTGACGGGCATATAGGTTGATTCTATGCCTTTGCTATTGTGAATAGTGCTGCAATAAACACATGTGTCCATGTATCTTTAGAAAAATTTACATTCCTCTGGGTATATACCCAGTAATGGGATTGCTGGGTCTAGTGGTATTTCTGTTTTTAGGTCTTTGAGGAATCGCTACACTGTCTTCCACAATGGTTGAACTAATTTACACTCCCACCAACAGTGTATAAGCATTCTTTTTTCTCCACAACATTGCCAGCATGTTATTTTTTGACTTTTTAATAATAGCCATTCTGACTGATGTGAGATGGTGCCTTATTGTGGTTTTGATTTGCATTTCTTGAATAATTGGTGATGTTGAGCTTTTTTTTTTATGATTGTTGGCTGCATGTATGTCTTCTTTTGAAAAGTATCTGTTCATGTCCTTTGCCCACTTCTTAATGGGGTTGTTTGTTTTTTACTGGCATATTTGTTTAAGTTCCTTATAGATGCTGCATATTAGATCTTTGTTGGATGCATAGTTTGCAAAAATTTTCTCCCATTTTGTAGGTTGTCTGCTTATTCTGTTGATAGTTTCCTTTGCCACGCAGAAGCTCTTTAGGTTTAACCAGATCTCATTTGTCAATTTTTGCTTTTGTTGCAATTGCTTTTGACATCTTCATCATGAAATCTTTGCCTGTTCCTATGTCCAGAATGGTATTGTCTGGATTGTCTTCCAGGGTTTTTATAGTTTTGGGTTTTACATTTAAGTCTTTAATCCATCTTGAGTTGATTTTTATATATGGCATAAGAAAGGGGTCGAGTTTCTGTCTTGTTTTTTTTATCTAGGACTGCCTTGGCTATTCAAGCTCTTTTTTGGTTCCATGTGAATTTTAAGATGGTTTTTTCTAGTTCTCTGAAGTATCCCAATGGTAGTTTAATTTAATTTGGAAATAGCATTGAATCTATACATTAGAAGCAGCAGAATTTAAGGCAGAAATATAGAGCACCAGTATTAAGGATATTGGTCAAGTAAACAATATTCTCAATTTCAAATACTATAAGATATGCAATTAATCAACACTATTTCCTTTGGGGAAGCATCATTGCTGATAAATCTATATGCTTTTGCAATTTCCCTCTAAATTTACCAAAATAGTATTTTTTTCTGTTTTTCCAGTGCCTATATTTTTGCAATAGTGATAATATCCTTTCATTAACCTTATTTTATAAGTCCTGAAGAGAGGAATTTTGGAATTATTCAGTTGTGTAGAGAAATAAAAGTAAATCATTGAATACTAGGGGTTCTACTTCCTTTCAATTTTGGTGCAAGAATTTTAGCTTTACAGATATTGGCACTATTGGGTTTAGAATAAATGTACATGAAAACTTAATTTTGGAATAAGGAAAAAGTCTCTGAGCTTTAGAATCAGATAGAGGACATCAAATTCATACAAACCAAAACATGTAAACACAGAGAATTCTACCAATAGTAAGAAAAACTCCAAAAACTTTATGACTCTATATTATCAAGGACCAAGAACCATCAGAATTCTCAGCCAAATAACAAAAAGTTAACAGACACTAGATTTCATATTTCCTGTCAGCTGCCAATTAACAGAAGTCATTCAACGGTCTGGCCATAAGATGAAAACCCAGGTTCCACCATAGTTCCCACCATGATGGATTAAATCAGCTCTGTTCAAGCAGACCAAGAATCAGAATCAGAAACAGATGTAACCAAGAATCAGATTTAGCGTGTGAGAGCCAAAGAGCTCAGTTGCCACCCAAGACTTACCACAGGAGCCAAGAGATGAGCCAAGGATCCAAGAGGACCAGGTACAGACCAGATTCAGACCAGGTGCCCTTGAATCTGCACATTTTTCTGAAGGGCTATATCACAGCAGAATCTCCAGGATAACAAAAAATAATTCAAGAACATACAGTAAAATTATTAGCATACTGTTTATTTGTATATAGTGAAAAATAATAATAGGTTGATTTCCTCTAATCAAGGCAAAAAACAAAACCTCACAGGATTTACATATAAGAAAAGGAAGAAGGAAAACAGAAAAACTAAGTCACTTTGGAACACAAACTTAGATTTTCATGCTCTGGGTAAAACATTACTTAGCTGGAAGCTAGCAAAAAGGCCAGTCTGGGGCCTCTACCCTAGGGCAGCCGAATGGGTTGTCAAAGGAAGCAATTTCAGTTGTCTATGTATTCTCCAGAAGACTTCAGGGGTTAGCTCTGACACATTCAAAACAGTCAGCCTCTGCATTATGTCCTTAAGCCTGGTCTGCACCATTTCCTTATTTGAATTATTCATTCATAGTAAAATCTTTTCTTTAATAAAATCCAGGTCCTACACAATCATTGGTAATAAAATCTTAAATTAAAGGAAGCCAAGGCAACCCAGATTTCAAGTGAAATTGCAAACAAAACAAAACAAAAACACATCTTCTCTAGGAAGTGTATCTACTTTGAACTTGGGCTCTTCCTTTAACTTTGACATGCCTGAGACCTCTTCCTTGTAATTATTATATAATATTCTATTATTAAAAATTTTAATACAAAAATATGAATTCTACCTTAGGAAAAATGTTACAAAGATAGGAAAAGCAGTAATAATTTCCTACATCCCCAATCCCCCAATTAGGATTAAAAAAAACAATATTAATAGCATGGAGTTTTTCTTCCACCTGTTTCTCTCATAAAAATATTATACCATAATATTTCTTAAAAGTCACAAGTTTACATCATGAAATATTAAAACATGTATACACATATATGGATGGATATTTTATTATATTGTGTTGTATTACATTGTATTATATTCGTCATCTTAGACTTGTTCTTTTTCTCTTTAGTAGCCCATAGAATTCCCACTCTCAGTCTTTGCAATTCCAAAACTTTGGTTTGGTTTCTTTCAGAGAGAATAACAGCAGTGGGTACTCAGGGCGTGATTTAGAGACATCAATACAGAGGAGACATTGTCTGGTTGTCCAAAGCTGGCATTATTTGTCTAGCTGTGAAAGGCTGCTGGCTTTCATTCATAAAGTATAGGTGACTACGTTCTTGAATGAAAGAAAAGAAAGGAAGTGAATGAATGCTCCTTGCCTGGAGTAGATGAATAACTGAATTAAGTAGCCAGTTGGTTTCATTTCAGCTTTCAGATCTCACTCATCTAATAAGCCCTGCAGTCACTCTACCTCTGGTCAAAAACAAGTAGACTGTATTGAGTTTGGGATTATATATCTGAAATCAATGAAGGGAAAAACAAGCAGTAAATGTATTCCTTGGATTCTTTCTTCTTACGGTTTACATGTAATCTATCTATTTTGCTAAAGTCCCACTGTTTCTAAACGTGGACCTCCAGCATCCGAATTATGAGAAATGCAAAATGCAAATGCAGACTCCTAGGCCATATTTGGGCCCCTGAGTCAAAATACCTGTGAATGGAGACAGATAATTTTCATTTCAAAAAACCTTCCCCCAAAGGATTCTAATGTGCACTAATGTGTTTGAGAACTACCTCTAGACCCCTACAGGCTCAGGGATCCACCATCTTGTCTTGTCTTTTAAAGGCTCTAATACCCTCTCTAGCCTGCAAGATCCTAACATCCCTCCCATTTCCCTCTCTTCTCCATCCTCTACCCCCAACCAGGTTATGAAAGGAGGAACCTTGCAAACTCTTGGGTCAGACCCAAACCCAGTGCAGGCGGGCTCCTGATAGCACCTGGGTCCCCAGAAGAACCTGCAGAAGGGGCTGCTGATTTGATTGGGCCTAAGAATTGCCCTTGACTCCCTCTGTTCAGACAAAGGAAATGTTAATTCCATACCAGGCACTAGAGATAAAATACTATTTCTAGGAAAGGGCAGAGCAGTGTGCAGGTACCTTTGTTCGCACTAAGAAGAAATACCATGAGGATGGGGAGAGCAAGGACCAGTAAGAGCAGTAACTTTGCCTTTGATATCTTGTCACTCTCAGCAGCTGCAGTGGGCAGCCAATGACTATTCTTGAATGAGTAGAAGGTGACTGTGTGAATGAGAGATTGAATGAATTAGTCTAGTGTTTGATTGTTACGGCAAACAAAACAATAACAACAATTTTCTAATCCCTGATATAACTGACCATTTGAAAAAGACGTGTAGGTTTTTCTATTTGAATGCCATCTGTAACTTTAACTCACATCTCAGGAAAACTGGCAGGAACAGATTCAATATGTTTTAAAACTACAGAAGATAGAGCATGGAATTCCCTGGAAATCCTTTGTCATGAAGACAGCTCTAGGAAACAGCTCTGGAACTGTGTGGGTGTCTGATTCAGAGCCTCATAAGCATAAAAGAGAAATGGTGAAACTGTGAAATCCAAGGTCAGGAAGCTTCCCTAAGCAGACACAATACCACCCACCAGCTAAGTTCTAGTCTACTCTGTCCAACCTCTAGGAATCAGAGCTCTTCCCAGATTATAATTTGACCAGCTATTTCCCCAACTAGGTTAGTGATAAGGGGAGGAATAAAAGGAAATAGATTCTGGAGAGAATAGAAAATAGCATTTCATGAGAAAGATGAGAAGATAAATGAAAATATAGAGACATAAGTTTGCCACCAGGACATCACAGTTTCTTCAAAGATATAATTTGCCTGCTGCATGAATATTTTTGAAACTCAGGAATATGCAGCATATTTTTTATAAAAGGATACTGCTGTGACTTCTCCAATCAGGGATAGCCTCCTCATGGCAGGCTGATGCTAAAATAGTCCCCAGTGATCTCCATGTCCTGGTATCACTCCCTTGTGCAATCCTCTCCCCTTGAGTGTGAGTTGGCCAATAGGATACAGCAGAGGTGATGGGATGTGATGAGGTTATAATCTCCACATTGGCTAGCAAACTTTCTTTCTTGCTTCCTCACTTGCGTATTTTGATAAAGGAGATGGCCATGTTGGAGAGGCCCACATGGAAAAGATCTGAGGGTGGCTTATAGCAAATAGCCAGCAATGACCTAAGGCTCTCAATCAAACAGTCCTCCAGGAACTGAATTCTGCCAACCTGAATGGGCTGAGAAGCAGAGCATGGATTCTTCTGCAGTTGAACTTTCAGATGAGACCACAGCCCTGGCTGACAACTTGATTGCAGCCTTGTGAGAAACCCTAAAGCAGAGGACTCAGCTCACCGAGCCCAGACTCCTGACCCAGAGAAGCTTTAAGCCACTAATCTTGTGGTGATTTACTATGGAGCAGTAGAAAACTAATACAATCCTGATCCAAGCTGAGGTATCCAGGAGGGAATATCTGGTTTTTGAAGTTCTGAACAATTGTTATGGCTGCCCTTGTCCATGGTAGAGCCTGTGAAACAAGACACACTTTCCCAAGCAGCCTCTATCCAACACATCTATGGCAACATCTACAGCCAAGTTTGTGGGGATGCTGAGAGATGCCAAATGGGGAAGCCCTCATTAAGCCCATGAAATGATACTTACAGCTTTATTAAAATAGCAACTGGTCTGGCTTATGTTTTGAAGAACCCTTTAAACCTCAGAGAAGAGGATGATATATTGAGTGTCATGTCCTCATTTTCAAAGGCTTCAATTTTAAATAATTCCACATGCTTCAACCATCAGCTGTATGCGAGGAGGCTGCCATGTGAAATGAGTCTTCATTTGATTGAAGCCAAGATTTATTTTTTCTTTAGGATGAGATCCATGTCAGCACACACACACACACACACACACACACACACAACTGTCTCTGTGGCAAGATAGGTTTATTGAACTCATTCTTCAATTGTGTCAGCTTCTTTTTTAATGTAGCAGTGAATGAATTCAATTAGATGAAGACCATATTGGTGACTGGCTTATCAAAAATGCTATTTCTGCCCACAGATATCCACACATGCAATGACTAAAGACATTATCCTTCATTGCTGTCTCTCCAGGTTACATTATAGATAGCTCTCTGGCCAGAAGAGTTTAGATTATTCTCAATGTAACATGGGTGTAGAGGAGAAAAAAATTCCCTGAGACAATTGCCAAGGGACAGCAGGGTTCGTTACTCTCTTCTCACTCCTCAATCCTCCTAAGACTCAGCTGACCAATGGCATATAAGCTGATATTGGTCACTCAGGGCTTCCCTTTGTCAGGTTTTTTTACCCCCATCGCAAAGTTTGGGGATCCCCATGACCACCCTCACTTATGATACCAACTGCAAGTTCAGGGGGCTCCAAGACCATCCTCAGATTTGATAATTTGCTAGAAAGATGCACAAAACCCACTGAAAGCCATTACACTCAAGATTACAGTTAATCACAGCAGAGGGCTACAGATTAAAAGCAGCCGTGAGGAGAGGAACATAGGGCAGGGTTCAGGAGAGTTCCAAGCATGGAGCTTCCAGTTGTCCTCTCCCAGGGGAGTTGTGCAGCTAGTGCTTACTTTCACAGCTGTGATGTATAACAATGCACACAGAGTATTGCCAATCAGGCAATCTCATCTGAATCTTGGTGTCCAAAAGTTTCTACTGGGACTCAGTAACATGGACATGTTTGGCTGTCCCCTTAACTGACCTTAGTCTCCAGCCCTTCCAGATGATGAGCTGATACTTCATGGCCCAAGGCCCCCCATTATAAATCATATGGTTAGCATGGACTATCTAGCATGGCCCAAGGCTCCCAGGTAAACAAATCAGGCGGGACATTCCAAGGCATTAGAGGTTACCTCCCAGTGGCCAAGGACACATGCCAGACCTGCTTTTGGGCAAGGTTAATCCTTTATTGCATGCCACACCCATCCAGACTTTCCTTATCTGCTTGGTGGAACTTCTCTGTAGTATCCCTCCTAATCTCCTCTATCTCCCAGAACAGCACAAACACCTGGGTAATTAAGTCGCTACTACCCTAGTCCAAGCCACTAGTGATTCTCACCTGGACTATTTCAGCCTAAACTCTCCTTCTTTCCATTCTTGCCACTTCACAAGCCACAGTATGGAATTCAAATCATTCTTCCTGTGCTTAGGCCCAACCTTCTCAGTCCACAAAGGCATTCCTTCACACTTAGAATAAAAATCAAAACTCTTTTTCCGGCTTATAGAGTCCTAAGTGCCCACTCTGACTGCCTCTCAGCTCATCTCAGTTCTCTCGCTATGTCCACTTTGCTCTGGCCACTCTGACCTTTCTCTTCCTTGATACCCTAAGCTAATCTTCACCTTGAGGACTTTTCACTGCCCAGATTCTCTGCATTAAACCCTCTGCTCTTTACTTTCCCAAAGCTTCTCCTTCTTGACACTCAGAGCTCAGCTTAAATGTCACCTGGTGGTATCAACCTCCCTGATAATTCAATCCAAAAGAATCTCTCAGACACCCTCAAACACACCATCCATTCATAATGACATCCAACACACTTAGGAGCAGTTATTATTTTTCTGGTTTGTTTCTTTGATTGTTTGTCGTTTATTCTATGCCTCCCCCATAAAAACTGTAAGCTTCATGCAAACATGGACCAATCTGCCTTTTGCATTTCTATATTCCCAACACTTAGAGTCTAACACATAGTAGATGCTCAAAAAATATTTACTTAACAAATGAATGTATGCCCTTTTCTTTTTAAATTTATTTTTATTGTATAAATTTAAGATGTACAATATGATGTCTTGATATGTGTCCATACTTAAATGACTACTACAACTAAGCAATTTAACATATCCGTCATCTTCCATAATTAACTGTGTGTGCGTATGTGTGTGTATGGTTGTGCGTGTGTTTGTGTGGTAAAAGCACATAAAATCTCTCTTAGCAAGCTTTCAATATATAATACAATATTATTAACTGTAGTCCTCGTATTGTACATTAGATCTCTAGACTTACCCTACATAACTGCAAGTTTGTACCCTTTGACCTATAGCTTCCCATTTCCTTCCCCTCCCCATCCCTGGAAAGCACCGTTCTACTCTGTTTCTATGTGTCCTTCTTTTTAAGATTCCACATATAAGTGAGGTCATGCAGTATTTGTCTTTCTATGTCTGGCTTATTTCACTTAGCACAATGTTCTTCAGGTTCACGCACGTTGTCACAAATTGCAGCATTTTCCTTTTTTAAGGCTGAACAGTATTCCATTGTATATGTACTATGATATATACATGTATCACATTTTCTTCTCTCATTATCCATCAATGAATGTTTTGGTTGTTTCCATATCTTAATTATTGTGAATAATGCTACAATGTTCATGAGGGTGCAGATATCTCTTTGAGATACTGATATCATTTCTTTTAGGCATATACTCAGTGAAGGGATTGCTGGTTCATGTGGTAGTTCTATTTTTAATTGTTTGAGGAACCTCCATACTCTTTTCCATAATGGCTGTACTAATTTACATTCCCACCAACAGTGTACTAGGGCTCCCTTTTTTCAACACCCTCATCAATACTTGTTATCTCTTGACTTTTTGATAATAGCCATTCTAACAGGTGTGAGGTGACATCTCACTGTAGGTTTGATTTGGTATGCTCCTTTCTTGAAAGTTGTCTGGCAGCCATTGGTTTATTCATTCTTTTATTGAATTGACAAATATTTAGTGAGTACGTACCCACTGACTGGAAGGCCAGACATAGGCGAATCTAGGCAAAACCTGCCCTCGGGAGCTTAAAGGAGTCTAGCAGCAAAGTCACAGAACAGAATAGGCAGCACTCGTTTCAGTACCTTCCACAGTGTCTAGCACAATCTTGAGAGCTCACTAGGGAATGAATGAACACAAAAAGAACTCTGCTAAAATTCTATTCGAAATTCAAATGGAGAAAAGATTTCTGAAAAATGAAAGGATCAGGGAAGACTTCGTAAAGGATTTGTGTTGATGGGAAGTGGGAGGTTCTACATTCTAAGCAATGGAATAGTACAAATAAAGGCACAGATACAGGAAAGGATACCTCTGGGGAAGGTTGAGTAGTTCTGTTTGGAAGGCACCTAAGGCATATAAAGGGACTTCTAGGAGAGGAAGCAGGGAAGGTTGACTGGGATCAGAATTCACAGGACCCTAAAATTAGCACCCTAGACAATGTAGAGCTATTGAAAGTTTTTGAGCAAGGGCTTACCATGACCAAAACTGTGCTTTAAAAGAATTGAACTCTGAAAGGACTGGCTTCATGGATATACAACCAGTGCAGTCACATAGACACAAAGAGCCCCATGCACAGAAGGGCCTTGCACTTGGTTAATGCACTGCTATTGTGTTGAAAGTTTCAATACTTTTGAATAAGGGGCCCTTCATTTTGCACTGGGCCCTGCAAATTATGTGACTGCTCCTTAACTCAGGAGATGGAGGCTGAGTGAGTAAAATGAGGGAGAGTCAGGAGGCAAGGAGGCTTAATAATAATTCAGGTGAGAACTAGGGAGGATCTGAGGTGGAGTAGCCTTCCTAGTTTTATTAGATTCTATAAGTATTTAGGAGTAATAAAAGAAGCCTTGGGTCATAGACCCAAGGAAATCCTTTGAATCCCTCTGCCCCACCCTACACAACATGATTCTTAATTATGCCTAAGTCAGCAGGAAGTCTACGGGAAGCCATTGAAAATTTGTAAGCAGAGACGTTATAAAATTTATTGAACAAATGTTTACTGAGCACCTACTATGTACCAGGCATGGTGGTGGAATTAGAAACCTACTGGTAAGCAAAGGAGTCATAGTTGCTGCTCTAAATGCTGGCACAGAGGGGAGAAATTTGAAAACAGATATTACTGAGTTATAATCACTGCATAATTTGATCACAGTGCAAAGTGGCAAGCTGAAAGACAATGTAATGGTATGTGGGGGGTATTAGTCCATCCTTGCACTGCTATGAAGAAATACCCAAGACTGGGTAACTTATAAAGGAAAGAGGTTTAATTGACTCACAGTTCCACATGGCTTGGAAGGCCTCAGGAAACTTACAAACATGGCAGAAGGTACCTCTTCACAGGGCAGCAGAAGAGAGAATCAGTGAATGCCAAGCAAAGGGGGAAGCTCCCTTATAAAAGCATCAGATCTCATGAGAATTCACTCACTATCACAAGAGCAGCATGAGGGGAAACTGCCTTCATAATTCAATTACCTCCCACTAGGTCCCTCCCACAACATGTGGGGATTATGGGATCACAATTTTCAAGATGAGATTTGGGTGGGGACACAAAGCCAAACCATATCATGGGGGAAAGAGGTGAGTGGCACTCGCTCTGATAGCTGCTTCAAGGACATGTCGGTAAGAACCTGGGCAGGAAGTGAAGAGTTCACTCCAGAATGAATTTAAATCTAATGTCAAGCAATGTGCCGTTTCAAAATGCAGTGCTAGCTTCCGGGACTTTAAAATCAGATCAACAAATCTCTAAGAATACAGCAGCCTTTGTAATATGGGTCAGCTGCACTATTTTTTTTTTTTTTTTTTCATTTTCAGCAGGCACAACTGACAAAAAATGACCAGCTGGGACCTGGCTGAAAATACAGAGAATCATTTAGGATCATTTCAGCCTTTAACACTTGTTAGTTAGGACAGGAGCTAAGCAAAAGAACAGAACCTTTGCCCAGGGGATAACTAGACCTGCAGCCTTTCTCAACATTCCAAAGAACAACTGCCAATGGTCTAAGACCAAATGCCTTGCCAAGACATTAAAACTAACTTTTTCTTTTGTTTATTCTGCCTACCCCAAGTCAGAGTTCCACACCATTGGCTTATACAACATGGAAGAGTCTAACAGAAATCTTGTCCTTGGGAATGAGCTGGCTAAGTAAGCTCTTGAACTTGTATCATCCCTGTCCCAAGAGCAGGGCTCATCTGTCTTACCATGATAAGATGAAGTTGGCAGAGACAGCTGTGAGCAGAGCAAATGCAAAGATGTAGCTGCAAAGATGTCTGAGATCGTCATCTCCTCCTCAGAAAGTAAACAGATGTGCTTCTCTGTATTGTTCGCATGTTTGTCTCTTCCTGTCTTCTTCCCTTATGGGAAGAAATTCCTTTAGCATAATAATGAATCAAAATTAAATTTTCAAGGTAATGAGCATTAGCAAGAGAGAGATGAATTTTTCTGGTTGGTGCCCTGTTCTGAAGGATGCAAGGAGCCACTGTTAATCTTCCCAAGATTCTCCAACCTCAGACCAAAGGAATGGAGAGGTCCTGAGCTTCACTGTAAGGAGTAGCAGCTCAATGGAACCAGAGCCCAGGGAGTGGAATTAGAGGCTGGGCAGGAGGCAGAAGAGCAGAAGAGAAAAAAGGGAGGGAAACTTTGGAAACGTTCTCTGTGCCGCAACGCAAGCTGTCATGCATATATACTACATTTTTGTTTAACCTTCCCTGTCAGGATTGTGATAATTGGTTCTGAGTGAGACTCGGGCCTCCCTGGCAGACAGCTAATCCTGCCTGCCCTTCTAGCTCTGCAGGGCATCATGACCCCAGTTATACAAATTTCATAACATAAAGTCTTCCCAGGCTCTAGGTCTTTATATGTTCTACTTCTTTGCCCCTAATTCTCTTTCTCTGTATTGACAGCCATTTGGTCATTCTCAAGATTCAATGTGCATTTTATTTCACACTAGAAGCTCTTCCTGACCTCCAAAGACTGGTAGGCTCCCCTTGTCTACAGTGCCAGGACACTCAGACACACTTCTCAGACATCTCTAACATGTGCATGGAATCGTTACTTGCATCACAGTCTCCTCCATTTGATGTTAACTGCTCATGGGCAAGTTGGTCTTATTAATCTTGCATCCATACTAGCTTGGTCACTAGCACAGTGCTTGATGCTTTTAATTAGTGTTTAGTGAATGAAAGATGATAATAACAAAGGGCTAGCTTTTGAGAGGCAAATATGCTACCCACTTGGAGATATTGACCCAAGTGATCTTCCCACCTCAGTCTCCCAAGTAGCTGAGACCAGAGGTGCATGCCACCACGACTGGCTAATTTTTTTTATTTTTGTAGAGATGGGATCTCCCTGTGTTGTAAGTCTCCAGATTACAAAATCCTAGTAGAACTTTCCATGATTTTTGCCAAAATTATATATGCTGAAATTTCCAGATACGATTCGAGTGTAGCACAGGTATCTAATTCACTTCAGCAGACAGCACAAGTTTTCCACATGGGCATACAGTGGACTTACACTTTCCTGCTCTCTGAAGTTAGATGTGGTAATGTGATTTGCTTCAGTGAATTTAAGTTTTAAGAGTCAATGCATGGGTTGTGACACTCCTTTTCACTCTGCCACAGCAACCTGCACCTATTAGATGGTTACTCTATCCATTTGGGTTCCATGGCAAAGACAGTGAGGACCAAATCCCCCAGTTGACCCACAGTGGACACAGGCAAGAAGTAAACTTTTGTTTATTGAGGTAGATTATTACCACAAGTATAACCTAATTTTCCATGACTGATACACCACATGCAGGGTCTTACATTTTGTAATGACAAAAGGACCATTAAAATAGAGGGAAATTGCATCTCTCTGAAAGCTAAGGAAGAATGTCATCCACAAGTCATAGTTTTGAGGAATTTCAGTAAGATAAGATGAGATTAAGGAAAGGAAAAAAGGGATGATTTAAGTTACCTTCAAATAAATAATGCCTAGACGTTTTTATTTCTCCATGCTAAATATGAACATAGTGAGGAAGCTCCCCAACCCCACTATCAAAAAATAATAATGGCCAGGCACGGTGGCTCACACCTGTAATCCCAGCACTTTGGGAGGCTGCGGGTGGATCACCTGAGGTTGGGAGTTTGAGACCAGCCTGACCAACATGGAGAAACCCCGTCTCTACTAAAAATACAAAATTAGCCAGGCATGGTGGCACCTGCCTATAATCCCAGCTACTCAGGAGGCTGAGGCAGGAGAATCACTTGAACCCAAGAAGTGGAGGTTGCGGTGAGCCGAGATCATGCCATTGCACTCCAGCCTGGGCAACAAGACTGGAACTTTGTATCAAAAAATAAATAAATAAATAAATATTAATGCTCTCCCAGTTTATATTGGCTTTGGAGAAAGAAGTGCCTTAATAGTTGCTACTTGGGCACACTGTAACAAGCACTAGCTTTGTTCCAGAACACGTGGCTTTACCTTCCCTAAGACAACACACAATATGCTCATATATGAAAAGCAAACTAGACTTCACCTCCCAGGTAGAGGTGGTGGTGTGTGGTGACTGAAAAACTTTCTGTTGCAGCTAATGCAGTGTTGAGGGACCGCCATACTGAGCCACCTGTTTTCCAACCAGTATTCATATGGTCCCTGTGTGGAAGATGCTGTCTCCTGAAACAAACCTTTGAAGCATGAAAGCAAGAATATATTTGGCATATTGCTGTTGGCTTTGAAGTCACAGAGAATAAAAATAGAAATGACACTATGTGAAATGTTATTCACATTCTGAATAAAAAGTTTGTCTGAGTGAAATGGAAACACACACAGATTGATAGGGTATGCCCATCACACAGGGAGCAGGGAAGGGATAGGTGATGTGGCATATTAGGTAATGGAAAGGTCATACAAAAGGTTTAATACCAGAAAAACATGAGACAACACCTATCCTCATTTAGCAGCTGAATTATTGCTATGATTTAAATATGTCCCCAAAAAGTTATGTGTTGAAAACTTAATCCCCAGAACAACAGTATTGGGAGGTATGGCCTAATGGGCAGTGTTTAGGCAGAGCTCTCATTAATGGTTTAATGCTGCTATAAAAACAGCTCATGGGAGTAGACATCCTCTCTTTCTCTTTGCTTTTCTGCCATTTAAGGCCATGGCATTCCTCCCCTCTGGAGGACACAGCATTCAAGGTACCATCTTGGAAACAGAGAAACCGGGCTCTAACTTTCTGGTGCCTTAATCTTGGATTTCTTAGCCCCTAGAATTATGAGAGAATAAATTTCTGTTGTTTATAAATTACCCAGTCTCAGGTATTCTGTTACAGCAGCACAAAATTGACTAAGTTACCCTGGCTAAAATTCTTGTTAAAGCTCAGGTTCTTGATTGATGAAGATAATAATAGTGCCTACCATTGCGCATTGCTGTGAAGGGAAAATAAGGTCATATGTGCAAACAGGCAATTTGTAAATTGCAAAGTTTTGGTACAAATGGTAATTGTTGTCTCTGGGAAGGTCTGAGCATTATAAAGTCCTTTCTTAATCAGCTAAAAGCTGCCTCCTATATCTCCCTAATTCTCCGAATTCAGTCTCTGCCACATAGTTGGCATATGACAAATATTTGTTGAATAATAGGAAAAAAGGGAGGAGGGAAGGAAGGAAGGAAAGAAGGAGGGAAGGAAGGAAGGAAGGAAGGAAGGAAGGAAGGAAGGAAGGAAGGAAAGAAGGAAGGAAAGAAGGAAGAAAGGAAGGGAGCATGGCCCTGCTGACATCTTGATTTCAGACTTCTAATCTCTAGATTCATAAGAGAATTCATCTGTGTTGCTTTAAGTCATGAAGTTTGTGGTACAGGCAAACCTTGCAGATATTGTGGGTTCAGTTCTAGACCACCACAATAAAATGATTATCATAATAAGCAAGTCACACTAATTTTTTGGTTTTCCAGTGTATATAAAAGTTATGTTTATACTATACTGTAGTCTATTAAGTTTGCAATATAATTGTCTTTGCTAAAAGTACAGAGCTTAATTTTAAAATGCCTTATTGCTAAAAAAAGAAAAAAAGAAAAAAAAAGCTAGTCATCATGTGAGCCTTCAACAAGTCATACAATATCTTCACAGTATCTTCGCTGGTGGAGGGTCTTGTTAATGGCTTCTGACTGATCAGGTCGTGGCTGCTGAAGGTTAAAGTGATTGTGGCAATTTCTTAAAATGAGACAACAATAAAGTTTGCCACACTGATTGATTCTTCCTTCATGAAAGATTTCTCTGTAGCATGCAATGCTCCTTGATAGCATTTTACCCACAGTAGAAATTTTTTCAAAATTGGAGTCAATCCGCTCAAATCCGGATGCTGCTTTATCAACTAAGTTTATGTAATATTCTAAATCCTTTGTTGTCATTGCAACAATGTTCACAGCATCTTCATCAGGAGTATATTTTATCTCAAGAAACCACTTTCTTTGCTCAGCCATAAGAAGCAACTTCTTGTCCATTCAGGTTTTAATCATGAGATTGCAGCAATTCAGTCACACCTTTAGGCTCCACTCCTAATTCTTAGTTCTCATCATTTCCACCACATCTACAGTGACTTCCTCCCCTGAAGTCTTGAACTGCTCAAAGTCATCCATGAGAGTTGAATAATCAACTTCTTCCAAACTCCTGTTGATGTTGATATTTTGACCCCCCATGGATTACAAATGTTCTTTTTTTGTTGTTGTTTTGTTTTGTTTTTTTTTTTTTGTTTTTAGACGGAGCCTCGCTCTGTGGCCAGGCTGGAATGCAGTGGTGCGATCTCAGCTCACTGCAACCTCCACCTCCCAGGTTCAAGCGATTCTCCTGCCTCAGCCCCCCAAGTAGCTGGGATTACAGGCACATGCCACCATGCCCAGCTAATTTTTGTATTTTTAGTAGAGACGGGGTTTCACCATGTTGGCCAGGATGGTCTCTATCTCTTGACCTTGTGATCTGCCCACCTTGGCCTCCCAAAGTGCTGGGATTACAGGCATGAGCCACCACGCCTGGCTGGATTACGAATGCTCTTAATGGCATCTAGGATGGTGAGTTCTTTCCAGAAGGTTCTCAATTTACTTTGCCCAGATCCATCAGAGGAATCACTGTCTGTGGGAGCTCTAGCCTTATAAAGTGTATTTCTTAAATAAGAAGACTTGAAAGTAAAACTTACTCTTGGATCTATGGGCTGCAGAATGTATGTTGTGTTATCAGGCATGAAAACAACATCAATCTCATACATCTCCATCAGAGCTCTTAGGTGACTAAGTACATTGTCAGTGGGCAGTAATATTTTGAAATGAATCTTTTTTTGAACAGTAAGTTTCAACGGTGGGCTTAAAATATTCAGTAAACCATGACGTAAACAGATGTGCTATTATCATGTTTTATTGTTCCATTTATAGAGAGCCCAGGCGGAGCAGATTTAGCATAATTCTTAAGGGCTCTGAGATTTTCGGAATGGTAAATAATCATTGGCTTCTACTTAAAGACGCCAGTTGCATTAGCCCCTAACAAGAGTCAGCATGTCCTTTGAAGATTTGAAGCCAGACATTGACTTCTCTTCTATAGCTATGAAAGTCTTACATGGCATCTTCTTCCAACAGAAGGCTGTTTTGTCTCCACTGAAAATCTGTAGTTTAGTGTAGCCAGTTCCATCAGTGATCTTAGATAGATCTTCTGGACAATGTTGCAGTTTCTACATCAGCACTTGCTGCTTCCCCTTATACTTTTCTGTTATAGAGACAGCTGCTTTCCTTAAACCTCATTAATCAACCTCTGTTAGCTTCAAATTTTTCTTCCGCAGCTTCTTCACCTCTCTCAGCCTTCATAGAATTGAGGAGAGTTAATGCCTTGCTAAGGATTAGGCTTTGGCTTAAGGGAATGTTGTGGCTGCTTTGATCTTCTGTCCAGTCCACTAAAGCTTTCTCCATATCTGCAATAAGGCTGTTTCGCCTTCTTATCATTTGTGTGTTCAATGGAGTAGCACTTTTAATTTCCTTTGAGAACTTTTCTTTGCACTCAGAACTTGGCTAACTTTTTGGTGCAAGAGGCCTAGCTCTTGGCCTATCTCAGCTTTTGACATGTCTTGCTTACTAAGCTTAATCATTTCTAGCTTTTGATTGAAAGTGAGAGATGTGAAACACTTTTTTACACTTGAACATTGCAGTGTTATTAATTGGCTTGATTTCAATATTGTGTCTCAGGGATAGGGAGGACTAACAAAAGGAAGAAAGACAGAAGAATGACCAATTGGTGGAGCAGTCAGAACACACCAACATTTGTCTATTAAGTTCATTGTCTTATATGCATGTGGCTTGTGGCACCCCAAAACAATTATAATAGTAACATCAAAGATCATTGATCGCAGATAACTATACCAGATATAATAATAATAAAGTTTGAAATATTGCAAGAACTACCAAAATGTGAGACAGAGACACAAAGTATGCACACACTGTTGGGAAAATGGCACTGATCGTCTTGCTCAATGGAGGGTTGACAGAAACCTTTAATTTGTAAAAAACACACTATATACAAAGTGTAATAAAATGCAATAAAATAAGGTGTGCCTGTACATTCTTATGACAGCCCTAGGAAATTTTACTAGGGGGTGAAAAAAATCTTACTCTTTTTATGTCTAAAGAACAAATATACCTACAGTACATAAACATCAATCTCATACATCTATATATAGCTATATCCATGTTACTAAGATTTCATAGGCAGGAAGAGATTAGAAAAAAATGTCTAAACAAGCTCTTTATTCAGCTATAATAGATAAAAGGTTGAGAAATCCTGCTCTAGGCTGTGAAGAATTTGAGGAAGCCTGGGGGACCGGAAGACTAATTTAGTCAAAGGCTACTTTCTACTGCTGTTAAATTGCTGTTCTTGTTCTTGGCATTTAAAATAAAGATTTCTGATTGTTTCTTCTTCCATTCTGGCTCAGATACAATTATCACAAATTCCAGAAAAAAAAATCTGACTATCTACTTGTAATAGGATTTGTCTTAAAATGAGGCAGAACAATCACTGGCAATGTGCCAATTTTCAGTTTTGGGTCTCTTTGTTACATGTTCTCTTCTTGCCACAGTTATTGTTGTAAGGCAATGGATTTTACTTTTGGTCTCTGGAATTGCCAGTTTTGTCTCACAACTTTGATGTCTATAGGAAGACTAAAGGTAGCTGGCTATTTCTCCATTAGCCCGCTTTTTACTTCTGACATTTTACATATAGCTATAAGGAAATTGTTTATGGTTGTTCATCATACTGCCCTCCAGGAAAGCCATGGAGTTAGGTCATATTCTATAAAGACCATGCAGTGAGCTGCCTGTTCTGGCCTGCTTCGAGTCTCAAACAGAGAGATGGTTGGCACAGCTCTAACTTTGTTAGGGATATTGACAGAAACTACTTGGCAGTCGATGCAAAATGGAAGTCACTAGGGAGCTCCCAAAGACGAGTAACCCTGAGTCTTTAATGTGCTTGATTTACGTCTCCAAATTCTTTACAGTGAATTACAATGAGTGCAATGATGTTAGCTGGGTAGATCTTGACAGGCATTACCCACCACTTCCATTGTAGTAGACTCTTAATCATCATGACTCCTCTGCAATGTTTCAGTTGGAACACAACTGCCTCCAAATGGGTGTGTGTGGTTAGAGTTACAGGATATTAAATGTGATCTTTCTTTTCATTACAGAGTTTCAGCTGAGAACAATAGGACGAGACCACCTACGTAGGATGGGCTAAGCATCGTGAGACAGGTGCTGCAGTCCTTTACTCATCACAGTGGGACAAGCCTGAGGATTTGTTAGAGATTGGGAAGTGGGAGCTTTTTAGAAAAAGACTTGATGTGCTGTGGCATTTCTCCCTCCCTTCCCACTGGGAAGTGGGAAAGAAGTAGGAAGTCATTCTCCAGTGTAATGCTCCCCCAACTGAGCTATTTCAGCTGCCAATGTAGGAAGTCACTCTCATATTAAGCCACATGAGCATGGGTTTCAGGTCTCAGAGAGCTTCATAGGTATACTTTGGAGTTTGAAAAACAGAATCTAGAACTGCCCCAAACCTGATACTGTCAAAATGTGAGATGCTGGCTGGCTGGCCAGAGGAGCAATTGGTGGCAGATTGAAGAAGGCTGCCTTGAAAGGCTTCCACTTGAAAAGTGTGGAAGGGCAAAAATGCATATCTTCTTCCCATGTGTTAGATATGGATCCATCAGAAGGGAGGAGGTCTCAGGTTACCTGGAGGGATAAAGTGATGCCACCAGAGGGGATGACAGGGTGTCACTGAGGGCCAGAGGATGTCCTAGGAACATGCTACATTAGGGAACTACAGTAGGAGGACCCCAGGAAAGACACCTCAGAGGAACCCAAGAACAAGCCCTGGAGAGGAGGGACTGGCTTTGGTCCACTGCCCCATCCCCAGAGGGCACCAATGTAAATAACAACTATAGCAGTCAAAGGAGCCATTTTCTGCCCCTCACCCTCTTTGCCTTTCGAGCCCTAATACTGGAGAAGCCAGCGCAACAAAGCAGAAGAGAAAGAGTGGAAGACTGAGAAAATAGTGAGTGATCCAACCCCGACCCCCTTCCCCACTGCTAGTCTCCCGCCTGATATGGGTCCAAGCTGCAGGAGGGGATGAAAGATTGAAGTTTGCTATTCAACCAGTCTGGGCTTAATGCCTGGAAATTTAGACAATGTATTAACCTGAGCATGACAGAAAAAGCTCAGGGAGCTTTCCAAAGTTTCATCCAGGGTCAGGAAAGGATGAGTCAACAGAGAAGTTCAAAGGGACAATAGTGAGAAAAAGTTGAGCTTGTTTAATAAGCTGATCATATGACACCCTTTGGAATAGAAATGCATCCGAAAGGTGTATCAGGATAGCCCACAAAACGTATCCTCAAATATAGGCAATATTATTCAGCTGCCTCAATATCTTAGAACAAAGGCAGAGTTTGAGCAAATAAAAATATTGCTTATATGTGACTTCATATTCCATTGTTATTACAAGGATTGAGAGACTTTAGACAATGCTGAGAAATCCTAAGCAAGTTCAGCCTGTAAACAGACTTGACAAGCCCATCATTACTGATGTTTTATTTCTTAATTTCAGGAGGCACTGATGTCTTAGAGGACTTAACTTCTATCTGCTGTCTCCTGAAGATACTCAAGGATCCTCAGAAGCCACATTTTTCCTTTCCACCCAGAAATTATTTTCCTAAGCATTCTGCTCCTCCTCTGACCTGGAAGGGTCTGCCATCTTCTTCCAGTCATTTTCAAGCTTCAGATCCTACCCTATTGAAGCTCTGTTCTGTTTTGCTCTCTACCTGCAACATACTGGTCTTAGGAGCAGGTAAGTACCAAGAACTCTACAAAGTCACAGGACACAATGGACAATAAGTTAACTTTTTTACTTATGATGAACATCTCATTTCTGCTCCATACTCTTTAATTATTTCATTTTTGACAGGCTTTCCATCCTATTTTGATCCTCAAATAGCTCTTTTGCAACTCACAGTCTTCCAAACACCTCTCTAGAAAGTGTCTGTGTTTTGGAGTCCAAATATTCTATGTTGCAAATGGACTTAAGCTTTTTTGTTCATCTAAGACTTTCAGGATCATTGTCTTGGCCAAAAAGTTTAGGTGTCCAGGAGATGGTAAGCTACCCCCATAACCTTGCTATCTGGTTGTTATGAAAGCAAGTCTCAGCCAGGGCTCGGTGGCTCATGCCTGTAATCCCGGCACTTTGAGAGGCCAAGGCAGGCGAGTCACTTAAGCCCAGGAGTTCAAGACCAGCCTAGGCAACATGGCAAAACCTCACTGCTACAAAAAAAAAAAAGCAAAAATTAGCCAGGTGTGGTGGCACGTGCCTGTAGTCTCAGCTACTCAGGAGGCTGAGGTGGGAGGATAAATTGAGCCCAGGAGGTAGAGGCTGCAGTGAGCTGATTGCTCCACTGCACTCCAGCCTGGGCAACAGCACGAGACCCTATCTCAAAAAAAATTTTTCTAATTAAAAAATAAAGTAAGTCTCATGCCACATGTATCTATCTGCCACAGATATCAATAAAACAAATTTTTATTAGTGAGTAGGCATAAAACCAATCATACAACCTCTTTTGTTTTTTAGGTGCTCTGACCCCACCTTTCATGCCTGAAGCAAATACCACAATATTCCAGAGGCAGGATTCTGTCACCCTTATTGTCCAAAGAAAGCACCAGAATCATCCCACGCCGTGGCTCAACTCAAAACCACTTAGGGACTAAGCCTCAAGTGCTACCCCTAAAAGGACAGGCTATAGGACTTGCTGGGGTGGTGACTGTCTCTAAAATATTCTGGCCAATCCACACCTCTGGAAAATCTTTAATTTCAATAAAATGAGCCTATATCTAACATCTGTTATCCAGATTAACAAGACATAAATTTTATCCATGAAAATGCTTTTCTGACAGTTGATATGTTAATTAATGAAGTTTCTGATGGTGATTGAGATGTAGACAACTGAAATGAGGTAGCAGATGCCTTTGGAGTATGGCCATGCTGATCACCCATGGAGTGTGAACTGTTGATTAAGGCAAACTGACAGCCTCTAGAGAATAGCTCAGACTAAACCACACACGCTCACACACACACACACACACAGACACATTCACACACACACACATACACATTCACACACACATACCTTCACATTCACACACACACACACACACACACACACACATCTCTACACTAAAGTAATTTAAAGTAAATTACAGACATCATAATAATATCACAACAATATACAGATAGGAACAAACATCTGCCCGAAGTAACTATTCTGTGTTGCTATAATTGACATTCACAACATTAACGAGAAAACTGATTTAAATACTGTAAAAATCATAAAATGTATTGATTTTATTCTTACAAAACTCAACTACCTTTTCATTTTTTAATTCAAGAAACAAAAAAGCACAAATTAAGTTAAATTCAACTACATCCTATATAGAACTAATGTCAACTTCTAACCTTTTTCTATGTGCTCATACACATAGACACACACTACATTTTACAAAATTGGAGAACCCTGAATATTATGCTATACGCATTTGTCATTAAATATTTTTTCAAAAATTTGAATGTACAAGGCTACAGTAAACTATGATCTCACCACTGCACTCCAGCCTGGGCAACAAAGCAAGATCTTGTCACTAAAAAACAAACAAACAAAACTTGAATTCAGATATCTATGTATTATTGTATCTGATAACTACATCATAATTTGGTAAACTAGTTCCCTATAATTTGGTAAACTAGTGCCCCATGATTTTTTATTATTTTAGGTTGTTTTGATCTTCTACTATCACAAACACTTTGTAACACTCAGGAGGACACAGTGGCACACTTACATTGGGACTTCTAAGCAGAGTTTAGTGAAAGTACTGTTTACAAAGTCAAGGGGAGGAGTTAGGAAAAGCAACCTCAGATGATGCACCATCCTGTGGCTGGAAATGCTGGGGAGCTGTTACCTCCCACAGGCCAAAATGTCTGGAAACTACAGAGAGCATGAGAGAGGGCTGCCAGACAGGAGCTGCAGCCTGCAGTAGGGGAATGCAGCCAAGCCACAATGACCTGGCAGGGAAGGAGCTGCAGGAATCAAACCACAGCCTTACTCCAGGCCCCCTGCCTGTGCCTCCCATCAGCCAAACCCAGCCAGAAGCCTGAGAACACGGAAGCCCACTGATGTGGCCCATATGGTCAGCCTTCCAGCATGGAGCAGGGTAAAGGATGGAGAGCGAGGCAGGAGGGGGAAATATGCCACAACCATCAGATATATTTCTCATCTTTATGCACAGAGTTCATCAAAACTTACGTTTAAAGAAAGATAAGTAGATGGTAAATAACTTCAATAATATTGGTGAGCACAGTGGGTGGTGGAAAGTGAGTTCTTTTCGGGACATGTTTAGAGGGCTCAGCTGCCTGATCTGGTGAATAAAGCTACAGCTGAATTCAGATCCAAGACGGAGCAAGCCAAGTCCCCGTGTGACTGGTGGTGAGGAAGTATTAACATTTGGCGGGAATTCTTGTGTTTCTGGATGGATCTATGGGGTGCAAGACTGTTTCAAGAGGCTTCTCATGATAATAGTTCCCGTTTTTCTAACCTTGCTACCTGCCAGGCTCTGGGTGTTAAGCACCATACACCACTATCTTATTTAACACCAAAACACTCAATATGAATACTATTATCCTATTTTTCACAGGGGAGAAACTAAAGCTTGGAGAAGTTTGGCAATGTAGTCAAGACCA
Source organism: Homo sapiens (assembly GCF_000001405.40). Lineage (NCBI taxonomy): Eukaryota > Metazoa > Chordata > Mammalia > Primates > Hominidae > Homo > Homo sapiens. The sequence continues at coordinate 109,599,632 of NC_000009.12, read as the reverse complement.
CACACCTGCTAAGTGCTGGAGCCAGAATTTGGATGTAGATAGACCAGAACTCAAAGCCAGGCCACTTAACCACCCCCAATAGATGCTTCCACCATCAGCTGTCCCACTCCAAACTGCTTTATGAAGGAATAAACAGTGGAAGCCTGGTGAATTCAGATTAAACCACTACAGGGTGTGTGGTCAATAATTAAAGAAATAGTAAAACTCCCTGAGAGTGCTACCCAGGTTACACTACAGTATTTTTTAAATTAGTAATAACAATAGTAGCATGCACTGGTCATTTCTTGGAGCCTTCTAGGCCATTGACTCACTATTCAGAAAACTGATGACATGCTAGGATCAAGCATTTATCCTGCTTTTCCTGTATGAATTGTATTTCAGGGAAACCAAACAGTTGATAAAGGTATACTGTTTGGTTGTTTGTTTGTTTTGAGACAAAGTCTTGCTCTGTCACCCTGGCTGAAGTGCAGTGGAGCGATCTCAGCTCACTGCAACCTCCGCCTTCCAGGTTCAAGCAATTCTCGTACCTTAGCCTCCCAAGTAGCTGGGATTACAGACGCGCACCACCGAGCCCAGCTAATTTTTTGTATTTTTAGTAGAGATGGGGTTTCGCCATGTTGCCCAGGCTGGTCTCAAACTCCTGAGCTCAGGCAACCCACCTGCCTCAGCCTCCCAAAGTGCTAGGATTACAGGAATGAGCCACCGTGCCGGGCCAATAAAAGTATACTTTTGTTGTAGTTGTTTTTGTTTTTGTTTTGGGGACAGAGTCTCACTCTGTCGCCCAGGCTGGAGTACAGTGGTGCGATCTCGGCTCACTGCAAGCTCCGCCTCCCGGGTTCACGCCATTCTCCTGCCTCAGCCTCCCGAGTAGCTGGGACTACAGGCGCCCGCCACCACGCCCGGCTAATTTTTTGTATTTTTAGTAGAGACGGGGGTTCACCCTGTTAGCCGGGATGGTCTCGATCTCCTGACCTCGTGATCCGCCCACCTCGGCCTCCCAAAGTGCTGGGACTACAGGCATGAGCCACCGCGCCCCGCCAAAGGTATACTTTTTTATAGAATTCCAGATAATATGGGCAGAAGAAATGATAGAAATGACACTTAGCAATCCCTAATGGAATAATCATTAGGACTAATCCTCTTCTTCTTTTACACATTTTGGGGCCCCTTCTTCCCCTCTAGAACATTAAGCAATCATTGGTGAACACTAAAATCATTGAATAACGGGTGGCAGGTGGTTAAACTTATGTAGAATGAATCAGGCTGACAGCTATTGAACCCACTGCTCATCTCGGTATGACGCAAAAATTGGGGCCGGGCACGGTGGCTCATGCCTGTAATCCCAGCACTTTGGGAGGCCAAGGCGGGTGGATCATGAGGTCAGGAGTTCGAGACCAGCCTGACCAACATGGTGAAACCCTGTCTCTACTAAAAATACAAAAATTAGCCGGGCATGATGGCGCATGCCTGTAATCCTAGCTACTGAGGAGGCTGAGGCAGGATAATTGCTTGAACCCGGGAGGCAGAGGTTGCAGTGAGCCGAGACTGCGTCACTACACTCCAGCCTGGGTGACACAGCGAGACTCCATCTCAAAAAAAAAAAAAAAAAAAAAGAAGAATTGGAAAATCAGGACACTGTGTATGTTGATGTGAGGCCTAGGAGCTATGCAGCAAAATCTGTGAATTATCCTTGCCAAAGTAACTGCTGACTCTGGATCCAACCAGGCCTCCAGACACAACTACCAGTCTATAGAAAATATAGGAGAGAGAGGAATAGAAAAACAAGTTAAACACCATAGGAAGCAAGTAGCCATATTCAGAACGTAGAAAATTCTGCAGTAGAAATGACCACATTTCTTTCACAAATAAATGGCATGACAAGGGAGATGAAAGGAAAACTTGTAGATTCACTGACTTACAAGAGGAACTGCTTAGCGGGTGTGGGGTTTCCTTTTGGGGTGATGCAAGGGTTTTGGAACTAGATAGAGGTGGGAGGTGCACAACATTGTGAATATATCAAATGCCACTGAATCGCTCACTTTCAACTGATTGGTATTATGTTATATGAATTTCATCTCAATATAAAGGAGAAGATATATCAGTCAAACATAATGGGTGGAGTTTGTTTGGCCTGCCTAAATGGAAGAAGGAAAAAAGAATGGCTGTAGAGTGTGGCAAATTAGAACCACAGGCTATCTCTGCTGCAAATTAGAACCACTAACTCCAATGATTTTAAGTTGGGAAGAGATATTAAGGGTTTAAATGAGAATTTAATTCCTTTCTCAGGCTTAATACTTCCCAAAAATTATCTCCTAAAAAAATCATCCAGCCTGTTTGTACCCCTCAGGGAGGGGGAGCTCATTACCTCTCAGAAAGCACCCTTTTCACCACAGAACAACCCTGCCTCTCTAGAACTTTTGCTCACTGGTCTTAATTCGGCTCTACTGGCTTACATTGATTGTTTACTAATCTTTCAACTTAAAGCATTTTGAAGCTATTGCCATATGAAAATTCTCCTTTCCGAGGTCACCATCTTTTTTTTTTTTCATTGAGAGAGGGTCTTGTTCTGTCACACAGGCTGGAGGGCAGTGGCACCGTCAGGCTCCACTGCAGCCTCAACCTCCTAGACTCAAACAATCCTCCTTCCTCAGCCTCCCATGTAGCTGGGACTACAGGTGCACGCCACCACACCTAGCTAATTTTTAAAAATTCTTGTAGAGATAGTTCTTGCCGTGTTGCTTAAGCTGGTCCCAAGCTCCTGTGCTCAAGCAGTTCTCCCACCCTCACCTCCCAGAGTGCTGGGATTATAGGCATGAACCACCACACCTGGCCAAGCTCATCCATCTTGAAGCAGAACTCAACACTTCATCCCGGCCTTCAGCAACAAATACCTTCCACCAAGCAAAAGAAAGGATGTAAATTGGCCAAAGATTTTACTGATGTGGTGGAAGGAAGATTCACAGCCCACGAATCCCCACCCAGTCCATCCCTTCTCCTCCACATCTTTCCCTTTGGCTGTTCTCTATTTGGTGTCTAGACTTCTCCCCAAATCCCAGAAAGCCAGAGACCATTATTCCAAGAATGACTTTGCTTTCCATAAACAAAAGAGTGTTCAACCATGATGACTCAATGGGAAAGTTACCAATTACAAGTAACTTTTTCTTTTATAATTTTCTCTGTCACAAAAGCTAGTATCTCCAATTCCTTAGACTGCTATATAAACATAATTTCCATTTCTCTTACTTTCTTAGACAAATATTTCAATTTACTCCCGGTAGTTATATTTATCTTCAGGTGTGGGGCCCAGAATCAAATGTAAAATCATGGTCTGAACTGAAAAAAGCAGAATAGGGCCCTCACCTCTATCATTCTAATAATTTTATTTTCATTGTTGTGGTCTAGGACCCCAAAAACTTTTATAGGGATCACTTTTCACTAGTTATTTATATTGAGGCTCCTGGCAACAGAATTCTCTTATTCATGTTTCTAACTCATATCTTCCCCCGTTCTATACTTATGACATTGTATAATGGCTGAGATCTACAAGTTTTCTCTATTAAATATAATTTTAACAAATTAATCCATCATTTCAGTCTGTCAACGTTCTATGTACCCAGTTCTATTACCCAGCCTCTACCCACTCCTAGCATCGCATCTGAAAATTTAAGGCCCATGCTGTCTAGAAATTGCTAAAGATGGCAGAACTAAGCAAAGAGCACTATAATCTGCCCTAGAAATCTCTCTCCAAGTTAACTCTTCTCCGTTAATCAACATTCTTGATGAATTCTCACGTCGGCACATTACTTTCTAAATGTTCCCAAGTAGGATCGTGGAGTGTTCAATTTTTCTAAGGATCAACATCATGTTCTTATTCCATAAATTTTTTTTTTTTTTTTGAGACGGAGTCTTGCTCTGTTGCCCAGGCTGGAATTCAATGGCGCAATCTCGGCTCACTGCAACCTCTGCCTCCCAGGTTCAAGTAATTCTCCTGCCTCAGCCTGCTGAGTAGCTGGGATTACAGGCACACACCACTATGCCTGGCTAACTTTTGTATTTTTAGTAGAGACAGGTTTTCACCATGATGTTGGCCAGGCTGGTCTCGAACTCCTGACTTCAGGAGATCCACCTGCCTCGGCCTCCACCACGCCTGGCCTTATTCTATAATTTCTGTAACCCACCCTTTTCCTGTCCTGAAACTTAGAGGCAGGGTGTGCAGATGCTATATACTTAAGAGTGCCCACATATTAGGAGGGACCACATGCATAGCAGATATCATAGACTGGAGGATTGAATATTATAAGACTCTTCCGGCAGGTGGCCATGAAGTATCCTATTCTTTAAAATCTGTATATTATGGTAATTTCCCAACAGATGGAAGAAAAGCATCTTGATGAAGGGGTGCCTTTTTCTAATTCACATGAAGACTTCACTCTGCTGAAAATCATGTTGACTCAGCTCCAATCTGCTGGCCAGCACCAATTTTCTACAATTTCTCATAGATTATTGACAACAGCTTCATATAGTTCTAGCTCCTGTAATCTCTGGAAGATAATTCATCTGGGCCTGGTTCTCACTATTTTCTGAACTTTATTTGGCTGCAGTTTCCTTTTCACATACTCTTTGTTCTGTGCTTTTCAGTTTGAAGACCATATCCTTGAGAGAGAGGACAGGAGAACAGATTGGAATCATTCTGTCTCCTTTGTCAGTAGCCTCTGGGTCCAGCTGTGGACTTATCATTCTCTTCTTCTTTTACACACTTTGGGGTACCTTCTTCCCAACTTTCCTCTTCCCACTGTTTTAGTCTGTTCTCACAGTGCTAATAATGGCATACTCGAGACTGGGTAATTTATAAACAAAAGAGTTTTAACGGACTCACAGTTCCACATGGCTGGGGAGGCCTCACAATCATGGCAGAAGGTGAAGGGGAAGCGGGACACATCTTACATGGCAGCAGACAAGAGTGCAGAACTCTCATTTATGAAACCATCAGATCGCGTGAGACTTATTCACTATCACGAGAACAGCACGGGAAAGACCCACCCCCAAGATTCAGTTACCTCCCTCCGGGTCCCTCCCATGACACGTGGAAATAATTGGAGCTACAATTCAAGATGAGATTTCGGTGGGGACACAGCCAAACCATATCACCCACCCTCCTCGTAAGTGTGGTCCACTAATTTCTGCCCATTGTCCAGGGCTTCCTCTCTGATCCCAGTGCAGTGAAAACTGCCACTGATTTAGCTTCTAATCTCACACCTGCTTCATTGACATTCATCCTCACCAACTTCATGTGATTATCAAGCTCTCTCTCCTCTTTGGAATCAAAAGCCTCTATTTTAATTTCCCCACAACACCTAAGTTTAAATTTCTTCTGAGTTGGTTTCATGTTCTGAAGAACCTGCCATTCAGTCTATATGAGAACTGCTGCCCAGCTGGCCTGCAACTTCCCTGGTAATGATGCCTTTCCCTGTCATCATGAAAACATCCCTGAGGCAAATCTGTCACTACACCTGGTAGGCAATGTGGGATGAGAAACCCACAGTTCCTTTCTTCACAGTTTTAAAATTCTACTTGATTTTTCTCCACAGAGACAATAAAGCATTTCTGCTATAAGGTGATCAATGTCATTTCTTTCTCTTTTTTTAACTTGCCTTCCATTTGTCACTTCCTTGATGTTACAGCTTGTCACTTCCAAAGTTTGTTTGACTTGCCCAATCTCACACTGAAATGTGATCCCCATTGTTGGAGGTGGGGCCTGGCGGGAGGTGTTTCTGTCATGGGGACAGATCCCTCATAAATGGCTTATTGCTGTCCTTGTGGTAATGAGTGAACTCCTGCTCTATTTGTTCCTGGAGGAACTGATTGTTAAAAAGGGCCTGGCACCTCTCTCCTTTCGTTCGGCTTCCTGGTCTCACCATGTGGCAGACTTCCCTTCGCCTTCCTCCATGAGTGGAAGCAGCTTGAGGCCCACACCAGATGTAGATGCCGGTGCCATGCTTCTTGTAGAACCTGTAGAACCATGGGCCAAATAAACCTCTTTTTCCTTTATAAATTATCCAGCCCCAGGTATCCTTTTGTAGGAAAACAAAAGGACTAAGACACTTGGAGAAATGTTTTCTCTTCAAGCTCCCTCTTTCTAGTTTTGCCGTTCATATTTCCCTTGTGCTCCCTCTATCAGGAATGTCATTGTTTATCACTAACTTAATTTGGGGCTGATGGTCAATGTTATAGCACCTCCTCCAACCATTAGAGTTGCCAAATTATTAAGGATGGAAGACCTCAACAGCAGGATTTTTATCCTAACAAATTAACTCTTATTCACTCATCCATGAATTCATACATTTGTTACACAATATGTATTGAGGATCTACTCTATGGCAAACTCTGAGATGAATAAGCTCACCATCTCCATCACCGGAAACCTAAAGGCAGATTTCAAATATAACTGGAGCACTGTGTGACTCCATTTTGTGCATGGAACTATATTAAAATATAGCTTGATAAAAATAAAATAAATTACAAAGCAATTTAAACCATTCTTTGTGGAAGGTAGAGGATCACATTTTTAGTGCCCAGCAAAACACCTTTCCATTCCCTTTGCATAACTCTCTCACTATCAGTCTCTCCCAGCATCTGTCAAAACACTCCTGGGCACTTTGGGTCACCATGACAAAGTGACCTGTCATGGAAGGACCTCCTCACTCCCACCTCAGCCATCAGCATGCAGAAATCCTAAATAAAAATGCACAAACTCATCAAAATAAAGTTTTTAAATACACAGATGAACTAGAAAGCAAGAAAAGAAATTCACAGATACCAACAATGAAAGAAGGATGCCCAGCTCAACTGGAGGGGCAAAAATGAAAGCCAAATGGCTCATAGAAGAATAGTAACTAGACCTGGACCCTAGTGGTTGGGAGGCTCAGGGACACATGGCAAAGCCTCACATTCTTGCAAAAAAGGAAGATAGAATGGAGCCCCCACACCATGCCATGAGCTGTGAAGTGTTGCCTGAGATACCCCATTGGGGCATGAAAATGCCACATGCTGACCTGGAAAAAGGAAAGGAGACATAAGCACCGTGGTGTTGAGTTGTTTTGCTCTCTGGTGTATCTCCACATCCTAATACAATGCCTGGAACATAGTAGCTTATCAGTAAATAGTTTCCAAATAAATGAATGAACGAGGAATGGAGAAAGCCATATAAGAAAATAAAAAGGAAAAAAGACTAATGTGACATAATCTTTGATGTATTTACACAAAATTATATGTGTGTATATTATAAGGAATTATATTAATTTTAACTATTTAGTGGAGATATATATAACTATGTATATATTATATATGTTTATGTGTGGATGTGTTTGTGTGTGCAAACTCATACATGCAAAGAAAATTGCTGGAAGAAAACAAAATTTTGGAGAATAGAACTAGGGATCACAGGTAACAGGGAGAGTTTCTTTTTATTGTTTACCCCTTTGTGCCATTTGATATTTTTCATGCATATGTATAGCTTTTCACACACATGCAAAAAAGTTTTAGAATAATTAGATATCTACTTAGTTACATAAAGAAAAAAATGTTTTGTCTATGTCACTCCAATTTTGTGATGATTTTAAATGGGGCAGAATATAAGAAAAGTGCTCTCTAAACTGTAAGTGCTATGCAAATATGAATTGTTAGCATAATTCCTTCTGTTTAAATACCAGGTGTGGTTTCTGTCTCTGACTGGACCCTGATTGATATATGTTGGCACTTACCATAATAAGGAGCTGTAAACTTCCTTTTTGGGTGAAATTCTATTGGCAGTTCAAAGGGCCAAGTAAGGTGAATGAAGGCTGTCCCATGTTTCGTGCAGGATGGATTTCCTCTTAGACCGAGAAGTAACAGATCTGGACAACCTCCACAGTCTTGGATAACCTTTTTTTTTTTTTTGTAACTGAAACATAATGATTCGCTAAGTCAGGGGTCAGAAATGGTTTGAAACACAAGAGAAAATCTCCCTCAGAGTAGCTCCTCTAGCTCCTCTCAAAAATTCATGAGTTGCTGTTGGATGGATTCTTTTATTGTGATTTCAGCTTTCCCTGTCTAAGTTACTGCTTCTCCTGCTAGATTTACTTAGAGATGGGACTGTCTGTTCTGGAACCTTCTTCCCAGTCAAAAGCAGAAATGCAATAGAAGTTTCTGCTATGAGAACACAGGCTACTAGACATATTTTTTGGCCTTGCAATTTTTTGGATAAATATTTACTAAGCAGCCACAAAGTGACTGGCACCATTAAGTCTGCATGTCAGAAACTTTCAAGTAATAGTTTCTGCTTTGCGCCAGGAAAAGCAAATACCTTGTGTATTATCTCTTTTGTGATGAGAAGAGCAGACATCCTGATGGAGACAGCTCTTAGTGGAGCCATCACTCACTGTCATCTCAGCCCATTTTATCCGTGTGGTCATAGGACTCCACCGCCAGGGATCCAGGCCCCTACATGAACATGCCACTAGCCTGGTGACTGTGCGCTGGCATTGGCTCGAGACTTTGGTGTTGGCTTGGGCCTGAGCCAGCCCAGCACATATTTTCTTTGTAGATTAAACCTGAACTAAAAATCAGACCACAGGCAAAGTATGGCCCAGAGTGGGAAGGAAACCTCTTCCCCACTCCTGGCCAGAACACTGCCAGGCAGTGCAGGGACAACACAGGAGCACTTCAAGAGTTGGCAGCTTCAGCAGCCCTAGGAGACAGACCCCTTGCCATGAACATCAGCATCCCACCATGAGTGCTCACAGCAGCGGCAGAGTTGAGGCACTACTTTATGAAGTCTCATAGGCAAAGGGATCAAGAGACTCCTCTGAAGGCAGGAGAGAAACTCACAGCAGAGGATTAGAGGTGGCCAAAAGTGCTGACAGTTCAATGGAGGAACTCACATGAGATGTGCCCTGGAGGCTAGTGGACTCAGGAGAGGTTCAATTAAACACTAGCTGAAGGCCAAGGTGTCAGATTTTACAGGACACAAAACGTGACTGGGTTTTTTTTCTTTGGTGAACATGTGCTAAATCCCAAAGATGGAGTGGGAACTCTAAGCTTAAAGAGAAGACTGTAGTTCACCACTCTTAATCAATATAGTACTAGAAGTCCTAACCAGAGCAATTAAACAAGAGAAAGAATAAAGAGCATCCAAACTGGAAAAGAGAAAGTCAAATTGTCCCAGTGTGCAGACAACATTTATATAGAAAAACCTAAAGACTCCAGAACTCTTAGAACTGATAACTGAGGCCGGGAGTGGTGGCTCACGCCTGTAATCCAACACTTTGGGAGGCTGAAGTGGGTAGATCACTTGAGGTCAGGAGTTGGAGACCAGCCTGGCCAACATGGCAAAACCCTGTCTCTACTAAAAATACAAAAAATTAGCCAGGCATGGTGGCGTGAGCCTGTAGTCCCAGCTACTCAGAAGGCTGAGGCACGAGAATCACTTGAACCTGGAAGGTGGAGGTTGCAGTGAGCCAAGATTGAGCCACTGCACTCCAACTCCAGCCTAGGTAATAGAGCAAGACTCTGTTTCAAAAAAAAAAAAAAAAAAAGAACTGATAAATGAATTCAGTAAAGTTGCAGGATACAAAATCAGCATGCATAAATCAGTAGCAATTCTGTATACCAGTAACAAACTAGCTAAAAAAGAAATCAAGAAAGCAATCCCATTTACAATAGCTACAAAACAAATATCTAAGAATAAACTTAACCAAGCAGGTGAAAGATCTCTACTTAACTGTAAAACGCTGATGAAAAAATTGAAGACACACACAAAAAATGGAAAGACATTCCATATTGATGGATCAGAAGAATTAATGTTGTCAAAATGACCACATTACCCAAAGCGATCTACAGATTCAATGTGATCCCTATTAAAATACCAATGACATTCTTCACAGATATAGGAAAAACTGTCCTAAAATTTGTATGAAACTACAAAAGACCCCAAAAAGCCAAAGCAATCCTGAACAAAAATAAAGCTAGAGGTATCATGCTATCTGACTTCAAAATATACTACAAAGCTATAATAATCAAAACAGAACGGTAGTGGCATAAAAAGACACATAAACCAATGGGACAGAATACAGAAGACAGAAATAAATCCCCTTATGCCAAGTGCACTGTAGCAAGCAAGGAAGATGCAAAACAGAATCTCAACTCTCTATTCCTGCCTCACCTTCTTTGCCCTCTCCATTATTCCAGCTCTAGACATTTACTTAATCTCCTGCAGAAAAACAAATAATGGGATCTCCATCAGAGTCAAACGCATAATCAACCCAGGGAATGCAAGCAATGCATAGGCACCTGACAGGCATCAAATGGATCAATAAGCAGAGAGGATAAATGAACAGCTGGCAACTCTTCAGTCCAAGATAAGCATGAAGCTGATTCTCCAGGTTCATTGCCCAAAGCACCTTAAAGAACAGTGAGAGAACTCCTTGCAAGGCAAAAAGAAAGTGGCCCTGCCCTACCCATAGATCACTCCCCCCCTCAAGCCCTGGTGTGTTCTCTTCAGCATTTACATGCTTGTAGAAGAGCCAGGTCAACCTAGATTCAACTAAAATAGTGTTTAAAAACAGTCAGTGCTTGGTCCAGAATATGCTGAGAAAAAAAGCCAAGATCTCGTCTCAGCCCAAACTACCCCTGCCTGCCATGAGAGTGTGCATAGAGGCACAGGAAAATCAGTCCTACTGGGAAGCCTTAGTAATTACCACTGGAACCCACCGGATCCCACAAGCCTGGGAGAAGATGGCTTAATTAAGTGTAATCTCTGACAGTTCTGATTGGGAAATTGAGGACACAGTAACTGGGTGCCTTTTAGGCAACGATCTGTTCCTTTTGTTAAGACACAGCAAGGGTCTCTTCTTTTGCCTACAACAAACAGGAGAGCTGTAATTATGCCATGTCAAACTGCAGCTGGGTGTGCTATTTTGGATCTCATATTTTCCTGGCAAGTTTTACAACCAAAAAGATAAAGTGCCTCCCCACTTGAATGGAGGCTATATTTAAGGTACTTGAAGCACTGTAACACTCTACAGGCCTAACTCCACTTCTCATGGTAAAGAGAGGATAGAAGCCAAAACCTGGCGGTTTATACTGTATGTGTATGCAGAAACCTTGTGTATTAGCTTTCTAGGGCTGCTGTAGAAAACTGTCACAAACACGGTGAGTAAAACACAGAAACTTATTGTCTTACAGTAATAGAGGCTAGAAGTCTGAGATCAAGGTGTCAGTGTGGTTGATTCCTTCTGAAGGCCGTGAGGGAGAATCTGTTCTGTGCCTATCTCCTAGCTCCTGGTTTCTTTCCGGCAATGTGGCGTTCCTTGGTTTGCAGATGTATCATTGCAAACTCTGCCTTTATCTTCACATGGCTCTCCCTGTGGGCATGCCTATCTCTATGTCCAAATATCCCCTTTTTATAAGGACACAGTTATGTTGGATTAAGGCTCACCCTAATGATTTCATTTTAACTTGACCATCTGCAAAGACCTTACTTCCAAATATGGTCCACATTCACAGGTACTGAGAAGTAGGGCTTCAACATCTTTTGTGGGGACATAATTCAACCCATGACACCTTGGTTCTAATGAAATGTTACATAGATGCTCCCTGCTGGAAAAAAGAGAACAGTATAGACAAGGGTAGAGCTTCTCTGGTTGACATGAGGGTATGGAGTGGATGTTCTCAAGCCTCTCCCCGTCCATCCTTTAGGTACCACCTTCCTCCTGCAGTCTCTGAGGTCTCTGCAGAGTGTGGTTCAACTTTCCCTGGTTTTAGAGCAACTAAACAGAGACAGAGAACCTGGATTTATTTATCCTCCTTTTTTTAAATAAGCATGGGTCAAAGATTTATTTAACTCATTAAGAGAGCCAGTAAGAGGTTATAACCAGGTCAAAGGATCATTCCAAGAACACACCTATCTAAGTAACCTGGAATGCTGAAATGAGTCTACAAATAAGTGTAAAACTAGTCAATATCCACAGTGCAACAACCAACTGCATCTCCACTGGACAAAATTCATTTGCATTTCTATGAGTAAGAATCATGTGTATTACTCTCAGTGTTCTACAAATTGCAGAGTTACAAAATAAAACTCCAAGGTAATGCAGATAACCAGGAAGGGTGCCCTAGATAAGACACCCAGTAGTCTTTTTTGCCCACTTCAAAGTCTTTCACAATTTTTCCTAGCAGAATATATGCCTCCCAGGTGCTAAGACTACCGCAGATACCATCAACTACTTAAGGCCTTTATGTCCCTAGGGTATGTGGTGGTCTGCTGGCTGGGGAAGGGTCAACCTCTTTCAAGTTTCAAGAACTATTAGGATGACACCTCTACCCCACCCAACCTATGTTGCTCCCAAGACCCTAACATCAGGGAAACAGAAATTCCTCTGTGGTTACACGGATTCCTCGGCTCCTCCTGGGAGACCAGGATTTCTGGAATTCAGCACCAATCTTTTCTCTCCCACCCTTTGCCCCTGCTGCCAAGCTCCTTCCCTTACACACCTTCTCTCCTCCAGTATACACTTCAGCGATCAGTCCAGTCCTGAACAGGCATCCCCCTGAGGCCACCTCCCTAACTGGAAGTCCATCAGCCTCAAGAGCAACCTTTCTTTTCTTTTCTTTTTTTTTTTTTTGTCCTCTCTGTTGTGCCTCCTTACGACTTTTAGCCTTCAAGCTGAAAGCTGAGACCCAGAGACCTGAATTTTTCTCTTAGTGGCTGTGTGACCAAAGCTTCAGTTTCTATCATCCTAAGCTCTGAGTGTAAATGTGAGCACAGCCAATGCTGCAGTCTTCCATCCAGATCCTTTCCAGGACCTAGGACTGAGGACCTAGGACTGGGGCACTCACTCCACTAGCCCTGGAAACTGCCCTCTGCCAAAGGGGGCTACTCATCCAAGGTTACCACCCCTCTCTGGGAGCAGCACACATGCAGTGACTGGTCCAGGTAGTGTAGAAAGTCCAGCCCTCTTGCCTCAACTTGGGACATCTCTGAATGGCCACTCCAGCTTCAGAGGTCCCCATGGCATCAGCTGAGGTGTCTGTTGCTACTACACACAGTTCAACTTCTCCTTCTGTCCAGTCCTGCCTCTTTCACTCCTTCTCAGGTGTGTTCCCAAGGGCTCTATCCAATAAATGCATTTCTTACACACAAGCCTTAGAGTCTGAGTCTCTTTTCTTGGAAACATGATCCTGAAACAAAGAGGTAAGCATGTAATAAGGGCTCAAATATGCCACTAACAAGTTCTGTGAACTTCATTGAGTCACTTCTCTCTGGCCTCAGTTTTCTGAACTCTATAGTGAGGTTATCAGCCCAAAATAGTCACTAATATCCTTTTGAGCACCAACATTCTAACAGTTTCTAAATCTACATAGTAGAGAGCTGGGCATAGGCTTGGAAGACAGACACCAGCCACATCACTGCCCAGGCTTCCGCAATACGTGATTCTATGCTGATACAGTTCTCAGAAAAAAGTGGAATGGTAGGGCGTGGGGGTGGTTTGTTTTCTGCTATGCTCCAATAGAGATTCCACATGGCAAGGTGGGAGGGGGACCTTCCCTGAGCACGGTAAGAAAACCTGAGATTGTTTTCCTTCCACATGCTGCCAGGCTCCTGAAACTGATATCCCTGGGAAAGGCTGGCATCTTATAGAGTTACATTCTCCCATAAGCCAGCGTCATCCTTAGCCAGGCCCTCCACATTGCAGATAAGAATTGGGATCTTGTCGATCAGCACCACGGCTGCAGACACACTGGGGAGGGAGTTTTAGTTGCTTTGGGGTCACTGCTTCTTGCTCAGCAGTGCCCAGAAGCAGAAGCACATGGTTCTCCATCCCCTAACAAAGGTACAGTATGGTACCCAAAACTGACATTTCTCATTCCCTGTTTAAGATTAAGAGGGACTTCAGGAAACTTACAGTGCCCATAAACACTAATAGATCAGTGCTATACACACACACACACACACACACACACACACACTCTCACACTCACACACTCAAGGAAATACAAAAAATTTAAGGTTACATACAGCTGCTGATTAGTTGTAAGAATCTGGATAACACAAATGTTCCAAGGCTCAGCTTATTCTTGTTTTTTTTTTTTTTACCTTTTTGAGACAGGGTCACGCCCTGTGCCCCAAGCAAGAGTGCAATGGTATGATCATAGTTCACTGCAACCTCGAACTCCTAGGCTCAAACAAAATCCTCCCGCCTAAGCCTCCCAAGCAGCTGGGACTACAGGTACACACCATCACATCAGCTAATTTTTTTAATGTTTTTTTGAGACGGGGGTCTCGAACTCCTGTCCTCAAATAATCCTCCTGCCTCAGCCTCCCAAAGTGCTGGAATTATAGGCATGAGTCATGCCTGGCCTGGCTCAGCTTTGTAACCTGTAAAATGGGAATGTACTACAGTGTAAGTTTTACTATGTATTGCTAAGTATTACTATGTATTTTACTAAGTATTACTATGAGCTGCTCTAATAACCTATTAGAATAAACCCTAAAAATCTCAGTGGCTTAACACAATAGGAGTTTATTTGTCTCTCTCATAGGGTACGAAATGGGTGGCAGCTGTCTTCCAACATGTGATTATAAAAGCAGCTTGCAGCTTCCAATATTCTGGCGCCTGTCTGCACAAGATGGAGGAGAAGAAAAGAACGTAGAGAGTCAGATATGGGAGCACTGTTTAGCCCAGGCCTGGAAGTAACACACAATACTTTCATGCACACACCTATAGCTAAAACTTAATCGTGTTGCCATGCTTAGTGGTGAAAGAGTCTGGGAAATAGAGTTTAGCTGTGAGCCCACAATGGGAAACAGGTTTGGGAGAAGCTACCCAGTCCCTTCCAAGGGATGATAACCTTATAGGATTGTTGTTGACTTAACAAAGGCAATAAGTAGTTCAAGTGTACAGCGAATATTTAATAGATACTAATTGCTGCTGATATTATTACAAGGGCAACTCAACAGGACCCTGGGAACTGGCTGGGGATGCCATGAGCGAATATGGGTCCCAGAACAGACATGGGTCTCAAGCTTGGGAGGGCAGCTCTGTCTTACTTGGACCCACACAACACTCATAAAAGATTCTGGGTGGCCAACTCAATCTCACACGCCTGCTGACTCCCCTTGGGCAAGGAGGGAGTGGTTTCAGTTCCAAGTTAGGAAGAGGCA
Organism: Homo sapiens; assembly: GCF_000001405.40. NCBI lineage: Eukaryota > Metazoa > Chordata > Mammalia > Primates > Hominidae > Homo > Homo sapiens. The sequence continues at coordinate 109,584,433 of NC_000009.12, read as the reverse complement.
GGGAAATAGTAAGTGCTTTGACTGCAGTTCAAATTCTTTCCACCAGCCAGGCATGGCGGCCCATGTATGTAATCCCAACACTTTGGGAGGCCTAGGTGGATGGATCGCTTGAGGCCAAGAGTTCCAGACCAGCCTGGCCAACATGGTGAAACCTCATCTCTACTATAAATAGAAAAATGAGCCAGGCATGGTGGCACATGCCTGTAGTCCCTGCTATTCGGGAAGCTGAGGCTGGAGAATTGCTTGAAGCCAGGAGGTGGAGGTTGCAGTGAGCCAAGACCACGCCTCTGCACTCCAGCCTGGGTGACAGAGTGACAGAGTGAGACTCTGTCTCAAAAAAAAAAAATATATCTCCACCTACCATGCTGTGGCAATTATTCTTCTGAAAATACTGGAAGGCTAACAAGACTTGCAAACAGAAAAATTAATTATCCTTCCAAAGATACCCAATCAGGCTACAAGAAGGATATATGTTCTTCTCACTAATTTGATGTTGGCCTCACTCCTTGAGAAATAATAGCCCTGGCCTTATTTTTCTAGAGGCATATTTTTCTCTTTACTTTGTTTTTTTTGAAGGGTCTCTATGTTAATCCCAAATACCTCTGCCTAAGACATTTGGGGCAAAAGCTTTATGATCAAATTTCTTCTCTCTCATCTCCAAGTTGCTCTCTTAATAGTAGGTCAGAGAAAAAGGTTTGTATTAATGCCAAGACATGAAAAAGAAAACAAAAACAGCAATTATTTGTCACCCTCCAATTCTACATTCCCTGCACACATGTGCATGTGCACACAACACACATACACACCAGCAACAGCAGCAACCCTTGGCTAGATTTGACGTTTTGGCTTTGGGGCATAAAAAAAGGGGGGAAATAGGAAAAGAGGGAAATGACAGAAAAGAACATGAAGTATAAAATAATTGGGGGGAAATGTTAGAGAAACTTCTTTGGATCTTTATGTGCTGCAAATTGTTGCCCCACTCCTCAATAACCTTAGTTCTATTAATCTAGGTTCCTTATAAGATAAGCTACTGTGTTAGTTTGCTAGGGCTGCCCTAACAAAATATCACACACTGGATTACTCTAGCAACAGAAGTTTAATTTCTCACAGTGCCAGAAGCTGGAAGTCAAAGACGAAGGTGCCAGCAGGGTTGGTTTCCTTTGAGGCCTCTCTCCTTGGCTTACAGATGGCTGCTTTCTCACTGTGTCCCCACACGGCCTTTTCTCTGTGTGCAATGCCTATGGTGTCTCTTCCTCTTATTATAGGGACACCAGCAATACCTGGTTAGGGCCCACTCTAATGGCTTTATTTTAACTGAATCACTTCTTTAAAGGCCCTGTCTCCAAACACTGCAGTCATATTTTGAGGTTCCAGGGGTTAGGGCTTCAACATATGAACTGGGGGGGAATATAATTCAGTCCATAACAGCAAGCTTGCAGCAAAAAATTTCTTCAAGTTGAAAATGCAGTAAAACAAAGAAAAAAATGGTTTTGTAACAAAACATATAGATCATTTGGAAAATAATGGTTCACCAGCCATTCAAATCTTCCAAATGTTGGCTCATTTGATTAGACAATATTAAAAGAATCCCATTTGTCAATATTACCACTGATCTTACCAGAAAAGTCTTTAAGTATTTGAGTTGTCAAGATCATGATGGCAGAAACAAGTTTTCCAAAATTCTAGTTTTTGCTTAAAAACTTGTATTTTATCATTGGTAACAAATACTGTCAGTTGTTTTTCTTGAAATGACAGGCTCCTTTTGTTCATTTTCAGGAAAATATCTGCCAAATACCCTAGTCTGAGTAACCACAGTTTGCCTGACAGTCATTCTTTTAGATAAAAATGGTGTTTCATGGAAAAAAGCTCTCAACTCCAACACACAAGTGCTTTTTTCTTAAGGCAATTATTGTACTTTGGAATGCAGCAAAAGTACTTTGTGCATACTTCATCACCCAGAATATCCTTTTAAAATGTATACACAAGGGCCAAATTTAATAAAAGTAATAATTTTCTTACTGTCTTTTTTTTTTTTTTTTTTTTGAGACGGGGTCTCACTCTGTTGCCCAGGCTGGAGTGCAATGATGCAATCTCAACTCACTGCAACCTCCGCCTCCAGAGTTCAAACGCTTCTCCCGCCTCAGCCTCCCAAGTAGCTGGGACTACAGGCACCCACCACCACTCCCAAGTAATTTTTATATTTTTAGTAGAGACAGGGGTTTGCCATGTTAGCCAGGCTAGTTTCGAACTCCTGACATTGAGTGATCTGCCCACCTCAGCCTCCCAAAGTGCTGGGATTACAGGTGTGAGCCACCATGCCCGGCAATTTTTTACCACTTTTTAAGTGAAATTGGCAGGCTTATTTTTTCACTTCAACTGTGTGGCAGTGCTGTGGCAGTGATGACCAGCACAGTCGGACCCCATTGCCTGATTTCTGCTAAGGCCGCCAGCAGTGCTACATACCACTGGTTTCACACCCTCAGTGCAAATGTCAACCCAGTGAACAAGGCAAATGGCATCTTAGTGTTTGCTATAGACTGAATGTTGTGTTCCCCCCAAATTCAAACATCGAAAATCTAATAGGCCATGTAATGATATTAGGAGGTGGGGCTTTGAGGGGTGATTATATCATGAGTGTGGAGCCCTCCTGAATGAGATAAGTGCCCTTAATAAAGAAGTCCCAAAGAGTTGCCTTCCTACTTCCACCATGGGAAGACACAGTGAGATGCCGTCTATGGGACAGAAACTGAGCCCTCACCACATACTGAATGTGCCAGCATCTTGATCTTGGACTCCCAACCTCTAGAACTATGAGACATAAATTTCTGTTGTTTCAAAGCTACTCAATCAATGGTCTTTTATTATAGCAGCCCAACTGGACTAAGACAGTTTTTACTTTGAAGATCCCCTGAAAGAGTCATAGGAACTCCTAAAAGTCCAGGGACCACACTTTAAAAATAGCTGTTGGCCGGGCATGGTGGCTCACGCCTGTAATCCCAGCACTTTGGGAGGCCGAGGTGGGCAGATCACCTGAGGTTAGGAGTTCGAAACCAGCCTGCCCAACATGGCGAAACCCCGTCTCTACTAAAAATACAAAAAACTAGCCGGGCTTGGTGGCGGGTGCCTGTAATCCCAGCTACTCGGGAGGCTGAGGCAGAATTGCTTGAACCCATGAGGCGGAGGTTGCAGCGGGCCGAGATCGCACTAGTGCACTCCAGCCTGAGCAACAAGAGGAAAACTCCACCTCAAAAAAAAAAAAAATGCTGTCATAGATCAAGCTGAATTTCTCTTAAGTCTCCAGTAACCCCAGTTCTTCCAGCACCAATACTTCCTCACAGCCGTCAAGTAACCACAAATGCAAGATTGGCATAGAGCCTTCATAAATACGACTTAATACATATGACTTAATACATACGACTATATCCATAGAAAATACATAGGTTTTTTTTTTTCTCCATTTAGGTAAATATCACAGTGTACATGTTATTTTGCAATGTGCCATTTTCACATAACAATGTATTTTTTAAGATCTACTCAATTAGTTCCGAGCGCAGTGGCTCACGCCTGTAATCCCAGCACTTTGGGAGGCTGAGGCAGGTGGATCACAAGGTCAGGAGATCGAGATCATTCTGGCTAACACCGTGAAAAACCATCTGTACTAAATATACAAAAAATTAGCCAGGCGAGGTGGCGGGCCCCTGTAGTCCCAGCTACTCGGGAGGCTGAGGCAGGAGAACGGCGTGAACCCGGGAGGCGGAGCTTGCAGTGAGCCGATATCGCACCACTGCACTCCAGCCTGGGTGACAGAGCGAGACTCCGTCTCAAAAAAAAAAAAAAAAAAAAAAAAATCTACTCCATTAGGTTCAAACAGATCTTGTCCATTCTTTTAACTCTGCAGTATTGCATGAAATGTATTAACTCCATTTTTTTTTAACGGTTCTTGTACCACGGGAATTTATCTCTTTTTCTTTTGAAAATATTGGTCCTACTTTCTTGTTTATATTTTTAAGTATGCATTTTGAAATGTATTATGAAATGTTCCATACACCTAAAAGGCTCTATATAACATGCACGTAACGTGAAGAATAACACAGGTATGAAGGCCCAAGGACAAAGGTGTACTAACACCCCTGAGGGAGCCTCATATTTGGCAGAGACTAGTAGTGCAGACTGCCCAGGGTAATTTGGGTCTGGTTTTCCACTCATGAGTTTTGGCAGGGCTTCCAGTACCCCATGAAGACATGAAAAGGCATCATTCTTGAAGGCTAAGATGAAACTTGCTCTTTAACTCAGGAACAAGGCTCCCCTTTTCTGGAACTGAAAGATACACAAAGTTTCCTTGTTTCCCTAAAGTGGGGCTCAGGTGGAAATGGCAGGTCTTTTTCCACTGTCCACTCTCAGCACAAGAAAGCACAATGACTTTTTTTTAAATGCCTTTCATATTTCTGAGGTCCCCAAGTTGTGCTGTGACAAACAAGTGATTGCCTTCTTTGATACTTACGTGAAGTTTCAGCATTTTTTTATTTTTTAAATCATCACCATGTAGCATGTGCTTTTGAATTTTTTTTTAGATACTTGAAAAAGGAGGGGCATTTTCAAGTTGGAGTTGAGGTTCAGAGGAATGAACATGGACTTTGCAGTGAGTCAGCGATAAATGCAACTTGCAGCTCTAACCCTCAGCAGTGGTATGATATTAAGCAGATCACTTACAGTCTTTATCAGTTTCTGTGTTTGTCAAGGGAACACATTCCTCAGGCAGTCGCTGTGAGCATCATATAAGACAATATGTGCAAAGTGCCAGGCACAATATCAGGGCACAATAAATAACACCTTAGGGATGCTTATATGTCAGCCAGGTGAATCATATCAAAACTTTTTAATGGATTATTTTAATTATCAGACTTACAGATTTGCCTTGAACCTACGCTATTCTGAGAAACTTTATACAACTCTTCATTTCTCCTTAGCTGCCCTTCAAACTAAACTCTGCCATCTGCTTCCAGCCCTGCCAAGTCACACAAGCTTGCTTTCTGAAGAGGCCATGACATGCACATGGCCGAGTCCAACATCATGCCCTCTTGGTAGCGATGACACCATTAACAATGTACTGCCTCTTAAGACACTTCCCTCCTTGGCTTCTGTGACCCTCATTTCCCCTGGTTTACACAAGCTCCCAGGTACCAACATCCTTCATGGATTCTTACCTGGCCCCAAGTTTCCTCAGGGCTTGGTCTTGAGTCCTTATCTCTTCTCACTTTTCAATTCTCTCCCTGAGTGATCTCATTCACTCCCACACATAGGAAGATCCATATCTCCATCTCCAGGCCCAGCCTCTCCCTGAACGTCAGAATCTGTTTTCCAATTCTCAAGTGAACTCCTCACATTGCAAAACATGGACATCAGAGTCAACATGTCCAAAATTCACCATCCCACATAACTTCATCCCAAATCTGTGCTGTGGGCTTCACTTCGGCAAATTCCCGGTCACCACCCCTTCAGTCACCTAAGTTGGAAGCACTGGGATACATTTAGAAGCATTGTGCTGATACCACTTGCATTAATGCTGCTTCTTTAAAAAAAAAAAATTTTTTTTTGAGACAGAGTTTTGCTCTTATTGCCCAGGCTAGAGTGCAATGGTCTCAGCTCACTGCAACCTCCACCTCCCAGGTTCAGGCAATTCTCCTGCTTCAGCCTCCCAAGTAGCTGGGATTACAGGCATGCACCACCATTCCTGGCTAATTTTTGTATTTTTAGTAGAGACAGGGTTTTGTCATGTTGGCAAGGCTGGTCTCGAACTCTTGACTTCAGGTCATCCACCCACCTCGGCCACCCAAAGTGCTGGGTTTACAGGCATGAGCCACTGCACCCGGCCTTTTTTACAAAAATTCTGTTCAGAAACTCTCCAGTCAGTTTCCACTAGCCAGGTTCAGGCCCTTCCTACTGACCTCTCTGTCTCCAGTCTAGTGTCCCTTTATTAACTCCTTTCTCCAACATGCATTCAGAATGACTTTTCTAAAAAAAAAAAAAAAAATCACATACAGTGCGAACCAGATGTGGTCATATCATTTATCAGCCAAACTGAGACACCTCTGATAGTGAAAGGGTGTGCGCTATGAGTAATTACACTGGAACAACAGACAAACCCTCACTTTATACCAGGCACTGTGCTAAGTGCTTTACATACCCAATAAACTTATCCAGTAGCTATTATTATTATCTAACTGCAGATGAGGAAACTGAAGCTTAGAGAGATTAAATGGCTTGCCCATGGGCATACAACTAATATGTGGAAGAATGGGATTTGAAACTACCACCATCTAATTCTAGAGTTCATCACCTTAACTACTTCTTATGCTGACCTTCTTAATTCTTTTAAAAAATGTGTTATTCCTCACCATCCATTTCACAACAAAGCTTTCTGACATGGCCACAGCCTTCTCCCTGACCACTCATCTACAGGGACCCTTCCCTGAAGCTGGGCACAACTAGCTGCTTCTCTCCTCCATGCACTTGGTTTTTGTTTCTCCCAGAAATTTCCCACCATATCCTAATCTAATTCATCAAACTCATCAAACTCAGCTCATGGGTCACCACTCCCAGGTTAACTGCCCCTGCAGTGGGCTCCTTCAGCATCTTGTGTGTGTATAATTCAGAGCATTAATTATGCTGTATTATTCTATATCCTCTTCTGATAAGGTTTCTTTTGTTGCCTTCTTCCAACTATTGTAGTTGAATATGTTGCTTATTTTCCTTCAAAGTTTCCTGTCTTCTGATCAGTGTATTAAAAACTCTAGTTTCCCCTGTAAAAACTGCTTTGGTTGTGCCTCATGCATTTTGACATGTGATAACCTCTTTAACCCAAGGAGTTAAGGGACTTTTTACAAATTTTGGTTTTGATTTGGTTCTTGTTGGTTAGTTGGTTGGTTTTCCAGAAAATGGAAAACATTTTAGCTCTTTTGGAATATTCCCTGTCACCAGTTTTTATTGTTATTGATTTTTAATTTTATTGCATTATGACCATGGAATATAGTTTGCCTGATGATACTGAATCTTTGGAATAAATTGGTGCCTTTTCTGTGACCTAGAACATGGCCAATTTTAATAAACATACAATGTGTGCCCAAAATGTATATATTCAATTTGTTGAATATAAAGTATGACATATATCTATTCTCTCAGGCTTATTAGTAATGTTATTTAATTCTTCTGTGTCTTTCTTTGCTTATTTTATGTCTGCTCTGTCCATTGGTATCCAAGAAAACTGTTAAAATTTCCAATTATCTTATTCAATATTGTATTCCCAGCACTTAGTACAGGTACTAAGTGCATTACAGTTTGTTATTGAATAAATGGAAATACTGCCCTGATGTATTTGATATCTAGGACTCACCTTATTAGAAACAAGTCATTTAGAAGCCAACTCAGCTTAGCTTTGATTCAACATGCCCTTGGCCACGCCCATGCCACTCTGCAAAGGGAGAAAGGTTACAGAGCAGATCCAGGCCAGGGCCTTGGAAAGGGCCCATGCAACGAGGGGCACTCACAGTTCTTTCATTTGTGAAAGTGCTTTCTCATGCCTTAGCTGTTTTGTGTTAGCTTCATGGCAGGACTACCAGGGAGGCAAATCGTATTTTATTATCCCAAATACACAGTTGAAAATCTAAAGGGCCACATCATGCTACAGGGTCACACAGTCAATGACAGAGAAGCAAGCAGAAGTCCCTTCACTGTTCTTAAAAAATTAGGCTGGGCATGGTGGCTCATGCCTCTAATTTCAGCACTTTGGGAGGCCGAGGAGGGTGGATCAGTTGAGGTCAGGAGTTCAAGATCAGCCTGGCCAACATGGTGAAACCCTATCTCTACTAAAAATACAAAAAAATAGCTGGGCGTGGTTGTGCATGCCTGTAATCCCAGCTACTAGGGAGGCTGAGGCCAGAGACTCGCTTGAACCCAGAAGATGAAGGTTGCAGTGACCCGAGATTGCACCACTGCACTCCAGCCTGGGCTGCAGAGTAAAACTCTGTCTCAAAAAAAAAAAATTAAAGGGCATCTTACTTTAAGAATTTGGTGATTTTCTCTTTAATTTATTATCAACGGGGTATGACAGGCTGGGCACAGTGGCTCACATCTGTAATCCCAGCCCTTTGGAAGGTTGAGGCAGGAGGATTGCTTGAGCCCAAGAGTTTGAGACCACCCTGGACAACACAGCAAGACCCCATCTCTACACAAATAAAAAAATTAACTGGGCATAGTGGCACACGCCTGTAGTCCCAGGTACTCGGGAAGCTGAGGCAGGAGGATACTTGAGCCTAGGAGTTTCAGGCTGCAGTGAGCTATGATCATGCCACTGAATACCAGTCTGGGTGACAGAGGAAGACCCTGTCTCAAACAAACAAAAAGAGTATGGTTAATCAATAACAAGTGTTGGCAAGGATATGGAGTAATTGGAACCCTCAGACATCACTGGTAGGAATGTAGAATGGTGCAGCCTTTGTGGAAGACAGTCTGGCAGTTCCTCAAAAAGCTAAACATAGGACCCAGCAATTCCACTATTAAATATATACTGAAGAGAACTAAAAACATATGCTTACAATAACTTGCATATGAACATTCGTAGCAGCTAAAAATGGAAACAACCCAAGTGTCCATCAACTGACGGAGAGACAAACAAAATGTGGTATATCTATACAATGGAATATTATTCAGACACAAAAAGGGGTGCAGCACTGATACATGCTACAACATGGATAAACTTTGAAAACACTGAACTCAGTGAAAGAAGCCAAACACAAAAAGGTCACATATTGTATTATTGCATTTATATGAAATGTCTGGAATGCGGAAATCTTTAAAAATAGAAAGTAGATCAATAATTGTTAAAGGCTTCAGGAGGGAGAATGGAGAGTTGCTGCTAATGAGTATGGGATTTCTTCTGGGGACTGTATTAGTCAGGTCTATCTAGAGAAACAGAACTAACAGAAGACAGATGATTGATTGATTGATAGAGATAGATAGGTAGATAGATAGATAGAGCAATTTATTATGTGAACTGGCTCATGCAATTATGGAGGCTGAGAAATCCCATAATATGCTGTCTGCAAGCTGGAGAACTGAGAAAGCCAGTGGTGTAATTATCCTAATTCTGAAGGCCTGAGAACCAGGAACTCAAACATCTAAGACCAGAAGATGGATATCCCAGCTCAAAAAGAGGGATGATAAAATATTCCGCAATTAGATAGCGGTGGTGGTTGCACAGCCTCGTAGTTATTCTGAAAATGTCGAAATTGCACATTATTGTTTGTGAATCATATCTCAATTTTTTAATGGTATGGCAAATCAATAATTCTGTATCACTCCTCTATATCCCAACAGAAAATTCCCTGGAAGCAACACAAAAGAGTGTAGACTTTGGGAAAAGATGGAGCATTTTTAAATTCTTCCCTTCCACTATGACCTCCAGAACCTGAGCATTTTATTTAACTTCTCTAAGCATCAGCTTTCTTACCTGTAAAATGAAGGCAAGATTACCTATCTTATAAAGTTGTTGTGAGGATTAAATGAAACCATCTAAGTAAAACAGCTAGTCCTCTACCACACATTTAATAGGTATGAATAAATGACTGCTCTTATCATTATGCTTTTATTATTACTATAATTATTTTCACATATTTCTGATCTTTCATATCTAATAACTTTAGTAATATTTTTATTTGACACTTCTAATCACAGAGGTATCAAATTTTCTTTTCTGTGAACATAATCTTGATGAATTCTTAGAAAATATGGCTTAAAGGAAAATCTATTTTTAGCACACTGAGACATCTACTGTGCCCCCTCCATGGAATAAATAATAATTAACAAAGCAGCTGCGGGGAAAAAAGCACATCCCATGAATTTATTCAATGCATTATGAATAGCAATAGAATTGTTTGCCCATTGCACCCCCTTGTGAGAGCTCAAGGTAACTACCTTTATTCAAGAGAGTAGGTGGTTTTGAGCCTTGCAATTCAAAGTTTGGTCCTTAGTTCAGCAGTATGGGCATCACATAAATGATTGTTAGAAACTTATTTACTTATTTTTCTCTCTTTAATTTTAGGTTATTTTAGGGTCAGGGGGTACATGTGCAGGTTTGTTACATTGGCAAATTGTGTGTTGCAGGGATTTGGTGTACAGATTATTGCATCACCCAGCTAATAAGCATGGTATCTGATAGGCAGTTTTTCATTCCTTACCCCCCTCCCACCTTCCATTCTCAAATAGGTCCCAGTGTCTATTGTTCCCTTCCTTGTGTCTACGTGTACTCAATGGTTAGCTCCCATTTATAATGAGAACATGTGGCATTTGGTTTTCTGTTCCTGTGTTAATTCACTTAGGGTAATGGCCTCCAGCTCCATCCATGTTGCTGCAAAGGACATGATCTCATTCTCTTTTATGGCTGCATCATATTCCATGGTGTATATGTACAACATTTTCTTTATTCAGTTCACCATTGATGGGCGTTTAGGTTGATTCCATGTCTTTGCTATTGTGAATATTGCTGCAATGCACATACATACGCATGTATGTGTCTTTATGATAGAATGATTTTTATTCCTTTGGGTATATACCCAGTAATGAGATTGCTGGGTCAAATAGTAGTTCTGTTTTAAGTACTTTCAGAAATATCCAAACTGCTTTCCACAGTGACTGAACTAATTTACACTCCCACCAGCAGTGTGTAAGCATTCCCTTTTCTCCACAACCTCTCCAGCATCTGTTACTTTTTGACTTTTTAATAAATAGCCATTCTGACTGCTGTGAGATGGTATCTCATGGTGGTTTTGACTTGCATTTCTCTGATGGTTAGTGATGTTGAGCATTTTATCATATGCTTGTTGGCCATGTGTATGTCTTCTTTTGAGAAGTGTCTGTTCACATCCTTTGCCCATTTTTTAATAGAGTTGTTTGCTTTTGCTTGTTAATTTGTTTAAGTTCCTCACAGATTTTGGACATTAGACCTTTGTTGGATGCATAATTTGCAAATATTTTCTCCCATTCTGTAGGTTGTCTGTTTACCCTGTTGATAGACTTTTGTTTGTGTTTGTGGTGCAGGAGCTCTTTAGTTCAGTTAGATCCCATTTGTCAATTTCTGGTTTTGTTGCGATTGCTTTTGGCATCTCCGTCATGAAATCTTTGCCAGGGCCTACGTCCAAAATGATATTTCTTAGGTTTTCTTCTAGGGTTTTTATGGTTTTGGGTTTTACATTTGTCTTTAATCCATCTTGAATTAATTTTTGTATATGTTGTAAGGAAGAGGTCAAGTTTCAACCTTCTGCATATGGTTGGCCAGTTATCCCAGCACCATTTATGAATAAGGATTCCTTTCCTTGTTGCTTGTTTTGTCAAGTTTGTTGAATATCAGATAGTTGTAGGTGTACAGTCTTATTTCTGGGTTCTGTATTCTGTTCCATTGGTCTATGTGTCTGTTTTTGTACCAATACCATGCTGTTTTGGTTACTGTAACCCTGTAGTAGAGTTCAAAGTTGGGTAGTGTGATGCCTCCAGCTTTGTTCTTTTTGCTTATTATTGCCTTGGCTATTTGGGCTCTTTTTTGGTTCCCTATGAATTTCAAAATAGTTTTTTCTAGTTTTGGGAAGAATCTCAATGGTAGTTTAATAGGAATAGCATTGAATCTATAACTTGCTTTGGGCAGTATGGCTATTTTAACAATATTGATTCTTCCTATCCATGAGCATGGAATGTTTTTCTATTTGTGTCATCTCTGATTTCTTTCAGCAGCATTTTGTAATTCTCATTGTAGAGACCTTTCACCTCCCTCATTAGGTATATTCCTAGGTACTTTGTTTTTGTGTATGACTATTGTGAATGCAATAGTCATGAATTGCATTCTTGATTTGGCTCTCAGTTTGGACATTGTAGGCATATAGAAATGCTACTGATTTTTATACATTGATTTTGTATCCTGAAACTTTGTTGAGGTTGTTTATCAGCTCTAGGAGCTTTTGAGAAGAGACTATGGGGTTTTCTAGGTATAAAATCATATAGTCTTCAAACAAAGATAGTTTTACTTCCTCTCTTCCTATTTGGATGCCTTCTTTTTGTTTTTGTTTGTCTGTTTTTGGGACAGGGTCTGACTCTGTCACCCAGGCTGGAGTGCAGTGGCATGATCTTACCTCACTGCAACCTCTGCATCCAGGGCTCAAGCCACCCTTGCACCTCAGCCTTCCAAAGTGCTGGGATTACAGACATGAGCCACCGTTCCTGGCCTAAGATGCCCTTTATTTCTGTCTCTTAGATCTGATTGCTCTGGCTAGGACTTTCAGTACCATATTAAATAGGAGTGGTTAGAATGGGCATCCTTGTCTTTCTCTGGCTCTCAAGAGGAATGCTCCCAGCTTTTGCCTGTTCAGTATGATGTTGGCTGTGGGTTTCTCATAGATGGCTCACTATTTTGAGGTATGTCCCTTCAATGACTAGTTTGTTGAGGGTTTTTAACATGAAGGGATGCTGAATTCTATCAAAAGCCTTTTCGGCATCTATTGAGATGATTATGCAGTTTCTGTTTATAGTTCTGTTTATGTAATGAATCACGTTTATTGATTTGCATATGATGAACCAACCTTGCATCCCAGGAATAAAGCCTACTTGATCATGGTGGATTAGCTTTTTGATGTGCTGCTGGATTTGGTTTGCTGTTATTTTGCTGAGGATATTTTGCATCTACATTTATCAGAGATACTAGCCTGAATTCTTTTTTTGTTGCGTTTCTGCCAGGTTTTCATACTGGAATGACGCTGACTTCATAGAATGAGGTAGGGAAGAGTCCCTTCTCCTCACGTTTTTGGAATAGTTTCAGTAGGATTGGTACCAGCCCTTCTTTATACATCTGGTAGAATTCGACTGTGAAACCATCTGGTCCAGGGCCTTCTCTGGTAGGTAAGCTTTCTATTACTGATTGAATTTTGAAAATCATTATCAATCTGTTGAGGGTTTCCATTCCTACCTGCTTCCATCTTGGGAGCTTTATGTTTCAAGGAATTTATCCATTTCTTCTGTTTTCTAGTTTGTGTGCATAGAGATGATGATATAGTCTCTGAGGCTTTTTTGTATTTCTGTGGGGTCAGTGGTAATGTCCTCCTTGTTATTCCTATTGTGTTTATTAGAATCTTCTTCGTTTTTTTCTTTATTTGTCTAGCTAATGGTCTATCAATCTTATTTATCCTTTCAAAGGACCAACTTTTTAGTTTCATTAATCTTTTGTGTGGTTTTTCATGTCTCAATTTTTTTAGTTCAGCTCTGATTGTGATTATTTCTTTTGTTCTGTTAGCTTTGGGGTTGGTTTGCTTTTGTTTTTCTAGTTGCTCTAGGTGTGATGTTAAGTTGTTAATTTGAATCTTTCTAACTTTTTGATGTGGGTGTTTAGCACTATAACCTTTTCTCTTAACACTGCTTTAGCTGTGTCCCAGGGATTCTGATATGTTGTATCTTTGTTTTCATTCATTTGAAATAACTTCTTGATTTCTGCCTTAACTTCATTGTTTACCCAAAAGTCATTCAGGAGTATGTTGTTTAATTTCCATGTAATTCTATGGTTTTGAGAGATCTGCTTAGTATTTTCTATTTTTATTGTGCTGTGGTCTGAGAGTGTAGTTGGTATGATTTTGGTGTTTTTTAATTTGTTGAGATTTATTTTATGGCCAAACTAACATGTGGTCAATTTTAGAGTATAAGCCATATGCAGATGAGAAGAATGTATATTTTGTTGTCTTTGGGTGGAGTGTTCTGTAGATGTCCGTTAGGTCCATTTAGTCAAATGTTGAGTTAGGGTTCTAAATATCTTTGTTAGTTTTCTGCTCGGATGATCTGTCTAATACTGTCACTGGGGAGTTGAAGTTTTCCTCCATTATTGTGTGGTTATCCAAATCTCTTCATAGGTCTCTACAAACTTGTTTTATGTATCTGGGTGCTCCAGTGTTGAGTGTATACATATTTAGGATAGTTAAGCCTTCTTGTTGAATTGGACTATTTATTATTATGTAATACCCTTCATTATCTTTTTTGATCATTACTGGTTTAAAGTACGTTTTGTCTGAAATTAGAATAGCAACCCCTGCTCTTTCGTTTTCCATTTGCTTGGTAGATTTTTCTCATTCCCCTTACTTTGAGTATGTGGGTGTCATGGCATGTGAGATGGGTCTCTTTTAGACAGCATGCAGTTGGGTCTTCCTTCTTTATCCAACTTGCCATTCTGTGCCTTTTAAGTGGGATGTTTAGCCCACTTATGTTCAAGGTTAATATTGGTATTTGTAGATATGGTCCTGTCATCATGTTGTTAGCCAGTTGTTCTGCAGACTTGATTGTGTAGTTGCTTTACAGTGTCAGTGGTCTATGAACTTACATGTGTTTTTGTGGTGGTTGGTAATCTTTTGTTTGCATGTTTAGTGCTCCCTTAAGGACCTCTTGTAAGGTAGGCCTGGTGGTAACAGAAGCCCTTAGCATTTGCTTGTCTGAAAAGGATTTTATTTCTCCTTCACTTATGAAGCTGAGTTTGGCTGAATATGAAATTCTCAGTTGGAATTTCTTTTCTTTAAGAATGCTGAATATAGGCCCCCAATCTCTTCTGGCTTGTAGGGTTTCTGTTGCAAGGTCTGGTGTTTGCCTGATGGAGTTCTCTTTGTAGATGACCTTCCCTCGTCTCTAGCTGCTTTTATATTTTTTCTTTCGTGTTGACTTTGGCGAATCTGATGACTATGTGTCTTGGGGACGGACGTCTTATATAGTATCTCACAGGAGTTCTCTGAATTTTCTGAATTTGAATGTTGACCTGTCTAGTGAAATTGTGGATATTTTTGTGGACAATATCCTAAAATATGTTTTCCAAGTTGCTTGCTCTCTCTCTCTCCCTCTCTTCCAGTTATGTCATTGAGTCATAGATTTGGTCTCTTTATATAATCTCACATTTCTCAGAGGTTTTGCTCATTCTTTTTTATTCTTTTTTCTTTATTTTTATCTGACTGAGTTGATTCAAAGAACTGGTCTTCAGGCTCTGAGATTCTTTTCTCAAATTGGTCTATTCTGCTATTAATACTTCTGATTGCATTATGAAATTCTTGTAGTGAGTTTTTCAGCTCTGTCAGATCAGTTTGGGTCTTTCTTAAAATGTCTATTTTATCTTTCAGCTCTTGTATTGTTTTCTTGGATTCATTAGAGTCCTTGGATTGGATTTTGACTTTCTTCTGAATCTTGATGATCTTCATTGCTATCCAGGCCCTGAATTCTATTGATATATCTGTCATTTCAGCCATGTCACCCTGGTTAAGAACCATTGCTGGGGAGCTAGTATAATTGTTTGGAGTGGAGACACTTGGCTTTTTGACTTGCCAGAGTTTTTGCAGTTGTTCTTTCTCATCTGTGTGGGCTAATGTTTCTTTAACCTTTGCAGCTGCTGTCCTTTGGATGGGGTTTTTTGCTTTTACATTCCTTGATGCCCTTGAAAGTTTGACTGTGCTAGATTTTGGGTTCAGTTGCTGGCTTTGTTTCTGTATAATATCAGCAGGGCAAGTCTCAGCTCAGCACTCCAGGGTTGCATGTTCTAAACCTGGAGGTCTGGTACCAGGCCTATGACTTTGTCCTCTGGCTCCTCACGCAGAGGTGTTCCCAGTCCACTGGCAACAGCCCTCCAATGCAGGAGGTGCTGGCAAAAGCACTTCACTGGGCTGGTGGAAAACACACACATGCTGCCTGGCAACAGTGGCACAGCAGGATGTGTGCACACCGGTGGGGGTAGGGTGGCAGAAGCAGGTTTCATGCACATGCACCAGTGGCAAAAGGGTAGTAAGGTCCATGAGTGCACAGATGCACATGGGCAATGCACTAGGTGGGAGGCTGCAGGCAAGTGTGTGCACTGGCAAAGCAGTTGGGGGGAGGCTGCAGGTGGATGCACATCAGTGGGCCTGTCTGTCGAAGTTCTCCAGTGGTTAGGCAGGGTCTGCTGGTGAAGGAGCTATGGCAGCAGCCCACAGGAAGTGCCCTGGTTGGGCATCCAAGGCTGCACTTCCAGCAGATAGTCAACAAAGGCCAACACCACCTAAAGGAGCATGGTAAGCCTTGGGGAATAGGCATCCCTGGCTGTGCTTTGCTGCAGCTATACCCACACCACCCCACTGGGCTCTGCACAGGCTAGAGTCCTGTCCCTGCCACCTCTCCAAGTAGCTCTCCCTGTCAGCCCAAATGTCCATGAGGGCCGTGGGGTCTCCTGCAGCTAAGATTCTAGGATTCTGGATTCTAGGATTTTATGGCAAGAGTGAGCCACTCCTCACCTATATAACTCACCCCTTCCCAGGAGCTGCTAAGGGCCACGCACGAGTCCTGCTGCTCGGCAGCCCTGTGCAGGGTTCCAAGCTTCCTCCCCATCCAGCCCAAAATCTGCCTCCTCCCTCTGTCCACTCTTACTGCCTTCCTTCTGAAGATCTGCTTGGAGTATGCCAGTTTTATTAATGGTTCGGTCTCTCAGTGAGAGATGCTTTTCCTGGCTCTATCTAGTCAGCCACTTTAGTTCCTCTCTGTGAGAAATTTAGATCTCAGTTCCCATCTTCTAGTCAGAATCTGCATTTTTATCACACTCTCCAGGTGATTTCTATGCACTTTAAGTTTGCAAAGTACTAGCTAATAGTGTATAGTAAAACACTTAGACTTTTATTCAGGAAACATTTATTGAGTGCTTTAGAAGCACTTCTTTTAAATAAAGAAGATAAATATAATTCTTTCCATAAAGATAATTGGGATTTAAAACCTATAATAATTAGAATTAACTGTGTACTTTTTAAAAGGATAATTTTATGGCAAGTAAATTATCTCCCAATTTTTAAAAAGAAGAGTATGGCAAATCAAGAATCACAGACAACCATTCTAAATCCTAATAGAAAAGCTCCATGGAAGCAGCAGAGTACACACAAAAAAGTGTACACTTTGGGACAGAAGGATCATATTCAAATTCTACCCTTTCGAGTCAATGAACTCCAGAGGAGAGTTATGTACACAGTTCAATGGTACACCAAGAATAAAACAACCAACTGTGATTGGAAGAACTGAAGGAGGGTTTAAGGGGGAGATAGCATTTGAGATTGAGCAGGAGCAGGAGCAACTTAATGAGCAGGAAATTACCAGGTGAGCAACACTGAGCAGAGTATTCCAGACTGGAGGAATGCCATGAGCATAACGCCCGGTTCAAAGGCATGTGATGTGTTAGAAGAATGTCAAGCTCTTTAGTGTGTCTTTGGTGGGTAAGGTATAGGTTAAAAGGCAGTTGCTTTGGGGAATGTGATTGTGAGAAATTCTCACTTCCTAAGGTATACATTTCTGTAAGTTTGAAAGGTTAACAATGATGTTTTATTTCTGAAAAAAAAAAAAGCAAAATGTTAATTAAAAGGCTTTTCTAAAGAAGGCATTGAAAGCTCTGGAAAATTTGGAAGACTTTCACCCTGAAAACTATAAATAAATTTTGTTATACTAACCATATATTACTTCTCATAAAAACCAATAGAAAAAAGATTAGCATTTAAAAATTAAAGATTATAAGCTAACTGTAAGAATAATTATCTCTGATGATTAGAGGAATTTGCAGTTTTGAGTTATATATTCTTGTAAAGTTTAATGTTTTCTTTTACAACAATCTGGAGTTATGTAGATAACATTTTTTTTCGAACTAAAGGACACAGAAGACAAATTTTTAATGAAGTTGTTTCTGGAAGGAAGGATATTCACAAATTATACATAGCTGCAAATAATAAGAGTTACTTCTAATTTTTAAAATTATTTTAAAAGTTAATTTATATAAATTAAAATAAGATTTCTGTCTGTATGCTGCCATATCCCACAAAATCACTGGATACATTGTCATCAAATCTGGGAGTGGGGATGACATGGAGGTGAAGGGGAGGAAGGCAGGAGAAGGAAAAGTGACTATAGGCAGGTGGCAGGGAGTAATTAATGGGTGACTGAGCTGTGACACCCCTGAGCAACTCTGGATATCCATGCAGCATACATGTGTTGGAATTTATTAACTGATAATGATATTAAAAAGTATAACTGTGCAACCATAGAAGTCATACTCCAATATCTCATACCAAAGAAAAAAAATCCCAGCTCACCAGCCAATCAAGAATGACAGCCAGCTCTTCTTTACCAAGTGAACTTGTTGCCCTATCACCCACCACTTCCACTCCTGAGGATGGAAATGAAGACAGCTCTTGGCTGGCTGTTGAAGGAGGAATGATCACAGGTGTTGTATCCCACCCCTCTCTCCTCCTAGAACCTGGTCCAGGACTGTTTTTTGCAATGATGCCCCATGTCTTGCCTATTATTTTAGGCTAGTGACCATTCTTTTTGCTCCTTGCCATACTGTAATGATTGTTAAGTATTTTTAATATTACCCTTCCTAGGTCCAAAACCTAGGAAGTTTCCTTTGTCACTAGAAGGACCAGCTTTCGGTCCTTTTGTAATTGACCAGCTTCCCTTGTCAATAAAAAGAGAAACAAATTAAGAGTACTAAGCGTAGCATTACCCAGTTATAACTACAAAGGTGGAAAACAGCACACATGGGGTGGGGGGGAGGGGGCAGGAGGGCAAGAGATAAGCAGAAAAAATATTTGAGAAAATAATGGTCAAATAGCTTCTAGATTTGATAAAAACTGTAAACACACAGACCCAAGAAGCTCAACAAACACCAAACCGAGAAAACTTAAAGAAAATCACATCAAGGCACAGATAATCAAATTGTTGAAAACTAGCAATAAAGAAGAAACGACAACAACAACAACAAAACCCTCTTTAAACCAGCCAGAGGAGAAAAAAGCACACTTCACAGACAGGAACAAAGATATGACACTAACTTTTTATGAGAAATAAAAGCAGCCAGAAAACAATGGAATCCATCTTTAAAATGCTGAAACAAAAGTCAACTATAATCCTAGAATTCTATGTCCAGTAAAAATACCTTTCAAAAGTGTGGCCAAATTAAAACCTCCTTAGAAAAAAAACCAGAACATAAGAAATTCATCACCAGCTAAATTGTTCTACAAGACATGTCTTTTTGTTTGTTTGTTTGTTTGAGACAGAATCTCACTCTGTTGCCTAGGCTGGAGTGCAGTGGTGCCATCTCGGTTCACTGCAACCTCTGCCTCCTGGGTTCAAGCGATTCTCCTGCCTCAGCCTCCCAAGTAGCTGGGACTACAGGCACACACTACCACACCTGGCTAATTTTTGCATTTTTAGTAGGGATGGGGTTTCGCCACATTGGCCAGGCTGATCTTGAACCCCTGACATCAGGTGATCTGCCCGCCTAAGCCTCCCAAAGTGCTGGGATTACAGGCGTGAGCCACCGTGCCCGGCCCAAGACATATTTTTAAAGGAACATCTTCCAGGGGAAGGAAAATAATATCAGATGAAAACTTAGATCTACATAATAAAATTAAGTACACTTGAAATAGTAATGATATGAGTAAAATTAGATTTTTCTCCATTTTTAATTAAAACGATTGACTATTTAAAGCAAATATAATATATTGTGGGATTTATTACATGTGTAGAAGTAAAATGTATAATGCCAGTAGTGAAAAGGATGAAAGGAAGAAAGAAAAAATTCCTGTTAAAAGATTCTTGGTCTAAAAAAACAGAGATTGTCAGATGAGATAAAAATGTTAGACCTAACTATATATTGTCTAGACAATAGCAACTTTAAATATAAAGATACAGGTAGGTTAAAATTTAAATTATGGAGAAAATGCCATGTTAACATTGAGCATAAGAAAGAAAATATCATGTTAAGATTGAGCATAAGAAAGGGTGACATTCAGGATAAAGAGATACAGAGGGACATTTTATTATAACAAAGACATAACAATACTAATTGTGCCTACACCCAATAACAGCACTTTAAGTTGCATGAAGCAAAAACTGACAAAAAAGAAAAGCTAAATTGGCAACTATAACTGGAGATGTCAAAATTCCTCTCTCAGTAATTGTTAAAACAAGCAGCCACAAAATTAGGTAGAACATAGGAGACTAAATAATACTATCAATCAATTGGACTTACTATATTTATAGAATACTCAACCCAACAACAGAACATACATTCTTTTCAAGTGTACATGGTACATTCACCAAAATATATCATGTTCAATCATAAAGCAAGTCTCAATAGATGTCAGAAGATTTAAATACTACAGAGCCCCTTCTCTGATTACAATGGAAGTAAATTAGAAATCAATAACAAAAAAATCTGAAAAAACTTCAAATAGTTGGAAATTAAATAATACATTTCTAATGAAATCATGGGTCAAAGGATAAATTACTTGGAAAATTGTAAAATATTTTGAACTGAATGAAAATTAAAACACAACATATAAAAATTTGTACATACAAATAAAGCCATGATTACAGGGAAATTTAAAGCATTATCTCCTTATATTATAAAATAAGAAAGGTCTAAATTAATTATCTACACTTTCATCTTAACCTAGGGGAAAAAAAACAAATTAAATGCAATGTAAGTAGAATGAAGAAAATAAAAACAAAAGCAGAAATTAATAAAATGGAATATAGTTAAACAAAAAAATCTATTAAACCAAAAACTAATTTCCCACACAAAAAAATCAATAAAATTGATACACCGCTAGACTGATTAAGTTAAAAGGAGAAAATACAACCAATATCAGAAACAAAAGAGGAAACACAAATTTCCAATATTAGAAATGAAAGAGGGATGCTACTATCGAGCTTACAGCGATTAAAAAGATAATAAGAGAATATTATTAACAATTTTTAGCCTATAAATGTAATAACTTAGATGAAATAGACAAATGCCTTAAAAGAAACAAATTACCAAAAATGACTCAGGAAGAAGATAGCAAATCTGAGTATCCCAATATCTCTTTAAAAATGTAAGTTTATAATTTAAAACCTTCTGACAAAGAAATCTCCATGCCCAGTTACCTTTACTGACAAATTCTATAAAACATTTAAAGAAGAAATAATACCTATTCTACCCAAAGTCTTATAGAATATAGAGGAGGAGGAAACACTTTCGAATCATTTTATGAGACCAACATTACCCTGATACCTAACCAAAATACATGACAAGAAATAAAAAGCAGAGATCAATATCCTTCATGATATAAATGCAAAAATCTGTAAAATCTCGACAAATCAAATCCAGCAATGTATAAAAAGGATAATACATCACAGACCAAGTGGTTGAATATTTAACATTTGACATTCAACTACTGTATTTCACCATATTAACAGACTTAACAAGATAACTCATATGCCTTTTTCAACAGATGGAGAAGAATCATTTGACACAACCCAAATGTCTTATAAAGTTAAACATAAATGTACAGCAAGACAGCAATTTCCACTCCTAAGTATTTACCAAGAAAATGCTAACTTATCTACACAAAGACTTGTATGCAAATATTCATAGTATTGTGGCTTTATTCATCCTAAACCAATACTGGAAATAATCCAAATGACCATTAATAGCGAATGGCCAAACAAATTGTAGCTTATCCATAAGATAAGGTATGCGACAATAATAAAAACAACCTATGTTACATGCAACAACGTGAATGAATCTCAACATTCTTATGCTGCTCTGAAAGGAACCAGACACAAAAAAAGTACATAATGTATGACTTCATTGATATGAAAGTATAAAAAAGAAAAATCTATTATGACAAGAAAGCACATCAGTGGATGCTTAGGACCAAAAGTGCATGGAAAATTAAATAAGGGCACAAGAAACTTTTTAGGATGATAGAAATGTTCCATATACTGATTATTTCACAATTATATTGCATGAAAATTTAAGGTATATAAATATGTCAAAAGTCATCAAATGTGCACATAAAATGGGTGCATTTTAATATGCAAATTATACCTCAATAAAAATTTTTTTTCCAAAAGTGCACCATGGGGGTTTTTATTAAAAAAGAAGGAAGAAGAAGAAGAAGAAGAAAAAGAAGAAGAAGAGGAAGAGGAAGAAGAAAAAGAAGAAGAAGAAGAAGAAGAAGAAGAAGAAGAAGAAAAATTGTCCTTGGAGGGTCTTATAGTAGCTGGATAGAGTGTGAGCTGGACTACAGAATATTCTGGCATCACCAGTGAAGTCAGAGAAGACTTCCTGCTGGGGCTTTGATGGTTGTTTGAAATCCTAACAGTCATACCAGTGTAGTGGGCATGGAGCAGTGCTGCTGATATTGCCAGTTCAGTGAAAATGTGAAGGTCTCAAAGCATGTGAGGAGCTTTGATTTACACTTTTGTACTTGGGTCATTTCCAACAATTCTCAGAGAAGCCAGACCTGCCTGGCTACATGGACAAGGGGACCATGTCTCCAGCCACTTTTCCAGGAACCTCCTGGTGCTGGTGCTGATGCTGTGATAAAGAGGGATGGAAAGAGAAATACCTGGGTAAGGAGGACATAGCTTTAACAACTGAGGGTCTGGTATGGTAGCACAGAGCTAGCTAGACAGGACTGAGTCTCTCCTAGGGAGGAAGTAGGAGTGAGAACCCAAGATTCATGGCTGGAGAAACAGGTAGACAGGCACAGAGACTTGTCCTTCCTTCAGGACCCAGATGGTCTTACATGTCCCAATCCCTACATCCTAAGAACTTCCCTCCTCCCTCCTAATGCTGCTGGTGCCAAGTGCCAGCCTCTGGCACAGACCTCTCGCATGGATAACTCTACCCAGTCACAGAGCTGCTGCTTCATGACAATGGTTCTTTCACACACTTTCCCATTTTCCAGCACTTGATGGCCACTTGTAGTCATTGGGGGTTAGAAGCATGATGTTAAAATCAGTTTCACTCTCCCATTTTACCGAGAAGGAAAGTGGAGCCATGGGAGGTGAAATCCAAATTACCAATTAGAGAACTTCAGATGCAAACAGACCTGAGTTCAACTTCCACTCTCTCACTTACTCGCTAAATAAATGTGGACAAATCCCCTACGCTCTTTGAACCTCCTTTGCCTTACCTGTAAAATAGGTACAATGACCCCTAGGTCATAAGGTTGTCCCTAGGATTACATAAGACAATTCTACCACACAGTAGCCTATCGACAATGGTCTTAGGCCAGGAGGCAGGAGATAGGGAAGATAAGGAGTGTTGTATCCTGCCGGGCAGTTTCCTGTCTTGACCACATCTCATTGCCTTCTCTGACTTTTGCTTCTGAATAAATGGACTTCAGTGTTCATTCTGGTCTCTCATTGCTCATTAGTGTCTTTTTTCTTCTCTTTTCTTCTTTGATCTAATTAGAGGAATCTGAATACTTGAAGGTAGTTTTCTGATCTAGCCAATTCCCTTGTCCGGCTTTACAACTGAGAGTGGTGACGGTGCCAGTAACAACAACGGCCACATTAATAATCCTGTTGGCTTCCTATCCCTCCCTCTTTAGAACTGGCAAAGGGCAGGGAACATGACAAGGCAGCAGACTGCCCTGGTCACTGGCAACCTAAGCCCTCTCACAGGAGCCACTAGAGCAGTAATTGCTACGTTCTCCCAACCCAGAGTGTTCTTTCCGCCAGAGCACAGGCAAGCAGGAGGGACTGGGGAATGAGGCTGATTTTCCCAGGTCCCAGCCATGCCTGGAGGAGAAAGTACAGACATGTAGGTGTTCAAGAGGCTTTCAAACTCCAGGCCCAAGGCTTCCCTTTATCTGGAACTCACATTCTTCCCCAGGCGATCTCAGTCACTGGCCCCTTCCATCCACTTCCAACTCTACCCAATCCCTTCCTCCAGGTGGGGCCTGTGAGCCGCCTGGTGCTCGGACCGTTGTTCACTTCTCTGTGCATGGCTTTGCTCTGCATGATGTCATTAGCACAAGGAAGCAACTCAAAAATGGGCAACCAGAAGGGGCACTCAGGCCATCTGTCCTTAGCCAAGACCCTTGGGTCAGATTCCACTGGTGTCCTTGGTTCATTTCACTTCTGTGGTCACAAGAAAGCCAAAACTGCACAGTCTTGTAACCAAGTACATTTCATGTACCTACTGCTGAAACCTAGTAAGTGTCTATATTCTAATACTATAGATTTATCTGATGATTGATACTGCTCTCCTGATAATATCAATAATAGCTAATACTTACTGAGCATTTAACCCTGTCCCAAGAACTGTACTCAATGTCTGAAATGCACGATTTCACTTAACCCTCACAACACTCTGTGAGGTAGTTACCATTATTATTCCCATTTTACAGATGAGGACACTGAGGCTCAGAGACACGGAATCACTCGCCCAACTAGGAAATAATAGGGGAGAAATTTGAACCCAAGGCTGAATGTTATTCTAATTATTATTCCCACCCTCACCCCATCATAATCAATTATAAAGCTGAGGGGAACTTTTCTCTGATCTAAGCTATACTACGTCTTATATGTGAACAACTTTTTAATGAATGAGACACATGCTCTCCTATTAATGAAAACAGAGAGATACCCTTCTCTGTGTTGACAATGTAGCTTTACCCTTCAGGCCCAGGATTGGGATCAAGAAACAGCTGAACCTGGTAGTACACTGCTGCCAGAGAAAAGAAGAAACTGGTCATTTGGTTGCAGCTGAAATTGCCATTTTTGATGCATGTCTTTGGTATACTAACGCAGGCAATGACTCCGATTTTGCCAGGTGTTGCCATTGTCTGGGCTTTTATCCTGATGGCATCGGCTGGATTCAATGCCCTGGAGGGCCACATTGAGGATCTAGTAGGACACAGGGGGTTCTCAGTCTCCTGCCTCAACCCCCTGAGGGTGCTCTGATTTTCTTGCTCCCTGGTATCAACCCTGGAGGCTTCACTGCATGAGCGTATAGAAGAAACATTTTAAGCTCTTTCCTGAGAAGAGACTGCACCTAATCTGCAGGCTCCCAGCACCCCTCAGTGAGGCTGGATTTGGTGGGGGATGTGGACAAGCAGTGGGACGGGGAGGATTTTATGACAGCAGGACTAATGAGGTGCTTCCTTGTGTAGAATCAAATGTCCTACTGAGTGACATACGGTCAAAACACAGTGTTGAAGAAGTCCAAGGAAGGGAAGAGGAATTCAGGCCACAGCGTAGGAAAAGTTTTCAGAAAAGCAGAGAGATGTATTTAAGCAAAGGGACAGCATTCAGGTAAGAAGGACATTCTTAGCAGAGAACATAGGCAGATGAAAGATTATCCTGAATGAGGACCAAAGGAGAGAGATGAGAGGTATGATATGTGGCTGGGGACCCCATGGGAATATAAGCATCAGTGGCCCTGGAATGAGAGCAAGAGGAGACGGCGGGCTGCCAGGCAGTGCCATGAGAGGAGTGGCTTCCCAGGAACACCAAACTCACAGGGCGTGCTGAATACAGAAGACATGGAAACAGGAGGCCAGTGACATCACTGCCTCCCACAGTCATGGGGGCCTAACATGGGACCCAGCTCCCAGACCCTGGGGACACACTGAAGGTCACCTACGGGCAATGAGGCTGGAATTCAGAAATTTGAGAAAACACTGAGTTGTGAAATCTTGTCCTCTCTCTGTATCTTTCCTTAATAAGCCAGGCTAGGCGTTTGCTTTCCAGTTCACAGTAAGAGGCAGGAAATTGGACTCAATCTTGCAGTCTTCCCAGGCTTTTGGCTCCTCTGTACCCACCCCCTCCCTGGCAGCCAGTGGGCACAGGCCTTTTGCCCTGGAAACTCACTTTACAAGCCAGGGACTAGTACTATCACTGAAGTCTTGGGTGCCTGTGGCCAGTATTTCCTTCCTGCCTCATGGACAAGGCCATGGGCCTGGGAAGCAGGAACCTGTCTCCAACCTATGGTATCATGGCCCCTTTCCTTCAAGTAAGACTCATGGGACATGGATCCCAACACCTCCCTCTGCAACCTCCCCCAGGGCAATTGCCCCCTGAGGTCTCATTAGAGTTTCTCAAAGTCTCTGGCGCAGCACTCAACTTGGTCTTGGAGACAAATCTCATGAAAGGAGTCTGCCCAGAACTGAGCATCCTAGGATGGTTGCTTCCTGGGAAAGCTCCTTGGGACCCTCTTTTCCATCATCAGAGATACAGGAGCCCATGAACCTGGATCCTTCCAAACACAGGAGACTGGTTTCTCAGAAACCATTTCCTTATTCCTGCCTCCAGCTCCAAGGGCTTCCTATAGAACCTGGAAAGTTCCCGGCAGCTATACCTTGACTTACAGCTGGGGATTCTCAGGACTGGAACAGAGTTGTCTAAATGATGGTTGTTGAGTGCATAGGAATTTGAATAGGTGTCTGCAAATAGAAGCCAATCTTCTGTTGGGCATTTCTACCTGCAGGCACTAGGGCAAGGAGGCTGGTACCATCAGCCCTGTTTTAAATAAGAGAAAACTAAAGCACAAAGAGGTCTAATGGCTTATCTGAGCTCACAGGGGTAGCCAGGGAGGAAGGCAAGACTCTCTGTCTTACTCTAAAGCCCAAATTCCTGCCCCCTGTTCTCTGGTACTTTGCTGTCCAGTATGGCAGCCCCTAGCCACTACAGTAGCTATTTATATTTAAGTCTAAATTAATTAACATTAAGTAAAATTTAAAATACACTTCCTTATTGTCATAATCACGTTCCAGGTGCTCAAGAGCCATAAGTAGCTAGTGGCCACCACGTCAGAACATGCAGACTTAAAACATTTCCACCCTTAGGGCAAATTTTCTGGAACAGCCTTGTAGTCTGAAGCTTGTTGTTCATACACTTGGGCAAGGAACTGGGCCACTGCCTCGACTCACTGCCCTCTCCTTACCCAATCCATTCACTAAAATAGCGCCACATGCATTTCAGGGCTGCTTACTCTGACTTGTCTTTCTTTCCTTGCTTCCAGCTCTCTCCAGTTTCCAAGAGTGTGACTGCAACCCTCGCCACTACACACAAGTAAAGAATGAGATTTGCATGCTAAGAACGTGATTGTGTGGGCTTGGGCCTCCCTGCGCACATACTGGCTATCCAGCAGGAGAACTGCCATGAGTGAGGTCCCCAGACGAGGGGCAGGTCTTCTCAGTCTCAGCCTGGACATGGCTGATGTTTCTCAGGAATCAGTGCCCTCTTGGGCCCCATGCTGTGCTGTGGCTAATTGTCCCTGGAAACAAGACCTCTACTAGCTTCTGGGGTTGCAGAGGCTGACAAAGGTCAAGTTTTCCTAAGGCCTTGCATTCCTTTTGGCCTCTCTACACTCAAATCTTATGTCTGGAAAAGCACCCTCATTCTCTGATCAGCTATCATGTGGTTCCTTTCTACAAATAAACTGCTGAAAGGATTTGCCCAGCACATGGCCTGCTGGTCTTCCATGTAGAAGGCATTTAGGCTGGGTCGCCTCTGCCTTCACAGCCACAATCCCCAATGCTGTCCAGGTATGGAGAAAGGATGCTGTCTCTGCTTTTGGCTGCTTTCTAGCCAGATGGCCCATGATAAAGTGGAAGTCAAGATGCCAAAGTTCTTCCTAACCCAGCGTTGAGCAGGCAATTCCAGGCTGCAGGCTGCAATGACCAGCCAGTCAAGGGATCCTGATAGTTATCTTCTCTTTTCCTTTCCTCTAGGTTTGCCTCTTCCGTATCAGACTCAGACAGGTTTTCAGTGGACACATCCTCTGAAGGAAGGATTTCTTTCCATGTGACTCTAGTCCTTTTCTCACTAACTAGGAAGTTGGCACATGCTTTAAGCCATTGGAACCAAAAGGAGTAGGCATTAGGGACCCTTTTCCTGCCTGAAAAGCAGACCAAGAGTCTGTAGAAAGAGCAGCAGGATGAGGAAAATATTTTGGAAGAAAGGCAGACTGAAAGAAAAGGTATTTGTAAACGTTTGCTGAAGAGCCACATATTGATAGCCTATAATCATAACTATTCTATTAACTATAAAAAGAACCCCTACAAGTTGATAAGAAAAATTTCAATTTGCAAACTCGATGCTGGGGAATTTGGGTTCAAATAGGGGAGGAAAGTGCATTCCAGGCACCAGGAACTGCCTGTATATATACAGAGAAACAACTGGCCTGAGCATGTTTTGAAATGACAAGGAGCTGGGTGTGGCTGTAGTACAGGAGAGTGGCGATTGCTAAAGCTAGGGAGGTAGAACTGGGACAGGCACAGAATGCCTTGCATACCATGCTGGGGAGTCTCGCTTATAGGAAACCAAGATCATATCCTGGATCTGATCAGGTTAACTTTGTAGACGATGCCTTGGGCAGGAGCGTGACTGATGAACTGAAGCCTTCTTTCACAAAACCCCTACCAGGAATGTAACACAGACCACAACAGGATATGTCTGTTTTCCCACCTTTGCCTTTACACTTTTAAATTGCCTTTTTCTTTCTGGCATCATTGACAGAGATCTTAGTTGCCTAGGCCAATATCCATTTCCTGTCTCTTGCATAGTAATAGAGATTCCAGCTTTAGCAGAGCACTAAACTGCTTGGAATAACAACCACACTCCTCAGCCTCCCTCTTACCTAAAGCTAAGTTTCAGCTGTGAAATGTAAATGAGAGCATTGTGAAGCTGTCTGGAAATATTAAAAGACCACTGGAACATGTCTTCACCCCCTTCCTTCTTTTATCCCTTTTATTTATCTGGTGTGAACTGAGTTTTCTATTAAAAAGGATGTTAGCATGATGGTCAGAACTTATGCCATCACCTTGGATGGGCCAACAAGATGGGAGAAACAAGAAAGAGCAAACCTGGCTCCCCAGTGATTGTGGAGCTGCCATTCCAGCCTTGATTTCTTACCTCTGAACTTTGTTTAAATGATAAATAATCTATCATATTTAGTTTAGTGTCATTTGGGGTTTTCTGTCACTTGCAACCAAAGTCCTAGACAAGAAAAGGATATGTATTTTTTTAATTTTGTTTCACAAATATCTTCATCTTCCAATGTTGCTGCCTTTAGGGAGGAACAGTTTATTCCAATGAACCAAAAGTTTAAGGAGGGCAGAGTACTCCCTGGAAGCAGTCATACCAGGCACACCCGGTGAGATATGCCAGCTGCAGCCTCCCACAGTACTCCCACATTCTCAGTGCAGCTGGTCGCATCTCCTCTGCTGTATATTATTGATCTCACAAGGGCCTCCTTATCTGCCTTTGGGAGAAGTGTTTAGGCAGGATTGGCCTGAGAATCACGTTTATCCTTTTATTCATTCACTATTTATTGGACACCTACTCTGGGCCTAACACTGTGACAGCCACGTTGAGAACAAGGACAGCAATGGGTCTGTTATGCGCTGCACATATCAGACCACTTGAGGAACAGCAGATTATGTTCAGAGTAGAGGGTCACATTTGGAGAGGGATATTGACAAATTTGAGCACATCCAAGGAGAAACTAGGATAGTAAATGTCTGTGCCCCACTCTAATCCCATGTTTTAATAAACTTGAAGCATGAAGATAAGGGAAATTCTGGCTATGGAAGATGTCCTATTTGGGTCTAACCAGAATCTTTTGTGTCCTTATTTTGGTAACTGACTCTCCTGCTTTGTAGAGGACATGCACCTTCCCATTCCTTGGGATTCTGATGGGGCTCTCAACTGCAGTACTCTGACCTCCAGCTACAGGCACAGACACATGACCTGAATGAGACCAATCAAAGCCCTTCCCTGATATTTTTGTCTATATCCTTTCGGATTGTGAGTTAAAAGATATGTTTGCAAGGCAGGCCATGGTGGCTCATGCCTATAATCCCAGCATTTTGGGAGGCTGAGGTGGGTGGATCACTTGAGGCCAGGAGTTCGAGACCAGCCTGGCCAATAGAGTGAAACCCCATCTCTAGTAAAAATTTAAGAAAAAAAAAATGAGCTGGGCATGATGGTGCACACCTGTAATTCCAGCTACTTGAGAGGCTGAGGCAGGAGAATCACTTGAACCCAGTAGGCAGAGATTGCAGTGAGCTGAGATTGTGCCACTGCACTCCAATCTAGGCGACAGAGTTGAGACTCCACATCAAAAAAAAAAAAGCTGTTTGCAGAGAAAATGGGTACTCATAATCCCAGCCATTCAGAAGAGCTAGAACTAATGGAGCAAACATCCATCCAGAAGGCAAGCTGAGATGGAGTGCTTGGGTCCAGTCAACTGTGGAGATGGCACTGTCACCATTCAGCCATTGGCTTACAGGAGGTAATAAGTGTCTGTTTTTATTTACCTGGTTTGAACTGGGTTTTCTGTCACTTGCAGTAGAGCCTTGAGCAATGCAAGCCATGATCCCATATGTTAAAATCTACTCTGTGAAACAGGGATTAGTCATCAGTATTGGTTCAAAAAGCCAAAAACTGGACTCAAAGGCAGAAACGTCAGGGCAATAGGCTTGGGTTCAGTATAAGGAGTTCCTTCTAGCAACTGGAATATTATTAATATGAGCTAGGAATAAGATTGACAGGTCAGAGGCTGGGGACTGAAACAGGTGAAATTATGTTTCCTCTACAGCTCAATGAGTGTATTATTCTATGCGGAGAAGAAGGTAACCCCATTTCCTACATTCTTTTGAAGAAATTTTATTATTTTGTCATTGGAGAAAATAGAGGAAGAAGAGGAAATGCATTCTAACTGAACAAATACCTAGATTTGAAATGACAACTTGAAGTTCACTATCACATCCATCTATTCATCCATCCACCCATCATCCATTCACCAAGCCATCCATCCGTTCATCTATCTATCTAGCCATCCAATGATCCACCTGTCTGTCCATCCAATAAATATCTACTATCTCTCACTCTATGCTGGACTTGTGCTAAATACTGTGTCTATAAACACAGAAGGCTTGGGCCTCATTTTTAACCTTAAGAGATACAGAGATCTTCAGAAGGAGGCAGACAGATCATCAAAACAATACCACAAAGGGTTAGAGGTGCTGGGACAAAAGTGTACAACTCACTCAATTACACCATGAAAGAGCTACTAGGAAGAGTGAGGATAAAGGTGTGTTAAAAATGGCTCCAGAATAGAGATGATACCTGAGCGAGATAGAAAAGAAACACTGGTCAGGCAAAACTCAGGTTGGTGGCTGGGGGGCGGGGGATAAGGTCAAAGGGGCACAAAGGCACGAATCATTTTTGGCCTTTAAAGAAAGGTAAGTGGTAGTCATTGCTAAAATTTGTGGTAAAACAGGTCTTGGGTTCAACAGAACCTCATGTAACTGGATGAGAGACTAGGGTCCACTGAAAGGTTGTAATCAGGGAAGAAATCTGACCTGAATTTAAGCTTTTAAAAAGCTGTGCTCAGCCAGGTGCGGTGGCTCACGCCTGTAATCCCAGCACTTTGGGAGGCCGAGGCAGGTGGATCAGTAGGTCAGGAGTTCAAGACCAGCCTGGCCAACATAGTGAAACCCCATCTCTACTAAAAATACAAAAATTATCTGGGTGTGGTGGCAGGCACCTGTAATCCCAGCTACTTGGGAGGCTGAGGCAGGAGAATCTCTTGAACCCAGGAAGCAGAGGTTTCAGTGAGCCGAGATCACGTCATTGCACTCCAGCCCAGGCAACAATGCGAGACTCCATCTCAAAACAAAACAAAACAAACAAACAAAAGCTGTGCTCACAGTAATACAGAGAATCAATTTAAAGAGGGCATGTTTTAAGCTTCACAATCAGATATATCTGTTTTTCATCAAATATGCCTAATGCTTTACTGTCATGGTGAACTCCAAAGAGTTCAAAGCCCTAGAGTCAAAGATCTCTACTAAGGTCCATGCTCTGTCATTCGCTGACCAGGAGGCCTCAAGCAAGTCATTTAACTGCAGTGAGCCTCAGTTTCCTCATCTCTAAAATGGGGATAATAAATCACAAAGTTATTATCAAAGGTCTTATGAGAATTGATGAAATAAATTAAATAAATTACGTGAAAGCATCTTGTAAATATCACATAACCACACAAATGCACAGATTTGTTGTTTTGTTTTGAAGGACATTTTTGTCAAGATGTTATCATAATCATATAAAATTTACAATAATGTTTAATGTCTATAGATTAGAACCAGGGAATTTGGAGGTGACAGGGTTTTTTTTTGAGGTGACAAGATAGACTGGATGGAGATGCCTGGGCTTTGGAATTCAGGCAGATCCAGATGACAGGGGATCATCGGTTTACAGGGAGGGGTTAGACATATGAACCTAAATTACTAGATTAGTACAAGAACGAAGGAAGAGGCAGGAACTGAGCATCACAAGCCAATGTCCAAACTAAGTACAAGATCCAGGTGCCCATGTAGGCAGGAGACAGAGGCAAGCAGCAGAAGTCTAAGTAGAAACCACAGGGCAGAGATCTGAACCACCAGGGCCGGTAGTATGAGAAGAGTTTGACTGCTGGTACCAAAGAACTCCTTCTGCAAAGACTCAAGTTTGTTCATTCAACAAACACGTACCAATTGCATTTGAGACTCTAGGAAGACAAAGTTGAATGAGTCAAGGAGCTTACAAGCCAATAAGGAAGATAGACACACATGAGATAATTCTAATACAACCTGCTAACAACAAAGAGAAACAGAGTATCTTTGGAGGACACAGGAGGTGCAGCTCATCCAGGCTACATTGTGTCAGGGATACCTCTGGTAGAGTCTTAGAGGATGAATCAGAGTTAGCCAGGACAACCAGACACTTTGGGGAATGAAGGAATGGCAGGCAGCAGGAATAGCATGAGGAATGGCAGGGAGGCAAGAAGTAGGAAAAAGAAGCAGTTCAATATTGCTGTGCCATAAATCAGGGACAATGGTCAGGGAGAGGTGGTTGCAGGTGATGGGAGAGGAGGCTAGAGGGGTTGACAAGAGAGCTACCAGAGCCAGCCTAGGAAAGCTGGGACTTCATCCTGAACACATAGGAAGACAAGGAAGCATTAAGCAGATGAGTGATAGGACAGGAAGTGCATTACTCAGAACCAAATTGCTATGACTGTGGAGACAAAGCAAGGGACTTGGGCACCGAAGAGGTGGTGGGCAAGAAGACACAAAGGAACAAAGTAGGAGGCTAACGCTTGGAGTGAGGTCAAATGGAAAGGCCACACCTGGAGAAGGAATGAGAAGCAAGTCAAAAGTGAGCAAAAGAGATAGTAGAAATTATGATTAAGGTTTAAATCTACATTTATTGACAGAGAAAGATGTCCACTAAATATTGTCAAGTGAAAAAGGATTGAAAGGCAGTATTTCACAACACGTGTGAAACGACTTCATTTAAAAATGTGTTATATGGCCAGGCACAGTGGCTCATGCCTGTAATCCCAGCGCTTTGAGAGGCCAAGGCAGGTGGATCACTTGAGGCTAGGAGTTCAAGACCAGCCTGGCCAACACAGTGAAACCCCGTCTCTACAAAAAATACAAAAATTAGCCAGGTGTGGTGGCATGTACCTGTAGTCCCAGCTACTTGGGATGCTGAGGCAGAGAATCACTTGAACCCAGGAGACAGAGGTTGCAGTGAGCTGAGATTGTGCCACTGCAACCCAGCATGGGCAGCAGAGTTAGCCTGTCTCAAAAAAAAAAAAATTAATGTGTTATGTGTATGTGCAAGTGGTTGGATATACACATACCTAGAGAAATATCTGGAAGGATAAACAAATTTATTTAGGTTTGCAGATTTTCTCTGGCTGTTGGAATTCCAGGTGCCTTTTACTTTCTTCTTTATATCTTTCTGTATTATCCTTTTATTTCCACAATTGGAGTGTGTTACCCCTATTTTCAGAAAAAAAAATCAATAAAGCTATTTTTCCATTTTGAAAAAATAATTTTTAATCCCAATGAAAAGTTTACCAAGTCACCCTTTGCTTCCACTCTTCCATGGTTCCTCATTGATCAAGTTTCTTGACACAGTCCACAGGGTATTTGTGATGTGGCTCCTAATATGGGAATGTTGGCTACTGACCACTATTCTCACTATATAGCCTCCCCCTTCACAAGGAGCCAACATCTCCCTAGACATATCCTGCTGTTTCTCCTTGTGAGTACCTCCCACTCCCCTCTTTTGCTGCTAATATTTTCCCTTCTTCCTAAGGAATGATTACTCTCCACAAGACTCAGCCCAGGCACCTCTCCTCCTAGAAGCCATTTCTTGATCTCCCCCAGTCTGAGTTTGGTGCCACTAGTTCAGACTTCCATTTGTGCCCAGTGCATAACTCTATCACAGCACCAACATATTGAATTCTGGTTGGCTGTGGAGTGTGAGTGTGAGTCCTTCTCCAATAGTAGATGACGTGCCTTTTTCCTCTGTCTCTCTCCAGTGTTCTGATACACAGCCAGACTCAAAAACTTTTGGTTAACTAAATGGATCTGTGAGTGATCTGTGAATCAGGAGAACTGGGATCCAGGTTATATTTGATTATGATAGTTAACAGTGGGCCCATGAAGATTTAGAAAGGTAGGTTGCTAATCTACTCCAATTCAGTAGTAGCCCTCCTCTCCTCTTTTTCTCCTCCTGCTTTGTCTCCTTCTTTCCTTTCTTTTTCCTCTTCCTACCCTACATCCACCTTTTTCCCTTTTCTTTCTAGAAAAGTATTTCTCGCATTTTGATTCATGAAAGAATTACCTGGGAAGCCTATTAAATGCAGATCTCCAGGCTCTAACCACAGTTACATTTTCTTAGGTCAGGAGTAGGGCCCAAGAATCTGCATCTTAACAAGTATACCAGTTGATTCTGATCCCACTTTGCAAAACACTATCTTAGAAAATGTAGAAGTCTTCATTTTCCTTATCTACTAACATCAACTGAGTGAGGTGTGAATGGTGTTATCTACAACATCCTCCATTTCCCAGTGATATTTCCTGATCCTACAAACTCAAACTTATCTCATTGATTCAGACTTCACATACATTTTGAGATACAGAGCAGCTTCTGGCTTGTTTCAAGTATGTACTGCGGCTAAGAAACATCTTCCCAAGGCTTCAGTGTGGTGGCCTGACTCACAGTGTGGTGACTTGGTCTTATTACACATCATAACAATAATTATCACCATGTTATGACCACAACAACTGCCACTTATTAAGCCCCTACTGGGTGCCAGATTCAGTAAAAAATATTTTACTAGCATTGTCTCACTTAATACTCACTTAATACAGCAATTCCATAAGGCAGATATTATCATTAGCCCCACTATCCCAATGAAAAAACAGATTAGGAGAGGTTATGGTCAAGGTCATAAACTTACAAGTGGTAGAGCCACTTGAACCCAGGCAGCTCTAACTGCCCTTCCACTAAGGCTCCTAATTTACTATTCTGCCAAATATTTCCTATAACAATAATAACTACCACATTAATAATAGTAACACTACATTACTACTTGCACCAAAATAAATTCCAGAAGGATCAAAGTTTTAAAGGTAAAAAGATGAAACATGAAAAGTATTAGAAGGACTTCAGGTACCAGGCAAAATGAAGAAAGCCCACTACACCCTATCTCTCCCTAATCTCTAGTTACAACTGAAAACTATGAACAAAATATGAAAAGCAGTTACCTAAAAACTAAACAAAAGCATACAGATAGGGAATGGGGGTCAAATTTGGAGCAGCAAACCAAACAAAAATACATTTCCCAAGTTTTCCTCCCTTTTCTCTTTTCTCTTATGCCCAGTCATAGAACTGTTGTGGTGGCAGTGCAGGCAGCCCAAACTGTTTCTCTGGCCAGGATAATTGGGGAAAGAGGCCCCTGTAGTCGAAACATGTGAGAAGAAACCCTGTTGTTGTTTTTCTCTCTTTCTCCTTTTGCTTCTTTGCCTTTAAACTGTGGGTCCAGTCATGGAACCGTGTTACAGCAGCAATGGTATAACAGATTTAAAACTCTAAGTAAAACCCTATTTTCCTGGCCAGAGCATCAGAAAAAAAAAGGTCCTCTGTGAGCTGGGTCAAAGGGGAAAGGAATTCCCTAATTCTGTGTATGAGACTGCACAAGTCTCAGGCTTAATCTTGAGCTGTGCATACACAGGAAAGACCCAGAGCAACACAGAAAAGGTTTTGGGAACTGAATTATTATTTAATCGCCCCAGTTTAATATTAACCCCTAAGTGGCACAAACAATTAGGGGTTAATATGAGGCTTGGGTGATTAATTAGACAGACCCAAAACACCATAGCAAAGGTTTGAAAAATAAATTTACATTGGAACAACCACCCACGGAAGGGGATGAAGAACTTGCAATTTGGATCTAATGGGATCTGCTGGAACATAAAAATCAACATTTTCTATAGATTTTAATGAGACCCAGAGTCATAAAATAATATTTTTAAATGTCCCAGAATACAATCCAAAATTACTCAATATAGAAAAAAGAAGAAAAACATGTCTAATTCTCAATGGAAAGACAAAAGATGCCAACCCTTAGATGACCCAGATGTTGCATTATCAAACAAAGATGTTAAAGCAACTATCATAACCATAGTCCATGAGATAAAGATGAACACTCTTGAAATTAATAGCAAGGTAAAAATTATCAGCAGGGAAATAAATCCTATAAAAAGAACCAAATGGAAATGCTGAAATTTAAAAATATGTAATCTGAAATAGATGATTCACTAGATGGATTCAACAGCAGAATGGAGATGACAGAAATAAGTCAGTGAACGTGAAGATGGATGCATAGAAATTATCTAATCTGAATAACAGAGGAAATAAAGATTGAAAAATAATGGACAGAGCCATAGAGACTTGTGAAACAATATCGAAAGGTGGCCAGACAGTGCCTCACGCCTTGTAATCCCAGCACTTTAGGAAGCCAAGACAGGTGGGTCCCTTGAGCCCATGAGTTCAAGACCAGCTTGGGCAACATGGCAGATCCCAATCTCTACAAAAAAATTACAAAAAATTAGCTGGGCTTAGTGGCATGCACCTGTAGTCCCAGCTACCCAGGAGACTGAGATGGGAGGATCACCTGAGCCCAGGAGTTCAAGGCTACAGTAAGCCATGATGACATCACTGCACACTAGCCTGGGCAATAGAGCAAGACCCTGTCTCAAAAAAACAAACAAACAAAAAAGCCAGTATCAGAAGATTTAATGTTCATGTCATTGGACTCCCAAAAGAAGAAAAGAGATTGGAAAAAAAAATTTAAAGAAATAATGTCCAGAATTTCCCAAATTTCTTGAAAAACTTAAATTTACAGATTTAAGAAACTCAGTAAATTCCAAACAAAAGAAATTCAAAGAAAACCATGCCCAGACACATCATAATAAAACTTCTAAATACAGCTCATCCTCAAATAATGTTTCATTTAATGTCATTTTGTCATAAAGTTGAAAAGAAAAAAAATGAATTTCCAGGTGGGACCACTGTCTGTGTGGAATCTATACATTTTCACCATATCTGCAGGGTTTTTTGGTCCAGTACTCCAGTTTCCTCCCACATCCCAAAGCTGACCATATTAGATTAAATGGCATATCTAAATAGTCTCAGTATGAGTGAGTGTGGGTGTGTACGAGTGTACCCTCCAGTGGAATGGCACCCCATCTGGGGTCAGCTCCCATCTTGCACTCTGAGCTGCCAGGTTAAGTTCCAACCACATGCAACCCTGAGCTGAAATAATTGGGTAAATAAGTATCTTACTTGTGTGTGTTTGCTTGTTTGTTTTGTTTGTTTTGAGGCAGGGTCTTGGTCTGTCACCCAGGCTGGAGTGCAGTGGCACAATCACAGCTCACTGCAGCCTCGACCTCCTGGGTTCAAGCAATCCTCTCACCTCAGCCTCCTGAGTACCTGGGACTACAGGCGTGTGACACCACACTCAGCAATTTTTTTTTTTTTTTTTTTTTTAGTTTTTTATAGAGATGTCTCACTATATTGCCCAGGCTGGTATCGAACTTCTGGACTCAAGCAATCCTCTCACTTTGGCCTCCCAAAGTGCTGGGGTTACAGGCATGAGTCACCATGCCCAGTCCCTTTACTTAATCTTTCTTAAATGTCTGTATAGCTCACACTTACTTCAGTGTTTAATGTTAGAAATGTTTTGACCTTTATTTGGAAGTTGGATGATGTTTTTGTGACCAGAAATATACCATAGGAACTTAACTCATTTATTTCAATTAGCCTATGGTCAAATTAATGTTGTCATATGTCATTTTGCTTAAAGTCACTATAAGTAACTACTTCCAAGAAAACATTGTGAAAATTTACTGTACCAACAAAAATACATATATTGTAAAGTCTTAAGAATCTAGAGAAAAGAATAAATTACTTCTAGAAGAACAATGATTCAAATGACTATTGATTTCTCATTATAAACCACAGTGGCTACATTAACACTTTAAAGTGCTAAAAGAAAATAACTTTCAACCAAAAATTGCATATCCAGTGAAAAATCTCTTTTTTTCTTTTTTTTTGAGATAGAGTCTCACTCTGTCACCCAGGCTGGAGTGCAGCGGCAATCATAGCTCACGGTAGCCTCAAACTCCTGGGCTCAACCTATCCTCCTGCCTCAGTCTCCCAAGTAGCTTGAATTACATGTGTGCACTACCACACCTGGCTAATTTTTTTTACTTTTGTGTGGAATTGGGGTCTCACTGTGTTGCCCAGGCTTGTCTTGAATTCCTGAGCTCAGGAGATCCTCCTACCTTGGCCTCCCAAAGTGCTGAGATTACAGGTATGAGCCAATGTGCCTGGCCTCCAGTGAAAATATCTCAAAGGAATTTAAGTGAAATGAAGACATTCTCAGATGAGAGAAATCTAAAAGAAGTTGTCATCAGTATGTAGGCTCTAAAATATTTGCTATAGGAAATTCTTCAGGCTAAAGGGAAATAATACTAGAGGGAAACTTGGAACTTCAGGAATTAAAGAAAAGCAACAAACGAGGTAAAAATATAGATATGTAAAATACTATTTTTTCCTCTTAATCTTTTAAAGTATGCATGACTATTGAAAGCAAAAATTATAGGATTGTCTGTTGGGGTTTTTGACATATGTAGATGTAACAAATATGATACCTATAAAATAAAAGGGTAAAGAGAACTATATGACTGTAAGATTTCTACATTTTACCTAAAGTAGTAAAATACTAATTCTAAATATACTGTAAAAGTTTAGGTATGTACACTATGCTCCCTAGAGCAAATGCTAAAAAATAAGTAAGTAAATAAACAAATAAGATACAAAAAATATATATAGCCAGAAAGCCAATTGATAAATTGAATAAAATACTAAGTATACTTAAATAATCCAAAAAAAAAAAAAGGGCAGGAAAGGGGGAACCCCAGAGCAAAAAACTAGAAGAGCGAACAGAAAATAAGTAATAAAACAGCAGACCTAAATCCAAATATATCAATAATTATACTAAATGTAAATGGTCTAAACACAGCAATTAAAAAATAGAGACTACAGGGCATGGTGGCTTACAGCTGTAATCCCAGCACTTTGGGAGGCTGAGGCAGGCAGATCACCTGAGGTCAGGAGTTCAAGATCAGCCTGGCCAACATGGTGAAAGCCTGTCTCTACTAAAAATACAAAAATTAGCCAGGCATGGTGGCATAAGCCTGTAATCCCAGCTACTAGGGAGGCTGAAGCAGGAGAATCACTTGAACTCAGGAGCTTGCAGTGAACCGAGATTGTACCATTGCACTCCAGCCTGGGCGACAAGAGCAAGACTCCCTCTAAAAAAAAAAAAAAAAAAAAAAAGTCATCTGACTGGATTTTTAAAAAAGAACCAACTATCTACTGTCTACAAGAAACCAACTTAAATTATTTATTTTTTAGAGACCAAATCTTGCTATGTTGCTCAGGCTAGCCTTGAGCTCCAGGGCTCAAAGGATCCTCCTGCCTCTGCCTTCCAAGTAGGTGGGACTACAGGCACACACCACAGCACCCAGAAAAGAAAAAAAAAAATTAAACATAGAGACATAGGTTAAAAGTAAAAAAATAGGAAAACATATACCAGTACAGTAATCAAAACAAAGCTGGCTGGGCACAGTGGCTCACACCTGTAATCCTAGCACTTTGGGAGGCTGAGGTGGGAGAATCTCTTGAGGCCAGGAGTTTGAGACCAGCCTGGGCAATGTAGTGAGACCCTGTCTCTACAAAAGATTTAAAAATGAGCCAGGCATAGTGGCGCACACCTCTTCCTCCCTATCACCCTACCCCTCATCCCCAGCATGCAAAGGATGGTTCTGTCTTCACTAGATTTTTCCCCAGGTCTGTTACACAAATCACTTGAGCCCAGGAGGCCAAAGCTATAGTGAGCTGTGATCGCACCACTGCACTCTAGCCTGAGCAAGAGAACAAGACCCTGTCTCAAAAAGAAAAAAAAAAAACAGCTAATATGTCTATGCTAACATCAGATAGAGTAGACATCAGAACAAAGAATATTACCAGGTATAAAGGAGGGAAATTACATCATAATAAAAGGTCAATTGGTCACTTTAACCAGGAAGAGGAAGACATCACAATCCTAAAAGCAAATGCACTTAAAACAGATCCTGAAAATACATGAAGCAAAAAAAAATAATAGAATGGAAAGGAGAAATAGATAAATCTACAATCCCACTTGGAGGGTTCAACATTTCCCTCTCAGAAATTGATAGGACAAGCACAGAAAATTGGTAAGGATGTAGTAAGCCTGAACACTCTCAAACAACTTAATTTTTTTTTTTTTTTTTTTGAGACAGCCTCACTCTGTCACCCAGGCTGGAGTACAGTGGTGAGATCTCGGCCCACTGCAACCTCTGTCTCCCAGGTTCGAGCAATTCTCCTGCCTCAGCCTCCTGAGTAGCTGGGATTACAGGTGCCCACCACCATGTCCAGCTAATTTTTGTATTTTTTGTAGAGACGGGGTTTCACCATGTTGGCGGGGCTGGTCTCAAACTCCTGGGCTCAAGTGATCCACCCACCTCAGCCTCCCAAAATGCTGGGATTACAAGCGTGAGCCATCAAGCCTGGCCTCAACCAACTTAATCTGAATGACATTTTTAGAACATGCCAAGAACATGCCACCCAACAACAGAAGAATATACATTGTTTTTCAGTTCACATGGAATATTCAACAAGATAGTTGATATTCTAGGCCATGGAATAAACTTTAACAAATTTAAAAGAGTTGAAATCAGACAAATTGTGAATAATACTCTACTATTCTACCACCATATTAGTACAGATGTTTACTGACCTCCAATGATTGACTTAAGATTTTCAACTTTACAATAGTATGAAAGCAATATGCATTTAGGGGAAACGGTCCTTTAAATTTTCAATTTTGATTTTTTTTCAGGCTAGCAATATGCAGTATAATATTTTCTCACAAGGCTAGGCAGCGGTAGCAAGCCACAGCTCCCAGTCAGCCATGCAATCACCAGGGTAAACAACAGATTCTCAACCACGAACTGTGCTACCAGCCTGTATTAGGCCATTCTTGCATTGCAATGAAGAAATAACTGAGATTGGGTAATATATAAAGAAAAGAGTTTTAATTGGCTCATGGTTCCACAGGCTGTACAGGAAGCATGATGCTGGCATCTGCTGTTTCAGGGGAAGCATCAGGAAACTTACAATCATGGTGGAAGGCAAAGGTGGAGCCTGCATGTCACGTGGCCAGAGCAGCAGGAAGAGAGAGAAGGGGAAGTGCCACTCACTTTCAAACAACCAGATCTCACAAGAACTCTCTCAATATACAACGCCAAGGGGGGATGGTGCTAAACCGTTCATGAGAACTTCGCTCCGTGATCCAATCACTTCCTATCAGGCCCCAATTCCAACATTCAGGATTACAATGCGACATGAAATTTGGGCAGGGAAGCAGATTCAAACCATATCATAGATGATTTTGCCCAACTATAGGCTAGGTAAGTGTCCTGAGCATGTTTAAGGTAGGCTAGGCTAAGCTATGATGCTCAGCAGATTAGGTATATTAAACACATTTTCAACTTAACTGCATTTTCAACTTACTATGGGCTTATTGGGACATAACCCCATTGTAAATCCAGAAGCATCTGTATTTGTACAGGAAAAAAATATGGAAGATTTCTTATGACTTTCATTGGTATGTGGGTTGGGGTATTACAGGAGCTGTTTACTTTCTGCTGTACACTTTTGTATTTCAATAGTTAATAAGGTCTATGTATTATTTTGTAATCAGAAAATAGTCCTGGGGGCTTTCTATTCTCACTGCTTGTCAGGTATAGAGATGTTTTTCCTCATCAGTAACCCAGATCTCTCAAGTTTCCGCATGGCTTGAAACACTTAACTCTCTAGACTATTGGAACCCATATGATTCCAGTAACGTTAAAACCCAATGCCCTTTGGGTACACGCAAGCACAAAGATGGAAACGATAAACATGGGGATTCCATAAAAGGGAAGGGGAGGGGAGGAAGGGTTGAAAACCTACCTATTGGGTACTATGTTCACTAAGTGGATCATTAGAAGTCCAAACCTCAGCATCACACAATATACCCAGGTAACAAACCTACACATGTACCCCCTGAATCTAAAAGAAAAAAAACAAGCTGGGTGCAGTAGTTCACACCTGTAATCCCAGCACTTTGGGAGGCCAAAGCGAGAAGATCACCTGAGGTCAGGAGTTCAAGACCAGCCTGGCCAACATGGTGTACTAAAAATATAAAAATTAACCAGGTGTGGTAGCATATGCCTGTAATCCCAGCTACTTGGGAGGCCAAGGCACGAGAATCGCTTGAAACTGGGAGGCAGAGGTTGCGGTGAGCTGAGATCGCACCACTGCACTCCAGCCTGGGCAACAGAGCGAGACCCTGTCTCAAAAAGTAAAATAAGAAGAAAAAAACACAAAACAAAAAAGAAACCCAATGCCCTCAGCTCCCTTCACCTCACTGCCTCTCTTGGTTCATGCCTCATTTCTGGCAGCAGGTGGCCATCACCTTCTCCAAATCAAGAACCAAAATCATGGTTCTCATGTTAGGCTTTATGTGTTTTTTTCATTAAGCGACTTCTCCTTTACTGCTTTGGGGTGGGGAGAAATCAGTTATGTGAATTTTCCTCTTGTTTGAATTATGTAGAAACCAGGAATTTACTCCACTTGTGAGTAGAAAGAACACAGTACTTTGTGTCAGAGATCCAGATTTAAATCACAGTCCTGTCACTTACCAGCTGTGTGACTTTGGGCAGCTTATTTTATTCTCTGGGCCTCAGTTTTCCCATCTATAAAATAATTGGAGAGAGACTAAAACGATGCACGTGCAGACACTGTAGTCCACTGTAATCATACCTCTTCTCCTTCTCCATCCACCAAGGAAAGTTCTGTCTTGTTTTCCTTGGGCTCTCCTTCTTCTACCCCACCACCCCACCCCTCATCCCAGCATGTAAAGGATGGTTCTGTCTTCACTAGATTTTTCCCCCAGGTCTGTTACGTAACTCAAAGTAATTTTTTTAATATTTCAACTTATATGGGAAAGACATAGAGCTACTAGGTTGCAGGGAAAAGAAGAAAGAATGAAGAAGGAGGAGAAGGAGAAGGAGGAGGAGGAGGAAGGAGAAGGGGAAGAGGAAGAGGAAGGGGAAGGGGAAGAGGAAGGACAAGGAAAAGGAGAAGAAGAAGAAAAAGAAGAGCTGGGAGCAGTGGCTTATGCCTGTAATCCCAGCACTTTGGGAGGCTGAGGCAGGCAGATCACCTGAGGTCAGGAGTTTGAGACCAACCTGGCCAACATGGTGAAATCCCATCTTTACTAAAAATACAAAAATTAGCTGGGCGTGATGGCAGTCACCTGTAATCTCAGCTACTCGGGAGGCTGAGGCAGGAGAATGACTTGAACCTGAGAGGCAGAGGTTGCAGTAAGCCGAGATAGTGCCACTGCACTCCAGGCTGGGTGACAGAGCGAGATTCCATCTCAAAAAAAAAAAAAAAAAAGTTAGAGGAAACTGAAAGAGGAATGTGCATTTTTTAAAACCAAGCTAGCTTGACAGATTTGGGCTATGAGTTTGGACTGGGGAAAGAGAAGCTGCATGTGAGACAGGTGACTGGATGAATGGATGGTTGATAGATAGATGAGAGACAGATAGAACAAATAGGAAGAGAAGAGGAGGAGAAAGGAAAGAGAAGATAAAATAAGAAAGAGGAGTTTATGTAATGATATACTGTCTTTCAGTCCTTTTTTAAGAGACAGAAGTAAAAGTTCAAATTATTTTGCAGTGCCAGATTGCCATTTATCAGCACACAATGGTGCCTAGAAGAGGCCACTGAGTAATGCTAGTTTTGTATAGGCCACAGAGGAATAATCCTTTTAGCTCTCACAGAGATAGAGAAGGTCCAATGAGATCACAGATACAAAATTATAATTGTTTTATTATTAAGTTTCTTTTGGCTTTCCAGTTGAATCTGAGCTCAGATCAGTTACCCAATGTTGTGAACACCAAATAGCTTGGGTAACAGGGAAACTGTAGAATCATAGTCTTTGCTTAGGTCTTTGAGGAAGGTACAAGTGTCACTTTACACATCTTTCAATCAGCCAAGCCCTAATGCGTTG
This sequence comes from Homo sapiens, assembly GCF_000001405.40. NCBI lineage: Eukaryota > Metazoa > Chordata > Mammalia > Primates > Hominidae > Homo > Homo sapiens. Next base: position 109,540,032 of record NC_000009.12, on the reverse strand, counting down.
GTTTTGATCATGGGATCTCTCTCAGCCTGCGTCCCACTGCCCTTTCTCTGCCCTTTCTCTTCCTCTCCCACTAGACTGAACATTTTAAGAAAAGGATGCTGCTGCTCATCTCTGTGCACCCCCACCTAGCAGGAATCTAAAACATGTTAGGCAAATAAATTTGGGATATTATGAGTCATTAACAGATGTTCTCTGTGTCTGTCTCTGTCTCTGTCTCTGTCTCACTCTTACTCTCTCTCTCACACAAACACACATATACCCAATGGCTTGAACTTATATACAAACCTGGGGGGAAAGGGAAGACGGGCAGCTCCCTAAGCTGCATGAGAAAACCTGGAGTTGATTAAGTTTCTGCCATCAGGAGGATTAAGTGCCCAAGAAAGGGTTTAATTAAAGTTATAGAAAAAGATGGCCAGGTGCAGTGGCTCACGCCTGTAATCCCAGCACTTTGGGAGGCTAAGGCAGGTGGATCACAAGGTTAGGAGTTCGAGACCAGCCTGGCCAATATGGTGAAACCCCATCTCTATTAAAAATACAAAAATTAGCCAGGCGTGGTGGCATGCGCCTGTAGTCCCAGCTACTCGGGAGGATGAGGCAGGAGAATCGCTTGAACCCGGAAGGCAGAGATTGCAGTGAGCTGAGACAGTGCCGCTGCACTCCAGCCTAGGTGACAGAGCGAGACTCCATCTAGAAAGAGAGAGAGAGACAGAGAGAGAGAGAGAAAGAGAGAAAGAAAGAAAGAAAGAAAGAAAGAAAGAAAGAAAGAAAGAAAGAAAGAAAGAAAGGAAGAAAGAAAGAAAAAAAACTAATTTTGTTTTACAGATCTGAATTTTGAGCCCCAAAATTCATACTCACTACAAGTGTTTATTGAATGAATGAATGAATGAATGTGGGGGGTAGGGAGGTTCTGCAGCAGCAAGATCTTGGTGGAGCAGTCTTGGCTGCTCTCCAAGGAAAGTGGTAATTACCAAAAAGAGCATCTGCTTTTTAGTCCTTTCTTGGCCACTTATTATCTGTGGTTCCTTGAGTAGGTTACAAATTTCTTTGAACTTCAGTTTTCTGGCTTGTAAAGTGGGGATAATGATACCTGTCCTGCCCTCCTTACAATGTTATCATGAGGATCAAGTGAGATAACATATATGAAGATACTTTATATGAGATTATAATAAGGGCATGGGAATCACTCCTATCTTGTGGTCCAAGAAGCAAGAGAAAAGTGAATGAACTCAAGGATCAGAGTTCCATGGTACCCCTCTTGTCAATCAAACTGTTTTTCTAGAACTGGCAAGGAATAGCAACTAAGTTTTCCCTGGAACCACATCAGTGCTAACTGGTGGATATCAATGATCGCATTCTCAACATCAGCAAAGAACATTTCATCAGGAAGAAATTCTCGGGGCATGAAAGAGATTTATTTTCATTGTGAAATTGTCTGCCTGCTATGTGACAACAAGCTAAGCTCTGGGTGACTATTCCTGTAAGACACGTCCTGTGCTTAGCGCTGCTATTATGGGGTGAACAGACACAGCAAAGAATCAATTAAAACTCTGACACATTAAATGGAGCTCCAAGACCTGTTTCACAGGTTTCCAGAAAGGAAAATAATCATGTTACATTATACTTTGGAAGCCGATTGAGGCAAGATTTCTGAGACAAGTTCTGAGGTTTCCAAGACAGACTTTAGCTTTTCTAAATCATTTTTTAAGTGCTATGTAAAGGATTACAGCATTCAATTCTCCAGTAGTCCAACAGCATCATGGTGGAGCAAGAGGGATTATCCTGTGGGCATCCTCCGGAAAACTGTAAGTTCCTTTCAAAAACTGCATTTAAAGAAATGATGAAAATATTGCAGTGCTTACATTTATGCCCATTTTGAAGTGAAAGCCAACATTAAGGGAGGAAAATCAGAAGCATACTAAAACTGTAATTCCTTTCTATGTTATAACAGGGCTCTAATACAAAAAGAGGCAGCCATTGCATAGGAACTCCCTTTTAGGAGAAATTCCGGAATTTTAGGAAGTCTCACAAAAAGTGAATGAGAGGGCTAATGGTAGAATATGAATAAAGTTTGTGGTTATCATGGCTTAAACTACACTTCTATGACAGCAAGTGGGAACGTTAATGATAAGAACAACATGGTTTTGGCTCATTCAGATATCTGTGTAAACCATCTCTCAGTCTCATTGCCTGAATAACTTCTCTCAACCTGAACAAATAGAAGATTTTGAAGTTTGGGCAGTATATTTTCAGAAGTGCTGCCTACAAATGAGCTTCAGTGGACATAAGGAATTGAACTGGACCAAAGGAAGTCAAGTGTCAGCAATGATCATTGTTGAGGGACCAGTAAGGCTTGCCAACACAATTGGCGTGTCAGGAAGTGATCTGGAGGACTCAGCTAAGCCCCAATCTTTCAGATTAATTCAGAAGTAAAGAACTAGAAAGAAAAGACAACGTGACAGTAGAGTGTAGATGTCATAATTTCAAGCCATTTCACCAGGAGAGAGTCAGGCAGACAGAGAGAAAGAAAAGGAAACCCGGAATGGATGGACAAGACTCGACCTGCCCACTCACATGTTCAGCTTTGGTTTAGAGCAGGACATTTTCAGAGGAAATGCTCTGATGGTGCAGGAATCCGTTCAGCTAGGAAAATAAAAATGTTTGACAATTCTATTCAAGTAATATGCCCTACATCTTTTCTTTTTAAGCGTAAGAAGTTGAGGAGGGGGTTGGAAACTCCCTTTTTAGCCAAGGGTACTAGTCACTATAATTTTTTAGAAAGACTTTGGTTTTTTTCTTGTTTAAGTTGCTATGTAAATCCTTAAGGACCCCTCTATTACTTGGAAAAATACTTTTTGCACAATAATGTGTACTTGTGTTTGTTAATGCTTTCTTAATCTTTTTAGAACAGAGGCTTTGTAGGCTATTGATGGAGGCTCAGAAAATGCCAGGACCTTGGAGTCTTGGAGTCCTGCCAAGGTCCTTGGGGCTACGGAGAGGGAGCCAGGTCCATGCCCTGCCCTGCACCCTTCCCTTCCCTCAAACGCACACTCCAACCACACTGGGCTTTCATTTGCGACTTCATATTGGGGGGTGGGGGGAAGGGAGGGGCAGGGAATATTTCCACAACTTAAAGCAAACAAAAAAATTGAATATCACTAAAATATTCAATCTTCTCATTGACAGAGGGGAATTTAACTTCCCAGAGACTTACAATAAGTTCATCAAAGGCAAGGCAGCAAGAGAAGCCAGGTCTAAGGGGAACTAGTTCTACCATATCTTCTTCCTTTCCCTTTGTTCAAAGGAGTTGGCAGGGTCTCTTCTGCCTTACCTACCCCTACCCCCACTTAGCTCTTCTCATATTCAAAGCCTTACATACACCATATCTTCCCTAAGGATAAAGCTGTGTGTAACCCATCCAATCCCACAAACATTTATTGAGCACCTTTTTGCAGCCCTGTGCCACGTACTGGAGATTCACAGATGGCACAGTCCTTGCCCTTGGATACATATACAGCCTGTTATAATTAAAGGCATCGTATCATTGCGCTTTGACAAAAATTGTCTTGAATGTACTCTATTATTGTAACACAAGAGAAAGGAGGGGAAATGGTTTGATGGTTCTTCAAAATGTGAAACGGAATTACTGTGTGACCCAGCAACTCCATTTGTAGGTATATACCCAAAAGGATTGAAGATCGGTATACATGGATATGCATACACCATTCACAACGGCTAAAAGGTAGAAACAACCCAATGTCCATGAATGGATGAATGGATAAACAAGTTGTGTGATATATCAATACAGCAGACTATTACTCAGCCATAAAAAGGAATGAAGTTCTGATAAATGTGACCATGTGGATGAACCTTGAAAATATTATGTTAAGTGAAAGAAGCCAGACAAAAGGTCAAATATTATTATTATTCCATTTATATGAAATATCCAGAATAGGCAAATCCATAGAGACAGAAAGCAGATTGGTGGTTGCCAGGGGCTAAGGGAGTAGAGAATGGGGAGTGACTGCTTCATGGTACAGGGCTTCCTTTTGGGGTGGTGAAAATGCTCTGCAACTAGACAGTAGTGACGGTTGCACAACATTGTAAATGTACTAAATGTCACAAATTGTTCTGTTTAAGTGGTTAATTCTATGTTATTGAATTTCACCTTAATTTTAAAAAGAGAAAGAAAGAAAAAGAGGAAGCAGAAGGCTCTAAAGAGAATGTATGTCCAGGTGCAGTGGCTCACACCTGTAGTCTCAGCACTCTGAGAGGCCGAAGCAAGCAGATCACTTGAGGCCAGGAGTTCAAGACCAGCCTGGCCAACGTGGTGAAACCCTATCTCTAGTAAAAATCCAAAAATTAGCTGGGCATGGTGGCACGCACCTATAGTCCCAGCTACTCAGAAGGCTAAGGCACCAGAATCACTTGAACCTGGAGGCGGAGACTGCAATGAGCTGAGATCACGTGATTACACTCCAGCCTGGGCGACAGAGAGAAACTCTGTCTCAAAAAAAGAAAAAAAAAAGAGGATGTGTAAAAGCCAGAAAATAAGCTTATCAGATCAACTGAAGATCAGCTCTTGCAAGCCTGGAATGTCTTTGGACTTTACTTATCCTGGGAGAAGTGGGAGAGCTAGTAAGGATTTTTAAGCAGGAACATAACTGGATCAGGTCTATATTTTACACTGAAATTTTTGAGTGGAGGCTGACAACAGCAGGGAGGTTCCTGGACCCATGGAAACGATATGTGGAGTCTGCCGGCCAGTGAATGATCATAAAGAACGTACCAGAATATGAAATACCTGCCTGATCATGTTTCAGTTAAGTCGTTGTAATGATCTTTCACAAAATTCAAACTCAGGAATATTAACTGAGATGAGAAATACGAACCACAATTCTTTTCAAACTGATTTTTTAAATACCATAAGCCCATCTTTTCGCACATCCTACCAGCTCTGGCATCCCACAGAGCTTTTAAAGTAAAATTAACCCACTTCATCTTCCTCCAAAGATTGCTCATAAAGACCTGTCTTTGAACAAATACTTTACCAAGGAAGTAAGCCTGCTTTTTATTAGAGCAAAATGCAATCCAGAAATAGGTTTAGAAAAAGAGCTATGACCCACGATTAATACAATTATTTTTCTTAGTCTCAATTTTAGTCACTTTAGCATGTCCAAAACTACTGCACACTAACTTTGTTTGTTTGTTTGTTTGTTTGTTTGTTTGTTTTGAGACGGAGTCTCGCTCTTGTCTTCCGGGCTGGAGTGCAATGGCGTCATCTTGGCTCACTGCAACCTCGGCCTCCCGGGTTCAAGCGATTCTCCTGCCTCAGCCTCCCGAGTAGCTGGGATTACAGGCGCAAGCTACCACGCCCAGGTATTTTTTTTTTTTTTTTTTTTTGTATTTTTTTGTATTTTTAGTAGAGACGGGGTTTCACCATGTTAGTCAGGCTGGTCTCGAACTCCTGACCTCAGGCGATTCGCCCGCCTCGGCCTCCCAAAGTGCTAGGATTACAGGCGTGAGCCACCACGCCCGGCCACACTAACTTTTTAAGAGCCAAGAGTTCGATCGGTAGCGGGAGCGGAGAGCGGACCCCAGAGAGCCCTGAGCAGCCCCACCACCACCGCTGGCCTAGCTACCATCACACCCCGGGAGGAGCCGCAGCTGCCGCAGCCGGCCCCAGTCACCATCACCACAACCTTGAGCAGCGAGGCCGAGACCCAGCAGCCGCCCGCCGCTTGCCGCTCGCCGCCCCCCGCCCTCAGCGCCGGTGACACCACGCCCGGCACTACGGGCAGCGGCACAGGAAACGGTGGCCCGGGAGGCTTCACATCAGCAGCACCTGCCGGCGGGGACAAGAAGGTCATCGCAACGAAGGTTTTGGGAACAGTAAAATGGTTCAACTTAAGGAACGGATATGCTTTCATCAACAGGAATGACATCAAGGAAGATACATTTGTACCCCAGACTGCCAAAACGAAGAATAACCCCAGGAGGTACCTTCGCAGTGTAGAAATGGAGAGACTGTGGAGTTTGATGTGGTTGAAGGAGAAAAGGGTGCAGAGGCAGCACATGTTATAGGTCCTGGTGGTGTTCCAGTTCAAGGCAGTAAACATGCAGCAGACCGTAACCCTTATAGATGCTATCCACGTCGTAGGGGTCCTCCACCCAATTACCAGCAAAACTACCAGAATAGCGAGAGTGGGGGAAAGAACGAGGGATGGGAGCGTGCTCCCCAAGGCCAGGCTCAACCACGCCGGCCCTACAGCAGGTGAAGGTTCCCACCTTCCTACATGCGGAGACCCTATGGGCGTGGACCACAGTATTCCAACCCTCCTGTGCAGGGAGAAGTGATGGAGGGTGCTGACAACCAGGGTGCAGGAAAACAAGGTAGATCAGTGTGGCAGAGTATATATCAGGGATATAGACCACGATTCCGCAGGGGCCCTCCTCGCCAAAGACAGCCTAGAGAGGACGGCAATGAAGAGGATAAAGAAAATCAACGAGGTGAGACCCAAGGTCAGCAGCCACCTCAACGTCGGTACCGCCGCAACTTACCGACGCAGACACACAGAAAACCCTAAACCGGCCAGGTGCGGTGGCTCATGCCTGTAATCCCAGCACTTTGAGAGGCCGAGGCGGGCGGATCACCTGGGGTCAGGAATTCGAGACCATCCTGGCTAACAAGGTGAAACCCCGTCTCTACTAAAAATACAAAAAATTAGCCGGGCGCGGTGGCGGGCGCCTGTAGTCCCAGCTACTCGGGAGGCTGAGGCAGGAGAATGGCGTGAACCCGGGAAGCGGAGCTTGCAGTGAGCCGAGATTGCGCCACTGCAGTCCGCAGTCCGGCCTGGGCGACAGAGCGAGACTCCGTCTCAAAAAAAAAAAAAAAAAAAAAAAAAAAAATTAGCCAGGTATGGTGGTGGGCGCCTGTATGTAGTTCCAGCTACTCAGAAGGCTGAGGCAGGAGAATTGCCTGAACCCGGGAAGCGGAGGTTGCAGTGAGCCGAGATCGCGCCATTGCACTCCAGCCTGGGGGACAAGAGCGAGGCCCCGTCTCAAAAAAAAAAAAAAAAAAAAAAAAAAAACCCAGAAAAGAAAACCCTAAACCACAAGGTGGCAAAGAGACAAAAGCAGCCGATCCACCAGCTGATAATTGAGAATTAGTCCGCTCCCGAGGCTAAGCAGGGCGGGGCTGAGTAAATTCCGACTTATCATCTCTATCATCAACCGGTGTAGTCATCCAACAAGAAGAAATATGAAATTCCAGCAATAAGAAATGAACAAAAGATTGGAGCTGAAGACCTTAAGTGCTTGCTTTTTGCCCATTGACCAGATAAATAGAACTATCTGTATTATCTAAGCAGCATGGGGTTTTTATTATTTTCACCTAAAGACGCCTCTTTTTGGTAATAACAAATGAGTTTAGTTTAGTTCTTTTTTTTTTTAAAGCCTGTTTTTTTCACAATACGCCTTTAAAGATTTTTAAATTGTTTCCTATCTGGTCAAGTGGAGATGTGTAAGAACTTCATTTTTAATTTGTAATGAAAGTTTACAACTTGATTTTTTCAAAAAGTCAACAAACTGCAAGCACCTGTTAATAAGGTCTTAAATAATAATAGTAATAAAAAGAGCCAATGGGATTACTTTGTACAGAGAATAAAAATCTGAATGAAACCAGAATGAAAATCTAATCTGTTCCATACTTCCTGAAGTAGCAAATTCAATGGAACTGACCAGAACCATTAAGAATCTATCAAATCAAACTTTAAAGGGGATTCAAAATATCTCCATCTTGTAGTTAGTGTATCTGCCAGCCAGCTTCCATTTGTCTTTTGAGAGTGGCCAGCTGTACTGACAGAAAGCCCAGGACTGAGGGGTTTTCTGGACTTTCAGTGCTAAGATCGGAACATTTGGTCACCCAGTTTCACTCCCACCAAAATCCCTTCTAAAATTCTTACACATAAGACTCATTCATTTGGAAAGTGAAAATTAACAGCAGAAATGAAGAGGAAAGAGGAAAACTCAGGCATTCTTTGGTATCCATAATGTGGAACGAAATACATTCAAAGAGGTAGAACACATTTCAATTGAGTTCTCATACTCACAACTCCAAACCTGTGTCCCATTACAGTGATGTGGCTTTCAGGCAGAATGCAAGGGATTTTTTTTTTTAACCTCCAAGTCAATCACTTGGCAAATGTCTAGTGAGGTCCTACCATGTGCCAGACTGAGAATCAAGTGTTGGGATCCAGAGATGAAGATGTACCAGCCTAGCCTGGGGAGATGCTCACAGGCTAGAGGCCAAGCAGAGGGGATGTACTGGGTAACAACCATATCTCACATGATGTAATTAATATAAGTAGAGCTCCCAGCTTCTAGGAGCCTGACCATACATTATCTCATTCTCAAAACTACACCTGAAGGTAGGTGTTATTATTCTCATTTTAAAGATTAAAAATAAAACCAAAACTGAAGCCCAAAGAGGTTACAGAACTTGCCCAAGACCCCCCAGCTAATAGTGGCAGCGAGTGGGTGTAAACCAAGATTTTGAGCAAGAACCAACTGATTCCAACAGTTTTGCCTATTCTGCTATTCCCAGGACGCTTTTGGCATGATCAGGGTTAATAAGATCAAGGCCATCCAGATTTCTGACCTTAGTCCAGCTTGTCTTAGCCCTTCATCAGAGAGCACCCTATCTATACTCTGAGCTGACAGCAAAATTGCCAGGTTTTCAACATTCATGTTATGGTAGGGGCAGAATGGGGGTGGGAAAAGCTAGATATTATTGAGATATAACTAGTGGACAATTGAAAACTGCTGTTAGGGGTTAGATCGAGATGACATCTACAGAAGAAAACTTTGGAGAAAAGCTTCATGACATTGGATTTGGCAATGGTTTCTTGGATAAGACATAAAAGGCACAGGCAACAAAAGCCAAAATAGACAAATTGGGCTTTGTCAAAATGAAAAACTTTGGTGCATTAAAAGACACTTTCAACAGAGTAAAAAGGCAACTCAGAGAATGGGATAAAATATCTGCAAATCACATATCTGATAAGGCATTAATATCCAGAATTTATAGAGAACCCATAAAACTCAACAACAACAACAAAACAACCCAATTCAAAAATAGGCAAAGTACTAGAATAGACACTTCTCTAAAGAAGATATATCAATAGCCAATAAGGACATGAAAAGTTGCTAAACATTACTAATTACTGGGAAAATGCAAATCAAAACCACAATGAGATATCACTTCACACCCATTAGAATGGATATTATTTGTTTTAAACCCAGAAAATGACATATGTTAGGAAAAGGATGTGGAGAAATGAGAACCCCTGTGCACTGCTGGTGGGAATGTAAAATGATGCAGCTGCAATGGAACATAGTATAGCACTCCCTCAAGGAATTAAAAACAGAATTGCCATATGATCCAACAATTCCACTTTTGGTTATACTCCCAAAAGAATTGAAAGCAGAAAGATATATGGATACAACATGTTCATAGCAGCACCATTCACAATACCCCAAAAATAGAAGCAACCCGAGTGCCTACCAACAGATGAATAAATAACACAATATGGTATATTCATAAATGGAATAGTATTCAGCCTTAAAAAGGAAGGAAATTCTGACACATGCTTCAACATGGATGAACCTTGAAAACATGCTAAGTTAAATAAGGCAATCACAAAAGGACAAATATGATTCCACTTATGTGAGTGGTCAAGTTCAGGGAGACAGAAGATAGAATGGTGGTTGCCAAGGGTTGATGGAAGTGGGGGAATGAGGAAATGTTGTTTAATGGGTACAGAATTTTAGTTTGGGATGATAAAGTTCTGGAGATGGGTAGTGGTTAGTGGTGATGGTGGCACCACAAAATGAATGAACTCAATGCCATTGGACTATAACTTACAAATAGTTATACTAGTAATGTTATGTTATTAATATTTTGCCACAATAAAATAAGGAAAGATGTGCTAGACATGGTGGCTCGCACCTGTAATCCCAGTGCTTTGGGAGGCTGAGGCAGGAGGAATGCTTGAGGCCAGGAGTTCAAGACCAGCCTGAGCAACATAGTGAGATGCCCGTCTCTACAATAAATAAATAAATAAATAAGAAAAGATGGTATGCAGAGCATATGCATCTAGTAACTTTAAATCCCCACCCCCAACGCATTCCATTTCATATGTTTTTTAAAAATCTGTTAGATGATGTGTTGTTGTTTAATAGGTATACAGTTTCAGTTTTGCAAGATGAAGGTTCTGTGGATGGTTATTGGTGATGGTTGCACAACAATGTGAATGCGCTTGACACTATTAAACTGTACACATAAATGCTTAAGGTGGTAAACTTTATATTACGTGTATTTTGCCAATTAAAAAAAGTTTTAATTCATTAGAAGCCTAGAAAGCAAGAGCAATTGCTAGCAACCCACCAGAAATGATGAGGAGTTTCTGAGTGATAGAGAACAGATAGGAATGGACTGAAGGAGAAACAGGAATAAAGGAGCCTTTGCTGGAAATACTCACAAGAATTCCTGCTGTGAAAAAGGATTAAGGAGGAGGAGTGATTTTCCAGGAAATTAACTGGGGCACTCTCTCGGACAGTGGTTCTCAGACTTGAGTGGGCATCAGTATCACCTGAAGGGATGGTTAAAGCACAGATTGCTGTGCCCCAGCCCAGAGTTTCTGATCTAGCTGGTCTGTGGTGGAGCCTGAGAATTTGCATTTCTAATAAGTTCCCTGATGGTGCTGATGCAGCTGATTGAGAGACCAAGATTTCAGAACCACTTTGAGAAGCTGCTGGACCTGCAGCCCTTCTCCCTCCTTCATGTGTCATGAGAGACAGAGAGCAGCATCTCTCCCAGGTGGAAGTGCTGAGTATAGATACTGAAGTCCCAGGTTCCTAGCAAATTCAAGGGGTGGAAGACAAGGAATCCTCACACCAGAGAACAACTACCAACATACAGCCTGTCCTTCCCCCACGATGATGGGAGGCACTTACTTGGACCATATCTACAACAATGATAAGCTTAACAGAGATTTCTAAAGTCAAAGAAGAGTAGGCAGCCAAGAGTAGCCAAATATTTAAGGAAAGCCAACATCAGAGAAGAGCACCAGTATCAAGAAAGAAAATTAACACACAAGGAAGTAGAATTAAGATGATTAGATATGTACAACTAATACTTTCAGACTCTAGAGGTGCACATACACACACACACAAGGAAGAAGGAGGAGGAGGAGAAGGAAAAGGAAAGGCTGTTACACACACACAGAGATTTGAATTTTTTTAGACATAACATATATATATACATATATATAGAAAAGTGCACCAACATGAACAGCGCAGCTCAGTGAATGTTTGTTTACACTATATATACCCTTGACATGACCATCCTGATCAAGATAAAGAATATATCCAGCCCTCCCAAAGGCTTCTTTCCCAATTAAAAACTGCCAAAGATAAACACTATTTTGCCTTTCCTCACCATTGATCTGTTTTGCCTGTTTTTGAACCTCATATAAGTGAAATCAGAGATCGTGTACACTTTCATGTCTAGCTTCTTTGGCTCATCTATGAGATCGGTACTCTTCATTGCGCATAGCAGTAGTTTGACCTTTTTCATTGATATGTAGTATTCCATTGATGAACATAACACAGTTTATATTTTCTCTCTACTGTTAATGGACATTTGCATTGTTTCCAGTTTGGCTCTTATAAATGATGCAGCTAAGAATGTTCAAATACATGTCTTTTGCTGAACATTAGAACTCATTTGTCTTGGGTATTTGCCACGTGACATTGTTTGGACATAAGATTTCTTTTGCTAAACTTGAGTAAATACTGTCCAATAATTGACCAAAATGACTGTATCCACCATTAAAGTATGAGGATCCCAGTTTGTTCTATATCATTGCCAACACTAGATATTATAATGCTTTTAATGACAAGTGATGGGGGAGATATCATGTGCTTTTAAATTGCATTAGCCTAATGCATAATGATGTTGAACACTTTTTCATTTGCTTATTAATTATTTGGATGTCCTCCTCTGTGAAGTAATCTTTACAGTTTTTTGCCTATTTTTTTGAATTAGATGGTATTCCTAATGATTTGTAAGAGTTCTTTATATATTCTGATTATGAGTCCTCTGTCGGATATATGTGTATTGCTAATATCCCTTATCAGTCTGTGGCTTGGCTTTTCACTCTGTTAATTGTGCCTTTTGATGAATGGAAGTTATTCATTTTACTTATCTATTTTTATTGATATGCAATAGTTGTACATGTTTTAAGGGTACATATGATACTTTCATACCTGCACACAATGTGTTATGATCAAACCAGTGTAATCAGAATATCCATCACCTCAAACATTTATCTTTTATTCCAGTTGGGAACATTACAATTCTTCTAGCTATTCTGAAAAATACACAATAAACTACTGTTAACTATAACTTCCCTACTTACTATCAAAATGCTAGAACTTATTCCTTCTATTTAACTATAAGAAGTTATTCATTTTATTTTATTTTTAAATTTTTATTTATTTACTTATTTATTTAGACAGTGTCTCGCTCCGTTATCCAAGCTGGAGTGCAGTGGCACAATCTCTGCTCCCTGCAACCTCCCCGCCCCTGGCTCAAGCAATTCTCATTCTTCAGCCTCCCAAGTAGCCGGGATTACAGGCGTGCACCACTATGCCCGGCTCATTTTTGTGTTTTTAGTAGAGACAGGGTTTTGCCATGTTGGCCAGGCTGGTCTTGAACTCCTGGCCTCAAATTATCCGCCCACCTTGGCCTCCCAAAGTGCTAGGATTATAGGTGTGAGCCACCACACCCAGCCAGAAGTTATTCATTTTAATGAAGTCCAACTTATCAAGTTTTTCTCTCATGACTTATACTTTTTTGTATCCTATTTTTAAATCTTTGCTTATCTCAAGACCATGAGGATATCCTGTTATGTTGCCCTTTAGAATCTTCATTATTTTAGCCCTTTTACGTCTATGATTCATTATGACTTTTTGTGTATGGTATGAAAGATCTAGCTTTCTTTTTTTTTATGGATATCCAATTGACCCAGCACCACTTACTGAAAAGTTGATACTTTCTCCACTGACTTGCTGTAGAATATTTGTCATAAATCCAATGACCATTTATGGCTGGGATTGTTGCTGGAATCTCTATTCTATTTCCTTTGTCTACTTATTTATCCATGTACCAAACTATCTTAATTGCTATAGCTTTATAAGTTGTTATCAGATATTAGAAGTCCTCTGTTCATCTTCTTCTATTGCCTTGGCTCTTCTAGGTCCTTTGCTCTCACATAAATTTTGTTTATTTATTTATTTAGACAAGGGCTCACTCTGTCACCTACGCTGGAGTGCAGTGGCATGAACGCAGCCCACTGCAGCCTCAACCTACTGGGCTCAAGGGATCCTCCTGCCTCAGCCTCCCACATAGCTGGGACCACAGGTGTGTGCCACTATGGTCGGCTAATTTTTTGACTTTTTTTGTAGAAATCAGGTCCTACTTTGTTGCCCAGGCTGATCTCAAACTCCGGGGCTCAAGCAATCCTCCCACCTCAGCCCCACAAAGTGTTGGGATTATAGGAATGAGCCACTGCACCCAGCTTCACATATATTTTAAAATAAACTAATCATTTCCACTTTAAAAAAAAAAAAAACTTGCTGAAATTTTTATTGAGTTTGCATTAAAACTGCAGATGAATTTAAAGTAAATTAATATCTTATCAATATTGTGTCTTCTAATCCATGAACATGATTTATCCCTCAATTTATTTTAGTCTTCTTTACTTTCTCTCAGCAATGCTTTATGGTTGTCAGTGTACTGGTCTTTGAAATCTTTCATTAGATTTATTCCTAAATATTTTGTGGCTTTTGTTGTTATTGTAAATGGTATTTAAAATATTTTATTTTCTAGTTGTTTATTGCTAGTATATATAATACACATACAAATGAATTTTGTATATTGACCTTGCATTCAGTTCCTTTGCTAAATTTACTTATCAAATACTTTATAAACTTCACATTTTCTTCATATTAAAACATATAATCTGTAAATAAGTTTTATTTCTTCATTTTCAAGAGTCATAACTTTTTAAAGCCCAATGAAGTATAATGAACAAATAACAAAATTCACCAATTTTAAGTATACAGCTTAAGGAGTTTTGTCAAAGGTATACAGTCATGTAACTACCACAATCAAGCTATAGAAAATTTCTATCTCCCAAAAAGTTCTCCTAGTGCCCTTCTGCAAAAACGACTAGAGAAAAAGTCATCTTGCTAGACCCTTCCTGAACACAGAGGGAAACGCTTGAGTTAATTAGCAGGAGGCTGCAGAATATAGGTCAGCTAGGTTCTCCTGAAGAGGGAGAGTGGCAGGCCAAGATTCTCCATGAAGTTGTTTCCCAATCCTGGTTGCACATAAAACCAATGGGAGGACTCTTTTAAAATACCACTCCCTGGGCCCAGCTCTTAGAGAATCTGATTTACTTCATCTGTGATGGAGCCCTGGCATTGGGTATCTTTTAAAAGCTCCTCAAGATGATCCTCATGTGCACCCAAGGCTGAGAACTATTGGACTTTAGAGGAAGTTAATTTTTGCAGGTGGAGTTAGCTTTTTAAAATGGCAAAAAGTCTATAACAGCTAGGTGCAGTGGCTCACGCCTGTAATCCTAGCACTTTGGGAGACTGAGGTGGGAGGATCGCTTGAGCTCAGGGATTCAAGACCAGCCTGGGCAACATTGTGAAACCCCATTTCTACAAAAACATTTTTTTTTAATTATCTGGGTGTGGTGGTACACATGCCTGTAGTCCCAGCTACTCAGGAGGCTGAAGCAGAAGGATCACTTGAGCCAGAGGGGTCAAGGTTGCAGTGAGCCATGATCATGATCATGCCACTGCACCTCAGCCCAGGTGACAAAGTAATACCCTGTAAAAAATAATAAAAATAAACTGGCCAGGCAAGGTGGCTCACACCTGTAATCCCAGCACTTTGGGAGGCCAAGGTGGGCGGATCACTTAAGGCCACGAGGCCAGGAGTTTGAAACCAGCCTGGACAACACGGCAAAACCCCGTCTCTACTAAAAATACAAAAATTAGCCAGCTGTGGTAGTGCATGCCTGTAGTTCCAGCTACTCGGGAGGCAGAGGTAGGAGGATCACTTGAATCAGGGAGGCAAAGGTTGCAGTGAGCCAAGATCATGCCACTCCACTCCAGACTGGGCGACAGAGCGAGACTCCATCTCAAAAACAAAACAAAATCCAAATCAAAAAACTATATAGCTATCACAAAAGGAAATTACTTAAAAGGAAAAGAATCCATAACGATCCTATCAGTCTTGCACAGCAAATATTCTCAAGGCTTTGTCCACATGCAGACATATTTTTACACAATTATATTCATTGTGGCAATGTGACTTAGCTTTTACTTTTGCAGTTACCATTTATTATAAACTTCTTGTTTATATCCCTACACAGGGAGGCAGTTTAGGCTCATGATTCTGAGTGTGGGCTTTGGAGTTAGACAAACCTGGGTTAAAATCTCAGGCATTTCACATGAGTAGTGAGTCTTGAGCCAGCTCCTTAATGTATCTGAACTTCAGAGGCTCCAGCTGTGAGATGGGAATAATAGTACCTCCTTCATAGGTTCATTCTGAGGATGGATGTTTGTAAAGGCACAGCAGCAAAACAACTGGCACTCTTCAGGCTTTCAATGAATGGCAGCTGGGTTGGTTTGTTTGTCTGCTGGTTTTTTTTTGAGACAAGGTCCCACTCTGTTTCCCAGGCTGGTGTGCAGTGATACGATCATAGCTCACTGTAGCCTTGACCTCCTGGGCTCAAGTGATCCTCCCATTTCCATCTCCTGAGTAGCTGGGACCACAGGTGCACATCAGGCCCAGCTAACATTTTTATTTTTTGTAGAAACAAGAGTTTCTTTATGTTACCCAAGCTGGTCTTGAACTCCTGGGCTCTAGCAATCCTCCCACCTCAGCCTCCCAAAGTGCTGAGATTACAGGTGTGAGCCACCATGACCAGCAGCAGTTGTTATTGTCATTGGACCAAGTAGTTATCCACTGAAAGGAATGACATCCCAGGGAGGTCATTGCAAACAGACCAAGGGGTTGAAAGAGGAAGGAAAGAATCTCATTCATGCTCAGCAACTGGGACTCAGGGACCCTCAGGAAGAGACTTGCAGAAGGCCGCATACACTATGTGTGTGTTTGTCTGTGCATGTGTGTACACATTTATATAAGCTCTAAAGATCCGGGAGTCTAGGCATGTATGGGGTGAAGTTACCACATTTGAGCATAATTCTGGAAAAGGAGAATTCCAGAGGGTCCCCAGGTCACCTGTTTCAATGGCCACACAACATAGCAACAAGAGCCATAAAGAATGAAATGCAGAGCCCAGTTGAAGACATTCTCTTGTTTTCTCTCCTTGAGTCTTCAAAGGAGTCCTTGGGAAATATGCCTGGAGGGCTGAAACTTATTAGGAGGTCAGACTCTGAAGACGAAAGAAAAGCATTCTTGTACCAGGTGGTATGCGACTATCAAGCCATTTAATCTGACTGTTTAAAAAAATGATATAGGCTGGGCACAGTGGCTCATGCCTGTAATCCCAGCACTTTGGGAGGCCAAGGCAGGCGGACCACAAGGTCAAGAGATGGAGACCATCCTGGCTAACATGGTGAAACCCCATCTCTGCTAAAAATACAAAAAATAAGCCGGGCATGGTGGCACGTGCCTGTAGTCCCAGCTACTCGGGAGGCTGAGGCAGGAGAATCGCTTGAACCTGAGGCGGAGGTTGCTGTGAGCCAAGATCGCACCACTGCACACCAGCCTGGGCGACAAAGCGAGACTCCATCTCATTAAAAAAAAAAAAAAAGATATAAATTTATAGAGAAGCACTATTCCAGGCACTTTAATGAACGTAATTAAATAATTTAATCCTCACAACAATCCTATAAAATAGGTATTGCTATTATCCCCATTTTACAGATAAGGAAACTGAGGCATAGAACAGCTAAGTAAACTTGTCCAAGGTAACACAGTAAATGGTAGAGTCAGAACTGAAAACCCACAGATCATGTTCTTCATCACTATTGTACCCCAAGCAGGTGAAGTGGGACATATTAATTATATTATAATTAAAGTTGAATGGTCTTCATGAAGATACCATGTCATAATTTGCTCAACCATTCCCTTTTGATTTAGTATTTTCCACTTTTAACTTTAATAAACATCTCATGCATGTGGCTTTTCACTTGTGTTGAATTATCTCCTTAGGATGGTTTCCTATGAGTGGCATTCCTTGGTCTGAGGAGATAAATCACTTTATAGTTGTTATTACATGTTGTAGTGTTTTCCAAACAGGCTGCAGTTTACAATGCCACTAGCAGGTACGCGTATATTACTTTCACCACCACCTTGAGCAGTGTGGGTGGAATTCTTTGTATAAATAAATATACATTTATAAAAATATTTGTTTAGTGTAATAGCTGCAAGGTTGGATGCTACAATGTGCAGCATCAGGCGTGCTAGTCAGCTTTTGCCGTGCTTCCAGGAGGTCCTCTTTATTCGAGGCCTCTTTATTCACTGAGTCAGCTCACCTGAATCTTGGCCATCATCCTCCATCAGGCCAGGCCCTGGACTTCGAAACTGTCTGAACTTTGAGAGGTGAGGGGCCCACACTTTTGGCCTTTGGTCTATAGCCTGCACTTAATGCCACAAGACATTGGCTAGGATTTCTTTTCCACTTGACCAGATGGCTTTCCTGCAAGGAACTGTAATGATTTAGAAGCCTAGATAGCTGCCCTCCTGGTCTAGGGTAAGTCCTGAGAGTTTAACATATTCCCAGGTGCGGTTAATGCTGATGGTCTGCCGTCCACACTTTGAGTCACAAGAACCTAAGACACCTTTATTCCTTAGACAAATCAGACAGCAAATAAAGCCCAGAAAGTCCCCATTATAACTCGCTAATTCCAGCTCTGCCACTGACAGGCTCTAGCCTCTCTAAGCCTCGGTTTCCTCTCTAAGGAGAGGTACCCTCTCTAAGCCTCAGTTTCCTCATCTGTAAAATGAAGGGATAAGACTAGATGCTCCCTGAGTCCCTTCTATGATTTTCATTTCCATCTTGGAATTTGTTAGCCCATTCATATTAGTTCTAACATAATAGTCATTCTACAAATAAAAGGATGAACACAAGCACCCTTGAAAGCACTGGGAGTACCAGGATGAGCAAGCTAGACCTCGTCTTTGCTTTTGTGGAAATTCAAGTCTAGTGGGAAAGACAACTAAATCAGAGTTGGAATATAGTTTGATAAGTATTTTGGTAGAAAAACCTCAGGATGTGAGGAAGCAAATAGAAAACAGATCTCACTCAGACAAGTGGGAATCAGAGAAGGCTTCCCAAAGGGATCATTCCTAAGCTGACACCCCAAGGATGAGAGGTGTGATGCAGGTGAAGTTGGGCAAAGGAAGTGGGACATGTTGCAGGCAGAGGGAACCTTACTGAAACTGGGATGCAATAGTTCCAAACTCAAGGCCAGGCGTGGTGGCTCATGCCTGTAATCCTAGCACTTTGGGAGGCTGAGGCGGGCGGATCACCTAAGTTCGGGAGTTCGAAACCAGCCTGGGCAACATGGTGATACCTCATCTCTACAAAAAATACAAAACCTTAGCTGGGTGTGGGGGTGCGCACCTGTGGTCCCAGTTACTTGGGAGGCTGAGGTGGGAGGATTGCTTGAGCCTGGGAGGTGGAGGTTGCAGTGAGCCATGATTCCACCACTGCACTCCAGCCTGGGCGACAGAGGGAAACCCTGCCTTAAAAAAAGTTTTGAATTCAGAACATCCCCCTCTGGCTGCAACTCTTTACCCCAACCTTTCTCCAGATTGCCATCTCTTTTTTTGTTGATTCATTGTTCTCTACATTCCATACACTTGAGTGGAGGGTATACATGTCACACACTCTCCTACAGGGCAGAGAGAGACTATCAAGGTGAGTAATGCCAGGCCTCGTGCTTAAAAAGACATGTCAGCCGGCAATTCCCATACAATGTGATAACTCTAATAACAGGTGGTACTGGGTGTGGGTGTAGAGGGCGTGTGTGCAAGTGCACTCAGGAAAAAGCACTTAAGAAAATAATTGAAATTGTGTGGGCAGGATCAACAGGACTTTCGAGTCTTTGCTAGGATGGAAGAGGACTGGCTTTTGCTTAGTGACATTGTGGCCTTCTGTGGACGCACTTTGTGGCTCACCATCCCCTTACCTTAACGTACGTGAATTTAACAAACCAGGCCACGGACAGTGCTATAACTGAACAGTAGAGGGCGCAAAGAGACTGTGTGCTTGACACAAACTGTCCCACATACTTGCCAATCCAAAAGGAAACACTGTCAAGAAGGCTCTGAAAGAAAGATGAGGGAACAGTTGAAGCCCAGAGAAGGAAAGGATCACACAGCTGATCCCCAGCACAGCAAGCATGTTCCGCTAGGCGCCTGCAGTTTACTCTGTCATGCTGTCAATTTTCCAAACTCTCAATTCATATACTTCGGGATGCTCCTAGAAGCACTATTCTTTTTTCCTTTCCATTTCTTTCTTTCTTTATTTTTATTTGGGGAGGTAGGGGAGCCATGATGTAGAGGCACATTTCTGTTTATAAATCTCTTACAAATACAGTACAGTACAACACTGAGCTGTGTGCTGTCTTTCTTCCTAATCTGAAATTGGAGTCAAGTTCCCTGGGGAAAATGCAATGGCGCAGAGCATGGGCTCTAGATAAATCTAGGTAAGTTTTGCCTCTTCTTGGTATGATCTTGGAGGCATTTCTTTTTTTTTTTTTTTGAGACAGACTCTCGCTGTATCACCCAGGCTGGAGTGCAGTGGCGCCATCTCGGCTCACTGCAAGCTCCACCTCCTGGGTTCATGCCTTTCTCCTGCCTCAGCCTCCTGAGTAGCTGCGACTACAGGCACCCACCACCACGCCTGGCTAATTTTTTGTATTTTTAGTAGAGACAGGGTTTCACTGTGTTAGCCAGGATGGTCTCGATCTCCTGACCTCATGAACCTTACCAACTCGGCCTCCCAAAGTGCTGGGATTACAGGCGTGAGCCAGCGTGCCCTTGGATGCATTTCTTAATCATCTCAAGGCTCTGGATCTTAATCTGTCAAACTGGGCATTGTTCACACATATACCTCACAAGGCTGTCAGGGTTAAGTGCGTTGATGCAAATGTGCTCTTAACAGTTCCTGGCAAGGAGCACTTGCTCCATCAAAGTGTCCTCTTATTCTCAATCTCCTGGCTGAACAGCACTGGTCAGCCTCCCTGCACGGGTCAGCCTCCCTGCACCATGAGGAGTCCAGCCCTTGCAGTCAGCAAGTTTGTTTGGCTTCAAGTCCCAACGCTACCATGTCATTTACAGGCTATGTGACCTTGAGGAAGTTCCTTCTCTGCCCTGGGCCACAGTTTCCTCATTCTTCAAACAAGGCTGATAAGGTCACTGGTATTACTACTGATGCTCCTCGACCTATGATGCAGTTACATCCCAGCGAACCCATCATAAGTTGAAAACGTACTAAGTCAAAAATACATTTAATACACCTAACCTACTGAACATCATAGCTTAGCCCTGTCTCCCTTAAACATGCTTGAAACACTTACATTAGCCTACGGTTGGGCAAAATCATCTAACACAAAGCTTGTTTTATAATGAAGTATTGGTATCTCTTATTGATGTTCAGCTGAATGTGTATTGCTTTCACACCACTGTAAAGTCGAAAGTTGTAACGTGAACCCTCTGCACTACTTCTTCTGTTGCAGGAAGAATTCCTTTTGACTCAGTTCATAACACATTTTCTGATGCCCTGATATGCCTTAGGCCCAGTGCTGGGTTCTGGAGAGAAAGAGACAGATGTTTGAGGAATCTAGAGGTCAAGTGGACTAGGCAGGCTGGTGGTCATGTTACCGGAGACTATGATGAATACAAGAGAAGGAGAAGTTAGGGGGCTCCAGGAAGTCTTCCTGGAGGAAGTAAAATGTTCAGTTGGCTTTTGAAGGATGAATAGGAGTTTGCCAGACTCCTTTAAAGTATGCTTTTTCTTATTCTCAGTCTTCTGGATGAACAGCACTGGTCAGCCTCCCTGCACTGACCTTATCAGCCCTGTTTGAGGAATGAGGAAACTGTGGCCCAGGGCAGAGAAGGAACTTGCTCAAGATCATGTCCTTCTTTAAAGTCAATGGAGATGGTTTGTGGAATTATGAGCCCTGAATGGGAGGTTTGTGACACATACCAGCCAGAGCTTTACTTCAGTTGTAACCTCAGGGCCCTCAAGCCCATTACTCCAACAAGTGTTCCTCTTTTCTCCCAAACACCCCTCTGGATGGAGGCAGGGGAGTCTTGGCAGGCTGGTGAATTAAACCTGCTTTAGAAGGAAGGAAGCCTTAATTACGGTGATTGGGAGATGGCAGGAGGCACCCAGACCACACAGATCACCTAGAGGCTGGGTCACCCTGATCAGCACCTGTCCAATGGGAGCATCCTATGGCCAAAGGTTCTCTGCATCTCTCTGCCTCCAATTGGACTAGGCATGACAATCTCAGCCTCTACTCCACCTCCAGTGCAGCCACACCAGGGGCCCTCTAGCATCCCATGAAGCTGTGAACTCTGCAGGAGGTGGGTGCCATGTCTGAGTTCTTTTCTGTAACCTCAGCTCCTGGCATAGAGCCTGGCTGAGAGGACCTCACTCAGTAAATGTTTGCTGAATTGAATTGAACTGAGCCCAGAATTCTTGACTCTTTCCAGTCAATGTTTTTGTTTTCCTGTCTTGGCAGGAGCAGAGGGAACAAAGAGGTAACTGGAGAGTATGTAATGAAGGGATTACTTAGAGAGACCTGAGCAGGGTTAAAGGAAACCATAGTGAAGCACCCAGAGACCAGCCACTGCAGGAAGCCGTAACCACCCCTAGGCCTGCAGGGGAAAAGAAAGGGAGCTGGTGAAGGATTTGGCAAGAGCTGCAGCCAGGAGAGAGGACCTGCTTGACAGGCATCATGGATGCAGTCATTGCCAAACCACAGCCTGCAGGGAGTGGCCAGGAGACTCAATGTCCACCCTCTCTCTCATCCTACCCAGCTTCTGCTAGGGTCTCCCACTGATGGAACCCAATGGCAGCCAGAGGCCAAAGAAGCCCAGATGGTCCAGGCCACAGAAGGCAGCTGTGCAGGCACAGGCCAGAGTGACTAGAAGTAGAGAGCACATCTGGATGGGCAAGGGAGAACAGCCAGCACCAGAGGCTTTCCCCAAATTATGGTTTCCATCACATGGTCATCAGAACTATTTCAGGAGCTTGTTTCAAAAGCAGACTTCCTGGGCTCCAACCCAGACCTACTAAATCAAAATACCTATCTCCAAACTAGACCTAAATCAAATACCTATGAGGCTTGGGAATCCATAGTTGTAGGACATTTCCCCAGCTGATTTTAATTCACATTCATTTTTGATAACCACTACCTTGAACAGGCGCTTTGGACGGTATAGCAGTGGGTACCGTTAGAGGATCTCTGGAAGTATAGAATTACAATAATTCTTAACTTGGTTAATTCATAATTTGAACTTATAGCATCACCTCCAGGTATTGGGACCTGATGATGTTGGTTCCCCAGGCCTGGGGGACCTCAAAGGATCAGAGAACCTCAACACATTCATCCAATGTAACTGAGCATGTATTAACTTCCAAGCCCTGTGGAGAGTTCTGGCCACACAAAGGTGAATAAAAATGGTCCTTGCTTGGGATTTCCTAGGATAACTCTTAGGTCCATCTAGGGATTCTTCTGGGGCTCCAAAGATCATCCTCAACATGTGAGGATGACTTTTCAGTGCCTCTGCAAGCACCAGCTATGGCCAGGCAAAGTAACAAATCAAACCCATGGCTTCAACCACTATCTACACACTATGACACCCGAATACCTATGTCTCCTGAGTTCTGAGTATTCAGCTGCCTACGGAATATATGCTTGGAGGCCCCACAGTTCCCTCCTATCCACATGTGCCTAAGAGGACCCCTATTCCATCCCTGCTCACCTCGCAAGTCCCCTAACCTAAATGAATGGTGTCACCATCTGCCCAGTAGTTTAAGTAGAAACCTGGGAGCTCTCCCATTCTTCAGTAACCAGGTCTACCTCTCCCATCCCTTCACTTCTCTTGTTTTCCACCAGCCTGCCAGGTGGTCTTCATTGTTCCCTTTTATTAGTGCAATGACCTAGCAAGAGTCTTTGCCTTCTCCACAATCATTGTTGCCCGATGGTCTTTTAAATAAGCAAAATACAAATGTGTTACTCCCCTTCTTACAATCTTCAATGCTCCCCAGTGCCCTTGGAACCAAGTCCAGACTCCTGGTTGTAGTATACAAGCTGTGTACACCTGGCTATGCCTGAGTTTCCACCTCATTTTCTACCACTTCCCACCATCCCCCTACACACACCCTTACACCCTCACCATGGATCTTAAATGTATATGCTTGTTCACCTTCTTCCAAGAATGTTCTCCCCTTTCTGTAGCTGGTCAACTCCTCCCTGCCTGTCAAACCCATTTCAAGTATCATCTTGTCCTTGAAAGCTTCTCTAACCCACCAGACAGGATTAGTCTCCACTCCCTCAGTATCGTACTCGTACTTCTTTAATTTTTATCTCACCACCTTATAATAGTTTATCTGTCCCTTCTATTAGCCTATGATCTTTATAAGGAATGGATCAGCCATGTCTAATTGGCCTTTGTATCCCGGTGTCTGGCAGACCATCTTCCTATCATCACGAGTGAATGAGTGGGTTGGTTTATCAGTTGAATTAGTAATAGCCTCTTGCATGGAAAGGGATCTTCCAAGAGTGGACCTAGGACAGATGGCTTCATTAAATTTACTAATTTTGACAGGAGTGACATCTGGTTTCACAGCTAGTGGAGTGCACTGGACACCCCAGCAGGTTCTGTGCCGGTATAGTAATCAAGAGCAAACCCATCCCTCTAGGACTTTGTGATAGACAGGGCAGACATTGTCTTCATTAGTGATACAGTTTGGATACGTGTCCCCTGAAATCTCATGTTGAAATTTGATCCTGATTGTTGGAGGTTGGGCCCAGTGGGAGATGTCTGGGTCATGGGAGTGGATACCTCATGAATGGCTTGGTGCCTTCTCCAAGGTAACGAGTGGGTTTTCACTCTATTGGTTCACCTAAGAGCTGGTTGCTAAAAAGGGCATGGTACCCCTCTTCTCTTGCTTACTCCCTCTCTTGCCGTGTGACACATGGTCTCCTCTTCCCTTCTGCCATAAGTGAAGCCTTCCTGAGACCCTCACCAGAAGCTGAACAGATGCTGGCATCATGTTTCTTGTACAGCCTGCAGAACCATGAGCCAAAAAACCTTTTTTCTTTATAAATTACCCAGTCTCAGGTATTCCTTTATAGCAACACAAAATGGATTAACACAGTTGGGCTCTTTCGGGCTGCAAGGAAAAGACAAACTCAGGCTTCTCAGGTGATGATGTAAATGGCTATATTAAGATAGTGTTTCTTGTATGGAGAAGTATAAGACCCCCCCTGCGCTCAGCAGTAGCCCAGTACCTCTGGAGCAGCAACTCCAATGCAGGCACAGCAGGTAGATCTCATGGAGGATGGAATTAAAGTTTCTTGTGCTAGGCATGGTGGCTCATATCTATAATCCCAGCACTTTGTGAGGCTGAGGTGGGCAGATTGCTTGAGCCTGGGAGTTCAAGACCAGCCTGGGCAACATGGTGAAACCCCATCTCTACAAAAAAATTTCAAAAATTAGCTAGGCATAGTGGCATGTGCCTGTAGTCCCAGCTACTCAGTAGGCTGAAGTAGGAAGACAGCTTGGCCCCGGAAGGTTGAGGCTGCAGTGAGCAGTGACGGCACCATTGCACTTCAGCCCAGACAATATAGAGTGAGACTCTGTCAAAAAAAAAAACCTCTTGTATCTGCCAGCTCTGGCCCCAATAATGCTGCATTACAAACCACCCGAAAAATTTAGTGTCTTAAAACAACAACGTTATTTGCAGTTTGGTTCTACTTCACATTTTTTCTCATTCTTCTGGGACCAATGGTTTACTGGGCAGTCTTTTATGTCAGAAGCAGAAATATAAGCTTAACCCCACAAGCATATTTCAAGCCTCTAATTGCCTCACATCTAACATCCCATTGGCCAAAGCAAGTCACAAGGCCAAGCCCAAAGTCAAGCAGGGGGAAGTCCATCTACCTCCAGTGGAAGGAACTGCAAAGTCACATAGCAAAGAACATGGCTACAGAGAGGAGCAAAGAACTTGAGCCATTAAAACAGTCTACGCACCTACCACACTCCTCATTTTTCAGGATGGAGCTCTAGTTACCTGGTCATCTTAGAAGCAGATATCAATGACGCTATTTTGCTTCTCCTCCATACAATAAGCTCCACAAAGTCAAGGTCTTCACTGTATTCCCAGAACCTAGAACAGTAGTACATGGCATAGAGTTAGTGTTAATCAATATTTCCTGAATGAATGAAAACCCCCTCGCCACTTCTTCTTCACATTCTCACTTCCCAAGAGAAGGCCTCTGATTAGATACATTTGTTACCCTCAAATATGGCACAGACTAAGGAGTTTGGACTTCAACCAGTATGTAGGCCATGGGGAGAGCCTACATTGCAAGTTTTCAAGCAGAGGAATAGCTTATTCAAATCCATGCCTTAATAACATTAAAATGTTATCAGTATTTGGGGGGAAAAATGAGAGGAGTCTGCAGATCAATTGGGAGGCTATTTGCAAGAGCCCCAGTGAGAGACAAGAAGGTCCTGAAATAGAAAGTGGGGCTTGGGAAGGATGTGAGAAATACTGGGGGGTGCCGAATGGAGAGAACACGTCATTTCTTTGTTTGGCAAGAGAGAGGGAGATCTTGGGACATGCGGCTTGGAGTCCAGACAACTGGGTGGATAGTCATGGATAAGGAGCAGGCTTGTAGGATGGAGTTGATCTGTTAGCTTGGGGCTTGTTAAGCTTGAAGTACATGTGGAACACCCAGCTGGAGCAACAAAAATTCAGAACTGGCCCTCAAAAGAGATTTCTCATTAATATCTTAATTAGCCATTTACATCAAATATTATATTTACATATAATATTCAAACTCTTCCAAACCTGCTAGACACCCCCACTAGCTAAAGATCAAGTAAGCAGCTTGTTGCATGTTGTTTGATTTTCATAAGTCTCTGCACAGAAAGCAGAAAAAGACAAAGGCCAACATCAGGAAATCAGGATCAGAGACAAACACATGACTATGTCCAGGAGTAAACAGCTTTCTTTTTTCAGAAGTTTAAACCCACCAAAGACAACCCCTAACTTTCATACACTCAGTTAACAAGTATTTACTAGTCCATTCTCTGGGTTAGGCACACTAAGGATTAGAGACCTGGGGATGAGTAAGGAAAAGCCCCTGCCCTCAAAGAGCTTGGACTCAGTGAGGAAGGAAAGGTTATGTACTTAGGTAAGTGCAACCAGGTGTTCTGGGGGGGAACAGGATAAATGTCTAGGGGAGCTCGTAACAGGGGCTAGTCAATTTCATCTGACCAGAGGGTGGGAGATAGCAACAGACATCAAAGACTCTGGAGAGTTCTAAGTGGATGGGATGGACAAGAAAGAACATTCCACGCCGGATGTGGTGGCTCATGCCAGTAATCCCAGCACTTTGGGAGGCCAAGGCAGGAGGATCATTTGAGGCCAGGAGTTTGAGACCAGCCTGGGAAACACAGCAGGACTTTGTCTCTACTAAAAAAAAAAGAAATTTAAGATAAATTAGCCAGATGTGGTACACATACCTGTAGTCCCAGCTACTCAGGAGTCTGAGGTGGGAGAATTGCTTAGACCCAGGAGGTTGAGGCTGCAGTGAGCCGTGTTTGTGCCACTGCACCCCAGTCTGGGCAACAGAGTGAGACCCTGTTTCAATAATAATTAATGAATTAAGAACATTTCAGATATAATACACAGCTTGAGCCAGGGCTAGTCAAAGATGTGAACCAGCCTACTGCATTAGTGTTTTGGAAGGGCTGACACTTAGGGGCAGGAGGAGGGAGGGAAAAGGACCAGGGGAAGGAAAGAACAAGGTAATGCAGGGTTCAGAGCACACAGTGCTTTAAACACCATGTGCAGGAATAAGAAATGTGTCCACGGTTTCCCTTCTCTGAAACATTTTGTGTAGGAGGTCCCAAAGGCCTGTCTCTCCCTGATTAAGGAGGAACAAGGTACCTCCTAAAGAACCCTGAATAATTACCTAAAAATAGATAAACAATTTTAATCTCCTTTATGTCATACTTATGATTAAAGTCTTAAAAATCCTGTGCTTGGTGTTTCCGGTTTCAATGTGTGGTCACACACCTTACCTCATGTAGTCTTCATGGCATTCAGGAAGCAGGTGTTACCAAATTTTGTTTGACAGATGAGACACTGAGATTTAGGAGTCCCTAACAAACATTTCTTGACGTAAAAATGAAAGCTGTCTTTTAAAAAGCTTTAAAGATTAGTGTGATAATGTTTAACTGAGTAGGTGTGTGTTCTTCTCAGGAGTGAGAAAAGTGTGTTTGGCTGCCAGATGGCTTTTGGAGACTTGTGTTGGTTAGGCCAGCAAAAATGCCCTCCAATCTGTGGACCAGCTGCACCAGCTGCACCCAGGAGCTTCTTAATAATGTAGAGTGTGAGTCTCCCCCTCCAGAGGTTTTCAGATTTGGTAGGTCAGGGGTGAGAATCTGGAAGGAATATCGTTAAAAAGCTCCTCAGGTAATTCTGATGCACGGCCAGGTGGAAGATTGGTCAATTGCCTCTTTTGGTTGCAAGGATAATTTGAGGCCCTGATGATAAAAATGTGGTCTGCAAGCCACCTGTCTCAGCATCACTCAGATGCAGTTTCCTGGACCTCGCCCTACCAAATTAGACCTACCAAATTAGAAATCTCCAGAGGTGGGCATATTTTAAACAAACTCCCAAGATCCATTTGTTCATTTATTTACAAATATTTCTTCAGGTCTAGGTATGTGATAAACACCATTCCAGGAACTGGGATATAAAGGCAAATGAGGCCAACAATGTCTCTCCCCTAAAGACACTTGAATTTTGACCCAGCTCTTTGAATGCTGGAGTTTGAGAACCACTATCTTAAAATAATACAGGGATTCAACCAAAGTTCCTATTGGGACTGCCTCAGTTATCCATTGCTGGTAACAAAACACTGCTAAAACTTAGTGGCTGAAAATGACAATGATTTTTCCCGTCCTCATGATGCAATGTGTTGGCTGGTTGATTCTCCTACAGGTCTGCTCTGGGTTCGACTGAGATAAACCTGGCCTGGCTGGGCCCCTCTCCATGAAGTTGTTCATCTCAGGCTTCTTAGGGCATGGTGGTTTCAGGTTTCCAAGAGGGCCAACCCCAATATGCCAATGCCTATCACATATCTGCCTGTCCTATGACAAACATGGCAGGTAGATATTTGATAGGCATTGGCACACTGGCAAAACGAAGTCCTATGGCCATGCTCAGCCTCAGCATGAAAGGGGAATTCACAGGAGTGTAGACACCAGAGAGTCACTTCTTTGGGGATCACTGCATTCTGTCAAAGTTACTGTGGCTGCCCCTTGAACCTGGCATCTCTTTGTGTATCTTCTCACTTCCCCACTGTTCTCTAGTTTAAACTCCTAGGTGAAGGAATCCAATTGGTCTTGCTAAGCACGTCCATGGCTCACAGTCACCCCTACTCATGGGGATTTTAGGACTCAGCAGGATTGCAAGCAGAGCTGGTGTAAAGGAGATGAGAAGGACACTAGGGGTATCTTAAGCACCATGGCTGAACCTCCCATAGGATAGTCATAAAATTCCCATGGTCAGTGCTTTAATCACCTTGATATAAAAATATGCCCCTAAATATTTTATGTATTTGTTGCTGGGAGCAAAGTTAAAGTTTTGTGTTTGATATTGATTACATGGATTTTTTTAATGTTTCTTTTTGATTTTTGGAATAACACATATATGTTGTAGAAGTTTTAAAAATACAAAAACGAAAATTAAAATCACTAGTCATAGCATTATCTAGAAAAACCTTTTAGCACATTTGCTTTCACATTTTTGCTCATAAATGTGTTCTTCTTTACAGAATTAGGCCAGCAATACAGCTTTCTGTCTTACACTCTTTGAATGCTGGAGTTTGAGAACCACTATCTTAAAATAATGCAGTGATTCAACAGGAGTTGAATCACTAGCATTATCACTAGTGCTAGCATTTTCCCACGTGATTACAATCTCCTCGTAAAATAATTTTGAGTTATATAACAATCAGTGAGACATACTATTTCATAATCATACAGTTGCTTGTTTCATATATATATATATATATATATATATATATATTTTTTTTTTTTTTTTTTTAAGACAAAGTTTCGCTCTTGTTGCCCAGGCTGGAGTGCAATGGCGCAATCTCGGCTCAATGCAACCTCTGCCTCCGGGGTTCAAGGGATTCTCCTGCCTCAGCCTCCTGAGTAGCTGGAATTACAGGCATGCACCACCACACCTGGCTAATTTTGTAGTTTTAGTAGAGACAGGGTTTCTCCATGTTGGTCAGGCTGGTCTCGAATTCCCGACCTCAGGTGATCTGCCCGCCTTGGCCTCCCAAAGTGCTAGGATTACAAGTGTGAGCCACCACGCCCAGCTGTTACATATTTTTTGGCAATTATCAGCAGTGCTATAATGACTCATTTCTGTTCATAAGCCTTTATCTGCATTTGGATTTTTCCATTGAATAGATGGGGTTCATATCTTTTCTTTATATAGCACAGTTTTTAAGATTACTTCAATGTTTCCTAATAAATAGCTAAAGAGATATTTTCCCTCCTGAATGGGACCAACACTTCCCTCTGCTGCATATGCCATATGGCTTTGCAGAATGGGTCTATTTCCTTTTGCTCCATTTCCTCTTGTTTGACAGGCCTTGTCTATCCCCATTTCCTTGTGGGTACAAAAGAGAGCCGGGCTGGGTTACGTTTTCAGTGACTTTACCAGAACTACAGACAGAGCTGTACATGTTCCCACGGTCACCTCTTTATCCAAACCATGGAAAACTGCCCTTTTTTTTTTTCCTTTCCATAACTGGCACAAGCTGTGTTTGGGTCAGGAACCCAACATCAACTACAAAGACTGACCTCCACCCAGGGAACTTGAGAAGAAGCTAGATAACACTGTTGGGAAATTATTCCCTCATGTGAATTGGCATTTGAATATGTGCTAGTATTATGCACATTTTTAAAATATCACTGAACTAAATGTAATGGAAAATAATACACTGGCCTTAGTAAGTCAAGGAACTTGGCCTGACGGGCATATCAATAAGGCAACCCAATGTCAACTAATTCACTCACTCATCACACTCTCAGTAAGTGCTAGATTCTATCCAGGAGCCCAGCATAAGAAAAGATGTTAGACAGTTAACAGTTGGAGTAGCAGACTTAAACAACTGTATATAATGTGTTAAAGTGAGAATCTAGTAGATAATGCAGAGGGAGAGGCCCCTGAGCCTATCTAGGTAATCAAAGAAAGCTGGTTACTGCAGATTGCGCAGGATTGAGAGAAATATGAAGGTTGCCTCAATGCATTTACCCTACAGTGTGAGAATAAAATACTGTCACAGAGGCTGACAACACTGGGGCAGCTTCCCATGATTGATACTGCACTATATACAATTCTAGATTGCAATGAAATCAAAACCATGAGACACTAAGAGGGTTTTAGCTTCCCTTTATTTCCTGATAATTTCAATGAGGGATTTTACAGACTTTTTAATTCTTCTGCTCAAATATGGAGGTCATAGGCCCCAGAGCTGGTTTGGAATTAGCTCACTCAGCAATACAGGTGGACAACAAAAGAATGTGCCCTTCACCTGTAGATCTTCCTTTAAAAATAAATAGAGATGGGGTCTCACTATGTTACCCAGGCTAGTCTCAAACTCCTGGCCTCAAGCAATCCTCCCACCTCGACCTCCCAAAGCACTGGGATTACAGGCATGAGCCACTGCCCACCTGCAGACCTTCTAACACAACTAGATGACTCTTGGGTGTGGAGGTTGGTGGGTGGGGGGGGGACATCCTGACTTACTTGTTACACATAGGCAAGAAATTTAGAGTGCACAGTGATATCCAATCACAGATTAGTTATACCTTATTTGGGACACTGCTGGACACATCTTTCTACATCTATCTATATCTCTTTTCTATCTACTGATTGATTATTAAGCTAGCAAGAAAAATTCTGGAAGGACTTTGACAAAGAACCTTTAGATACAACATCACCCTTCTTGCTCACTGCAGAAAAGCAAGCAATTTTTTTGTAAGGGGCACATAGCCCTTCACATATCTTGCTTAGACATAATAGTCACAGCCTAAATGGCTTCAGGAAGATCTTTCTGAAAGGGGCACACACATTGATAACTCAATGCAAGTCAAAATGTGATGAGAAGCATAAAAGAAAACAGAACAGGCCAGGCGCGGTGGCTCAAGCCTGTAATCCCAGCACTTTGGGAGGCCGAGGCAGGCAGATCACAAGGTCAGGAGATTGAGACCATCCTGGCTAACACGGTGAAACCCCATCTCTACTAAAAATACAAAAAATTAGCCAGGCATAGTGGCAGGCGCCTGTAGTCCCAGCTACTTGGGACGCTGAGGCAGGAGAATGGCATGAACCCGGGAGGCAGAGCTTGCAGTGAGCCAAGATCGCGCCGCTGCACTCCAGCCTGGGTGACAGAGCGAAACGCCATCTCAAAAAAAAAAAAAAGAGAGAGAGAAACAGATCAAATACTCTCTGGTGCAGGGATTAGAGAGCTCATAGCCAGTGGAGATAATCGGGGAAGAGGCAGTTTCTGAGATGGACCTTAACCAGGATTTCAACAGGCAGAGACAGTCGAATGTGTTGTTTCGGGAGGTTGATATAGGTGACCTTCATTTTTCAAGGGGAAGCAAGAAAGAGGTTTGTGCCTGTGCTTGGGCTGGGATGACCAAGGCTGGACAGGGGGTGACATTCAGGACCCAACTGAGAGACACCCAAGAAGGTGAAAAATGGGGAAATAGTAATGTTTTCTGATATGATAGCTGGAGAACTTCATAGGGATGAAGAAGAGTGTTATGGATGGAGGCCTCAGTGGCTGCTGCATAAAGTGAGTCCCGGAGCACTGCTTGGGCATCTCAGCAGGAAGTCCTATGACCCTTATCAATCTGCACCCCTTATGTGAAGACGATGTGCCTTAGGAACTCTGCTGTCCCTGGCTGAACACAGATTCCTTTAACTTCACATGTGACTCATGTTTACAAAGGCATCGCTGGACAGTCCGTTTGGACTGTGATGCAATGACTGTGTGTACCATGGAAAAAATGAGAAAGACATCCTAGCAGGACGCCAGGGCGCAGTTGAGGAAATCCTGTGGTGTGTCATCCGTGCAACACTAGAAGCACCAGATCACTGGGCAGGCTGAATAGCATCCCCCGTTCTTAAAATGTCACCAGGAATTCGGAGCACAGTGTTCTCCTGGGCCCAGGACAGGTTTCCAGTTTCTCGGCAATGAAATGGTAAGCCAAGCAAGAATAGGTTTTCAGATAACTGTCTTTTCATGGATGTGACTTCCAGCAGAGGGCTGACCAGTTGGAATTCTCCATCTCACTTCTCTGGCCATTCTGTTACCACCTGTATCAGGGAGGCATCATTCCTGATCCCTGGGTCACCAAAACCATTTTTCCTTTTCTTTTATCCTTATCCAAAAGCTCTCTTCTGTTCCATCCCTCAGCCACATGAATTTCCAGTAGTAGTGAGAGTTCTTGACCTCCAGCTGTTTCCTTCAAGCAAGGTATGGATTGTTGTGCCCTGGTCGTAGAGCCTTGGCTTGTTAAGAAACCTGGGCTTTGCACTTGGTCAGCAAAATTTGGAGGCAGCCAAGATGGAAAACAAAACAATTCTGAAAAAATATTAGGCATGCTTCATTACTTTTTTCCAAATGAGAATGTTTTTATTTAAAATAGGTTATACATCACATGGTAGAAAATTCAGACTGGGCACTGTGGCTCATGCCTATAATCCCAGCACTTTGGGAAGCCAAGACGGGAGGAATGCCTGAGCTCAGGAGTTTGACACCAGCCTGGGCAAAAAGGCAAAACCCCATCTCTACCAAAAATACAAAAATCAGCCAAGTCTTGTGGCATGCACCTGTAGTCCCAGCTACTTGGAAGGCTGGGGTGGGAGGATTGCTTAAGCCTGGGAGGTTGAAGCCACAGTGAGCTGAGAATGTACCTCTGCACTCCTGCCTGGGTGACAGAGATAGACCCTGTCGCAAAAAAAAAAAAAGAAAGAAAGAAAGAAAAGAAAGAGAGAGAGAGGAAGGAAGGAAGGAAAGGAGGGAGGAAGGGAGGAAAGGAGGGAGGGAGGAAGGAAGGAAAGAAGGAAGGAAGGAAAGAAGGTAGGTAGGAAAGAAGGAAGGAAGGGGAGAGAAATGAAAGAAAGAAAAATAAAGGAAGAAAATTCAGAAGGTACAAAAAGGTTTATGTAAACTTCCATCCCTCCTCTGCCCCACTCATACAGTTCCTCTTCGGGAGGGGATGACCTTTCCAGTTTCAGTTTTGTGTGTATCCTGCATACTTTGATGTGTTTATTTTAAGGTCCACTGCTCTTAGCAAACATCACCACTACTATCCCTATTACTGCTGCCTTTCCAGTCACATGGTTAGCTTGCTTCTGGTCCCAGGAGAGCATGGTGGATGACATCAGAGACCCAAGGTCAAGAGCAGAGAGCCTGAGAGCTGAGGGTCCGTATATGTGGTTGGGGCATGCCCTTTCTTCATCTCTTCTTCCCCTCTCCTTCTACCCCTTTCTATGGGCACCTCCTTTAAGAAGCTGATGTTCTGGGCCGGGCGCAGTGGCTCATGCCTGTAATCCCAGCACTTTGGGAGGCTGAGGCAGGCGGATCACGAGGTCAGGAGATCGAGACCATCCTGGCTAACACGGTGAAACCCTGTCTCTACTAAAAAAATACAAAAAATTAGCCGGGCATAGCGGCAGGCTCCTGTAGTCCCAGCTACTCGGGAGGCTGAGGCAGAAGAATGGCATGAACCCGGGAGGCAGAGCTTGCAGTGAGCCGAGATCACGCCACTGCACTCAAGCCTGGGCCACAGAGCGAGATTCTGTCTCAAAAAAAAAAAAAAGAAGTTGATGTTCTGATCCTCAGTTCCATCCATCCAAGCATCAGTAATACCTAGAAGACCATTAGTAAAATTTCCCATCCTTTAGTTTATTACTCAGACTATGTTCTTGGTGTACGTATATTGGAGGTCATAGGACAGAAGTTAATAAAACTTTGGTGTACAAAAGATTCTTATAGGCTGGGTGCAGTGGCTCACGCCTGTAATCCCAACACTTTGGGAGGCCAAGGCAGTAGGATTGTTTGAGCCCAGGAGTTTGAGACCAGCCTGGCCAAAATAGCAAGACCTCATCTAAACAAAGACACAAACAAAAAAAATTAGCCAGGTGTGGTGGCATGCGCCTCTAGTCCCAGCTACTCCAGAGGCTGAGGCAGGAAGATCACTTGAGCCCAGGAAGTGGAAGCTGCAGTGAACCATGGACACATCACTATACTCCAGTCTGGGTGACAGAGCAAGACTCTATACCAAAATAATTACTATAGTAAATTATAAAATGCAGGTTCTTGGGTGCCACACCCAGAGATTCAGAAGGTTCATGGCTCAGGTCAGGAGTCTGGTTTTCCACACAGACTTCTTCCCCCATGGTGACCTGGTGGCTGTGATCTACATGGCTCCTGGATCACACTTCCAGAAACACTGCCTTCACTATTATTACTGACTCTCCTCCCTAGAATCCTCTATTAGGGATTACTGAGTATTTCCTTCATCACTGCTGGTTTTTCAAAGCCATGACCACTGTATGACTATTCTACATTACCTAGGTGTTTTCCTCTCTCTTTGTTTTCAGTATATGAACTTTGAGGCTGTGGTTGAGAGACTTCTGACAAACCCATTTTCCCTGGGTTTTGTAAGATGACACCACCCCTTTCAGGGAAGGCGATTGTTTCGGTCAGCTGCAGTTCAGGACGCCATCTTCCACTCTCTGCATGTCTCATCGTCTCAGCTTCTGTTGATGGAAGCATCCTCAATGATCTGAGTTTCCAGAGAAGGATCTTAAAGTCCCTACACTTACGTTTCTGTTTTCCCATGTGGTAGCAAATCCACATGGTGGTTCACAGGTCCATTACAGTATGGTCCTCTGTCAGTTTTACAGTGTGGACACCCAAAGAGTGTTTTTCAAACTCCCTCCATCCTTGAGGGTTCCCACAAGTGTCCTTGAAGGTCTGGGAATCATCTGAGTTTATTGTTTAATGTCATCTTTCCATCTCTATGATAATATTAAAAATATATGCATAATCTGGACTGTCTGGCTGACCCCCTTATAGCGGAGGGCTGCTATATAATTTTGGTTCCCTTATTTGAATCTGTGTTTACCACCAAACTGGCATCAACTGACCACCCCAAGGGAAAGAATTTACTTTTTGATGAGCTGACAAGCACATCTGGCAGCCATGAGGTTGGCTTGGCTCCCTGTCCAGCTGAGACTGAAAGGCTGTCCTTCTTGGGACTAGAGGATGAAGGGAGGGCCCTACGGGTCTGGTGCCTGATACCTCTCTGACTCCATCTCCTGCAGCTTTCTCCCTTGCTCACCAGCTTCTTTAATCTAGAGAGGCTCCCTCAAGGGCCTTGGTATCACCCATCCTATTCTCTCTGACCAGAAGATTCTTCCCCCAGATACCCGCAAGAATAACACTCTCATCTCCTTCAGGTCTTTGCTTAAGTGTTTGCTTAAGAGATTACGTTTCTCAATCCTATTTAAAATTACAACTCTCTGCCCCCATCCCTCTCCCTACTATACTTACCCTGCTCTTTTTACAATTCATTTATTTATGATGTTTATTGTTCCTTGTACCTTGCTCTATTAGACCGTATGCTCCATGAGAGCAGGGATATTTTTGTTTTGTTCACAGATGTCTCCCAAGCACTTAGAGTAGTGCCTGATACATAGTAGGGTATATAATAAATATTTAATGAATGAATCTACCAATGTCTAATTGACAACAATCCCTTCATCACTGCTCTTGTACTCAAATTTATCAGTTTTACAGACAAAATCCCTCTTTTACAGTGATAATTTGCAGAGGAAAGACTTTTTTTTTTTTTTGAGATGGAGTCTCACTCTGTTGCCCAGGCTGGAGCGCAGTTAGTGGTGCAATCTTGGCTCACTGCAACCTCTGCCTCCAGGGTTCCAGCGATTCTCCTGCCTCAGCCTCCCAAGTGGCTGGGATTACAGGCATGTGCCACCACACCTGGCTAATTTTTGTATTTTTTTTAAGTAGAGACAGGGTTTCACTATGCTGTCCAGGCTGTTCTCAAACTCCTGACCTCAGGTGATCTGCCTGCTTCGGACTCCCAAAGTGCTGGGATTACAAGCATGAGCCACCTTGCCCAGCCGAGAAAGACATTTTTCAATGGATAAAACATTAGGCTGAAATGTTTGTGTTTCTCAAAGTGAGATTCATCGAGTCCAGGAGCCTTAGAACACAGGCTCAGGGGATGAAGTGTCCTGAATTTGACTAACGCTTCTCTAGCATGCTCCTGGCTGACCACCTTCTCGCTCCTGAGCCAGAAATAAACATCTTGCTGTCATTCACCATGCCTGGTGACTCTTTGTCGGTAGGCAGGGTGGGCTTCACCCTCCATGAAAGGAGCCTCTCACTTTTTTTTGAGCAATTCTGGAGTAGTCATTTTCCCTCTCTTTACATCATTTTCTTTAGCTTGCCAACTTTTGAATTTGTTTCATTTTTCCAGATTATGAAAGAAACATACATAAGATTTAGAGAACTATAAAGACATACAAAAAATAGACACCCAAAGACTTGAAATTCTCCTAATTTGTAAAAGATAACTTCTGTAGCCTGCCTCTCTGCACATAAATGCAATAGTCAGACACACCACCAATAATATTTTGGTGCAGTTTTTCTAGTTTTTGTTCTATGTGTATGCATTAAATTGAAATACAGGAAGTTACCGATGTTCAACCATTTTGACCCATAAAATGGCAATTTCATATTTATTTATTTGAGACAGAGTCTTGCTGTTGTCCAGGTTGGAGTGCAGTGGCACAACTAGGACTCACTGCAGCCTCAACCGCCCTGACTCAAGTGATCCTCCCACCTCAGTCTCCCAAGTAGCTGGGACCACACATGGGTGCCACCACATCCAGCTAATTTTTTTCTTATTTGTAGAGACAGGGTCTCACTACATTGCCCAGACTGGTCTCAAACTCCTGTCCTCAAGCAATCCTCCCACCTCAGCCTCGCACAGTGCAGGGATTACAGGTGGGAGCCACTGCACCCTGCCTGGCAATTTATAGTTCAACCTACTGAATTCCCACATACCATACCATGTGTATTTTACATCATATTCTTTTCATGTCATTCTAACAGCACCACTTGCCCATGTATTTATGGATTCTCGGGCTCTTCATAAGCTTGCATTAACAGCACAAATAATTGATGAGCATTAGCATCTCAGCTCAGAGCACTGCTTTGTAAATCACTGGAGCAGTACAAGTAGGGCAGACTTCCCAAGTCTTGATGCGAATGACAATCCTCAGTGATTCTTCCAGGAAACTCTTCCTATAAATTCCCTTAACCAATTGCCTGCATACAGTGCCTGGCACCTGATTTTCTGCCCCAATGGCAGCTTCTGGGAATGCTGCTAATAACTATGTTTAGATGTTCATCTCTTGTTCCTCTTTTACGAATCTGGTCCATTACCTGTGATGTATATTCAGTTTGTAGCGTATCTTACTCTCCAATAAAATGATGCTCTTTTGTTTTCTTTGTTGTTATTGTTTTTCACGGTTTCTGGATCTTTCAGCCAGGTACAGTCTACTGGCACTAAGAGAGAGAGGTGACTATATTTTTGAGCTTCGCAGGAGGAGGGCTGCTCTTACGGTCCTGGCTTTCTCTCAGCAAACATCATCAGGACTATCAGCTCTCTGTCATTTCATCACAGAAAAGTCCCTGAGGAGTCCATGGACCAGGTGGTTCCATCATGTTGTGATCCTGCCTCCAAAGTGAATGCCCAGAGACGATAATCTATGTGGGTCCTCTCTGGACCAGTCGATCTGGGACTGAGTACAGCTCTATTCCCAATTGGGCTTTAATTTGCTCTACACTTGGCTGAGTTCAACAATAGCCTAAGAAGATTATGTGCCCATTCAAAAGCCCCATTTACGTAAGGTTTGGGAGCTTATGATATAAGATCAACTGTCATTGGTAATAATAACCTTATGTCACTCCAGATGCAACAGCTTAAAAGGATAGACTTTAACATTTTGGCCCCAAGAATAAAACAGTAACAGGAGACTAGAACATTTAAAGGTAATCTGTAGCCTACAAACACATCAAAGGGTAGAGAAAATAAGGCAAAAAACCCTACAAAATTAGATGACATATAGCTTCTCTTATCATCAATACATGGTAATCTACTACACAGAGAGGCAGTGTGTCCTAAAACCTAACACCCTGACTTTGAGATCAGATTGACTTGTGTTCAAATCCTCACCCCCTTAACAGCTGTGAACAGCCCCTAGATTGTTTTCTCTTCTGTAAAACTGAGCTAAAACACCCACTCTGTAGAGTGATGGTAAGGATTAAAGAGAGAATATATATAAAATATTCATCGTACTTGAGCTTGATAATAGCAGTTACTGTAACTGGATATACACAAAACAAGAATTTTTAATTTGATCTTTTAAATGCTTATTATTGCAAACATGTCATTGTGACATTAATAAACTTTTAAAAAACACCCAAACTTACTACTCCAAAAAAATGACTAGTTAATTTTCCCATATTTCCTTCCAGTCTTGGTGAATGTGTCAACACCATGTTTATACAATCTATTTGTGTTTTTAGCTTTTTTTTTTTTTTTTATTTGAGACAGAATCTCGCTCTGTCATACAGGCTGAAGTACAAATGGTGCCATCACAACTCACTGCAGCCTTGACCTTCCTGGCTCAAGAGATCCTCCCACCTCAGCCTCCCATGTAGCTGAGGCCACAGGTGCATGCCACCACACCTGGATAAGTTTTTTTTTGTAAAGATGGGGTCTTGCTATGTTGCCCAGGCTGGTCCTGAACTCTTGGGCTTAAGCTACCTTCTCACCTGGATCTCCCAAAGTGCTGGGATTACAGGCATGAGCCACCTCACCCGACCTGTTTTCTGCGGTTTTTTTTTTTTTCATTTAACATTGTAC
This sequence comes from Homo sapiens, assembly GCF_000001405.40. NCBI lineage: Eukaryota > Metazoa > Chordata > Mammalia > Primates > Hominidae > Homo > Homo sapiens. The sequence continues at coordinate 109,500,608 of NC_000009.12, read as the reverse complement.
CGTGTTTTCCCTGTTGCAACATGGTCTTTTTAACTTAGTGTAAGATAGTTATTATTTCAACTAATATACCATAACCTAATTAATCATCCCTCTGTTATTGAGTACTTAGTTTGTTTCCAATTTGGGGAGTATTCTTTCATTTTGTTCCTGCTTCTGTTATGGTGATTTAAAACGCATGATTTTTAAAATATTTAGGTCTTTCCTTTAGGTGTAAGCATGTTCCTAGCTCAAAGTTGAGGGCATCGTTTAAGCTAACAGCTGTTAGCTGTGGGAAAAGAAAAGGTAATTTCAGTCTAGGGGTCAGCAGATTAAGACAACTTCGAAAATTCACACATCCTCCGTTGACCTCGGTTTCCTCATCTCAGCAGTTGGCAAACTGGCATGAGGATGACGGCTGATTTTGGTAGGCACTCAAGAAATGGATCTTTAAGGTGGTCTAAACACGTTCACGTTCCTTATTTCACTCAACTTCCACTCGGGTGCCCAGATCGAAGCGTAGGTATTCACAATGGTTGAAGCACAGAGAGGATAAGGCAGTGGGGAAAGGACAGAGAATGCCTCCTGCTGAGCCCGGGGGCGCTGGGTGGAGCTCTGCGGGGGGCGTCGCCTGCCCCTCCAGGGGGCTCCTCCTTCCGGGGGCTCCGGCCCCGCCCGGCTCCGAGCATGCCCAGTGCGCTCCCCGCCCGTCCGAGTGGTGCTGAGCGGGCGCCGCGGCTCCAGGTTTTGCTGGCGACTCGAGGCCGGGCCGGGCCGGGCGGGGCGCGGGCGGTCCTGCCCCTGGACTCCGGGCTCCGTCGGAAATCCCCCCGACGCGATGCACGGGCGGCACCCGCTGCAGCGGCGCTATCCCGGGACGTGCGACTCCGGGACAAGGACCGAAATGAGGTTCCAGGGGCTGCCGAGGCCTCAGTCTATCCCTGGAACGACTGCCCCCAGGACCTGGCACCCAGGCCCGACTGGAGGGTTCCAACCATCTCTGCATCCCTTCGTTCACATATTCAACAAATAATGTTTGAGCGCCTAGTGTGTGCCAGACAGTGTTGCAGGGGGGTCACTGCAGTAAAGACAAGCAGAGCTACAGCCCCAAAGCTGACATTTAGGAGGGAAATACAACATGAGAATTAAACAAATCGGAGGAAAAGCCAAAGTGACCAACCTCATCTGCTCCTCTGCCTCCTTGCCGTTCCCTAAGCGGTCCGGCGCTCTTTTGGGTCTTGGCACTGGCTGTTCCCTCGGCCAGGAATGCTCTTCCCTGCTTATCTGCGTGGCTGAAATACCACTATCACCTTCTCAGTGTCACCCAATCAGACCGTCCATCAGCTCAAGGGCCCTATCCGACCGCTTCACTGAAAATTCACTGCTTACCTCCAGCCCCAAATCTCCTGACCCTGCTCTTTTTCCTCTTAGAACTTATCACTTTCTAATATAATGCATAGTTTGCTAATTTGCTGTTTATCTGTTACCTGTCCCTCTTTCCCCAAACTCCACTGGGGGACAGAATTTTTGTCTATTTGTTCCCCACGCGAGAAAAACCAGAATAGGTGCTCAATAAATATTTGCTGAAAATGGATAAATCACTGTTAAATGCTATGAAGAAAACAGAGTACACGGAGTGGTCAGGAGCAGAGGGCTAATCGAGGAAGGTGGTCAGGAAAGGCCTCTCTGAGGAGGGGACCTATGTACAATGAGAAGGCGCCGGCCACGTGAAAAGCTGGGCAAGAACGTCCCACAGAGGGAAAGGCGGGCGCCAATGTCCTGAGGTTAGTGAAGTTCGAGTGTTTGATGGACAGAAAGGCGCTCTAGGATCCGCAGGAAGGCAGGTGTGAGATGAGACGGAGGTGGGAAGCAGGAGCACAGATCAGGTAGGGGTCCCACGAGCCTTGGGGAGGTTTAACCAGGGAAGCTTACTAGTGCCAAGGGACGAGCACTGGACTGGAAGTCAGCGGGACCTCAGCTCAACCGCGCACCCGTCGTGCAAGACTCCTCATTTCAAAGTTTCTTTGGGCGCCGACTTCTTGCCTTCCCTAGGCATGAAATCACTGAGGGCCTGGCACACAGTAGGTGCCCAGTCATGGCTGTGGAACGAATGGCTGCATGCATGCGCGAGGGAACTCAGGACCTGCCCGGAGCTCGGCGGAGAGCCCCGGTGCCCCTAGGAGATGCGTCGGGGCGCGCCAGCCCGGGGCGGGGGCGGGAGAACACCGCAGGCCAGCCCGGACGCCCGCCCCCCGCCCGGCGCGCGGGCCCGTCGCGGCCAGCCCGGCCGGCGGGAACCGCCCGCGGGCGGCACTGGGCATGCTCAGACGGCGGCCAGGTCGCGCCGCGAGCGAGCTTCCGCGCCGCCCGCACGCGCGACCTACCTGGGCGCTCCGCGCCCCCGGATGCTGCAGGTACGGGCCCGTGCGACCCCAGCGGGCCGGGGGCAGGGTGCGGGGCTGCCGGGGGCCGGGGTCGCGCTCGGCGCCACCCCGCCCCCACCCGTCCCTGGGGCGCGCGGCGGACGCGCGGGCGGGCTGGCGGGTGCGGCTGCACCGGGATCCCCGCACCACGTCGGGGCGGGGAGGGGGCGCCCCGCTGCGCTCACCTGGCGGGGCCGGGGCGGGAGGGCGCGGGCGGGGCGCCGGGTGGGGCTCGGCCGGGGCGGGCTGGCGGCCGGGACGCGGCGCCGGAGCGTGGGCGTGCGCTCCAGCCGGGCAGGGGCGGGCGCAACCCGCGGAGCCCGTGCGTCCGGCACCTCCGGAGGACCCCGTGCCGCCGCGACCCCGGCTCGGGGCTCCGAGGGGGCACACAGCCCGCGGGGAGCTAGCCGAGAGCGGCTGCCAGCGCTCGGCTCCCAGGGCGAATCCGCCTCTCGGCTTTCAAAGATGGCATTTCCTGGGCCTGGCACGAAACTCCAGAGCCAATAAATCCTCCCCGTTCCGCGGACGATATGGAATGATTTATCAGGTACCTGCGGTGAGACAGCTGCAGATGGGGGAGTGTATGTGAGAGTGCCCAGCCCCCCCGAAATTCCCATTTTCAGCTACCTAAACTTACTGAGAAGTTGCGGTTGCCTTAAAAATTCATGGGAAGTTGAGACAACTTGACACCTGGGTTTTCCAAGCTGGTGGAAAGAGCTTGTGACTTGGAAACTGGAGACCTCCGTTCAAGTTGGGCTCCCCCTTGGCCAGCTGGTGACCTTGGCAAGTTGTTTAACCTCTCTGGTCCTCAGTTTCCTCCCTTGCAATCAGCTGGTAATAATGCCCACCTCGCTGGGTTGTTGAGTGGATTAAGTGGGATAAATTATGTGGAGGTGTTTGGCACCGTGCCCGGCACAAAGCTAGCAAGCAGTTGGCGTGATGTGAATTTAATTCGTTTAGAGACCCTCGTGGCTCTCATTTCAGGAGGAAATTAGAATTAGGAAACCATCTTCAGGGCCTAGTGGTGGAGTGACAGACCCTGTCTCTGTGCCCAGGAGAACTTCTGCCGAAGTCAAGGCCTTCGGAAAAACAATTTAGCCGAATTGTAATCAGAGAGCATCTCCTTTAAAAGCAGTTTTATACATTCAGAAACTCCAGAAGTTGGCAGTTGGCTTCACTTACAAAAGAGCTGTTTTGCAAGATGATCCATCTTGCAAATGTTTAAGCAGATGATGGGAGAAAGTAAAGCCTGCTTAGGAAGATTTCTGTTTTAAAAAGCTCCCAAATCCAACTTTAAGCGATTATTTAGATCAGGGTTTCTCAGCCTTGCACTATTGACATTTAGGGTTTGATAATTCTTTGTGTCCTGGGCATTGTAGGGTTTAGAAGCATCCCTGGTCTGTAGATTCCAGTAGCAATTCCTGTTCCCCAGTTGTTCCAATCAAAAATGCCTCCAGTATTGTCAGATGTCCCCTAGGGAGCAAAATGCCACCCCAGCACCCCTTTAGAACCACCAATTTAATTCTTGCTTTCTGTCATTAGCCCGAGTTGTTTGAGAATTTCATCTTGTGCTTTTGTAATAACTAACCTTTGCATAGCCTTATAGAACTTACAGAGTACATTCACCTGTATCGTCTTATTTAATCTTTACAACTCCCTTGTGAGACTGGTGTCACTCCCATTTTACAGATGAGGACATGGAGGCTCTGAGCAGCCAATTACACAGTATGTGGTAGAGCTGGGGTGTAACCCAAGTCTCCTGGTTCCAAGGGCAGGTCTTTTTCTTCTGCATCAAGCTGCCTGTCCCTTTGTTGTATGGAGGCTTTGATATGGATGACTTTCCGGATGATTAAATCAAGATGTGAAGTATATTGGAAGTTGGAAACTTTTCTGAGATTGACTAGTTGAAAATTAACAACAGTAAGCTATTATCTGACAGAGTAGGCCATTCTAGTTAAATATTCTAGTTTATAGCGAGCTCCCATAAATCCCACATGCAGTTAATGGAATACCAATTTGCAGAGAATTAGAGTAGAATAGAACGTGCCTAATACTCTGTATTGATCCTGCGTTTTCTCTGGTGATTTGCCATCTCCTAAAAAGGACTCATATATGCAAATTAGACATTAGCTGGGGAATATAAAAGGTCAAGTTACTGAAGGCATTTCAGAGTAGCTGAGGCATTTATTGAACTTCTGTATGGCAGATGTAGTGCTGAGTGGGGATGTGGGGTGCACCCCAGAGAATCCAGGTTGCCTGCATCCACTTCCGTGCAGGAAAGGGCAGGCCCTGGTCAGGCCAGACAGGTGGTGGGCCCTCAGACAGCTTGGAGCAGGAGAAAAAGCCCAAGTTACCATGGAAGCAGATTCAGGATCCCTTACCATATCATCAGTCATGTCTCTGACCCCTCGATTCATCTTTTATCATACAGAAGATACTCTGGTAGTTTTAAGCATTCTCATTCAAGTCTCAGAGACCTGGTTAGGGAGGCAAGGTCAGAGACAAATCTTATCCCTGGAAAAAGCTGGGGTTCCGAGGTGGTAATTGGCTTCAGAGAATTGAGAGCAACGCTTTGTTGGCTGTGAACTGGAAGGTTTCACACACAGTGGGGTTTGTTGCTGCCAAACCCCACCCCATTCCCCACCTTGCAGATAAGGAAACTGAGCTGGCAAAGGTAGAGTGGGGCCAGGAGCAAGAGGGACCAATTTTGACCTTCTGAACTACAGGTCCAGGCACACAAGAGACATTTTCTAGGACAGGCATAACCTACCAGAAGGGCTCAGCTTTGGGGATGGGAGGGAGTGAGAAGACATGGCACCCTGCCTTTCCCCAACCCTCCGGGTTTGTGGTGGTTGAGAAAAGACCAGCAATTTGTGGTCCCTACATCTTTTCCCAGGAGAGCTCACCTTCCAGCATTGCGGTCCTGGAAAGCAGGGACAATGCCTCTTTATCTTTTCCCAAGATCTGTTGTAGAAGCTGGAATGCTGAAGGCACCCAGCACATACCCTGGTCTGGAAGGGCTGGTGGGGGTGCAGTAGCCTACCCAGCATCAGCTCTTCATTCCAACTCTAATAGAGACAGGAGGAGACCAGGTCAGTGTCCACACTGCTCTTGGCTGGGTCCAGGTGACCTCAGAGCCTGATCTTATAGATGTCTTCTTTCCTCTGGCCGAGAAGGACCTGAGAAGTGCTTGGTAAGCCCCTGGCTGAAAACTGATTTGGTAATGGGTTCTAAGACCCAGAAATGTTGCATCTCCAGAGCTTCTGCTTGTGTGTGCACCTGAAGCTTCCCACTGCCCCCAGGTTAACTTGTTATTCCAAGACCAGGTGTGAGCACAGATTTAACAGCAAATTGAGACATTTATTGAGTCTCTACCATGTATTAGGCCATAGGGCTACAGAGGTGAACGCTGAACCCCTGCCTTGGAAGGATTCATGGTGGATTTGGAAAGACAGTTTGTATATGTGTATGTGCGTCCCCATCCATCTGTCCATGGTCCTGTAAGTACTTTAAAAGGATAAGCTAGGTGCAAGAGACACCAGAGGATGCAGCCATTCATTCCGATGGGCATCAGGAGACACTGTGGAGCGTAGTTCTAACCATGGGGAGAAGTTAGTTCTAACTTCAAGGCATAATTTGAATTAAGCCTCAAACTTAGGAACAAGATGGCATTTAGGGCAGGCAAAACAGCAGGGGCAAAGGCATGAAGAGACTTTGTGGATCATAGGCGTGGTGATTCTTCTCCAAGTCCAACCTGGTCTTTTTTGTTTTTTGAGACAAGGTCTCACTCTGTCATCAGGCTGGAGTGCAGTGGCCCGATCATGGCTCAAGCAGTCCTCCTTGTACCTCGCACCTGGGACTACAGGCATGTGCCACCACACCCAGCTAATTTTTTATTTTTTGTGGAGACAAAGTCTTACTATGTTGCCCAAGCTGGTCTCGAACTCCTGGGCTCAAACAGTCCTCCTGCCTTGGCCTCCCAAAGTGTGGAGATATAGGCGTGAGCCACCGCACCCAGCCAAATCCAGCCTCTTGGTGTTCACTAATGCAGAACCCACCTGCTCTGGTTCGGGTCTGCTTTATCTCTGTACATGGGCCAGGCCTCACCTAGCCCAGGGCTAAGTGCCTATTCTCCTTGTTTTCACCTGGATGGGAGCAATGCCACTGTGTTGTCTTTGAGGCAGGAGTAACTTCTGCAGGGATGCCTCTGGTTTTAGTTATCAGCACTAATCTGTACTTATTGGTTGCCACACACTGTTGTGAGTGCTCTCCAAATAGTAACTTAATTCATTTAATCTTCACAGCAACCCTGTCGCCAGGCTGCCTCCCAGGTACAAGTAGGTGGGGGCTGAACTCCTCTGCCCAGTGTATGTCCCTCTGTGGGTGATGCTCTGATTGTGGCCCGGCCTCCCCCTGGCTGCCTTTACATAGATGTGCCGGGAAACAGCCCAGTCTGAATTGCAGTGGAGCACTGACCCCATTTCCTTTAGGGGACCGGCAGGACTGTGCTGACTGCGTTTTCTGAACCAAAGAACGGGATCTGTAGTGTGAAAAAAGAATGTGTGTGCCACTGCTTTGTGCAAGAGGAGGCCTGAGAAGTGTTTGGATACTGAGAGAGTGGAATTTTTGAAACATTTTGATGGTTTATATGGAAAGTTAGGACAGAGGATTTGAAATTGGAATAGTCCTGGAAAATTGAGGTCCCATGATTTACTGTTAGGATACACAAGCTTTTAGTAAATGTTTAAGCAGTGTAGAGTGAAGTGAATTTTTTTTACTGAGCCCCCATAGGGAACAAACAGTGCATTTTAGCCTCAAAATCTGACTGATTCCTTCCAGCCCCATTTTACAGAGGGGGTGAGAAAACTGAGGCTCAGAGAGATGAAGTAACCACCAAAGAGCACAGTGTTTGTAAGCAGTGCAGCCGAGATTTGTCTTTTTGGTTTTTGTTTGTTTGTTTGTTTTTTAAATATAGAGAAAGGGTCTCGCCATGTTGCCAGGCTGGTCTTGAATTCCTCGGCTCAACTGATCTTCCTGCCTCAGCCTCTCAAAGTGCTGGAATCACAGGCGTGAACCACTGTGCCTGGCTGCAGCCAACATTTGAACCCAAGTCTGTGCCTAGACAAATCATCTGTTGTCAAAGTCAAATAAAATATAAAAACAGATGTTTCTCTAAATTTAAAACATTTTGCTTGGGAAGTAAGAATAATAATTTGGGAAATCTATACAGACTAGGTGGTCTTTGGTTTGGAAAACAAAGAGAATGTTGGGAGTTTTATTAGAATGAGAAATATTATGTATTGTTTTGAAAAAAGTCCATCGGCACTAGAGAAGCTCTTCGGGAGCTGGCAAGCTCTGATTGTTGCATGATGGTAGCAGATAAAACTAGTCTTAGGGTCACAGCAATTTGTTTCAGTAGTTATTAAATAAAACTGGTTTTAGGTTATAACAGGCAGTTTTAGCAGCCACGCTTGCAGAGAATTACATTTTTGGAGCAATGTTATGTGCCCTGAGTATTTTTCCCCTGGCCTCTCAACTCTGATTTAGTTGGGCATTACAATAATGACCCAAATTGTATAATCAACTTCCACCCTGTAAAATGAGGATCATAATTGCACCTATTCCCTTTAAGTTGACTGTTGTCAATGAGCTAATGTGGAAAACTAAGGCAAAACTTGGCATAGAAAAGGGGTCCCTCACTTTGTGGTCAGACCCCTGACCCTCCAGACAAGTGCTTTGATCTGTGTTCAGTGCTGAGAGTCGCTGTGGGTGAGTGAAGGTCCCTCCTCAGCCAGGACCACAGGTCCCGGTTCTCAGGACTGAAGGGATATTCCAAGAGGGAGCATCCAGGACTGTGCAGGGGCCATGGCTGCCTGAATGCTGTGCTGATGAGGGTCCCCTGGCGTAGGAGTGGGGTTGGAGACCTGGCCCATGCATGTCACCTCCCTCAGCCACATCAGCTCAAGGGCTAGCCCAGAGGTTCTCGGTGAGGGAGGCAGCAACCAGCTCCATCAGCTGTTTTTTGACCGCCAGCCACCATTGGGCCTGGGGAGGGGAGGTTGGCCTCTGAGCTCAGTCTTCCCCACTGGCTCCCCCGAGTCCCCTCCCCTGCTCTGGTTATCAAATGCATTCATGGTTCTTGTAGAAAATAAAGTGTCAGGGAACACAAGAAAAATTATGCATGATGCTTCTCTGAAAGCAGCTGGTCCACTGTCAGCACTGCCATGATCTGCACATGCCCTCTCCTGCTTCCAGTGGATTCTCTACTCCACAGACGGGGGAGTCTTCCATACACTCCTATTTTTCTCAAAATGAAGACAAAGCTGATCTCTCAGCATCTCCTGCAGGCCCTATGTTCATGCTCTTTGAGCCCTCACCTCACCGTGCTCCTTCCTGCTGCAGGGACTGCAAGAGCCTGGGACCTTCTCCCCCTCCCCACTGATTACTTCATCCTGTGGGTCTCAGCTCCATGATTGCAGAGCCTTTGCTCACCTTCCTGACTTGAGTTAAATTGTTGCTATAAATGTTCATGCCACCAGATCTCTCTCCATTATAGCACTTTTCCTAGTGGCAATTTTGCAGTTAATTAATGTAATTATTTGTATTAGTACCTGTCTCCCGGCTACACTGTAAGCTGTGTGAAGGCAGGGTCTCTTTTTTAAAAAAACTTTTTCTAAGTTTTATTTTTTTTTCTTTTAATGTTTTATTTTGATACAATTCAGACCCATAGGAAGGTTGTAAGAATAAATCAAAGAAGTCCCATAAATTCTTCACCCAGATTCCCCAAACATTACCATTTTATTCTTTTTATTTTATCCCTGTGTACATATATATCTATCCTGAACCATTTGAGGATTATTTATCAATGCCTCCTTTCCCCCTACATATATTTCCTAAAAGCGATGATATTCCGTAACTACAATACAAATTTTAGAATCAATAAATTAATAGTGATACAACATTGTTTAATCTATAAACCTCAAGTTTTATATACTTTTTTTTTTTTTTTTGAGAGAGAGTGTCCCTCACTCTGCCACCCAGGCTGGAGTGCAGTGGTGTGATCTCAGTTCACTGCAACCTCCGCCTCCTGGATTCAAGCAATTATCCTGTCTCAGCCTCCCAAGTAGCTGGGATTCCAGGCGTGTGCCACCATGCCCGGCTAATGTTTGTATTTTTTGTGGTGACAGGGTTTCACCATGTTGGATGCTGGTCTCGAACTCCTGACCTCAAGTGATCTGCCTGTCTCAGCCTCCCAAAGTACTGGGATACAGGCCCGAGCCACTGCGCCCGGCCTAGATGTTAGGTTTTGCCAGTTGTCTTAGTGATGTCCTTTTTTATAGCAAAAAAAAAAAAACTCTTATAAATGGGTTGCGTACGGTTGTCATGTCTCGTTAGTTTCCTTTAAACTAAGACAGTTCCCCAATTGTTCTTGGTCCTTCAGGACCTTGACTTTTTTTGTTGTTGTTGTTCCAAGATGGAGTCTCGCTCTGTCGCCCAGGCTGGAGTGCAGTGGCTCAGTCTCAGCTCACTGCAGCATCCGACTCCTGGGTTCAAGCAATTCTCCTGCCTCAGCCTCCTGAGTAGCTGGGATTACAGGCATGTGCCACCACGCCCGGCTAATTTTTTGTATTTTTAGTAGAGACGGGATTTCTCCGTGTTGGTCAGGCTGGTCTCCAACTCCCGACCTCAGGTGATCCGCCCACCTCGGCCTCCCAAAGTGCTGGGATTACAGGCGTGAGCCACCATGCCCAGCCAGACCTTGACGTTTTTGGAAAGTACAAGCCAATTATTTTGTAGAATGCCCCTCACATTGAGTCTGTTTTAACTCACCATTTTGTCCCCAGTGCCAAGCACAGTCCCTGGACCATCAAATGCACTCAGTAAATATTTGTTGAATGAGGAGAGGGAGAGATGGAAGGAGGTGCAAGGGGAAAAGTCAGCAGGTTTTCTGCTTTCTTCCAGCCCCACGCCTTTCCCTGCTGAGTGATGTGGGGTTTTTTTTGTTTTGTTTTTGTTTTGTTTTTTTTGAGATGGAGTCTTGCTCTGTCACCCAGGCTAGAGTGCAGTGGCGCGATCTCGGCTCACTGCAACCTCTGCCTCCTGGGTTCAAGTGATTCTCCTGCCTCAACCTCCCAAGTAACTGAGATTACAGGTGTCCACGACCACGCCCAGCTAATTTTTTGTATTTTTAATAGAGATGAGGTTTTGCCATGTTGGCCAGGCTGGTCTAGAACTCCTGACCTCAAGTGATCCACCTACCTCGGCCTCCCAAAGTGCTGGGATTATAGGCATGAGCCACCCCACCCGGCCTGGATGTTGTTATTTAGTTGCAGTCATACTGTATACAGGTTTGAATCCTGCTATTTTTATAACAAAGCTTTCCCCAAAAAAGAGAGGCTTCCTGAGAAGATAGTGAGCCTGCTGTCCTTGCAGATATACAAGCAGAAGCCAGATGATGGTTTGGCAGGGATACTGGAGAGGCAAATGGAATGTTTGATGAGGGGTGAGACTCATCAGGCTGGGCGTCCCTGCTAATCATGGGTAGACTTCTCTAACTGCAGCACTGACTTCACAGGCCTAGGCCCCCAAGAACAGTGCAACTAGAATTTATCATCCCAACCAGAACAATTTGAGAATAAAAAGGGGTCCTATTAATAATTGCACATGACTGACGGGTCTAAGCCGGGACTGCCCTAGGTAAATCCGGACGTGTGGTCACGTCCGGATTTAAGAGTGACTTCGAGGTTGAGATCAGTGCAGGGTGAGCCAGCATGGAAAACCCTCTAGCACTAGGAATCTTCTACCTGGATAAAGACAAAACTAACCTCTGCATGGCCTGCAGGCCTGATGTTTGTGGCTTTGGTCCCCACACCTCTGTGGTCCCACCTCCAGTAGGATGCCACTCCCAGCTTTGTGCCTGCCACACCGGCCTTTTGTCAGCTCTCACCTCACTATGGTACCTGTCTGCCACAAGGACTGGCAGAGTCTGGAACGTCACTCACATACCCTGGCTGGATGGAGGAGCAGGGACAGAGTTTATGATAGATGGACAGGGAGATGAACAAGCCAGCTGTGCTTCCCACTGACCAATTTCTAATAGAATTTAAGAGCCAGGGTGTGTAAGCAAAGAAGGGCAGGAGGCGGGAGTCACCCTAGACCTTATCTTCTTTCCTCTAGTGCTCACACTTCCACCTCTTCTTCCTGCACCAACGCCCACATCCCTGTTCCAGCCCTAGTTCTGAGATGATGACTAAGTCACTGACCTTTGGCAAAGGCAGGGAAGCAGGTGGCATTGGGGACCCAGGCAGAAGAGGATGGGCATTGGATGGACAGTAGATGCAGACAGGGACTTGGATGCAGAGAAACCAGGCAGGAAACCAGCATCTAGGGATCCCAGTAACAAGGTCACTACAGGGCCATTTATCAGGAAGTCTAGATTTGTAATATCAAGTGACCAGACACTCGGTCAAGGGGTCAGGCTCTGGGATCCATACAGTCTGGTTCTTTAACTTATTTTCTGCCTAGAAGAAAATACAAACCTTGCCTTCCTGGATTACAAATTATTATAGGATGAAAATGTGAAGATAATGGAGCTATTTTCTGGGAAGCATCCCAGTCATGTGAACTTTAAGAACACTGTCCAGTGCAGTCGTGTTTTTATTACTCTAGGCATCAGCAGCTTTAATGGAAAAGCCAGTTAGTAAAGGAATGTTCCGGTTCCTAGAATGCAAGATACTAGTACTGCTGAATGTTGGAAAGATTTTCTGGTTAACTGTGTTATTAGATTTTACTGCTTAAAAATGTACTTTCAGCCTGGTGCGGTGGCTCATGCCTGTAATCCTAGCACTTTGGGAGGCAGAGGCGGGTGGATCACCTGAGGTCAGGAGTTCGAGACCAGACTGGCCAACGTGGCAAAACCCCGCCTCTACTAAAAATACAAAAAATTACACAGTGCTGGTGGGTGCCTGTAGTCGCAGCTACTCCGGAGGCTGAGGCAGGAGAATCACTTGAACCTGGGGTGTGGGGGCAGAGGTTGCAGTGAGCCAGATCATGCCACTTCACTCCAGCCTGGGCAAAAGAGCGAGATTCCATCTCAAAAAAAAAAAAAAAAAAAAAGTACTTCCCTCCTCCCCCCGACCCCACACAGCTGCTTAAAAGCATTTCGTTTGGGGTCACTTTTTACAGGACAGAGCATGTCACACAGTGTCAGAACTGAAAGTGACCTCAGAAAAACCTTTTCCGGCTCCCTCTTTTCTGGATGGAGAAACCGAGGCTCTGCAAGGGATGTAACATACTCAAGGGCACATAGTCAATGGCAGAGTAGGAACTGGTACCCATGTCTCAGAATTTCCAGCCCCCAGATCTTGGGTGTGTTTTCTACATCTCATCCAAGGAAGTTTATCAGATGGGCCATGTATTTTTATTATTTTGTTAATACCTTTTGGCATTTCTCTGACTATAGAAATAAGTTGTATTGGCATTGAAGCAGTTAGGCATTTCTTGCTGAGTTTCTCTATGTAGAAGTTGCTAGGCTGTCTTTTTCTTCTTTTCGTTTTCATGTAGAAAAGATGATATATACCTTCCATTGAATTTCCATATCCTGTAGCAGTGTTTCTCAAACTATAGCACATCAGAATCACCTGGAAGGCTGGAAGGCTGTTTAAAAGAGGCTGTTAGGCCCCACCCCCAGAGCGTGTGATTCTCTTGGTCTGAATCAGAGCCTCTGGTGAGGCCGGAAGGTTTGCATTTCTAACAAGCTCTCTGGTGATGCCACTCATTCGGACGCCAGGGACTGTCCTTTGAGGTCCGCTGCCCAGGGTTTCATGACACTTTTAGATAATATGCTCTGCGCTTTGCGGCCAGGGGGGCCCTCCCTGCTCTTGCCACAGTGGCCAGGGACTGCTCACTTGTTAAGACCAGAGGCAGGTTCTCATATCTCAGCCCATTTGGTCAGAGAAATTCCTCTCTGTTCCAGGGCTTCTGTGATGCTCCTCTCCCCTCCTACCTTCCACACCTTGGCTCTTCCTCTGCTGCCCTTTATCCTCTGATCTTACTGTCCTGCAGGCCTTTTCAGGTAAACTCAGCTGGTTCTATCAGCAGGGGCTCACAGGTCTGTGTCTCCGGCCTGATCATCTCTGGGTATATTAGTCCATTCTCACGCTGCTAATAAAGACATACCCAAGACTGCGTTATTTATAAAGAAAAGGAGTTTAATTGACTCACAGTTCCGCAAGGCTGGGGAGGCCTTGGGAAACTTACAATCATGGCGGAAGGGGAAGCAAACACAACCTCCTTCACACAGCAGCAGCAAGGAGAAGTGCAGAGCAAAAGGGGGAAAAGCCCCTTATAAAACCATCAGATCTCGTGAGAACTCACTATCACAAGAACAGCAGCATGGGGGTAACTGCCCCCATGATTCAGTTACCTCCCACCTGTTCCCTCCCATGACATGTGAGGATTATGGGAACTACAACTCAGTGAGATTTGTGTGGGGACACAACCAAACCATATCACTGGGCATTTCCAATCCTGTGTATATCACATCTGCACAACTCCTCATGAGTGCCCCCAGGCCCCTCCTCTGCATTTCTGAAACAGAGCTCATCACCTTCTTTCTTAAAAATGCCCTCTCCACTAGTCCTCTCCACATAGTCTTCCTGCTTAGAAACCCAAGGTCACTCTTCACTTGTCCCCCATAACCTGCCCTGGACAAGCCTGTCCACCACACCTCAGAAATCCCTTCTCCAGCCCACTCCCCTTTTCCACTCCACCCAAACTGAGTTCTCTCGCTTCTCCCATTTGCCTCTTTTGCTTACTGTCACAAATAGGCCCCTTGCGCCTGTACCTCCTTCACATAGCTACCAGAAAAACGTTCCCTTAAAAAGCACAGAAGATCACCTCATTCTGTGCAGGCTCCATCTGGCCTTGCTTTTCCCCATCTTTTCTCCAACCCTGCAAAATGTATGCTATAAGCCAGGGCTTCCCAAGTTTTCATGTTAAAATGCAAATACATACTCAGCAGGTTTGGGCTGGGTCCTGTACTCTGCCTTTCCAGCACCGTCCCAGGTGATGCCAGGATGGGGTCCGTAAGCCACCACATGTTGAGTGGCTGGACTCTAGGGGAGATCTGTGTTTCACAGAGTCCTGCAGACCTGTCTTCAGTCTGTTCATACTGCAAGAATTTCCAAGTTCTGTGTTGTCATTGTAATGTTTTCTGTTGTATGTAAAGTTAACCTTAAATGTTTTCAATCGTAAACTTAGATTTGCTGTTGCAGTGGTTATTTGCTATTGAAAGAATTTTCAAAGACCAGGAAAGGCTTCAGTTTTCTTCAGAGTTACTAAATAGGTCCAGGTGAATAGGTGTATGGGAGTCGGGGGTGGATCTTGAGAATGTTTTTCCTTTAAAGAGGTACACACTGCAAAGGGGTTCCCTCTCGTGAGCTGCTCCAGGACAGAGGCTCTCCCGTACTCAGTCTTCTCAGGATGGTGGTGGAAGGGGAAGGAGAAGAGTCTGGTTTCCGTAGGAGGAGATGAGTGTGGAAACTGATGATTCCGTCAGGAAAGACTGGGCGGGGAAGGGGAGCTCTCCTGGGGAAGGTGCTGCCAGTCACAGGAGAAGAGGGCGAGGATCTGGGGGCTGGATCATATATGACTCTTTTTATTTTTACTTTTTATTTTTATTTATTTATTTATTTTTTTCTTGAGACGTAGTCTCTCTCTGTTGCCCAGGCTGGAGTGCAGTGGCGCAATCTCGGCTCACTGCAAGCTCCGCCTCCCAGGTTCACGCCGTTCTCCTGCCTCAGCCTCCCGCGTAGCTGGGACTGCAGGCGCCCACCACCACGCCCAGCTAATTTTTTTTGTATTTTTAGTAGAGACGGGGTTTCACCTGTTAGCCAGGATGGTCTCGATCTCCTGACCTCGTGATCCACCCGCCTCGGCCTCCCAAAGTGCTGGGATTACAGGCGTGAGCCACCGCGCCCGGCCGACTTTTTATTTTTTTTTAAGACAGAGTCTCACTCTATCACCCAAGCTAGCTCACTGCAACCTCCATCTCCCAGGTTCAAGCGATCTGCCCACCTCAGCCTCCCAAGTAGCTGGGATTACAGATGCACACCACCACGTCTGGCTACTTTTTGTATTTTTAGTAGAGATGGGGTCTCACCATGTTGCCCAGACTAGTCTTGCACTCCTGGACTCAAGTAATCCACCCACCTTGGCCTCCAAGGTGCTGGGATTACAGGTGTGAGCCACTGCACCTGGCCTTATATGACTCTTGATAAGGCTTTGCTCTTGAGGAGCCAGCTGGGGAAACCACTGGTAGGCATGCCTGGGAGCCAGGCTTTGTCCTAGCGCAGGATGGGGGGTCATAGAGGGCTGAGGACTGCGTGAGGATGAGCAGTCAGGAAGTAGAGCCATGTGCACCTGGGACAATCAGGATCTTGCCACAGCAGGAGGGTCAGAGAAGCAAGTCCCAGGTAGATGTGGGGTGAGGGAATGGGATGGATATCAAACAAGGGTGCTGCTGACTTTGACCAGCCTGCTCCAGAAACCTCACTACCCTCCTGTCGCCTCTGAAGTCCAGGCACCTCAGTCCACCACTGAAGAGTTTTTCAGGATCTGGCCTCTGCCTCCTCTCCCATGTGTTTGTTCTCCACAACTTTTGCCCCTCAATTCTAGCTCCTAGCCAAGTGGCTGTTCCTCACTTCAGATTCAGATGTCCATCCTCAGCTCCAAGTTTCCACAGAGGTGGCTCGGCCAGGCTGCTGTGCTCAGTGTTAGCTCTCAGCACAGGTGGTGAGCCTGGGACCATCACCGGGCCCCCACTCCCTCACTCCAGGGCCCTGCTCGAGCCTCCTGAGTTTCGGTCTCCACCTCTCCACACTGGAATGCCAGTGGTGTCTCCACCTCACAAGGTCGTGTGATGATCCCGTGGTGACACAGCAGCATGCTGAGTACTCAGGCAGTACTGGCTCAGCTGTCTGGACAGAGGGACTGCTGTGGGACATGTGTCCACAGCTTGAGGTGGAGAGAGCTGTGGTTGGTGTGCGCCACCCAGGGCAGGGTGGGGCTCAGGCAATTCTGCCTGAGGTGGACACTGCAGAGGTTGGCTTTAGTTCACTGCGTAGATGTCAAAGGCACCAAAAGATGGCAGCTCGCGACAGAGTGAAGAGGAGGAAGTTGGAATTGGAGTGGAGAACGCAGCCTGTCACACTTTATACAAAATGATTCAGATTCTGTAGGTCAGGGGTGAGGCCTGAGACTGCATTTCTAACAGGCACTCAGTGATGCTGAAGTCACTGGTCCAGAGACTGCACTTTGAGCGGCATTCATCCAGAACATGATTAATGATGGGGAGCCTTGTGGAGGAGAAGGTAGGGAAAAAACACGCACAGCTTAACGTATACCCAGCTTTCTGCCTGGCTGCTTGGAGACACCTCAAAGGGGCAGGTGTTTCCAGGCGTCTGGGGTCTGTCGGGTTCTGTTGGAATCAGATTGTGGGTGATGATGGAGACTGATCGTAAGAGCCCGGTGAGAGCTTTGGGAGACGTATGGAGTGATTTGATTTTGTTGCTTGATATCTCATCCCTCACAGTCTGGCTTCACAGTTATATCCTCCTTAGAAGGCATCGCTTTCTGCCGGAGGCTGAGCCATGGTCACACCCTGGAAGGTCCTCTGTCTTAGCACTCCCCACATGGAAAGCTGTGATTTCTGCATCCCTCTCTCTCTGATTGATTTGTGAGTTCCCGGAGAGCTAGGAACTGAGACAGCCTCTTAACCTTGTACCCCAGCACCTGCCTCACAGCTGGTGTTAGTGAGAGGGGTGGATACAGGTTTTGAAGGAAGAATGAGTAAAGCCTGTGATCAAAAGGGAGTAGGAGAGCCCAGCACCGAGCTGGGGCACTGGAGCCTGTCGCTGTGGACAGGAGGCCCAGCTATGGCATTAGCCAGGCCTTTGGTGAAATTGCCAGGAACATGGTCTAAAGGGTACTCGCATATTGGGCGTCAGCTCTGAGGAGCGAGGGCTGGGCTGTGAGTTCTCTGAAGGTGTGGAGGGCTCCATGGGGGAATGGCAGTTTCAGCCAAGAAGCTATCATGTTGATCTGGGAGCCAAGAGCAAACCTACTTTTCTTCTGCTGCCTTCAGGAAAGGACAGGTGCCCAGATTTATGCAGACTGGGGATCAAGACTTTTCTCCCTGTGCATCAGGGCATGGATAGCAGCTCTTCCTGAGGCTGAGTAGAAGCAGCAGATAGGGCTCCAACACCGGGCAGTGTCTAGAGCAGCCCACAGCCTTAGCACCTGCGAGTGCTGACGAGGACCCTGTGGGTTAATGTCAGTTTCATTTTCCTGAGGAGGAAATGGAATCTCAGTGAGGTTCAGTAACTTGTCCAAAGCCACAGATCTGGGAAGTGGAGGAGGCAGCCCAGCACTGGAGCTGGTTTCTGGGGGAGGAGTGGGTCCAGGTATGGATTAAAAGGCCAGAGCATTGCAGAGGTGGTAGGGCAGGGCAGACAGTGGATAGTGGGAGGGAACCCAGGAAGAGGAAGCAGGGTTGGGGATGCAGAAATGGGACAGGAGGCAGCAGAGAGTCAGAGGACGGAGATTTAAGCAGTTTAACACCCTAGCACCAATAAAGCATTAGGTGACAGCATTTAAAACAAAAAAAATTAGATCAGTTTGACTTTCTTCTGACTCATGATTGCTCATCATAGAAAATAACAGAAAAGTTGAAAGAATAGAAAAACTAACACATGTGGGGTTTTTTTGTCTTTCAGATTCCTTTGTTTTAATTAGTTGCGGTTATCCCGTAGATACAACTTTATAACAAGCCTCTTAATATTCTAATCACACAGACATCCTGTGGCTGTTTTGTGGCTTACTTAACTGGCCGTCCGAAATTGGCAAGTAGCTTTTTTGTTTGTAATTTTCAGTGTTATAAATGTTGCTGGGAGGAAAATCTCTGCAACTAAAACTTTTTTTCATGTCTGAATATATCCTGACAGCAGGTTCCTAGAAATGGAATTACTTAGTCAGACTGCCTTCCAGCCCCATTGGAATGGTATGCTGTGTTAGCGCTGACACAAGCCTTCTAAAAGTGCAGGTGTAATCCCTGCGCGCATTAGTTGTTCATTCATTCATTTGTGCATTTCACACACATTTCTTAAGCGCCTATGGGCAGAGGCTCCATTTTCTATGGCCTGATCAGCAGGGGAGCAGCTGCCAGCATCTTGGACCTGACCGAAAGGCGGGGGAGTTTCTGACTGTACACAATGTCCCAGCCCTCCCTGTCTTTGTCACAGGCCCAGGAGCGCTGGACAGCCTATGGGTCCAGAAGTAAACTTGGGTGCCTCTGTGGCTACAGGGTCCAGGCAGTGCCCACCCATCTGCCTTCCCCTCTTGTGACACTTAGTGACATGCTACACACTGAGTATGGGGTTCCCAATTTTATCAATTTATTCATGCATTCCATAGATACTTAGTGCCTCATGTGCACTGGACACTGTTCTAGATGCCATGGAGATGGCAGTTCACTACTAAAATCCCTGCCTTTAAGGAACTTACATTTAAGGAGAAATCTAAAGTAGGGTGAGAGGGAGAAGGAGTGATCAGGGAAGGCCTCACTGATGAGGTAAAATTTAAGCAGGCACATGAAGAAACTGAGTGAGAGAGCCAGGTGCATATCTAAGGGAAGGGTGTTCAAGGAGAGGGAACAGCACGTGCAAACACCCAAGGTTGGAACAAGCTTGGCACCACCTGGGAACAGCCAGAGAAGCATGAGACCCTGGTGGAGCAGAATGAGATCTAGGACTCAGGGTTCATTTCCCCATCCCCTTTGGAGATTTTAGAACCAGAGGGCCACCCCTCCTCTGTGAAGCAGTTCAAACTAACCTCATGTATTTCTCTTGCTTATCTATAGTTGGCCATCACTGAGACCTGTGTTCGGTGGGCTCTGGCTTTGGAAGTCCCTGCCATGCCCTGCCCTGCCCTTGGGTTTCCTTATCTGTGCACTGAGGGACTTGAACCAGGAGACTGGCAAGGGTACATTGGGCTTTCCTCTGTCTTGTCCAGTTAGGTCTGTGAGTTAGATCTTGGGTAATTTTTAGGTTAATATTAGGAGTGTGTAAATGCCGTTGTTGATATTTAATTCTTAATATGTTTAGCCTATTAGATTTCCTTTGTTATGAAAGAGTCTCCCAGCCAGCTGTGGGCAGCAGTCATAAGAAGTGAGTGGAGGGATAAACCTAGTGGTTTATCCATCAACCATCCAACCATGCATCCATGCATCCATCCATCCATCCATCCATCCATCCATTCATCCCACAGTGAATTATTGAGCACCTGTTGGGTACCAGCCACTGGGCAGGCTGCCTGTGCGGCAGTGGTGAGATTTTAAAGACTCAGACCCAGCCTTTTTGTGTAGGGATGTTAGCTCTGCCAGAAGATCGTGCTGGTGAAGGACTCCACTCAGCAAGACCAGAGCAGCTAACACATCATACCATATACAAAAATTCACTCAAAATGGATCAATGACCTTAATAAAAGACCCTAAAGCCATAAAACTCCTAGAAGAAAACATAGGGGTAAACCTTCACAACCTTGAATTTGGCAATGAATTCTTGGATATGACACTAAAAATGCAAGTAACAAAAGAAAAATAAATTGGGACTTCATGAAAATTAAAGCTTTTTTGCATCCAAAGACATCATCAAGAAAGTGAAAAGGCAACCTATGGAATGAGAGAATAGGCCAGGCGCAGTGGCTCCCACTTGTGATCCCAGCACCTTGGGAGACTGAGGCAGGCAGATCATTGAGTCTAGGAGTTCAAGATGAGCCTGGGCAACATGGTGAAACCCCGTCTCTACAAAAAATACAAAAATTAGCCAGGTGTGGTGTGTGCCTGTAGTCCCAGCTACTAAGGAGACTGAGGCTGGAGGATCACTTGGGAGACACAGGTTACACTGAGCCAAGATGGTGCTACTGCCCTCCAGCCTGGGTGACAGAGCGAGACCCTGAAAGTCAACAGCTCACACTAACACAAAACAAATTTTAAAAATGGGCAGAAGACTTGAATAGACATTTCTCTAAAGATGCACAAATTGCCAGTAAACACATGAAAAGATGCTCAGCATCATTAGTCATTACGGAAAATGTAAAGTAAAGCCACAATGAGACACCACTGCACACCTACTAGAATGGTTATGATCAAAAACAGGAAACTAACAAGTATTAGCAAGGATGTGGAGGAATAGTAACCCTCTTATATTGTGGTGGGAATGTAAAATGGTGCAGCCTCTGTAGAAAACAATCTGATTATTCCCCAAAAAGCTGTACATAATAGGGCCAGGCACAGAGGCTCAGGCCTGTAATCCCAGCACTTTGGGAGGGTGTATCGCTTGAGCTCAGGAGTTTGAGACCAGCCTGGGCAACAGGGCGAAACCCAGTCTACCAAAAGTACAAAAGCTTAGCTGGGCGTGGTGGCACACACTTGTAGTCCCAGCTACTAGGGAAGCTGAGATGGGAAGATCCATTGAGCCTGGGAGGCGGAGGAGGCTGCAGTAAGCTGAGATGGTGCCTTTGCACTCCAGCCTGGGCAACAGAGGAAGACTGTGTCTCAAAAAAATTTTAAAAAGCTATAGATAGAACTACCATGTGACCCAGCAATCCTACTCCTACGTATATACCTGAAAGAATTGAAAGTGGACTCGGACAGATACTTGTATGCTGAAATGATAAAATTTAAGCATTGCAACACCATTCACAATAGCCAGAAGGCAGAAACAACCCAAATGTCCAATGACAGATGAATTGATAAACAAAATGGAATATCATTCAGTCATAAAAAGAAATAAAGTTCTGATACATGCTAAAATATGGAGGAACCTTAAAAACATGCTAAGTGAAATAAGCCAGACTCAAATAGACAAATACTATGTGGTTCCACTGATGTATCTAGACTAGGCAAATTCGTAGAGGCAGAAAGTAGATTAGAGGTGGCCAGGAGTTGGAGGAGGGGTGAATGGGGAGTTATTGCCTAATGGGTACAGAGTTTCTGTTTGGGATGATGAAAAATTTCTGGAAATAGTGGTAATGTTTGCACAACATTGTGAATATAATTAAAGCCACTGAATTGTACACTTAAAAATGGCTAAAATGGCAAGCGTTAGGTCCTATATATTTTACAATTAAAAAAAAAAAAAACGCTTGTTTACCGGAGATTTAAAAGAACAGAAAAAAAGAAAAGAAAAAGAAAAGACCAGAAGAGGTAGTGGGAGGAGCACGTCTTTGGCAGGAGCCACCGGTTTGGATTCTGCCCTGCCGCTGGGTCACCTCAGAAACACATGTGGTAACCTCATGGGCGAAGCCTGGTCCCCTCTTTTGATGTGAGAGTCCAGTAAGATGGTGAGTGTGGGCTCTCTCCTGGGTCATGGGAGTTGCTCAGGGAATGGCTTCCCATCCCCTTTAATTTCATCTTTTCCATTGTAAAAGATTGTTCTACCTGGTAGAAAAGACAGAACACAGTTAACTTGGCGATTTTGCGCAAATCATCATCAGTTACCTTGCTCATGTTTAGCCATCCTCCTCTAGGTGGTGGCCCAGCCCCTGTCTGTCATCTCGTTCCTCCTTTCTTTGGTGTTTTTGCCCTAACTCAGGGCTCTTCGGGACCCCCACTTCCTTGGCATTGGTGCCTGTCCTTGGTCACATGCTTCCTCTTCCTTTTCTGGGTTTACTGTGGATTCTTTCTGACATCTGAGCTCTGCTAGTGAGAAGTCATCTGAACACCCAGCCACAGTTATGTACACCCACGTGGTGGAATATCGTAGAGTCATAACAGAAGGGGTCAGGGAAGTGTTTGAAATACCTGGACGAATGTTGGATAGTGATCATGAGAAAGAGTGGAATATATGATTGCATAGACATTACAAGTTCAACTTTTTAAAAAACACAAACAAAATTGTTGGTTGGCTTGTTTTGTTCAACCTGAGCACATCAGAGTCCACGCCCTTTGTAGCCACTGGTCTGAGCCGCCCTCTCCTTCCCCTCCAAGGTTCACTACCATCTGTGGTCAGATCCCCCTTTTTCACAGCCACCCAGGGTTATTTCTTGCTACCTGAGCCTCTCTCCTGGCAGGTTGAAAGAAGCTCAGGGTTCAGACACCGTGAGGCTGTCCTGGATCCTCCAGAGATCCAGGCCCCTGCTACACCCAGGTTGCCGCCCCCTTGTTTATCAGTTACTCCTGCCCCATGACTGTCCTCATGAGATCCTTGGCTCAGAGCCAGTGCATGTGCCCCGAAAGGTGAGTGAGCAAGAGTCTTATGGAGCTCTAGTTTGCTGAGAAGCTCAGCTTCCCATGGGCCGGAAGGAGTCCTGGCAGTTCCGAGATCCCTGGAGGCAGGTGCAGTGGGAGGAGAGACTGACTGGGGCCAGGGCTGGCCACCTCACTGAGGTCCGGAAGGAGAGCTGGTCATCAGGTAGGAGCGGCCCCAGGCCAAACCCAGAGCCTGGCCTCAGGAAATGAGATGGCCTGTTTCTGCCCTCCCGCTGCTGCTAATAATTAACCCAGGGACGGCTGCCTGTGAGGCTGGAAGGGCCTTTAGACATCATGTGACACACTCCAGTCCAGGCCTTTTGCAAAAGTGGGAGGAAGTCATTTACTACATTTCCTCAATTCTGAAAGGTGCGTTGGCCACACTTTAATGCTTCTGAAATCACCGTGACCTTCACAGTCACAGGGTACCTTGGATGTACTGTTTCTTTAAAATAACTTTGCTGAAACACCTGTTACATCAGGTGTGTCATCTTAGAGCAGAGGTAATATGGTGATAAATACCCAGATCATTACTCAAGTTTCTAATGTTGCAGAGTTAATTAGGGGGCAAGAAGGTTTTCTGGGCCATTTCCCTTGTAAGAGGAAATTTACCAACATGAGAGCCTCGGGGAGTGTTTATAAAAGATTATCTCAAAAGGGTAAGAACATACCTTATTTAGTAAGTTACAGAGACAATAGTGACTAAGTGTGGGGCTCCGTTTACCACCTCCAGTGAATCACCTGTAATTCGTCTGCCTCCCAGTCACGTGGATCAGTGGACTCAGAGTGGGTGGTGTGTGATGCCCCCACCTGAGCTTGGGATCATCACCTTGTTTGAAGTCTGCCTGTGTGACCTGTGCGTGGTTCTGAGTCGAGTCTCCCAATCTTGTAAAATGGTTAACAGCAGTGCTACCTTCCAGGCCCAGTCAAAATCAATCAGTCAGGAGTGAGGGGTGTAAAAATACTTGGAAATCGCTGAAGCCCTGTAGCACAGGAAGCCCAGAAACAGGAAAGGGAATGGCCCAGGGACTGAGAAAGAAGGCAGGTGGGAAGGGCAAGAATGCATAGGCAGCATTCACAGAGCTGGTGTTGAGTGGCTGTGGCGGGCCAGGCCCTGTGCTGCGTTAAGAATGAAATCTCTGCTCCCTATAGTTATTCACAGGGGAGGAAACTAAGACAAAACATTAATTTGTTCAGGTTCATGTCCACTTGGGAGTGGCAGAGCAGAGACTAGAACCCAGGTCTGGCTATTCCTTCAAACCTCCAGTGGACTCTGGCCTGGCAAGACCCCTCCTGTCCCAGAGTACTCCCAAGCAAAGATCTTCTTGGTCCAGTCACGGACCACTCTTGAAATCAGTGAGAGGGTTGTCTTTATCTCTGTATTCTCAGCTCCCAGCATGTGGAAGGCCTCAGTACAGATAAATGCATCAACAGCAGCAATGACATATATTATTTCCTTTTTTTCTTTACCTTTTATTTTTTAGTAGCAATTATACATTCCTTTTGTTTACTTTTTACTGTTTTTTTTTTTAAGGTTTACAACTTGTTATTTTGATAAACATATACATTTCATTCATTTGTTCCTAAATGTTGTTCTCCTGATTTGCATTTTGGCATGCCTTTTAGAAGTCTTTTTAAAGAGTTTCATTAATTTGCTGACCCCATTTTATCAGGGTACAAAGCCCTGGAAATCTGAATAGGCTGCATAAAAATATTTTATGGTTTCTAGGGGCACACTGGCAACCAGCAGGGTTACCGAACCTAATATAACCTGAGATGGCCCCCTGGATTAAAACCTTACAGGCAGAGGATTTTAAAGCTGGAAAAAGCTTTAGAGGGCTCTAACCTGGGAAACCGAGCCAGAGAAAAGTGAGTTAGTGACTTCGCGAGTCACCTGGCTGATCAGAGACAAATAAGATGATGCTTCGTGGGGGTAAGTGGAGAGTATTTTTCTCTGTTTCCTTGAGATAAAATTATGGCGAGGGACACTGGTGGTGAGGATTGGGTTTCTCTGGCCGGACTACCACTGGCTTCAGACTCCTTGGCGGGAACAGAGGCTGGCAGGATGGTCCGGTTGTGAGATTCCAGCTTCTTGGCTGGTATGCACTGTGATTAGCACATCTCAAACCTTTCAAAGTGACTTTAGCTGTTTTCTTTTCTGAAGGCTTCTGCTGCTTTTGGCTGTAAAGGGGTGGGGGCCAGAGCCTAAGATAGAAATATCGTGGACTGACACCCAAATGGGCGTGTCTGTGCCTGAGAGCAAATATTAGCAGAGTATTTTTGTAAGGTTTATGCAACTTGATTCATGTCCCTGTGGAGTAAATGTATTCCATCCTGATTTCCAGTCTGTCTGGGGCCTAGTGGAACTACTCGGAGGGAAAATGAAATGAGATCAGTAGCTTAATTTTAGGTAGAAACAGCTAAATGTAAAACATATTCCATTGTCTATTTTGTGAGCTTTACATATTTTTGCTTGTTATAGTCCCTCATCTCCTATTTCACGGTTTGATGGGCCATTTCAGTTTTTTCCAAGAATGAGGTATTCATTTAGAATTATTTCCGATGAGAAAGTATACATGAAAGGAAATTCAGTTTTGAACAATACCACATTGAGGCTTACATGTACAGAAACTTAACCTTGGAATTGTTGAAACAGAAGTCCTGAAAGCCCAGAGTTCATCTATCCCACTCTTCACTGTCAGTCTGCCCTCTGAGGCCTTCTCACCAAGGGTCTCATCCAGCTTCTCTGCTTGATTACCTCTAGTGATGAGGAGCTCACTCTCTTACAGGGCACTTCCTTCCATATTTGTGCAGGTTTAACTGTTTAAAAGCTCCTTCGTCTGTTGAAGAGAAATGTGTTTCTTTCATCTTCTACCCATTGAACCTTTGGGACCTAAAAAAATCAGTCTAATTATAGTAGCTAGGTGCAAGTTAATTTGCATACACATTATCTCCAGTGATTAAAACAACCTTAGGGAAATCCTTCCTCTTTTATAGGTAGGGAAACTGAGTCTCAGAGAGGGTAAGCAGTCTCTCCGAAGTTAATCTCAGTAAGTGATGAAGCTGAGGTCCCCCCACAGCTGTCTGATTCTGATGCTGGTAACTTTCCCACAGCCTTACATTGTATCCTAATTCCTCTTCTGTGTGACAGCCCCTTGGATTTTTGAAGTACCTAATCTTATCCGCCCTGAGATTTCGCTAAGATTTCAGTTATTCCTCAGGAACGCCTGCTAAATCAGTTTCTGTGGAGTTCCCATACCATGCGTGCATTTTCCCCCCCAACCTTTGCACATGGGTTTTGCAGTGTCTGGAATGCTGCAGCTTCTCCCTGGCCAATACCCCTTATCCTGCAAGACTCCCCATGAAATTTCTGTGAACCGGTCCTGACACCCACCCCACCCTGGTGGATCCAGAGCCCTCCTTGTGTTCCTCCAGCACCCTGGGGCTTCCTCTCCCCTAGAACTTGATACTGCCCACTCCCTGGCCTGGCGCAGAGACGGCACAGAGTAAATGAACATCGAGAGAGTAAATGATGCGGAACTCCTTTGCCAAAGTAGCAACCAAGGAGGCTAAAAGTAATTGTAAACAAGATTGACAAGCCCATGAAATCGTAGTCAGATGCAGGTTGCTTGGAGGCTGTCGTGGGGACAGCTTGTCTGGGGTAAGTCCTGATGTCATTTTCCTCAGTATGACTTGGTTAAAACCCCCCCATGGGCTGGCATTTGCCCTATTTTTCTCCCAGGAGGCAGGTTTGCTGGCTCTTAAGTGTCTGGGTTCACCAAGGTGGCGCGCAGTGGGGAAAGGTTACCAGTCACTGTTCAGTGACTACCTGGGCAAAACCAAATCTTATTTCTTTGCAACCCACCCAAGACATCCACATGGGTACCGAGAAGCAACCCAGGGAAAGTTGAGACCTGTGGAATTTGGGGGTGTGCTGTTTGACACTGCATCATAATCAGATTTCCTAAAACTCTTTAAAAAAAAAAAAAAGAACTTCTAACACAATCTAATTTTTAAAAAACTCAGGAGGATGGCGTTGTAAGTCAGGAGAGAGTGGTCACCTGTGGAAGGGAGTGTCTGGAAGAGGACATGAGGGGCTCCTGCTGGGCTCCTGGGGAGCACTATATTTAGCATTTGTACTTTTTCTCTCTGTGATACTTCAAGAAAAAGGTTTTTCTTTAAATTGAATGGCTTCATTTAATATACTTAGCATGAGTTTTCTGCCGGCTTCAAGGCAAACTTTGTGTTTTAGTTACTAGCTTCTCATCACAACACTGAAAACCCAGCTCATGGCACTTAAGAGATTGGTTTCTCTTTATAGCAACATTACCTCTTTCCCGAAACTGCCCGCGGCTCCCGCAGCATTCTTTATCTTGCCCTTCAGGGAGCTTAAAACTACTACTTCTTACCCTGCCAGGATCAAGTATAACTTTTATTTTGTTAGTTTTGCAAGTGTCATGGTGTCGAACCTATAAATAAAACCTATAAATAAACCCCAACTCCATAATAAGAAAACTATTTGACATTTTGAAGTCGTATGAAAAGAAGGCCAGTAATTACAGATCTCAGTTTGAATACAACGGGTCCTACAAATGACTCCACCCGGGCTTCCCAGGGGCTTCAGTCAGAGAGCCACTCCCCGAACAAATTACAGGGTCTGTAGAACAAATGATTTGATCCCAAAATTGTACTTTTGGAGTATCAGGATTGACAACTGCAAGATGATTCGACGGAGTATTGTGCTGTATTATTAAAGTGACCTGTGTGAGTGTGTCTCCCTTGTGCTAGAGAAAAATCTGAAGACTCGAGTATTAAATATGTTCATAAATCATTTTTTCATAAAAGGTATTAACACATTCATAAATACCCAAATTTTTAAAAAGTTTTGTTCACCAGCACTGGCATTGTCAACTGTGTTATTCATTAGCAGACTTTATGCTTTAAAAATGTTATTTAAAAATTAATGTTTTAGTATATAGGTTCAGGATAAATTTGTTTCTTGGCTTTAACGTTGAATTAGCCATATGAGGTATTCCTCCCTGAATAAGGACGTTTGTTTTTCTAGTTTAGCAAGTATTCAGTCACGATTATGTTTACATTAAAACCTAATTTTAAAAATAAGTTAGTGTATTTAGTGTATTTATCTTTGTATTGTTATGTAGTATTGTACTTTGGAAAATTTAAAAGCCAAGAAAGCAGGCTAAAAATGGCAGAAGGTAGTGTTGATCAATTTATGAAATTATAGAGTTATGAGGAAAAAGATTAAATTCCAGGTACCAGTTGTACAGTAATTTTGTTATCAACTGTACTTATTTTAAAACTAATAAAGGGAAATGTATAGGAAAGTGTTTTCTAAGATATTTGGGCATTTCACAAATGAAAACTGAAATGACTAATTTTTAATTAGTTGGGCTGAATTTCATTAAGAACGTTCGCAAAAAAATAAAAATGATGGTGAAAACAGAAAATATTAAATAACATTTTTAAAAAGAACATTTTCAAAGCCTGATAAATAGCACAAAATGTATGCATCTTGTTTCATTGCTGCTGCTTTAAGAAAGTGCTGGTTGACTCAACGGGTTTCTGAGGAAGGGTGTGTGCATTGTGTGGCCTTTTATAATTTGGACAAATTGTTAAGCATTGGTGTTGGTGAATGATGTGAACTCATTTGAGTGAACAAGCCAAGACATCTGGTTATGCAATATCAAGTGATACAGTCCTTTTTGAATGATGGCAGTTTTCCTGTTGCTTTCTTCTCTATTTAGACAACAGTACTAATCCCAGCACTGACATATAGACTGGAAAATCTGTTACTTCATCAACAATGATTTAGGAAGCACTTCTCCCAGACCGAGTGATGGGACAGCTGCCAAGCTACAGAAACTCTATTTAGCTCTGGGAGGTGACTTGTAATGTAGACAGTAAAACTGACATAAGGATGCCCACCTAACAAAGACCCTGGCTGTAAGCATAGACAGGCAGAACCAAAAGGAACTCTGAAGATTGTCTGGTGGAAGATTTTCCACCGTGTGGCTCTCAGACCAGCTGCACCATTGCCATGAGGGTCAGGGGGTATTTATTTAAAATGCAACTTCAAGCTGGGTGCGTTGGTATACATTTGTAGTCCCAGCTTCTTAGGATGCCTGAGGCAGGAGGATTGCTTGAGCCCAGGAGTTTGAGGCCAGCCTGGGCAACATAATGAGTACCCTGTCTCTTTAAAAAAAAAAAAAGTGCCTTCCATATGACAAGTAAAACCAGGCATGATCCTGATTTGGATTGTGGATCGGGGAAGATAAATAAAGGACATCTTTGGAACAATTTGCAAAATTTTAGTATGGACTGGATATTAGATAAGTGCTTATCAGTTAAATTTCTTCAGTGTGATAATTGTACTGTGGTTATGAAATGCCCTTATTAGGGGGAGATACATGCTAAAATATTTCGAGATAAAGGGGCATGATCTCTGCAGCAAGTGGTTCAGAGAAAAGCCTGGTGTGTCTGTGTGTGTATACAGATGAGAGACATGGGAAATAAAGTGTATGTGGGCCGGGCACGATGGCTCACGCCTGTAATCCCAGCACTTTGGGAGGCCAAGGCAGGCAAATCACCTGAGGTCAGGAGTTCAAGACCAGCCTAGGCCAACATGGTGAAACACTGTCTCTACTAAAAATACAAAAATTAGTTGGGCGTGGTGGCACAGGCCTGTAGCCCCAGCTACTCGGGAGGCTGAGGCACAAGAATTGCTTCAGCCCAGGAGACGGAGGTTGCAGTGAGCTGAGATTGCGCCACTGCACTCCAGCCTGGGCAAGAGTGAG
Source organism: Homo sapiens (assembly GCF_000001405.40). Classification (NCBI taxonomy): domain Eukaryota; kingdom Metazoa; phylum Chordata; class Mammalia; order Primates; family Hominidae; genus Homo; species Homo sapiens. The sequence goes on along the minus strand of NC_000009.12, from coordinate 109,471,086 downwards.
ACTCCATCTCAAAAAAAAAAAAAAAGATGCGTATGTACCAAAATGTTAACAATTGAATCCAGGGCAAAAGGGTTACACAGGAGTTTGTTTTTCTTGCAACTTTTCTATAAGTCCAGAAAATTATTTTTTGTTTTACAATGCAGTTTCCTGGGCCCTTACTGAACCAAAATCTCTGTGGATGGTAACCAAGAATCTGCATTTTTAACAAGTCCCCAGATGATTCTTGTGTACGCTAGTTTTAAGTCACTGGTTAAAAAGAAAGTCTCATTTCAGTCACTATTTTTTTAATATCTTGATCAGTGAGCAGACATTCTTAGTTTGAGCTCATCTTAGTGCTTAATAAATGATAAATAAATCCCCACCCAAGTGTTTGTAAATTTTTTTTTTTTTTTGGATGAGGTCTCGCTCTGTTGCCCAGGCTGCAGAGCAGTGGTGCGGTCATAGCTCCCTGCAGCCTTGACCTCCTGGGCTCAAGCGATTCTCCCACCTCAGCCTCCCAAATACCTAGGACTACAGACAGGTGCCACCACATGC